>NC_000005.10:128859807-130109807 GCF_000001405.40 Homo sapiens
TGTGGAAGATCAATTTGTTGTTGGTGTGTGGCCTTATTTCAAATCTCTTTATTGTGTTCTATTGGTCTCTGTGTCTGTTTTTGTACCAGAACTGTATTAGTCCATTTTCATGCTGCTGATAAAGACATACCTGACACTGGGCAATTTACAAAAGAAAGAGGTCTATTGGACTCACAGTTCCATTTGGCTGGGGAGTTCTCACAATCATGGCAGAAGGTGAAAGGCATATCTCACATGGCGGCAGACAAGAGAAGAGAACTTGTTCAGGGAAACTCCCGTTTTTAAAACCATCAGATTGTGTGAGACTCATTCACTACCATGAGAACAGCACAAGAAAGACCCATCCCCATAATTAAATCACTTCCCACTGGGTTCCTCCCATGACATGTGAGAATTGTGGGAGTTATTCAAGATGAGATTTGGCTGGGGACACAGCCAAACCATATCAAGTACCATGCTGTTTTGGTTACTGTAGCCCTGTGGTATAGTTTGGTGTTGGGTAGCATGTTGCCTTCAGCTTTATTCTTTTTTCTTAGGATTGCTCTTTTTTTAATTCCATATGAATTTTACAATAGTTTTTTCTAGTTCTCTGAAGAATGTCTTTGGTAGTTTAATAGGAATAGCATTGAATCTATAAATTGCTTTGGGCAGTATGGCCATTTTGACAATATTGATTCTTCCTATCCATGAGCATGGAATGTTTTCCCGTTTCTTTGTATCATCTCTGATTTCTTTGAGCAATGTTTTGTAGTTCTTCTTGTAGAGATTTGTCACCTCCCTGGTTAGTTGTATTCCTAGGTATTTTATTCTTTGGGTGGCAATTGTAAATGGGATTACATTCCTGATTTGGCTCTCAGCTTGACTTTTCTTGGTGTATAGGAATGCTAGTGAAAATAGTTTGTTTGTTTGTTTGTTTCTTACAGGAAAAAAGTAAATAAAAAGAAAAGGAATCCTGAGAAGTAGAGGTATCTAAAATGAATTACTTTTACTCGTTAACATCCAACTCTTGCTTGAGATTTCAAATATGTTTGGGCAAGTAACGAGTTTTCTCATTGATGAATTCTTGCTTAACAACCTTATAGAAATCTTTGGGAGAAAACTGGAAGGAAGACCTTAGGAAACTGAGTACAGTCAGTCAGATAAATGAATGATCCTAGAATGGCAGGAAGAAGCAGGGGAGAATGAAAGAGAAAAGGAGAGCCAGGAATTACTACTTATGAAGTACCTACTATTTGCTAGATTTCTTTAGCACACACATGAAACATTTAGTACCAGCTACAAAGGAGGTGCTCAATGCATAACTATTTTATTAGTTGTATTATTTCTGCTTCTATTAGCACTCTGTGAGTTAGATATTTGTAAACTCTATAATCCGTTCCACAAATTAAGGCTATGGAAGCATTCACATCGCCTTACTTTTCTTTTCTTTTCTTTTTTTTTTTTTTTTTTTTGAGACGGAATCTCGCTCTTTTGCCCAGGCCGGAGTGCAGGGCGCTATCTCAGCTCACCGCAAGCTCCGCCTCCTGGGTTCACGCCATTCTCCTACCTCAGCCTCCCAGTGGCTGGGACTACAGGTGCCCGCCACCACGCCCGGCCAATTTTTTGTATTTTTAGTAGAGGCGGGGTTTCACCGTGTTAGCCAGGATAGTCTCGATCTCCTGACCTCGTCATCTGCCCGCCTCGGCCTCCCAAAGTGCTGGGACTACAGGCGTGAGCCACCGCGCCCGGCCTCTCCTTACTTTTCTTATGTGCCTTATTATTAAGAAGACCGGTATCTCCCTTGAAATCCTCCCCTTCTCTTGAATTGCCCTTTACCACAGGGACAAGGAGGGACAGTGAGACTGGCTTTCCTAGAATGGCATTGTTTCTATGTAGAGCAGTATTTTGTTTTGTTTTGTTTTCTGGGAATGAGTGAAAATTATGAATGCAGGTCTCTCTAAAAACACATATATTCATATAGGAGAAAAATAGTTTGCATCATTTCAAGAAGTCTACTTTGGCCTTCAACCTAGAAACACCTGATCTGGTGATAGTGACAGCAATTATACATCTGGTATCCAGTGGCAGTGAGCTCCAATGATGTAGATGACAACTTCACTCACAATGTAAGACTTCCCATTTTTTCTACCTCTCTCTCCTCTGAGGATGGACCCCAAAAAGGTCAGAAAGCAGAGCAAGCATGTTGAGGGATGAGAAATCCTAGATGGAAGAAAGAGAGAGGTGCCACTCCTATTTGGGGCAGAGGAGAGGATTTGATCACAGGTCAAGCACAGTTTTGATAACTTTATTTGGGACTATATATCCTAATATCATAATTGAAACCTGTTTGGGACTTAAAGTGATCAAACCATTTTTAAAAAATGGAGTCCTTTCAGAAAAAGAGTTATAAGCCAGGGAATTATTGCTCCACTAAATATGTTTTAAAGGACAACAGATGACAATAATACATCTGCATTTTAGCATACATTATTTTGCATACTCATAATAAACCAATGAGATAGGCACCATACTGTCTCTAATTTATGAATCAGCAAACTGAATTACAGAGGAGTGAAACCACGTGCCTGAGGTCACATAGCTCATAAGTCTTATTTTATACCTAAGCAGTTTGAATTCAGAGCTGGTTTCCTTAACCTCAAGTATCTTAATAACTTGGATTAATTTTCATTCCTGAGAAATCTGCCTCCCTTTTGGAGAGCTGATTGGTACATCACTGAGGCATATTCCACATAGAAGACAGAGTGGACTCAATGAGAATACCCGCAGAATGGCTGCCTAGACATTTTTTTATGAGATCATTATCCCACTTAGGCTCTTGGGCCCCACTATGTCTCCACAGAAAAACACATTAGATCCAAATGGAATGATTGTATTTTGGCCATTGTCTATTTAGGACAAGCAATGTCCTGTAAAACATTATTCGGCTTCCCGGAATGTTGGCAGAAACTTAGCTAAACCGATAATGCTGTACCTAGACATGTATAGCTAGTTTGAATATTTGACTTATTTAGATAGAAATATCTTGATAAAAATTTTATTCCTTGAAAGCCAAGCTGTATAAACATTCTGAAAAATTTAGGCCATTCTGAGACATTTGAGTCTATTAGTTGACTTTGAAGTACAGGATTTCGTATACCATATATTATGTGCTTACTTACATGTGTAAAACCCAAGCAATTTTCTTTAGACTCTCAGGATAATTATCTCCTATTTTTCTCTGGCATCAACCAAAATTCCTAAACAGTAGGCAAAACCTCATTCGATGTCCTGTTGTGTTTTTCCTTGTTCAAATTCCTGGCTAGGCTGTGAGCCCTATGAGAGTAAGGACCCAGTCGCTCTTGTTCCTGTCTGCATCATGAACGTTTAAGGGAGTAGCTAGCACAGGGTAGGGGCTCAGCAAATATTTTTGAATGAATAAACAAAGAAACTAGAATAAAGGTTACTATGCTGTGTTGGTTAATTTTATGTGTCAACTTGTCTAGGTTACAGTGCCCAGATGTGTAGTTAAACATCAGTCTAGATGTTGCTGTGAAGACATTTTTTAAGATGAAATTAACATTTAGATTAGTAGACAGAGTAAAGCTGTTTACCTGCTATAATGTGGGTGGGCCTCATCCAGTCTAATGAAGGCCTTAAGAGAAAAGGCTGAAGTGCCCCCTAGAAAGAAGGAATTCTGCCTTCAGACTGCTTTTGGACCCAGTTTGCAACAACAACTCTTCTGTGGGTCTCCAGCCTGCTAGTATGCTCTGCAAATTTGAGCTTGCCAGCTCCCATAATTATGTGAGTCAATTTCTTAAAATAATCTATCTATCATCTATCTATCTATCTATCTATCTATCTATCTATCTATCTATCTATCTATCTAGTGAGTCAATTTCATAAAATTAACTATGTATCTATCTATCTAGTGAGTCAATTTCTTAAAATTAACTATGTATCTATCTATCTATCTATCTATCTATCTATCTATCTATCTATCATCTATCCATCCATCCATCTGTGCATGTGCATGGATGGATACACATGCACATGCATGTGAAACAGAAACACAATTGGTTCTGTTTCTCTGGGGACCCTAATACATATGAATTTTATTTTTATTAATTTCTAGGATAAAATAAAATATTAAAAGGTCTACCTAATGTCATTCAAGAGGATGGCTTTTAACTTTTCGGTAGATATGGCTGCAGAGCTTCCAGTTCAGCTGGGGTTGTTCACATGGAATCAGAGTTCAGGCTATCTGTTCATCATATTCTTATTTTTTTTGCCTAGACTGTAAATACTAGCTTCCTGAGTTGTGAAAGGAAGGGTTAAATGAGCATTCTTACATCTTGTGAGCTTCTTCTAGCAGCCAAACCACCAACTTGTAGTTCCAGATTACAGATCCAATCTGTTGCATATGAATGATAACTTTGGCTGTATTGCTGTGTTCTCAAGCCAATCTTTCAATCATTTTATTCTCTAATCCAGTTTGTATGGCTATACCTGGCTAATTCACCTTCTAATTTCCATATCAGCAGCCAATTATGTGGATTGTTCCACTATAGCCAAAAGATTTGAGTCACTTTATAGCATTAAAGGTAAGTGAAACCAAATCGACTCACAATCAAGGCTTATTGATTAAATTTCAACATTTGAAAAACTGTGTGTTTTTTTTCCTTTTTTTTTTTTTGGACACAGAACCCCCTTTACAGATAGAAACGAGGCAATGACCAAATACAGAAGAGAGTGTGGGTTAATAATGTTTTTTTTTTTAAAGCTAAATTGTCTAAGAAATGTTTCTAAATTGAGTGCTTAAAATAGAAAATAATTCTTCAACTCAATGGAAGGATTGAAAATGTTGCCAAATCCTTGTCATTTTCACCAACTGAGAACCAGGAGATTAAATTAAGAAGACCATACAAATGTTGAGGCTTCGTGGATATTAAAAACAGCCTTGAGAGAAATGACCATAAAACATAATTTTGAACTCATATTGGATGGGGGACACTGGACAGGTTATAGAGATGTGGTGTATGGCACAGCATGCATTTCGGCATGAGTTTGTTGGGACTGAATGGTGATGAGTAAACCATAGGAACAATGAGATGGAAGGGAAGATTTAGAGAGTAGGGGATGACAGCTTAGAGCATTATCAACAAGAGGCTGGAAAGTGATTCAAATGTCAGAGATAGCGTGTATCTCCATTTGCTGGTAATCTAATTGGCTATACCATACATACACATTCATTAGAACTTTGTATTTAATATTTCTAATTGCTCCATCTGACAACATATTATCTAAAACAGCAACATGGAGCTTCCCCTCCAAATGCACCTGCTATACCCAAATAAGCCAGTAATCAAGGTGTTGCTAGTTGCACATGTCCCCTTACTTGAAAATTGACCTTTGTATTTTGGTTAATATTTTATATGGCATCTCTTCCAGATTCTCTGTTGTAAATAGGATGCTCCTCTCTCACTGACAAATCCTGATAAGCTTTCTTCTTCCCAAATAATTTCATGACGTACATAAAAGTTTCTATATTTCACATGGTTTTGGGAGTTTGCCCTATATACCAGCTCAGCATAACTAGTCAATGAGTAATGCTCAAAGCCTAAGATGCTCCAGAGGTGTCACCAGGGCATCTGCAAAGAGAAATGAGGTTGTTTGGGTCTCTACCTTTTATTTCAACCAGAGAGCTTGGTTTTTAAGCTTGTTACACTTCGATGACTAATTTTTGAGTTTGTTTGAAGAAGGCTTCCACTGCTCACAAGAAAAAAAACGGAAAACTGATGTTCTAGGCTATTTTCTTTCTCCGATTCTGACCTGCACCCTTAACATAGGGAATAATATAAAGTTCTGCATACAAATTCAGGGGAATAATTTCATTTTCAAAGAGGAAACATAGCCAATTTACAATTTTATTTGTGTAATACTTGCACATTTTATAAGTCTGTTTCATGACACTGAATATGAATACTCAACAAATAAGGGTTTTCTCAGTTAAATTTGTATCTTCAAAGCTTTGTGAAGGTATGTTCATTTCTGCTTCATTATCTGTCTGTCGATTGTTTGAAGAATTGGTATCTTTATATAAATCTTTTCTCTCCATGCTCTTGCAATGTTATATTGCAAATGAGTGTCTTGTGACAAGGCAGTGTATGAGTGAAGGAAAAAACTCATTGAGATTTGACATGTAATATAACCCTTATATTTTTTATGATTCTCTCAAAAGTAACACCTGTGGTAGGCAGAATAATCCCCCCCTGTCTGAATAATGGTAGGCAGAATAACAGCCCCTCAGATGTATACATGTTAATCCTTGGAATCTGTGAATATGCTACCTTACTTGGCAAAGGGACTCTGCAAATGTGATTAAGAATCTTCAGGTGGAGCAATTATCCTGTTATGCTAAATCATCTGAGCGAGCCCAGTGTAATTACAAAGGTCTTTATAAGGGGAAGCTGGAAGATTAGAGTGAAAGGAAGATTTGTAAGTGATATGTTGCTGGCTTTAAAAATGGACGGAGGGCCCATGACCCCAGGAATACAGGCAGCCTGCAGAAACTGGAAGAGGCACAGACACAGATATACCCCTAGAGCCTCCATGGAGTAATGGAGCCCTGTGGACGCCTCCATCTTAGCCCATTCAGACTGATTTGGACTTCTGACATCCAGAATAGTAAGATAATAAATCTGACTTATTTTAACTCACTAATTATCTGGTAATTTGTTATAGCAGCAATGGAAAATAATACAATACCCACCTCGTAATTGCAAAAACTGGATGGGGAGATGGCATTTAGTATTGGCAAAAAATGCGAAGAGGTGGGAAGCTCGTGTGCTGCATGTGAAAGTATAACCTGGTATACCTATTCTAAAAAGCAATTTGGAAGTTGAAATGGTTTTGCTGTGTCCCCACCCAAATCTCATCTTGAATTCCCATGTGTTGTGAGAGGGACCCAGTGGGAGCTAACTGAATTATGGGGCCAGGTCTTTCCCATGCTGTTCTTGTGATAGCAAATAAGTCTCGTGAGTTCTAATGGTTTTAAAAACAGGAGTTTCCAGCTGGGCGCAGTGGCTTATGCCTGTAATCACTGCACTTTGGGAGGCCGAGGCGGGTGGATCACCTGAAGTCAGGAGTTCGAGACCAGCCTAGCCAACGTGGTGAAACTCTGTCTCTACTAAAAACATAAAAATTAGCCAGGCGTGGTGGTGGGTGCCTGTAATCTCAGCTACTCAGAGGCACGAATATCGCTTGAACCCAAGAGATGGAGGTTGCAGTGAGCCAAGATTGTGCCAATGCACTCCAGCCTGGGTGACAAAGTGAGACTCCACCTTAAAAAAACAAAACAAAACAAAACCCAGGAGTTTCCCTGCACAAGCTCTCTCTCTCTTTGCCTGCCACCATCCATGTAAGCTGTGACTTGCTCCTCCTTGCCTTCCCCCATGATTCTGAAGCCTTGCCAGCCATGTGAAACTTTAAGTCCATTAACCCTCTTTTTCTTCCCAGTCTCAGGTATGTCTTTAGCAACAGTGTGAAAACAGACTAATGCAGTAGTGCTTAGTGAAATTAAATATGCATTTGTTCTATGTTCTAGATTTTCTCCTCTTGTATACATATTCCAGAGAAATATTCTCATATAGTTCCATAATAACAGTCATGTTCAAGGATTTTTTTACAGTAGGATTTATACTAGTGGGAAGTTGAAGAAAACCTAGGTGCTTATCTCGAAGGTAAGAAATAATTGAACTGGTAAAATACTGTGCATCCATTAGAAATGGTGAGCCAAATCTATATATCAATATAGTTAGATCTTCTAAACAAATGTTACATGAAAAAGGTAAAAACATATTTGTTTCTCAGGCTACTTATATAACAAAAAACAGCATTGCTTTATTTATTCAACTGTTGATTTCTATTAGTATGGACTTACAGATATTTATTTTACCCTACGGGTTACAATCTATTACTTTTGTTATTTATTTCTTGTTCAAATTGTTCTATTTTTGACCGTTAAGAACTCTTCCAAATTGGCTCCTGTGGCATATTTATCTTTAACTGAATTAAATTACTTATATCTTTAGCATAATCTTTTCAAGATATTTACTCAAAATTTGGTCGTATTACAAAAAGATAAAAAAGAGGAAGAAGTAAAACAAAACATTTGGCTTAGTCTTAGCATGGTTTTGGAGAAGTAACAATGTTTAGTGTTCTATGCCACTGTAGGATGACAGCAGTCAACAACAAAACATAGTTTCAAGTAGCTGGAAGGAGGATAGTGAATGTTCCCAATACAAAGAAATAATAAAAATTTGAGATGATAGATATGTTAATTACCCTGATCTCATCACTATACATTATATATATTAAAACATCACTATATGCCTCATGAATATGTACAATTATTATTTTTCATTAAAAAGTAAAATTATACCTAAAAACAATAAAAATAAATTTTAAAAGATAATCAAATGAAATCAAATGCTTAACCATGATAATATTACATCTCCCTCCTTGTGTGTTAAGTTTTGTCTTTAATACCTTGAGGACTTTTAACACATTAAAGGCTCATCTGTGGGTCTAGGTGAAACAGTGACAGACATCCCTATGGAAGACAGAAGAGGGCACGTTATGGTGACCAAGGGCTTGCTTAGAAGCACAGGTGAGCCCAACCCCTGATTCCCAGAAATAACTCTCTGTATGTGTGTGTGCACACTGGGCATGTAGCCATGTAATAATTCTTACATGCAGCCATGTAAGAATGGCTAAGGTGAAGGATGAAGGGTGAAAGTTCCTAAAGCTGACCAGTCAGGAAAGAAGCAACATTAAGCAAAGGTTAACAGTGTCTCACATAGCTAACATAGGCTGACTCTAAACATAATGAAAGGACTACACTAGAAGATAACCAACTTAGGGTCTAGAAATACTCTTTTGACTCACTCCCTCCACCCCCATTGCTCGTTTCCTGGTTTTTGATCACTCCCTCCTCTCTGAGCACTCTTTTCCCTGGGTTTCCAGGACACCACATATTCCACGTCTTGCCCCTGCTCCCCTGATTATTTGTTTTCAGCTTCTTTTGCTGGTTCCTTTGCCCAGCTTCTAAATGGTAAAGTGTTCCAGGACTCAGTCCTTGCACCTCATCTCTTCTTTGTCTACATTCCCTTCGTTGGTGATTTTGTTCCATCTCAGGGTTTTAAATTTCACCTATACACTTATAATTCCCAAATTCATATTCCCAACCCAGGCCATTTCCCTGAGCTCTACAATTGTATATCAAATTGCCTACTCAATATATTCTTTTGGATATCTAAGAGGCATATGAAAATTGACAAGTCAGAACTAAACTGTTCTCTTTCCCCCACCACACTATTCTCTTCTACCCCTAAGTCCTTTCCATCTCAGGAAATGTCAATGCCAGTTGCTTAAGTCAAAATCTTTTGAAATATCCTTGACTCTCCTCTTTTCCCAAATCCCAGAAGCAATCTACCAGCAAGTACTCCTACATTACACCTTAAAAATATATCCTGAATCTTTTCATTTCTTAGCACTTCAATCTCACCACCTACCTGAATTATTATAATAGAGTCCTAATTGGTCTCTTTGTTTCTCCCTTCATACCCCTGGAGAATGCCCTCCACAAAGTCATATTTTATGCCTAAGGCAGGTCATACTCACTCTCATGCTCAAAATGCTCCAAAGTTTCCTACAGTAAATGCCTATCCTTACAATGGCCCAAAGGCCTACTACACTGTGTGCCCATCCACTGCCCTTTACTTCTCGGATCTCATTTCCTCCTAGTCTCCAGCTTACGCTGACTTTGCTTCTTTCTTGACCCTACTAAGGGCATTCATCCCTCCAGAATTTTGCTCTTGCCAGTTCCTCTGCCTGGATGCCCTTTCTTGAGATGGGTACTACTTCCTCCCCTCTTTCAGATTTTTGTTTATGTGCCACCTACTCAGGGATGTCTTCCACCATAATTAATTTGCAACTACTTTTCACACCAGGAATTCACTCTCTCCTTCTCTTCTTTATTATCTTTCATAACATTTATGACTACCTAGCACACTATGTATTTTACTTTTCTGTTAATTTTCTGTCTCCCCTCACCAGAAAGTTAGGGATTTTTGTCTATTTAGTTTACTATTGTTTCTATTGCACCTGGAACACTGACTGGTACATTGTACCTCTCCATTATAGAGCAGCTCAATGTTTGTTGAGGCTGAATACATGTTAAAATGCCACTCTTTGGAAGGGGTTTTCCTCTCCCTGCACTGGTATTAGCCTGTGGCCAAGGAGGGAGGTATGGGCTTAATGGCCAATACAGCCACTAGGCAGGGTCCAGGAAAAGGTAACAGATTGTCAGAAAGAGGAAGCAGGCAAGCACCAAAGAAAACCCTTGCCTTCTCTTCCCACTGTTTATGCAGACAATGCATTCCAGAGGCTACTGTGATGGTCTGCAAGCGATTTCCAACTGAGCTTTATTTCAGCTAAGTAGCCAAGGGTAATCTGAATAAAAGAAATAAGGCAAGTTATTCACTTTCTAATTGCTACTTGCACAACTTTTTCCTAATTGCATTTTCCATAGACAATTTGTGCCAAAATGAACATTCCACTAATGATGCTGGCAAGACAGTTTGTCAAACACTGACTCTTAGTGAATGTTACTATACAGACCTTGTTCTGGGCTCTGTTTTAGGTCCAAGAAATTCCACAGACATTCAATTTAGGAGGCAGTCAAATCTCATTCACCTACTTTTAGTATTAGCCTTGGCAGAGTTTGACTCCAAAGTGGCGCTCCCTCTCATTACTGGGCCCCTGCACATGAGTGAGTGTATGCCCTTGGAATGCTGGCAAAAATTTTAATCTAAGAAAAACGACCAGGAGACAAAAACTCCTGCAAAATTACCCAGAGAGCATCTCAAGTCAAATATAAATTTTTAATTTTCATTAACTGCCCTCGTGCGTGATCAGCACCGAACTCCACTTCTTCAATGACACAGGAGAGCTCAGTCTTCAGCCCAGGGGTCCTGAGTTGAGTTGCTGGGCTTGTTCTGAGATGAGTGTCTTAAAGTCTGAGAACTGACACTTCACACGTCCTCTATGCCAACCGGTATGATTTAATTGAGGAATTTTAGACCCATAGAGAGACAGGAACTTTTGCAAGATGTGATGGAATCTAAATGGAACTTGGAATCACACAAAATTGGGAACAAAGGAGAGTTCCATCAGAGAATGGCATTGCACTTATTTGCTAAACTCCTCTGCAATTAATTTTACTGCGCTATTAAAAGGAGAGATAGCCCTGGCCTGTGGTTTTGAGGAGTAGTAAATGAGACGTGCCTGGAAAGAGCTTCATACATTGCAGTGCCCTGTATTTTTCTTCTTGCTCACTCGGGATCACACAGTAGTGGGCTGGGCCAGACTTAAAACATAGTTCTGTCTTTGAGTTCAGTGTTTTATTCCTATCACCTTAACTTTGTTGCAAGTGGAGAAACTACAGGGCAGAAAGGGTGTGCACCCACCTCTTCCCCCCTTCTATAGGACCCATAAAAACCACACTGACACTGCCCAGAGAATGGAGAATGATCACTTTGCAAAAGAGATTTCTGGGATCTCTGCAAAGGTCCCAGTCCTTTGTCCTGCTTTCATGTTTGCAGTGAGCTCTCACACTTGCCTTTCTGAGGTTGAGAGGGAGTTTATCATCCAGAATAAGAGATAGGAACCGGATCAGATTGCTTAGGTTCAGATACTAGCTCCACCTCTCATTACTTTCATGGCCTCAGTCAAGTTATTTCAGCTCACTCTGCCTTTGTGACCCCATCTGTAAAATGGAGATAAAAGCAATACTTACCCTATTGGGAGGTATAGATATGTATACAGAAAACACTTAGCTAATAATATTACTATATTATAAAGAAAATCAGTGTATAGGTAGTGCATGTAATGTTACCTAGAGAAGACATGCATCATGGAATACCAGCACTAGACTTGTTTGTTTATGTGGATTTGTCTTGGTTTGGCAGACTTTAGGATACTGTCCATCTTCACAAAGTTTAGAAGTCCTGTCTTATTCTTGGGTATAAAGCAGCAACCCTATATGGACTGCTAAGAGAGACTGACACTTAGCTCTTGCTCCTCCCTCCCCTGCCCTCTCCTCCTCTCATCTCCACTTCTCTTCCATTCTCTCTTCTTCATTTTCCTTCGTCCTCTTCCTTTTCCTTTCTCTTTCCCTCCCTGTCTGTCCATCTGTCCCTTCCTTTCTCAATCTCCAACCCTTCCTGCCTTTCATTATCTAATAAAAAGCCGGATTGTTTTTTCCTTGGCATCCTACTCATCTTCATTTCCCTACACCTTGTCCTCCCTGCCCCTACTGTTCCCTGCAGTCTCGCAGCATTTGCAGGAAATAACACGTGTGTGTATGTGCATGTATGTGTGTTCTGTCATTTCTGTGGTGACATCAAATTACAAATGCTTGCCAAAGCAAAGCCCTGCCTTCTTTATTCAAAATTTGTACCAGGTGACAGAAAAGTCCATAGTGATTACCTGGGCATCCTCACAGTTACCATAACATCGAAAACTTGATCTTTGTTCAAGTGAAATAAAATCTGGAGAGCCTGGAGAGATAAAAGCAAAAAGTCCCTTGGGTCTTTGCCAAAATGACACTCTTGTGCTTTTTTCATTACTGATTCACAGCTCACAGTGGACAGTTTTCTTAGCATGTTACACACATCATTATATAAATCCACCAGTAACATTTTAAGTTCCATAAGCAAAATTCTTATTATATTATTAGCTACTGAGGCTCCTCTAGGTGCCCTTAGACTGTTTCCTAACTCTGAACCCTAGGCCATTTTCCTTATCATCGTTTGTTATTGGGAAGTATGTTAGCCATGCAAGAAGTTAAAAAGGTAATATGTACATACCACCTGTCAAAAAACATGACAGATACAGCCTCTTGCCTTACTGTCAATTAATAAGGCTATGGAGACTTTTGTTTACTTATGTGTGTGGCTTTTTAAAAAACTTTTAACCTTCAGTGATGTGTTTTAAGTCTATTTCTAGAATAGATAGTTCTTCAATTTAGCTTAATCACACGTATTTGTTTTTTTCTACTATCACATTTTGTGCTTTCCACTTATCTTGCTATTTTTATACTTAACATTTTCTCCATTTAAAATCTTGTTAGAATTGATCAATATTTTCTTATTCTTTACTATGTTTTATTGATTTAGAAGCTAAATATTTTAGTTTTCTTTTTTATATTTGTTTTTAAATTTTCACTTATGTATAATTGAGAAAGTCAAAAGCAAATCAATAACTTTATACTTTCTGAACAGTATCTTAGAACAGTATTTTAGCTTTGAAGTTTGTCCACATTAAGTTAGTTCCTGAACCAATTTATCTGTTAGTCTTATAGTTTTTATAATAATTACTTGTATACATAAAACCACAAATTTATCAATTCCTTTGCTTATCATTACTTCTTCCTTAGCTTTTCCTTTCAGGGAGAATTTAGAAATTTGCAGGTGAAGATCTTTTGGTGAAAAACATTCTCAATATTGTTTTTTAAAAATATGTTCTTAATTGTATCCTGCTTCTTGAAAGGTAGTTTTAAAAATTTTGGTATAAAATCTAGCTTGACAATTATTTTTCTTTAGCACTTTGGGTTATTATTCCTCTTCTACTTCCAACCTTTTTTTTAAATTTTAGACTGTCTTTTTCTTTATGGCTGTTATTAAGATTTTATATCTGTAGCATATTCTGGTTTAATTATCATGTGTTTAGGCATGGATTTGTTCATATTTACCTCGCTTGTGATTTAGTGTATTTTGTGAGCGTGATGATCCATGTCTTACATTACTCCAGAAAATCCTTAGCCATTATTTGTCAATATTGCTTTTCATTTATCACCTGTGCTTCTTCTTAAGACTCAAACAAAAGGTATATTGGCCTTTCTCATTTTCCCCCCATGTCTTTTAATTACTTTTTTATGTTTTCCACATTTTATTTTATATATTCTGCATTATGGGCAGTTACTTTAGAATTATAATTGAGTCTATTATATCTGTTCTCTGTTGTGTCTAATATTGTATATTAACAACTCCTTTGATTACTTAATTTTAGTGACATACTTTCTTTTTTATTTTGTAGAAATTCTATTAAAGTTTTTTCAAATCAGCCTGATACATTTTGAAGGTATCATATTTTTTTCATTTATTTTCATTTATTTAAACAGCATTAACACTTTAATGTTACTACTTATTGATGATTCTGCAGTCTACTTTGAAGTGTAAGTGTGCTATTTCTTATATTTAATGGCTTGACCATGACACTTTACATACCCCATGTCTTATCATTTGGGGCTATTATGCTTATGTTAGAAAGAAGGGAGAACTTTATTTAAGGAAACTTCATGTGGCATGAATTAAGGGTGTGAGTCCCTGGAGTTATTTTATGCTTTCTTCTGCCAAGAGCATTCCTAGACTGGATGGCCTGACTGCTTTCATGCTATTATGCTTCTGTATTCCCAGACCATACAGGAGCATGCATTTGATGCGAAATATGCTTAAGAGCACACCTCTGGTTACAAATTCTTAGAGGAGATCTTTTCACTTGGAGCCTAGGCCAAAAAGGACAAGCTTTCTCTGCTCATCTCCATAAACTAGTAGATGATTTTTGTCCTTAGACTTCTTCACAAAGGGTGTAGCTCTTTGATGGTTGTGGCTTTATCCAGGCATTTTAGTCAGTTCCTCATCTTGCATAATCTCAACATTTGTCTCTTATGCCCTGATGACAGTTAAAAACCTAAGACCCTTCCATAGTTTGCCACCTTGGCTTTTGCCTCCTTTGTATTTCTTCTTAGGGAGGTTCCCTTATTTTCCTGAGTGAGCAGATATGGATTTAAATGTATGTTTGTTACATATTTTCATTAGGATGACCATTACCAAAAATCACAAATAATAAATGTTGGTAAAGATGTGAGGAAATTGGAATCCTTGGGCATTGCTGGTCGGAATGTAAAATGCTGTAGCCACTACAGAAAACAGTATGGAAGTTCCTAAAAAATTAAACATACATTTACTATATGATCCAGAAATTTCACTTCTGGGTATATGATATAGTTTCGATGTTTGTCTCCTCCAAATCTCATGTTGAAATGTAATCTTCCATGTTGGGGGTGGGGCCTGGTGGGAGCCATTTTGGTCATGGGGGCAGATCCCTCATGAATGACTTCATGGTGGTAATGAATGAATTCTTGCTTTGTGAGTTCATGTGAGATCTGGTTGTTTAAAAGAGCCTGACACCTCCTCCCTCACTCTCTTGTTCTCACTCTTGCTGTGTGATACACCGGCTTCCCTCTTTGCCTTCTGCTATGACTGGAAACTTCCTGAGGCCTCACCAGGAGCAGATGCAGCCACTATGCTTCTTGTACAGCCTGAAGAACCATGAGCCAAAATTAACTTCTTTCTTTACAAATTATCCAGCCTCAGGTTCTTTCTTTATAGCAATGAAAGAACACATTATCACAGTATATACCCAAAAGAATTGAAAACAGGGATTTGAGTAGATATTTGTTCACAAATGTTTATAGAAGCATTATTCACAATAGCCAAAAGGTGAAAGCAATCCAAGTGTCCATCAGTGGATGAATGGATAGACTAAAGGTGACATGTACATACGTTGGAATATTATTCAGTCTTTAAAAGGAAAGAAATTATGACACATGCTATAACATAGATAAACCTTCAAAACATGCTAAGTGAAACAAGCCAGTCACAAAAGAACAAATGGTTTCAATTATGTGAAGTATTAGAGTAATTCAATTCATAGAGACAGAAAGTTGAATGGTGTTGTCAGGGGCTAGGGAGAGGAAAGAGGTGGAAGTTTTTGTTTATTGGGTGTGAAGTTTCTGCTTTGGAAGCTGGAAAAGTTCTGGAGCTGAACAGTGGTCATGGTTTCATGCTAATATGAATGTATTTAATAGCACTGAACTGCACACTTAAGAATGGTTAATTTTATGTTGTGTACATGTTACTACAATTTAAAAAAACAAATATTTTTATTACGTTTTACCCAGCATAATTAGGTTTTATAATATCAGAACGTTTTCCAGGTTATTTGAACTTCATTTTTTTTTTCAAAAGAGGCATTTCTTTAATTATTTTACCTTTAGGACTTTTAAGCTTTTATTCTACTCCAATGTGTTGCTTAGATAAGTAAGTAAGAGAACAGAGAAAATGAAACGGGAGGCTTTGTTACTACATAGAGAATTCTTGCTTTCATTTAGTCTTTTTATTGGTAGAGTAGTTGTATTGTACAAATATAACAGGATTACAGGGATTTCAAGGCTCCAACATGGGAAGCAGAGTAGAGCCTGACTGCATAAGAAATGGAACTGGCATTAAGGCAGCCCCATGTTCCCTCACCCTGTCTCTCTTCTTCGCATGTGATTTTTTATTCTAACAATTATCCCATTATCTTTACTTTTTCATTCACTTCAGTTTGTTGTAAACCATTTTAATTGACCAGGTCCTATTTGCCTGATGAAAATTCATTATGTAATATTTTGGCATCTGCCCTTCCTAATAATTGCTGCAGGACCTTGGCTTCCCAATTTCAAACTTCTGAAAGGAATTTGATGTGCTGATGATTTTGAGTCTAATCATCTGGGCTAGATATGTTCATTAACTAAAAATAAACGCATAAGAATATTTCACTTCCCTGGCATCAATGTGAAAACTCAGTGTTCCCACTTCCCAGTGAAACTGGTGGAAAAAAACTTTTTTAAACCTCAACCATTTTAATTAAGCTTTTAGAAATGATTCCAAGGGCATTTAGCAAATGAAGACACAGTTATTCAAGAAAGCCTACTACACCCTGGTGAAAGAAAACAGTGAGAGTGTTTCATTTGAATGACAACCTGCTTCTTCCTTCCCACCATCCCAGCTTGACATGATGGAACTGCACTCCAGATGGCCACTGCCAAGAACACAGGGCTTTCTCTTCCCCTACCTCCCAAACAGAAGTCTATGCTATCTTCCAAGGAGGGGAAGAATATCAGCATTTCTCATACTGCTCCCAGATACAAGTTACAGAGGCTAAGTTTTAAGCAAGTATAGCCAACAGTTGGGGGCTCTTTTTTTTCCAACTAACCTCCACTGATGAGACATAAGGTTTACCTGGGACAGTTGCAAACACTGGAGCCCTCTCATCCCTGTCCTGGCTCCTAATGTAGAGGTTCTAAGCCAGGAGGGGCAAGCTGAGACCTGAGCCTACTGTACTCAATCCCTACCTCCCTGCTAAATGCCAGATCCTAAAGCAGGGGCGTCACTCAAAACAAGTTGTCACTTTCTCTGCCCTGAGCTTCAGAGAGGATAAGAGATTTTGCCCAGGGAGAAAGACAGGTCATAAAACGCTCTCCCTAAAGCCACTGACTTCATTTGCAATAGAATGTGAGAAAGTTCAAGCCTGAAGGGTACTCTACAAAGTAATGGTTGTTGTGGTAAAAAGCGATTAAGAGGAGACTGACCAATATATTAGGAATATAAGTTAAACCACAGACCAGCTAGTTTACCAGAGAAAATTAGTGAAAGTTAAGAAGAGTTAAGACAGTTAAGAGCTGACTTGAGGTTGGACCAAATCTGAAACACTTACCTCAAAAACTATCCCTACAAAGAAATTTGAATTTAATTAGACCATCCGCTGAACAATTTATGCCACAGGGCATTGTTGAAAACAATAGAGCAATCAATTGTAATTAATGGGTCTTAATAGCTGGTTGTGGCTAGAGAAAGACACAGTCAAAGAAAGCCCTGCCAAACCACTGTCATCCCAGAGTGACCATGCCTTCCCAAGGCTGCTCCCTTTAGGAGCAACAGTAGAGGTTTCACTGTGGCGATGCAGGGGATAGACTTCGCTAAAGGAATCCAGCCAATCACTAAACAAATAGGCAAACAACAATAGCAAGGCCCAGATACAGTGGTGGGGCGGTGCATTTGCTATAATGTATTACTGAGATGTCTTTTTTCCAGCAAAAATTCCCAAGACATAACCCCACCTCAAAAAAAGAGAGAAAAGTCTGACCTATACATGGGGAAAAAAATAGCAGACAACAAGACTGTCTGTGAGAGCAACCAGATGTTGGATAAATATGTTCAAAAAACCAAAGGCAACCATGCTTAAAGATGTAAAGGAAGATACGTTGACAAGGTCTCATAATAGAGAATACCAGTTATAGAAATTATGAAAAAGAACCAAATGGAGTTAAGAAATAAAATAATTCCAGAGTCTAGTAAAATAAAAAATGCACTGAAGAGATTCAACAGTAGAATTGAATGAGTGAATAAAGAATAAAGAATGAGTGAACTTGAATTAGATCACTAGAAAATATGCAACCTGAAGAACAGAGAGGAAAAAAGATAAAAACAAAACAAAACAAAACAAAAAACAACCCCAGAGAAACGTGGGACACTTTTAGGTGCACAAACATATGCAAAATGAAAGTACCAGAAGACAGAATTGAGCAGAAGAAATAATGACTTAAAACGCCTCAAATTTGACAAAAAACGTGAATCTACACATCCAAGAAGCTCAATGTACTCTAATTTTCTCATCTAAGAGAGTATATCTTACAGGCACAAACAAGGTGCTCTCCATCAGCTGTTATAAGGAAGTTTGGAAAAGGCAAACAACAATCCATATCTCTGGTAGAATTACTAAGAAATGAACTCAATTTTTGTACTAGCTAATACAAATTTATTAGATCACAACAGCAAAAATTTTTCATTAATGAGAATCCTGAAGTTTTACAAGACCCTAAAGTACCTTCAAAATAAAACAAGATTAAAAATAATTAGTGATGATTTAGTAAAGTATGTTTTATTTTGTTTTAGTTCCACCTACTATAAATATTATAATTTATTAATATATCAGTTTTGTTGACTTAAATCTTTGATTAATATGAATTATTAACACATGCCATATAATAGAGCACATAGTGTACTAGCAGTTTCTAAACTAATCCTTCATCCCTCAGATGAAGAGTGTGACTTACCTGTAGACAATTAAGGTTTGAGAGGTTTTGAATGTCCTCCTACCCCAAGTGTGCTTCTCCCAAGACTTATTTCTTCTAGTCAAGGTTTTCCAACCTCCAAATGCAAGTGGAAGAAGGATTCTATTTAAAGCTAAATTAATTCTTTACATTAACTTGAACGTGCTAATGTTATACTTTCCTTAAGGTAAGCAGAGAGATGCAGGAACCCAAGATACCTAAGAGTCAGGAAGCTTCGAATAGGGCACAGCTTGGGAAGTGCTCACAGGTATGAGATTCAACCTTGACAACTTTTAGACTTTATCTATGTCCTGCTTTTGCAGGGGCTTTGGAAAATTGATTACTTTTCCTTTTAGGTGAAATAATTCAAATTTGCTAAACTCACTTGCCTCTTCTTTAATCCACAAGTATTTTTGAATAACTACAGTTTGAGGTAATGACAGAAACCCCTATAAGGAAAAAAATGATGTTCTGTAGTGAGCCATATGCCAGAATTATAGAACAAATATTAGCCCTGAGACCTTTTGGTTGAGAGAAAACAAGTGTAAGCACTAAGGGCTTAAATTTCTTTCTTTTTTCTTTTTTATCTTTTTCTTTTGAGACAAGGTCTTACTCTTTCACCCGGGCTGGAATGCACTGGTGCAATCAAGGCTCACTACAGCCTCAACCTCCTGGGTTCAATCAATTCTCCTCTCTCAACCTCCTGAACAGCTGGGTACAGGTGTGTGCCACCATCCCCGGCTAATTTTTGTAATTTTTGTAGAGACAGAGTTTCACCATGTTGCCCAGGCTGGTCCTGAACTCCTGTGCTCAAGCAATCCACCTGCCTTGACTTCCCAAAATTCTGGGATTACAGGCGTAAGCCACCACGCTTGGCCTTAAGTGCTTATATTCTAATGAGTTAAATGATCCACATTCTCTTGTGGATAGTAGCAGGATAGGATGCAAAATTGCAGACTTTATTACAAGTCTGTAATCAAGTCCCAAGAATGATCTGTTGTGAGGCAAGCCATGAGACTCCATCTACTACATTGCCTTAGGAAAGTGCTGTGGTAACAGCAACTTCACTCCTTTAACTTAATCTCAGCATCCCTGACTTCTGGAGCACAAAAGCTAAACAAAAAAAGGGATGAATATTATTTTTCATTAATTCATAAAGTCTGTTGGAAAATATATTTTAACAGAATAAAACTATACTGTGTTCATTAAAACATGCTTGATTTAAAAAAAGAAATTTTCTTTTAACTGAAAATGGACAGAGGAGGGACACTTATCAAACCTCTGGTTGCGAGAAGAGTCAAAAAGGCTGATTGCTGAGCCCCACATTGCAGCACAAATAGAAGACAAGAAGGAGTAATGGTGGGGTGGAGACAGTTGTCCAAACAACAACAAAAAAGCAAAATTCACAAAGTCCAGGGATCAGAGTGATGATAATATATAACCTTGTATGATAGAAGGTAGCAGTGAAGACAGTCAACATCATTGAAGAATATGGAATAAGAGGAAGAAGGGGTTGAAAATTCCAACTATTAAGAGATGTGGCTGGAGAAGTCAGTCAAAGATTCTTCTATATTCTAGCAAGAGGAGATAATTGTCTCAACTAAAATAGAGTCAGTGGGAATGATGAGAAATTAAGGAATCCTAGAAATATTAACATGAGGTAAAGGTGAGGAAATGCAGTGCCTTTTATAGATATAGAAGAAAAGACCGAAGTCAAGCATTTGTCTCAGTATCCAATTTAAGCAATAAGGAGCTGGTATTACCAGTCTCTGAAATGGTGCTACAAATGCAGAAGTATGTTTGGCAAATGTGGTCAAGACAGATGATGGGTGGAGGCAGAGGCTACTGTTGATGCAAGGTAGGCAAGCCTCAAATTGGGGCTTAGCTCAGGAGAGTTCTTGGCTTTGCTCAGGAAAGAATTCAAGAGCAAACTGGTGGTAGAAGAAAGCAGCTTTACTGACATGGCAGTGTTAGAGCTTCATGACTGCTCCTGTAGAGCAGGGCTTCCTCGTAGACACTGTGTTGACAGCAGCAGCTCAAAGGCAGTTCTGCAGTCATATTTACACCGACTTTTAATTACATGCAAATTAGGGAGCAGATTATACAGCAATTTCTAGTAAAAGAGTAGTACATTCCAAGTTGTTGGGTCATTCCCATGGAAAGAGGCAGTAACTTACAGGTCTTGCCATGGCAATGGTAAACTGACATGGCACACTGCTGGGCATGTCTTATGGAGAGGTGTTTCTACCATTTCTCCCTTTTATCTAGTCCTCAATCTGGTCTGATGTCTGAGCCCCACCTCTGGAATCACGTCCCACCTCCTACCTCACCATTACTAACAATTCTACACATTTCAGTTCATCTTTACATGACATTAATTTGGGAATCCTTTTTTCTTTCTAGTCTCCTTTGTACAAAACTGAACACTTTTCTCTAAATAAAATTTGGATAAGAGAAAATTAGAAACACTCCCATAGTTGCTATTTGAGAGGTACCCACTCCAGTTGATCAGAGTATGTCCATAGCTGCGAAATAGCCTGAGAAATTTAGACGAAAACAAAGCTTGTTACCTGAACTATCCAGATAATCAAAAATTAAATATTGAGAAACATTTTTATATTATCCCAGCAATGACCCTAAAGCCTTTCTTTGTTTGATTAACTAATCAAAGCAAAGCTTACATGATTTTATAGCAAACAATGAATGTTTAAAATCAATCTCATTTAACTTTAAATAAAAAGAATTGGTTTTCTTTAGTGACTATAGTTAGAACATGTTTTAGATCTTCAGTCACGTCCAAGAATATCCAATAACACTGACTAGGATCCAGAAAAAAGCTTTTTTTTCGGATACTCTTGATGGTAAGTTAACTTGATTCTCTTAAGAACTGCCTTGGCTATTTTCAGAGTGTGAGTTAAAATGTCTGAAGTTTGAAAGGAAACAGATCATCCTCGGAAATCACTTTGGATGACAAGGAAACTTTAACATTAACATTCAAACCACATCAATCATGGGGGTGGAGAACTACTACTAAGCACCATATGAAAATAGTTGGGCAGTTTCCAAAGACAGAGAGAAAATCTATAGCAAGCACCGCAATGTTTAGTTTTAGGGGTGGGGTTCTTTCTTTTAAAACACTTTTAGGAGCTGTAAAAAGATACATTTCCTTATATATTGTACTAGCTGATTTTTTTTTCTACACTAGCTAAGAATAGAACCATTGGGAAAAGAGCTGTGCTGTCTTTAGTTGTTAGAGGATACCTATACTGTTGAATAAGAGAAGCGTATATTTCTTGCTCCAAAAATTACCATCTGACAGTCTATTTTGTATAATGAAATTTCACCACTAGAAATTATTTTTCTGAGGATATTTACAAATCATTTGATAATTTTTTAATGTTGCCTTTATTTTATTTTACTTTATTTTTTATTTCAATAGATTTTTGGGGGAACAGGTGGTGTTTGGTTACATGAATAAGTTCTTTAGTGGTGATTTCTGAGATTTTGGTGCACCCATCACCAAAGCAGTGTACACTATACCCAATGCGTATGTAGTCTTTTACCCCTCACCCCCTCCCATCCTTTCCCTGGAGTCCCCAAAGTCTACTGTATCATTCTTATGCCTTTGCATCCTCATAGCTTAGCTCTCACTAATGAGTGAGCACATACAATGTTTGTTTTTCATTCCAGAGATACTTCACTTAGAATTATGGTCTCCAATACTATCTAGGTTGCTGCAAATGCCATTATTTGTTCCTTTTTATGGTTGAGTAGTATTCCATGGTGTGTGTGTATACATATATATATATAATCTTCTTTTTGAGATGGAGTTTCGCTTTTTTCACCCAGGCTGGTGTGCAATGGTGTGATCTTGGCTCACTGCAACTTCTGCCTCATGGGTTCAAGCAATTCTCCTGTCTGAGCCTCTCGAGTAGCTGGGGTTACAGGTGCCCATCACCACACCTGGCTAATTTTTGTATTTTTTAGTAGAGACGGGGTTTCACCATGTTGGTCAGGCTAGTCCTGAACTCCTGACCTCAGGTAATCCACCCGCCTCGGCCTCCCAATATCACACTTTCTTTATCCACCCATTGATTGATGGGTATTTGGGCTGGTTCCATATTTTTGCAATTGCAAATTGTGCTGCTATAAACATGTGTGTCCAAGTATCTTTTTTGTATAATAGCTTCTTTTCTTCTAGGTAGATACCTAGTAGTGGGATTGCTGGATCAAATGGTAGATCTACTTTTATTTCTTTAAGGAATCTCCACACTGTATTCCATAGTGGTTGTACTAGTTTACATTCCCACCAATAGTGTAAAATGTTTCTTTTCACCACATCTACGCTAACATCTATTTTTTTAAATTTTTTGATTATGACCATTCTTGTGGGAGTGAGGTGGTATCACATTGTGGTTTTAATTTGCATTTCCCTGATCATTAGTGATGTTGAGCATTTTTTCATATGCTTGTTGGTCATTTGTGTATCTTCTTTTGAGAATTGTCTATTCATGTCTTTAGCCCACTTTGTCATGGGATTTTTTGTTTTTTTCTTGCTGATTTGTTGGAGTTCTTTGTAGATTCTGGATACTAGTCCTTTGTCAGAGGTACAGATTGTGAAGATTTTCTCCCACTGTGTGTTGTCTGTTAACTCTGCTGATTATTTCTTTTGCTGTGCAGAAGCTTTTTAGTTTTATTAAATCCTGTCTATTTATCTTTGTTTTTGTTGTTTTTGCTTTTGGGTTCTTGATTTTTGCCTCAGCCAATGTCTAGAAGGGTTTTTCTGACGTTATCTTCTAGAATTTTTATGGTTTTGGATCTTAGATTTAAGTATTTAATCCATCTTGAGTTGATTTTTGCATAATGTGAGATGTGGGGATCTAGTTTCATTCTTCTACATCTGGCTTGGCAATTATCCTAGCACCATTTGTTGAATAGGGTGTCCTTTCCCCACTTTATGTTTGTGTTTGCTTTGTCGAAGATCAGTTGGCTTAAGTATTTGGCTTTATTTCTGGATTCTCTATTCTGTTCCATTGGTCTGCGTGCCTGTTTTTATACCAGTACCATGCTGTTTTGGTGACTATGGCCTTATAGTATAGTCTGAATTCAAGTAATGTGATGCCTCCAGATTTGTTCTTTCTGCTTAATCTTGCTTTGGCTATGCAGGCTCTTTTTGGTTCCATATGAATTTTAGGATAGTTTTTTTTCTAGTTCTGTGAAGAATGTTGGTGCTATTTTAAATGGGATTGCACTGAATTTGTAGATTGCTTTTGGCATTATGGTCATTTTCGCAATATTGTTTCTACCCATCCGTGAGCATGGGATGTGTTTCCATTTGTTTTTGTTGTTTATGATTTCTTTCAGCAGTGTTTTGTAGTTTTCCTTGTAGTGGACTTTCACCTCTTTGGTTAGGTATATTCCTAAGTGCTTTATTTTATTTTTACAGCTATTGTAAAAGGGGTTGAGTTCTTGATTTGATTCTCAGCTTGGTTGCTGTTGGTATATAGCAGAGCTACCGATTTGTGCACGTTAATTTTTGTATCCTGAAACTTTGCTGAATTCATTTACCAGTTCTAGGAGCTTTTAGAATGAGTCTTTAGGGTTTTCTAGGTTATTGTCATGATATGATGATACTATCATATCATCTGCAAACAGTGACAGTTTGACTTCCTTTCTACCAATTTGGATGCCCTATATTTTTTACATGCAATACCAGGGGAGAAATGTAAAGGAAGCAAAGATGGAAGACATAAAGGAGGCAGTGAGGTATCTAAAGGATCTCAGGAGATCTTGAGCGGTCATGAGAAAAGAATGAGAGTAAGCGCAATGATAGTTAAAAAGTATGGTGGAAAAACACCATATAACACAATATAAACAAGTTTGCCAACCTCATAGTTTTCAGATAGCTGGGTCTGTGGTCAACAGTTAGTAAAAGAAGAGAGTTGAGTGACTTGACTACATGTCTGATTATTACTGATTTTCTGGATAGACACATAAACATACTTCTAATACATACATATACATATATTTATTTACTTACAGGAAATAGGATAATCTTTATACATATCAGATATAAAAGAGGGTGTGGATATCAGTAACTCATGATGTAACTATCTTTTTTGTATGTGGTGCCCCATGTGTTTGCCTGATAAAGTTATATTTTTATTACTGGTCTTTGAGCACATGATTGAGCAGTCCTGTTTTCGTTGGTCCCAACAGCTTGAGATAGCTATATCTGCTATGTGGAGCAGTCTCTGGGGGCAAGAGAGGTCAATGTTAGTGAAGGTGATGCAAAAAGGAAATTGTATGGATGCCATAACATCAGGTATTAGTCTACTTCATATGGAGCTATATCATACATTCATAAATACTTACTGTTCTGGGCATTGTATTTGGGCAAAACATACAGAACAGAACTAGAATGGCCTTGACATTGTAGAGCTTAAAATATTAATATTAATCAAATAATCCTATAGGAGAGTAGTATTTAATTACAACCCCAACAAATGCCATGAAGAAAAAGGAACTTGATTTATAGGAGATTTTAACCAAGATATCTGATATATATACATGGAGATATGGAAGGGGGAGATGGACAAGGGATGCTTCCTTGAAAATGAAAGGATTGAGCTAAGATCTGGTGGGTGTGTAGTAATAGCTCTCTCTAGATGAGGAGGGAGAGAAGAAGATATGTATGTGGAGATAGAATAAGAGACAGTGAGAGCCAGGAAGCAGGAACAAAATGACAGGAGCAAACAAGGTGTATTCTAAGAAATAAGAAATGGTGAGTGTGCCAGCTATATAAAGAGGAGAGGGGCAGAGTGGTTTAAAATGAAGGAGCAGGCAGGGAGCAAACCAATTTCAGAGCATTAGGCCCAGTTCAGGATTTCTTCATTAATTAAAGAGGAAGAAATGGGAAGCCAATAAAATATTTTAAGCAGATATGTTTTAGCAAAATTTGTGCTGGCTGTAGTGTGTAGAATGGATTGGAGAGGAATACAGATGACTGGTTAAGAATCTATTGCAGGAAACTGAGTAAGGGTGATATGTAATAAGATGGTTGAGATGGCATTCTTGGGAAGAGATCCCAGTGTAAAGAGAAATATATTTTGGTTTTAGATATGTTGAGATTGTGAGCCCTTGAGATACCAAAGAGAGAATGTTAAGTGGCAGTAAGATATCTGTATTTTGAGCTCAGTGAATATGTCTGGAATGTCTAGAGCCACTTAACACCTTTTGCTCCATCTGTAAGAAGAAAATAGCATGCTGAGATTAGGAACTCCCTTGAGCCAGATCAAGTTTACCTTCTGATCATGTACACACAGAGACTTTAATGCATCTATTGAATTTTATTTTGCATTCCTTACCTTCTAAAAGCCTAAACTTTATTGTGTAGCACATATAATAAACATTACAAGTGGCTTCTCTTTTAATTTATTATAAATGTGGCATTTAAAATTCAATTTTACAATTTTTTAGTGTTGACTGAAAAAAGAAACCAACAACTGGCCTTCATTGACAAATTTATAGAAAAAATGCCCAGTTATTTTGATCATTCATTCCACAAAATATTTATTGGACATCTAGTATGGGCAGGACTCTCTTCCAGGTGCTAGAGATACAGCAGTAAACAAAACAGAAAAAATAACATCTACCCACACAGAGCTTACAATTTAGTAAGCTAAATTTGTTTGCGTACAGTATAATATATACATTAAATAAATAAATTTACTATATAATTGCTAGATAGTGATAAATATTGAAAAGAAAGCATTGAGAAGGAGAAGAAGTTGGGAAATGTATGCATGTTGAAAATGCTTACATTTTGAAAAGAGTGACCAGGAAAGATCTCACTGAGGAGCTGATATTTGGGAAAAAAACAAAAGAACTATGAGAGAGTGAACTATACGGATACCTGAGGAAAAAAATTCCAGACATATAGAAAACAAATAACGAAATGGCAGATACAAATCCCACCTTAATATTGCATGAAATACTTCAATTAAAGGGCAGAGATTGAAATAATAGATATAAGAAATGATTCAGCTCTATGTTGTTTTATGTTGTTTACAAAAGATAACATTAGTCAAATAGTCAAAACATGGAAACAACCCAAATTTCTATCAATGGATGAAGAAATAAACAAAATGTGACTTATCCATGCAATAGAATATTATTCATCCATAAAATTAATGAAGTACTCTTACGTGCTACATTGATGAACCTTGACAGCATTATTCTAACTGAAAGAAGCCAGACACAAATGCCTGCATGGTGTATGCCTGAATTATATGAAATATCCACAATAGGCAAACCTATGGAAAGAGTATAGATTAGGGGTTGGCAGAAGGTGGATATAGGAATAATGGGGAGTGCCTGCTTCTGATATAGAATTTCTTTTGGGGGTAATGAAAATGTTCTGGAATGAGATAGTGTTGATGGTTGCATAACCCAGTGAATAAAACCACATCAAAATGATGAATCATATAGTATGCAAATTATGTCTCAAAATAAATAATTACCATAGTTCAAGTAAACAACTGACATAGCAGATTGGATAATGAACCAAATAGAAGTTCTAGAATTGGAAATAACAGTAATAAAAATGAAAACTAATGGATGGTGAAAACAGCACAGTTGAGATAGCTAAACAGAGAATTTGCAAACTGGGAGATAATTTAGAACAAAAAAATCCACCACAAAAAACTGAGAGAAAAATGAGGCAAAAGAGGAATATAGGATAAAAGCATAAAGAATAGGGCAAAAGGTCTAACACAAATATAGTTGGAGTCCTATAAAGAGAGAAAAGAGTGGAAGCCATAGTTGAAGAGATTATGCCTAAGCATTTTCCATAACTGAAAAAGATTCAAGCTACAGGTTTATGAACTCCAAGTGGGATAACAAAACCCCACCCAGACATATAATAAAAATATTTAAAAACTAAAGATACAAAGAAAAAATTTCAAAAATGGATAGGAAACAATATCAGATTACTATTGAAGGAGCACCTGTTTGACTAACTGTTGACAAACTTCTTAAGAAATAAGAAAAGCCAGAAAACAAGGGAAGGTTATATTCAAACAGCTAAAAAAAAAATGGTCAAAATCAAATTATGGTCTCATGCAAACCTTATTCCAAGAAAGAAGGAAAATAAGACATTTTCAACTAAAGAAATCATGATCAAAGTAGTATTTTTAAAATAGCAAAGCATATTCTTTGGGAGAAAGAATATAATATCAGATGGAAATTTAGAGTAATATGAAAGATTGACTAGTGATAAGATAATTAATAAAGCAGAAGATATGGAGAAATTACTCAGAATGCAAAGTTGTGAGAAAAAGAGATGAAGAATATAAGAGTAGCTAAGTAGTGGATAGAATGAACATGTCTAATATATGTTTAACTGGAGTCCCAAAGAAAGTAATTGAGAAGAAGAGATAATATTTAAAGGGATAGAGAATCTTACAGAACTGGTGGAAAATGAAGATTCAGGAGCAAATCATAGGAAAACTGCAAAGTAAAGATCTTCAGACAGGATATAAAGACAGATTGTAAATAAGACTGAGAATTTAAACAATATTTGGGGACACTAGAAAGTAGTGAATTTCAACTTGAGGGATGTAAAAGAAATATAACCGTTGACATGAACTGTATTCCCAGGTACATTTTTATTCAACAATGAAGTTGAAATGCATCCATTTTCAGGCAACCAAAAATTTATATTTAATTACCAGTAGACCTTAACTAAAGAAATTTTGAAAGAAAAATGGATGTCTGAGATGTAGGATGAAATAATGTGCAAATAAATGGTTGAACTTGTAGGTAAACTTAAATTAACATTAATTGTTTTTAAAAAATGATAGCAATGCCTAATACTGTGCTTAAAGAAACAACAAAAAAATACTAAAATAATGGTATGAAAGGCTGAAAGGGGTTGGTGATTGTAATTTAATATGCCCAAGAAGCCCTTAGTCATTTAGGAATAACAGAGATATTAAATGTTATTAGATTTTAGGTAATGCATGCACACATAACTTTTAAGTCAATAAAAAATAGAACTAGAATGTATAACTTCCAAAGCAGTAGACATATAAAACTGAAAAAGTACTAAGTATGACTTAAAAAATTATATTGTACATCAAGTTATAATGAACATGAAGCTACAAATAAAGCCAGTAATATTTTCCTCATTCATACTCAAAATCTGATCTCTATTTTAATACTTCTTACTACATAGAGTTTTATAGCATATAATTTTCTTATTTGCTTTTTGAATTTTATGATGTCAATTTTTAAATATACAACAAAGCTATTATAACAAATTAATGTCAAGCAATTTTTTATTGTTTGTGTTAACTAAACAAATTCTCACATCTTTTTTGGTGAGTTGCATTTGATTAAATATGATTATATTTGTGTCTTCTGAATGCTGCCATCTATATAACATCATTATACTAAAATATCCATAGCTTTACCATTCTCATCTATTTGTGCCAAATAGTATATGTGTTTGTTTCTCTTGGTATTCAATTTATAAAGAAATCATGTGTTGTTATTCTAAAATTTTTAGTTGTTGTGGATATATAGTAGGTGTACATATTTATAGGATGCTTTGATACATGCATGCAACGCATAATAACCACATGAGGTAAAATGGCATAACCATCACCTCAAGCACCCATCCTCTGAATTTCAAACAATCCAATTATACTTTTCTAGTGATTTTTAAATGTACAATTAAAGTATTTTTACTATAGTCACTCTGTTGTTCTAGCAAACACCAGGTCTTATTTATTTTTCTGAACAATTTTTTGTGCCCATCAATCATCTCTACTTCCTGCCCACCATCCCCACTACCCTTCTCAGCCTCTGGTAACTGTCCTTCTATTCTTTATTTCCATGAGTTCAATTGTTCTAATTTTTAGGTCCCACAGGTAAGTGAAAATGTATGATGTTTGTCTTTCCATGCCTGGCTTACTTCACTTAACATAATGACCTCCAGTTCCATCCATGTAATTGCAAATGACAGGATCTCATTCTTGTTTATGGCTGAATAGTATTCTGTTGTGTATATGTACCACATTTTCTTTATTTGTTCATTTGTTGATAGACAATTAGGTTGCTTCAAGTCTTGTCTATTGTGAATAGTGCTGCAATAAACACAGGACTGCAGATATCTCTTCAATATGCTGATTTCCTTTTTGGGGTGTATGTACCTAGGAGTGGTATTGCTTAATCATATGTTAGCACAACTTTTAGTTTTTTGAAGAACCTCCAAACTGTTCTCTGTAGCAGTTGTACTAATTTACATTCCCATCAACAATGTAGGATTCCCTTTTCTCCACATCCTCACCAGCTTTTGTTATTGCTTGTCTTTTGGATAAAAGCTATTTTACTAGGGTGAGATAACCCATAATTTTGATTTGCCTTTCTCTGATATCAGTGATATTGAGACCTATGCATATACCTGCTTGCCATTTCTATGTCTTTTTTTGAGAAATGTCTACTCAGATCTTTTGTTCATTTTTAATCAGATTATGAAATTTCTTTTCTATTGAATTGTTTGAGATCCTTAGATATTCTAGTTATTAATCCTTTGTCAGATGGGTGGTGCAAATATTTTCTCCACTTCTGTGGGTTGTTTCTTCATTTTGTTGATTGTCTACTTTGCTATGCAGAAGCTTATTAACTTGATGTGATCCATTTGTCCATTTTTGCTTTGGTTGAGTGCACCTGTGGGGTATTATTGAAGAAGTCATTGTCCACTCCAATGTCCTGGAGAGTTTCCCCAATGTGTTTTTGTTGTTGTTTCATAGTTTGAGGTCTTATATTTAAGTCTTTAATCCATTTTGAATTGATTTTTGTATAAAGCAAGCAATACAGATCAAGTTTCATTCTTCTGCACATGGATATCTTTTTCCATTTATTGAAGATATTGTCCTTTCTCCCAGTGAGTGTTCTTGGAAACTTTGTTGAAAATGAGTTCACTGTAGGTGTGTGGATTTGTTTCTGGGTTCTTTATTATGTTCCATTAGTCTATGTGTCTGTTTTTATGCCAGTACTATGCTGTTTGGTTACTATAGCTCTGCAGTGTAATTTGAAGTCAGGTTATGTGATTCCTCCAGTTTTGTTCTTTTTGCTAAGAATAGCTTTAGCTGTTTTGGGTCTTTTGTGATTCAATATAAATTTTAGGATTATTTTCTTTATTTCTCTTAAGAATGACATTGGTATTTTGATAGAGATTACATTAAATCTGTAGACTGCTTTGGGTAGTATGGACGTTTTAACAATATTGATTCTTCCAATCCCTGAACTTGGAATATCTTTCTATTTTTTTGTGTGTCGTCTTCAGTTTCCTTCATCAATGTTTTAAAGTTTTCATTAGAGAGATCTGTCACTTTTTTGGTTAATTTCTAGGTATTTAATTTTATTTGTAGCTATCATAAATGGGATTACTTTCTTGATTTCTTTTTCAGATTGTTCACTGTTTTCATATAGAAATGCTACGGATTTTTGTATGTTGATTTTGTATCCTGCAATTTAACTGAATTGGTTTATCAGTTTTAATAATTTTTTGGTGGAGTCTTTACATTTTTCCAAATAAAAGATCATATCATCTGCAAAGAAGGATAATTTGATTTCCTCCTTTCCAATATAGATGCCTATTATATCTTTCTCTTGTCTGATTGCTCTAGCTAGGTCTTCCAATACTATGTTGAATAACAGTGGTAACAGTGGGCATCCTTGTCATGTTCCAGATCTTAAAGGAAAGGCTTTCAGTTTTTCCCCAATTCAGTATGATACTAGCTGTGAGTGTGTCACATATGGCTTCTATTTTGTTGAAGTATGGTCCTTCTATACCCAGCTTTTTGTGGGTTTTTATCATAAAAAGATGTTGAATTTTATCAAATGCTTTCTCAGCATCAATTGAAATGATCATATGGTTTTTATCCTTCATAGGTTATTGATATATAATGTTGACATAAAATATGATATATTGCATAAATTTCATAGATTGATTTGCATATGTTGAACCATCCTTGCATCCCTGGGATAAATCCCACTTGGTCATGATGAATGATATTTTCAACGTGGGGTTGAATTCAGTTTGCTAGTATTTTAATGAGGATTTTCTCATATCACTGATATTGACATGTAGTTTTCTTTTTTGTATTTATTTGTTTGGTTTTGTATTGGTGTAATTTCAGTCTTGCAGAATGAATTCAGAAGTATTCTCTCCTCCTCTATTTTTCAGAATCGTTTGAGCAGTATTGATTTTAGATCTCCTTTAAATGTTTGGTAGAATTCAGCAGTGAAGCCATTGGGTCTTGGGTTTTTTCTTTGCTGGAAGACTTACTTACAGCTTCAATCTCATAACTTGTTATTGGTCTGTTCAGGTTTTGGATTTATTTATGGTTCAGTCTTGGTAGGTTGTATGTATCTAGGAATTCATCCATTTCCTCTGGATTTTCCAATTTATTGGGATATAGTTGCTCATAGTAGCCACTAATGATCCTTTGAATTTATGTGTTATGAGTTGTAATGTCTTCTTTCTCATCTCTGATTTATTTGTTTAGGGCCTCTCTCCATTTTTCTTATTAATATTCTGGCTAACGGTTTGTTCATTTTATTTAACTTTTCAAAAAACCAACTTTTTGTTTCATTGATCTTTTGTGTTGTTTTCTTCATGTAAATTTCATTTATTTCTGCTCTGATCTTCATTATTTCTTTTCTTCTAATTTGGGGTTTGGTTTGCCCTTGTTTTTCTAGTTCGTTTTTTTTCTGAAGTCTTGCTCTGTCTCCCAGGCCAGAGTGCAGTGGCACAATCTTGGCTCACTGCAACTTCCAGCTCCTGGGTACAAGCAATTCTCCTGCCTCAGCCCACCGAGCAGCTGGGATTACAGGTGCACGCCACCACACCCAGATACTTGTTGTGTCTTTAGTAGGGTTAGGGTTTTGTCATGTTGCCCCGGCTGCTCTTGAACTCATGGGCTCCAGTGATCCACCTGCCTCGGCTTCCCAAAGTGCTGGGATTACACGCGTGAGCCACCACGCCTGGCCTTCTGGTTCTTTAAGATGCATCGCTAGGTTGTTTATTTGAAGTTTTTCCTCTTTTTTGATGTAGGCACTTATTCTCTTGTCTGATTGCTCTAGCTAGGTCTTAAACTATATACTTCCCTCTTATTATTGCTTTCACTGTATCCCATAGGTTTTGGTATGTTATGTTTTCATTATCATTTGTTTAAAAAAATTTTTAAATTTCCTTTTTAATGTCTTCATTGACTCACTGGTCATTCAGGAGCATATTGTTAAATTTCCAAGTATTTGTATAGTTTCCAAAATTCCTCTAGTTATTGATTACTAGTTTTATGCCATTGTGGTCAAAGAAGATGTTTGATATTATTTCAATTTTTTGAAAGTTTTAAGACTTGTTTTGTGACTTAACATATGATCTATCCTTGAAAATGATTCATGTGCTGAGAAAAAGAATGTATATTCTGCAGCCATTGGATGAAATTTTCTGTAAATATTTATCAGGTCCATTTGGCCTATAGTGCATATTAAGTCTGAAATTGCTTTGTTGATTTTCTGTCTGGAAGAACGGTCCAATTCTGAAAGTGGAGTGTTAAGGTGTCCAGCTCTTATTGTATTGGGGTCTGTCTCTTTAACTCTAATAATAATTGCTTTATATATCTGGGTGCTACAGTGTTGGGTGAATATGTATTTATAATTGTTATATCCTCTTGTTGAATTGACTCTTTTATCATTATATAGTGACCTTCTTTGTCTCTTCTTACAGTTTTTATTTTGAAATCTATTTTTTTTCTCATATAAGTATAGCTACTTCTGCTGTTTTTTGGTTTCCATTGGTATGGAATATCTGTTTCCATCCCTTTATTTTCAGCCTGTATGTGTCTTTACAGGTAAAACGTATTTCTTGTAGGCAACGGAATCAATGGGTCTTGTTTTTCTATCAATCCAGCCATTCTATGTCTTCTGACGAGAGTTTAGTCCATTTACATTAAATGCTATTATTGATAAGTTACTTGTTTTTTGGTTGTTTTGTGGTCTTCTCTTTCTTCCCTTTTTTTCCTTCCTGTCTTCCTTTTAATGAAGGTGATTTTCTCTGGTGGTATGATTTAACTTCTTTCTTTTTATTTTTTGTGTATCCATTGTATGTTTTTTGGTTTGAGGTTACCATGAGACTTGCAAATACTATCTCATAGCCCATTATTTTAATATGGTAACAACTTAACACTTTGCATAAATAAACAAAAAAACAAACAAAAAGAAAGCTAACAGAAACTCTACACTTTAACTTTGTCTCCCTACTTTTTACTGTTGTGTTGTTTTTATTTATATCTTATTGTACAACTTATGTCCTGAAAAGTTGTTGGAGTTATTATTTTTTATTGATTCATCTTGTGTTCTTTCTACATAAAATAAGAGTTGTTAACACAACAGAATTACAGTGTTATAATATTCTGGCTTTTTTCTGTGTACTTACTATCATGAGTTTTGTACCTTCACATGATTTTTATTGCTCATTAATGTCATTTTCTTTCTGACTTAAGTACTCCCTTTAACATTTCTTATAGGACAGGCCTGGTGTTGATGAAGTCCTTCAGCTTTTGTTTGTCTAAGAAGTTTTTATTTCTCCTTCATGTTTGAAGGATATCTTTTGCTGGATATACTATTCTAGGTAAAAGTTTTTTCCTTCAGCCCTTGAAGTATGTCATGTCACTCCTTCCCTGCCTGTAAGATTTCTACTGAACAGTCTGCTGCCAGACACATTGGAGCTCCATTATTTATTATTTGTTTTTTTCTCTTGCTACTTTTAGAATACTTTCTTTATCCTTGACCATTGAGAGATTGAATCCTAAATGCCTTGAGGTAGTCTTCTTTAAATTAAATCTACTCGGTATTCTATAACTGTCTTATACTTGGATATTAGTATCTGTAGGTTTGGGAAGTTCTCTGTTTTTAACCCTTTGAATAAACTTTCTACCCATATCTCTTTTTCCATTTCCTCCCTGAGGGCAATAACTCTTAGATTTGCCCTTTTTGAGGCTATTTTCTAGATCCTGCAGGAATGATTCATTGTTTTTTTATTCATTTTTCTCTTGTCTCCTCTGATTGCATATTTTCAAAGAGCCTATCTTCAAGCTCACTAATTCTACCTTCTGCTTGACCAATTCTGCTATTAAAAGACTCCAGTGTGTTCTTCAGTATGTCCATTGTATTTTTTCAACTTCAGAATTTCTGCTTTATTCTTTGTAATTATTTCAACCTCTTTGTTAAATTTATTTTACTGAGTTCTGAATTCTTTCTCTATGTTATCTTGAATTTCTTTGAGTTTCCTCAACACAGCTATTTTGAATTCTCTGTCTGAAAGGTCACATATCTATGTTTCTCCAGGATTGGTCCCTGATGCCTTATGTAGTTTGTTTAGTGAGATCATGTTTTCCTGGATGGTGTTGATGCTTGTAGATATTCATCAGTGTCTAGACATTTAAGAGTTAGGTATTTATTGTAGACTTTGCAGTCTGGGCTTATTTATACCCATCCTTCTTGGAAATGCTTTCCAAGTATTCAACAGAACTTAGGTGGTGTGATCTAAGCCATATCTGCATTAGGGGGCACTGTGTAGCACTGTGGTTCTTACAGACTCATAGAGATGGCACCTGGCAGTCTTTAATAAAGTTTGGAAGAATTCTCTGGATTACCAGGCAAAGACTTGTGTTGTCTTCTCTTACTTTCTCCCAAACATATACAGTCTGTCTGTCTCTGTACTGAGCCATCTGGAGCTGGGAGTGGGATGACACAAGCACCCCTGTGGCCACCACCACTGGGATCAGCACTGGATCAGACTTGAAGCAAACACAGCACTGGGTGTTGCCCAAGGTCCACTGTAACCACTACCTGGCTACTGCCTCTGTTTACTCAAGGACCTAGGGCTGTACAATCATCAGGTGGTGAAGCCAGACAGGCTTGTGTCCTTCCCTCAGGGCAGCAAACTCCCTCATGCTGCAGGTGAGTCCAGAGATGCTGTCCAGGAAGCAGGTACTGGGGTCTAAAACCTTAGAAGTCTACCTGGTGTTCTATTGTACTGCTGCTGAGCTGACACTCAATTCACAAGACAGTCTTTCCCACTCTTCCCTCCTCTTTCTACAGGCAAAGGAGCTCTAGCCCATGGCCACAACAAGCAGATCCATGAGGATACTGCCAGGCTACCACTGATTTCATTGAAGGCCCAAGAGCTCTTCAGTCAGCTTGTGGTGAATGTTGCCAGTCCTAGAACTTACCCTTCAGGATGGTGATGTCCCTTTTGGCTGAAGGAAGGTTCAGGAGTGCCATAAGAACCAAGGCCTGGAATCAGTGACCTCAAGAGGCCTCTTGGTGCCCTAATTCCCTGTGGCTGAGCTGATACCTGAAGCCAGCACATCTCAGAGTCTCACCCAAGGCCCACAGTGTACCTCCTGTGCATCACTGCCGGTTATTCAAGGCCAAAGGGCTCTTTATTCAGCAAGTGATGTGTCTTGCCATGACTGGACCCTTCCCTTCAAGGCAGCAGGTTCCATTCTGGCCCAAGGTGTATTTAGAAATGTTGTCCAGGAGCTAAGGCCTGGAATGGGTGCCTCTCAACTTTGCCTGGTGCCCTATCATACTATGGCTGAGCTGGTATCCGAGATGTAAGACAAAGTCCTCTTTGCCCTTCTCTCTCCTCTTCTAAAACAGAAGGAGGGGGTCTCTTTTGGAGCTGTGACCTGTGCAACCTGGTGTTGGGGAAGGGATGGCACAAGCACGCTCTTAGCCACCCCAGCGGTTGTCTCAGTAGGTCATGTGCCCTCTAGTCCACTGGCTCTGAGACCAGCTCAGTACTAGAACTTGCCTAGGAGTTTTAGTCCTTGTGGCCTAGACTGCCTTTCAAGTTTATATACAGCACTCTAGCCTGCAGTGGTGAGGCTTTCTGGAACTCATGTTCTGACCGCTGGGATGGTAATTCCCCTCTGACAATGGCCAGTCTAAATGCTCCCTCTGTGGGCATGTATCAGCTATGTACAGCCCAGTTCTGTTTCCCCTATGACAGAGCAGCACTGAGTTCAATGTAAACAGTCTCACAATTGCTGTGCTCTCCCTCTCCAAGTACTCAGATTCTCTGTGCCATGCTGCCGCTGCTGGAGGATGGTGGGAGAGGTAGTATTGCTGATTCAAGGCTGTCTTTCCTGCCCTTTTCAGTGACTCTTTCAGTAATATGAAGTTAAAACCAGGGACCGTGAGTACCACCTGATTTTTGATTCTTATGAAGGTGCTTTTTGTGTGTAGATAGTTGTTACATTTGGTGTTCCTGTTGGGGTACACCCGGTGCAGCTTTCTATTTTGTCACCTTGCTCTGCCCCTTTCCATGTGTTATCATTTGTGCAGAGAAATATTGAGGGTTAAAAATTGAGAAGAAATTGTCATCTTTTGTCAGAAGCATTAGAATTATAATGTGAAAGGCTACATAGACTTTGGGGCAAAACTAAGAGATGGTAAAGGAAACGGGAAAATGTATCCATTTGAGAGAAAAAACTTAGAAGGCCATTTTTGAAAGCGAATAGTTAAGAGCTTGGATTAGAACGCTCAATTAAGGCACATTGTGAAAAGGGTATAAGATTTAATGCATTAAATACATAAAACTAGTAAGGATTGCATGTGTACAGAGAGTTAGATAAGTCAGTAATATTTATAGAAGATTGTAATTAGTTGAAAAAACTATAGAGCACCACTCTGCTTAATCCACTGTACCACAGTAGGGAGGGTCTGGAAGGGAAGAAATGCAGAAATAAACCAGAAAATATGGTGTTTTAAAAACACAATGATTTAGAGGAAGAAAGCTGGGCATGTAGTTAACTGCTATGGAAAGCAAATATATGCTCCAACAAATGTTTAAGTAAAGCTCTTAGGAAAGAATAAAAGAGATGAGATTAATTGTGGCTTAGGGAATCTGGGAGGAGAAAATATTTGAGCTAGATGTTGAAGGATGAAGAAGATTGCTGCAGGCTGTTTTAGTAAAGAAACATTCAAAAGGTCAGGTAAGTGGATTAGCAATGTCTTAGACATCAGAAAGGGAAAAAATGTGTTCAGGGACGAGAAAGTTGGGTACATAGAAAAATGAAGAGGAATGTTAGACTGGAAAAGAATATAAGAAAATGGACTTTTTCTGTGGCGTGAAGAAAGAAAAATAATCCGCCAATGATGGCAGGAGGTTATGTGATGAGCAAAGTAAAGTGTCTAAAAACAATAAATCAGAATAGAAATAAGTAAAGTAACCAAATAATTTATACCCCGAATTGGGATACTTTTGAGAACAAATTTGGGCACTAAAATCATCAAAATGTTATACATTTTGAAAATACTTATAGGATAGTAAATTGGTTTTATATTTTTGATATAACTATAAAAATTATCCTACTTAAAATTTATTTTCATAGATAGACTATGTTTATTTACATTAAAACAAAACTATTGATTAGCTGAAAATTTAGAATAACATAAGCAAAATAATTGATTCTGTGATACATATATTTTATATACTTTAATCAGTTTATAGCTATTTCTGCTTTTAATACCTTGTCATTGTTAATTTATAGAGAATAATTTTTCAATGCAATGTTCTTATTGATTTTTCATAAAATTATCTGCAATCTTCTTGAAAATTATATTTTATGATGCTGAATTTGCCTGATCTGTTTGTAGATTATGATAGTTTTACTTGATGAAGCATTCTGCCTATGAAAGCTGACATGCTTAATAAGTTCAGAGCAAATTCTACTAAATGGAAGACTTTCTCCATTTAAATTAGTTTTTATTTAAACTGTGAAATTTTTCAGCTTAATATTTTAGGAGTTATTTTGACTCAATTCAGAAAACCATCTTTGACAAATATTGCTCCAAAAATTCATTTAAAAATCCTATGTATGCTTCTTTTCAATATTTTGCCAGATTTGGCAAACTATGGCCCTTTTTAATTTTATTTTAATCCAGTATAGAATTTAAATTTATTAAAAATAGGAGCTACATTAAAGATTCTTCCTGCAGATTGAGATGTTGTAATTTTCAGTTGTAGAATGACAAACTTAAATCTTGTAATCTTGTACATTCTTTTTTTTTTTTTTTTTTTTTTGAGATGGAGTCTTGCTCTGTCACCAGGCTGGAGTGCAGTGGCATGATCTTGGCTCACTGCAACCTCAGCCTCCCGGGTTCAAGCGATTGTCCTGCCTCAGCCTCCCAAGTACCTGGGACTACAGGCATGTGCTACCACTCCAGGCTAATTTTTGTATATTTAGTAGAGATGGGGTTTCACCATGCTGGCCAGGATGGTCTGGATCACTTGACCTTGTGATCTGCCCGCCTCAGCCTCCCAAAGTGCTGGGATTACAGGCATGAGCCACTGTGCCTGGCCAATCTTGTACATTCTTTAAGCTCACATTATCTATTTTGTTCAGTTCCTCTTTAGCTTCTGTGAAGATGATTTTTATTGTTTCAATGTTTTCAGGTGATGCATTACGTCAATTCTTCAAACATTTTTGGTGCTCAATTTGTGGAACACTTTAAATGTTTCCAATTTATTTTAAAGAAAATTTCTTCTAAACTTTAAAGAATTAACTTACAGAAATATTCAATGACATCATAGAAATTTAAGGTTGATTTACAAGGTAGTTCTTCCAAGGCTCAAATATATCTAATCTACAATTAATATTCAATTAATAAAGTATCTGCAGCAAGGCTGAAATGATTTGTAAAATATTAAGCATTAGATTACTTGCAAAGATTTTTAGATTAGTTTATCCAATTATATGTGTAATAATATTTGTAATTTGTAAATTTGGACAATTAACATATTCCATTTCAGTCAGTAGAATTGTGAAACTTGTTTGAACTTGGTTTTGAATTATGTGTTCATCATGACCAATTCCAGCTGAATTGTCCTTTTATTTTTAAGATTATTATTTTATCATGAAGCTGTGTTTATTCTAAATTTCTCTTCATATTTTTATTACCAAATCATATTTTTATTTTTAAATTTTTCAACGAATTTTACAATAGCATCTACATTGTCAGCTGTTTTACTTTTGCGAAGTGAACTAAAAACTTCTCTTTGATTCCAATAATTAGATGAAAAATATTTGAATGATTATTGATATGAGTTTAACTGATTTCTATTTGAAGCACTTAATGATACTGATAAAGAAACAGCATTAATTAACTGCTTACAGTGTTTTTCTTTTGCTAACAGTGGATGCATTAAAACCTATTGCTTCATTTTCTTATGTTCACAAGAAACCTGGGAATTGAAACTGAATGTATTTAATTTAAAAAATTGTCTTTTGATGTACATGAAAGTTATGCTTCACAGGTTGATATGTAGACACATTTTCTATGACTGCACACACAAATTTTTTTTTCTGGCACAGTCTCAAAATAATAAATTTTTGAGGTAGATGGCTGATGCTTCTTTAGATGATCTGTGTCTTCTGGTTTTCATATATTAGTGATACAGTAGAGATCTCATGGTGGATAGGAAATGACAAACATTTTGTGCAAATTACTTTTTGTCATCTAGTTTCTTGGAAAATAAAAATTCAATATTTAATTATCATGAAATATTCACTTTCATCTTTAGCTCATTGCTGCTGAAAATTTGTTGTGAAATTTCACAAATTGAGAAACAATAAATAAATCAATATTGTAGAGTTATATGATGTAATAATGACAATAGCACTATATTAAGAGTACAAGCTACTTCCTCTCTTCATTTTATAAAACAACAGCTCTGGTTCTATTTCCTACACATTTGTCATATACTTAACCTATACATTCCTGTGTTTTACCCCAGATGCCCCTCACCACCATCTATTATGAGCATAGTTTTATGTGGGACTGGTGATTGGCAGATTTGTGTATTTTATAAACCAACATAGGACCAAGACAGTGTATAATGCTCCGCCCTCCACCACCACCCAGACCAAGAGGAGATGGCTTCCTCTCACCACTTATGTACCAGAAACATAACACCCTGCATGCCGACCTGGAAAGGGAAATGTTAGATTTTATATGGCTGAGGGTGCCAGGGAAAGAGAAGGGGTTATGTTACCTGTCTTTAAATTTAAATTAGGTTTCAGGTTGAAAGTATTCATTCCCCATAATTCTCACACTTTTCTAAATAAGACTAACAGAAACTACCAAACCCACCTTAGCTTATTTTAACACAAGTATTTAATAATATTTTGTAAAAAATGAAGAATCTGGAACAAATGTAAATCATGACAGGGTGTCTTAGGTAACTGGCAGAAACTGGTACAGTTCTGGGCAAACCGAGATGTAGAGTGTTCTGGTTATTGATTGCTAGGTATGAAACTATACCAAAAAGTAGTGGTTTACAACAACTCACTCATTATATCTCATGGTTTTGTGCGTTGGGAATTCAGGCAGTGCTCAGCTGAGAGGTTTTTCCACTGCATGTGGCATCCACTGTGGTCACGTGGTAGTATTCAGTTGGCAGCCACTCTGGTTTGGAGGGTCCACATGGATTCACTCTTATTCCTGTTTCCTGGGGCTACCTTTCTTCCTCCCCCTCCAACGTAGCCTCTGGGCTTCTCCACACATTCTCTTCCTCAGGTTAGTCAGATTTCTTACTGCCCTGGCCCAGGGCTCCCAGAGACTAAAGTGAAATGTGTCAATCCTTTTTAGGCTAGACCTAGAACTAGCTCAGTGTCGCGTCTGTAATATTCCTTGATCACAGCAGTCAAAGACTGGCCCAGATTCAAGGGGAAGGGACATTGTGCTCAGCTTCAATGGGAGAAGTGTCAAAGAATTTGCAGCCATCTTTTAAAAAACCACATATTGTCACAAGAGGCTCAGGTTAACATCAGAATATGGGTGCACAGCCGTTCACTTACTGTTAAACCAAATAGTATCAATTGTTTATCCTTACTCAAAGATGGCAACACTAATTATAAATGGTGAGTTTCATCGCAATATAAATATTTTACCTATTAATCAATAGCTGTTAGCTATTAATATAGCTACAAATAGTGATTAGCATCATCTATGTGCAAAACACTGGCACTGTACTAATTGCTATAGAGTAAAAATATGAACCAAAGCTCCTAGCTCCAGAGCCAAGAATTTAGTGAGAAGATAATCATGCTCAAACAAGCACAAAAACAAAGGAATGGTATTCACAGGGATGGTTACCATCCAGTCCTCATTCAAGAGTATGTGCAGGCATGCTTATGATCGTAGGAACACTGAAAATTAAAACAACTTAAGATGAATACATAAATATCACGGCCATATGACATTTTATATCCTTCATTGTTAATCTTCCAAAGCATTCAGCTGTGGTAATATTATTTAATAATCGACCACATAATTTTAGGACTAGTTAATGTTTTTATTTAAGAACCTTCTATTTATTCTTAAAATTAAAGTCTTCTATAACTTTAGAGGGATAAAGATATAATTTGTAAAATGTGGCATTAATAAAGTTGGACTTACAGAGCTGAAAGAACAAATGTATTGTGTTAAGAGATAAAGCCACTTGTCTGCCAGACACATGAAATCCTATAGAGACTTCTCACACAAGTCAGGCACACACACACAAGCATGCAAATGCACATACACACACAGAACATTGTAGGTGTTCTCATTGTGACTTTGGCTTATGATTATCCCTATATGCAAAAAAAAAAAAAGGCCGGCCTCAAAAAGAAAAAATGGAAAAAGCCAACGTTATCTGCTCTAAGAAAGAACTGGTCTGACTCTATGCAGCTAGATAGTAGCCCTACAGAAAGAAATCTCTAAAAAAGCATTAGCTTTAAATCTTTAAGGAATTATGAGATTTTTGTCCCTCCAAGAAATGCATCAAAAATTGGAAAACAGTGTAGAATAGGACCAGAAGGTAAAAGAAGAGAGACACTACTAAATGGATTCTATCTCAGGAAAGTTAAGGTTGAAAGCCAGAATCTCAAATGGCAAAAGGTAACCCGGCAATTCATTCTAGAGTTTCCAATAATAATAAAACCATCTTAGGCCCCTCCTAAAAAAATTGTCAAGGGTCATCTATGCCGATTAACTTGGAAGAATACTAAGTGAAGGTGTTACAATGTGGTTCTCACTTCACATTTTCAGTGTATTTATCTTTTACTTGACTCAAAGCAGATTACAGCAGAAATATCACTTGACAGAGATTGCAAAAATAGCCCATTTTTTTCTTTCTCTTTCTTTCTGAGGGTTGAAATATTTCTAGCTAGTGCCGCAAAATTGTTCCCACTACTCTGCTTGGCATGAGGAAAGAGATAGACATGGGATAAATTATGGGCTTATCAGTAACCAAAAATGGAGTTGGTATTACAAATTCATCTAACTTATTTTGCATATTTGGTATTCCTGGTTGGTAGTTATTGTTGTAATTATTATTTAGATGTGTAGTTTTTTGTTTTATTTTAAAATTATCTTCATTGTTATAAAAACAATCAATTTTATTTTTAGAAAAAAGATGGGTAAAAAATGATAAAAGTAATTCACCATCTAGAGATAATTCTGTATATATTTTTTCTGTTTTCTAGTCTTTTGAAAATCTACATATGCATGTATAGGATCATATGTGTAGTGTATATAACTGTATGTAACTACACTGAAATAAATAGGGGAGGGTTAGAGTTCAACATCAAACACGCTTAACATTAGGCCATGTGGGGTTCAAAAGAACTTGTACATCAAGTAGATCTGAGTGGAGATGGCCAGACACTGAGAGGTGTCTTCGATTGAGTTGCAAGAAAAACAATGCAGAAGTAGAAGTATGTGTGAAGGAGTTTAACTGGAGGTAGGTGGGGCTGCTGCTCCTCTCCTTTCACCTATACAGAGTTGGGGAAGCAGGATTGGGTAGACAGGGAAGCAGAACTGAGAGGTGTTTGCAACAGAGATCACAGTCGATCCAGCGGGGAGGTTGGAGCTGAATAGTCCATCAGGGGACCAGGCTTCAAAAAGAAGGAATTTGTTTTTTATTTTGGAGGGAATGTCTTGACGTGCCCCATCTATTAGGCTTCTAAAATCTTAACTTAGATGTATTGCATCCTCAAAATTTTGTAAGATTTATTTCCTACCTAATAGAGTCCTCCCATTCATATGCTACTTTTTGAGATCGAATATTTTAAAAAAGAAACATATAGGGTGCAAGCTGTCTTTTAATAAAGGCCCCCAGAAGGAATCACTCAACACTTATGCTTCCTTTTCATGGGCTAGAACTTAGTCATATAGCCATGTCTAGAAGGCTGGGAAATGCACTCTTCATTCTGGGCACTGAGTGTGCAAGTGAATGTTGGGATTTCTGTTACTTCTAACAGACAAGGAGTGAAGAGTAGATATAGGAGGCCCGCTGGCCATCTCTGCCATAAACACTGAAATCTGTTTAAATTGAAACCAAGGTTAAACAACGGGTAGTTACCATTATAGAACCAAACGTAAATGTAATACCTTTTGACAATATAAAAATACTGTCTAGTAGATGACATAAGATTGGTCTGTAAGATGCACCATGTAGCAATCCATTGCAAAATAAAAATGATGAGGCCGTGTGTGGTAGCTTATGCCTGTAATCCCAGCACTTTGGGAGACCAAGGTGGGAGGATCACTTGAGGCCAGAAGTTCAAGACCAGCCTGGTCAACACAGAGAGACCTCATCTCCTGGACAACATAGAGAGACCTCATCACCACATACACACATATATTTTTTTTTAAATTTTTTTTGTTATACTTTAAGTTCTGGGATACATGTGCAGAATGTGCAGGTTTGTTACATAGGTATACATGTGCCATGGTGGTCTGCTGCGCCCATCAACCCATCATCTACATTAGGTATTTCTCCTAATGCTATCCCTCCCCTAGCCCCCCACTGCCCGACAGGCCCCAGTGACACACACAATATTTTAAAGTGGTGGATCTGGGGTCAGGTGTGAGCAGGAACACAGAGCGCTATATAGATGAGTAGACTTAACTTAAATGTCTTGCTTTGTATGTTGAACTAAGGGAAAATTATGTGAATCTGAAGGAATGACTCTGTAAGATGGTTCAAGTAAACAAGGAGTCTTGCACAATTTTGACCTCTTGATGGCTTCTCCCAGACTTTTGGTTTGCTGGCCAACTTTTCTTTCAGATGGAGGCAAAGGTTAAATCTGTGACTAGGTGTTACCATAAAGCAATCTCTCAAACATTTTTTCTCTTAAGACAAATGTGTCATAATGACATACCATAGGAGATGTTCTTTAACACTCCAGGAGACAAGGGAGTTACTTTCCAAGATAGATTAATTCGCTTTCTTGGGAAGCTTCCCCTCAGGAATCCTATTCTTCCAAGTACACTGCTCATAATTACCCAGGCAACCAGTCCATTCAAGTCATGTAGGGCTAAATAGTACAAAAGTGGACTGGGGAAGAGTGAAAACTATCATTGTGTATCTTGTATAACATATAGAAAGCAATTAAACAAGAATGAAAGACAAGATCTGCCTAAGTAGAGAAAGAGGTTGAGTTGGGTATTACACGATATTGAGATTAAGCTTAAAATTATGTATTGTGCATTGTGAAAAAAATTTATGTATTGTGAAGTAATTTTTAAACAGTCAAGCTGATAAAGTCTTTATTTTCATAATTTACACTTTTAAGTTGCTTTATACAATGTTAATTTAATTCAAAGGTATTTAATCTTAAAGATCAGTTATAAAGCATACTTTTCTCTCCCAGGACACAGATGTGGTCAACTAAGAACGTGGGTAGTAGTCATTAATACAGTCAAATAATAACACTTTTCTCCTGTACCACAAGATGGCAGCACATGCAAGGGTGCCTATTTACAGTAATCATTTGTGTATAGTTTTAATGTCTCTGGGTTTTGGATGATTTAAAGGGTAGCCTTCTACCTTCTAGAATATAAGTAGTTTATATTATTGCTTTTTTGTTGTTGCTTATTATTATTGCTTATTTTGTTGTTGTTCATCTTCTTAAGTTCAAGAGCAACACGTATTTTTCCCTCTATAATATCAGATCAAAATTTGTTCTTTTACAAATTAAGCTACCTGGTCGGGGGGGGAAAAAACCTATTTACTTTTAGGCCCATGAGAGGATATATCCTTCCTCACAAATGTTATTTGACCTCTCTTTCGATTTAGACTCACAAGAGAAATAATCTCAAATTGCTGTTCCCTCTATAAAGTTCTTCCCCTAGATTTCACATTGCTTTTTCAAGTTTCATAGGTATCTGCTCAATTCATTTCTATGAAGACCTCCATGATTGCCCTGTAAAAAAAAAAAAAAAGACATCATAACACCATTTGTACCTCTAGTATTCCTCTCCCTCCCTGATTCTAATTTATTATTGTCAACCAATCTACCATACCTTTACTTATTTATTTGTTTATTGTTCTCCCCTAGTAATATGTAAGCTTTGCAAGAGAAAGGATTTTGTCAGGCTTGTTCATGGTTGTATCCCCAACTTCCAGAATAGTGCCTGCACTTGGTGGGTATTCACTAAACATGTGTTGAAAGTATGTATTGCCATAAAGGTTGGAACAATTGAAATAATTGTAGCAAGATGGTAGGTGTATTTAAACAGAACAAGTGTCATAAATAAAAGAGCTCTAACCTAAGGATGGAGAGGTAGAAGTTCTCATTCCTGTTCTACGCGACTACTAAGGACCCTCATGCTGCCATTCAAACTTCGTGGTATTTGGGTTCTATTTAGTCAATATGGATAATAATATCACTTTTACTCATATCCTGACATAGATGTGAAGCTCTGGTTATGTAAATTAAGCAAATATGAATAATAAAATTATTTCTTTAATTTTTAATGATTTGAGATCACAGAGAATGAAGCTAGTTCTTTCCCTTCAATAGCGGCCATGATTTTCCAAACATTCCTAACCTCTAATAAAGAAAACTTCCCAAGGTACACAAGGCCTCTCTTTTCTCTCTCAATCAAATATCATAATTCTTGCTTGAGGTTCTGTAAGTTATCTCCTTGAATCTTATTGGTTTTTATTAGACATACTGGCAAATACAGAGCAAATGTACAACACAAAAAAATTTCACAGGCACAAACTCGTGACTGACATTTCTCCTGGTGAAGAACTTACATAAATGAAGTGGGAAAATATTTTAAGAAATTAATGCATATACTGTCTCCTACCTTATGATATAACTGCTTACTGATCTCAAACTTGGCAGCTCAAAGAAAGAGTGTCATCTGCTTGAGGAATAGTTTACAGTAGGAGAAAATCATGCCACTTTTTTCAGCTTTTAAGATCAAGGAAGATCATTGTCTATTAAATAAAAAAATAGTGGAGATATGACATGATTAGAAAAAACAGGTTTATATTTCTGTTCATAGACTAGACAAAATAATTCTGACCTGAAACAGAAGAGGGAGAATTGTCCAAAGGTAGAGGAAAGTGAAGTGCATCATGCCTTACAAGCTACCTTTTGATTTGGAGTGGAAATTCTGCCAGCCAAATCTCAAATAGAATATGTCACATTTAATTATATCACCCTTTTGTCTCATTCTAGCTTTTTTGCACTTGAAAGCACTCACAGATCATCTTTTTGCTATTAAATGTCTTGACTGACTTAGAATCAACTAGATCAAAGTGATTCAGAGGTTAAATATATTAATATCCATGTCATCTTGGACAACTCATTTATCATAGTCTCAATTTTCTAACGTGGAAATTAAATCGATTTATTCTTAGGCAAAATGTGTATATATCTGTGTAAGAAAATATGCTCATATACTAGATCGATCTCCAGCATTCTCTCTCTTCTTTTGTCATTCTATATCTGCTTCTTTATTCTTAATAACATGCTCTAGATGCCTCCTATCCAAAGCAATCTCCACATTACTCAGATGCCTCCAAACTATTTCCCCTTCTCATCATGAATTTATTCAGAAGAATAGTCTATACCTACTACCTTCATTGTCTCCCTTTCTTCATCCCTAATTTTCCATAATTCCTTTGTAAAATCTCACCAGCAATATCACAACTGCCAAATCTGAGGAACTGTTCTCAGTCCTCATCTTACTTGACCTTTTGTTGCAAATGAAATTGAATTTTAATTTTACCTTGCAGATCTCTGCTTGGGTCTATGACATGTCTTTGTCCTAGCTGTCAATAGGCCTCTCTGAGCACATTTTCTCCCATTCTTTTGCTTGCTTCTCTTTTTGCACTTGTTTCTCTTAAAAGTTGGTGTCTCCCAGGGTTCTAGCTTCCAGTCTTAACCCACTTCTTTTGTTCCATACACCCTCCCCACCCCAAACCCAGGATAATCTTGTGGTCTTCACCCATAATATATGTATTAGTGACTCCCAATTCATTCTCACAGTCCTGGCCATTCTTTCTGGTTCCCTGTAGATAGACCTCCTTTGCTGGTTACTCTTCTTTTCTCTGACTGTTCAATATTGGAGAACCACAGGGCTTAGTCATTGGACTTTCTTTCCAGTTATATTCCCTCCCTTGGTTATCTAATTAGTCTAATGGCTTTAAACCATGTGATGATTTCCAAATTCATATCTCCAGTCAAGACTTTCTCCCTCCACTCTAGACCTCAATGCCCCCTCAATATTGCTATTTGAAGGTCTCATAGGCTTCTCAAATTTAACATTGCTAAAACTGAACTCCTGGAAATTCTGTCTTTCTGATGATTCAGGTCAAAGACTTGGGGTTGCCTATGGCTGCTTCTTTCTCTAACATCTTAAGTTCTCTGTCTTCTTTTCTTTCTTTCTTTTTTTTTCTTTAAAGACAAGGTCTCACTCTGTCACCAAGGCTGGAGTACAAGGGTGTGATCACAGCTTGCTGCAAACTCAACCTCCCTGGGCTCAAGCATTCCTCCTACCTCAGCCTCCCAGGTTGCTGGGACTACAGGCACACACCACCACATCCAGCAAATTTTTGTATTTTTAGTATTTTTTGCCATGTTGCCCAGGCTAGTCTCCAATTCCTAGACTCAAGAGATCCACTCACTTTGGCCTCCCAAAGTGTTGGGATTACAGGTGTGAGCCACCATGCCTTGCCTGAACTTCTAATTTATCAGCATACACTGTCAGTTCCATTGTCTTAAAACATCCAAACTCCTACTGCTTTTCTCCATCTTCACTACTGTCAGCTGGGTCCAAGATACGCTCACTCCTTGAGTGTATTAGTGCAATAGCTTCCTAACTGGTGTCCCAATTTTGCCCTTGTCCCATTAGTCTGTTCAATACAACATCCTGGGTGACCTCATTAAAACTCAAGTATGATTGTATCATTCTTCTGCTCTTAAACACCAGTGGCTTTCCCTCTCACTCAAAATAAGGTAGAAGCCCCAAAAATGACCTCAATGCCCTACAACATAGGCATATGCTCCTTAGTTCATTGGTCTCATTTTATATTAATCCTCTCTCCCTTCTATTTGCCACCCCCAACACTGCCTCCCTGCAACCTGAACACTTTCCCCCCTTTTCTCTCAAACACTAGTTCCTCTTCTCTTTCATGTATTGAGCTTCTGGTTGTTCCTTAAACATATCAGTAAGGCCTCTCCATCAGGGTCATTGCACCTGCCTGGAATACTCTTTCTCTAGATAACTGCTTTGTCTAGACTCTCACATTTTTTAAGCTTATGCTCAATTTTTAGCTTTTCACAAAGGCTTTCTCTGGCCACCCTATTTAAAATGTTAGTAATCTCCAACATGACTATCCCCATTCCCTGGTTCATTTTTCTATAAATTATCTTATCACTATCTAACATGGTACCTCTTTGCTTATTAATTTTGCTTATTGTTTTCTTTCCTCTACTAGACCATAAGCTCCATAAAAGCAAATTGTTACTTTTGCATTTTTAAAAGAAATCATGGAAATTTTATTGAGAGGAATAAAAATTACTTATATATCATATTCATTCATCATTATATCATTTCAGTGAGGCTACACAGGGATTGGCTTTTTTGCAGGTAATATATTTTAAGTCTTTAATAATTAGAATAAAAAGAATATCACTAGGAGTAAAGATATTTAAATATATTATATATTGTGTGTTGGTGCTTAATATTAATGCTTATATGCATATATGTATATTTATATGTACATAGATACATACATATATATACTTGCAAAAAATATTTTAAGTGGCTTTAACAAATTAAATTGTAGCATGAAAAATATGCAGCATGGTAAAATACAAAGAATATGCTATAAATAAGTGCAAAAGGGCCAAATAACATTGTCTGAATTATTGCACCAGCCTCCTAACCTACATCTTTTCTTCTAGTCTCTAAATTTGGAATTAATTCTCCACATATCTTCTAGAGTAAATTAATGTAATCATTTTACTTCTCTACTTAAACCACTTCAATGAATTTTGCTTTTCTATTAACTTCTAGAGATATTAAAAATTATTAGGGGGATGCTTTTGCTCTCTTAATAGAGCACTTCTGATAGTGAAAAAGGTTGACACTCCTCTACTTCCCTCATCTGCTAAAGATAATCACAAACCAAACATTAGAACTCCCCATGTACAATAGCACTCATGATGTTTTATTATAAGCAATCATATGCTTATATCTCTTCCTGACTTGATGTGAGCTATGTGAGGTGTCTTATTTTATTTCATTTCTATTTATATCCCCATCATTGTCCCTCAGGGTGATATTTAGTAAATGTTTAACTAAAAGGAAACATATAAAAACACATATATTCACAGTGTACATGGTAGAATGTAACAATGATATTAACAAACATACCAGGACTTATACATTTAAGGAGATGTTCTTTTTTTAACTTCACAAAATGTATTTTGTAATATGTAATGAAGAAGGCACATATACTAAATTTTTATATATGCTTTAATCAAATAAAAATGTGTTCATCAAAAATATCGCAAACAAAATCAAACTTCATATAATGAAAACATATTTTAAACACATACAATGGTGAATGTATTAATGTCCTTCATATATAAGGAATGATTAAAAGTCAACAGAAAATGAGCAAAGAGTAATCCATTTGAAAATACATACATTCGGTAAAAACACTGAAATCTTTAGAGTTAGTAGTAACCTAAGATATGCATATTAAAGAGTGCAGAGATTTTCATTTTGTTCATTAATTGTCAACTTATTTTAATAATAGGTAGTGGAAGTGAAGAAATTATAAACTTTTGAGGTAGTCTTTTTTTTTTAAAGTTCCAGGATACATGTGCAGGATATGCAGGTTTGTTACATAGTTAAATGGGTGCCATGGTGGGTTCCTGCACCTAACAACTCATCTCCTAGGTATTAAGCCCATCATGCATTAGCTCTTTTCCCTAATGTTCTCTCCCCCTGCCCTCCCCCAGCAGGCCCCAGTGAGTGTTGTTCCCCTTCCTGTGTCCACGTGTTCTCATTGTTCAGCTCCCACTTACATGAGAACATGCGGTATTTGATTTTCTGTTCCTGCATTACTTTACTGAGGATAATGGCTTCCAGCTTCATCCATGTCCCTGCAAAGGACATGATCTCATTCCTTTTTATGGCTGCATAGTATTCCATGGTGTATACGTACCACATTTTCTTTAGCCAGTCTATCATTGATGGGCATTTGGGTCAATTCCATGTATTTGCTATTGTGAATAGTGCTACAATGAACATATGCATGCATGTATCTTTATAATACAATAATTTTATTCCTTTGAGTATATACCCAGTAATGGGATTGCTGGGTCAAATGGTATTTCTGGTTTTAAATTTTTGAGGAATTGCCACACTATGTTCTACAATGGTTTAACTAATTTACACTCCCACCAACAGTGTACATTGCTATTTCTCCACAAAATTGCCAGCATCTGTTGTTTCTTGACTTTTTAATAATTGCCATTCTGACTGGCATGAGATGTTATCTCATTGTGGTTTTGATTTGCATTTCTGTAATGATCACTGATGATGAGCTTTTTCTCATGTGTTTCATGTTTGTTGGCTGCATGTATGTCTTTTTTGGAGAAGGATCTGTTTATATCCTTTGCCCACTTTTTAATGGGGTTGTTTTTTTCTTGTGAATTTGCTTATGTTCCTTGTAGATTCTGGATATTAGGCCTTTGTCAGATGGATAGATTGCAAAATTTTTCTCCCATTCTGTAGGTTGTCTGTTCACTCTGATGATAGTTTCATTTGCTGTGCAGAAGCTCTTTAGTTTAATTAGATCCCATTTGTCAATTTTTGCTTTTATTGCAATTGCTTTTGGTGATTTTATCATAAAATCTTTGCCCATGCCTATGTCCTGAATGGTATTACCTAGATTTTCTTCTGGATTTTCATAGTTTGGGGCTTTACATTTAAGTCTTTAATATATCTTGATTTAATTTTTGTATAGCGTGTAAGGAAGGGATTCAGTTTCAATTTTCTACATATGGCTAGCCAGTTCTCCCAGCACGATTTAGTAAATAGGGAGTCCTTTCAAGGAGATGTTCTTTTATAATCTTCAAAATTATCTCCTTTGGAAGTCAGAAATACTCTCATGATTTGTCTTTTTCATCTCTTTTTCTTTTTGGAATTCCATCTTTGTAATAGCCTTCAATGTCTAAGCGATTTAAAAAAATATTATCAATGTTAGATCATCCTTTGAATGTAGATTTATTTTGGTGAAAATTCAATTTGGAGGTAAGTTTAGTGAATAAAGTGGATATTATTTGGATCCCAAAATGAATTGTGATAATAACATAAGATTCATTTTCTCTTGTGTAATTTGTAAACTGGCTTTGGTTATAAATTTCAAAGACATTTCCATAATGATAGCTGGGTAATCATAGTCTTTCAAATAAATCATGAGGCAAAAAATAAAAATAAAAACCTACACCTTATTTGGAAGTATAAAATCTAGATTTTAAAACATAGTGGTAGATTTTAGGCACATTTTGAAACTTATTTTTTCCAAAAAGGCAAAGTGAGATAGCCACTATTAGATATACTAAAAACAATACACAATGGAAAATATGGTCTTGTCAAAATACCGAAGACGTGTCTTGACCACAAATCCAAGTCGTTTCCTGCTAGTATATATTGCCTGATGTCATCATAGATAAGAAACCAGTAGGTGTTGTATATTGTATATTTCTTGGACTTATGTAACCAAGAGATCCAACATTACTTTTGATTTTCCTGAGATCACTGCACTTGAACTTGCTCTCTCAACACTCTTCATTTAACAGATAAAAAGGGCCAGATATGAGCAAAACACTCTGCTAGCTGGGAATGAGTAAGGTCTTACTTATATACAGCAGCAATTATCATCTAAATACCTAATTTTAGAAACCTGATTAAACTTTGAAATAATAATTAACAAGATACAGAAGTAAATATTTAGATGCTAAAAAAACAGGCAAGAAAATAAGTGCTACAAGAATCAGATACATGGCTGCTTAAGTAATATTGACACATTTTTAAAAGAAATTGGATTTCAACTAAATAGTTGATAGCCTGGGAAGGGAAAAGTAGCAGGAAACGCATGAGGTAAAGCTTTAAGTTTGAAATGGACAGTTTGGGGCAAAGAGCAGTATTTGGAATTCATAGGAGGAATGACTGAATAGTTGGGATGGTGGGGTATTAACAGATGCGAGATCACCATGTAGCCAGCATGGGAGGCACTGTATGCAATATACAGAATATGGCTGAGCATTTAGAAGAATGGAATAATCTATAATTGGTGTTTTAAAATATTAATATGACTACCGAATGAGTAATATATTGGAGCAGAGAGAAACTATACTAACAGAATTCCAAATAAGAGGTTATTGCTAAAATCAAATGTCCTGTCTGATTCAACCAGCCCTTGTAGCCTCTACAAGTATGACTATGCATGGTTAGGCTTAGTTTCATCCTTAGTTGAAGGTAACATAGGTAATTCCCAGACCTACATGAATGTCTCCAGCACAAGCAGTTTTTAAAAATGTGTGGTAGTTCAGGCAGCATCAGAGACTAGGTCAGAGTAGGGAATCTGTGTTGACAGCTTACTCTATTTACTACTACTATTTTCCTTGTAAAGACAAACAACTAACTTTATTCATTAACTTACCAAAAAATGCTCATAGTGATATACATCCAATGAAATAAATATAGTCATTTTAATAAGAATATTTTCTAAAGTCCTTGAACTTACCATTGCCTTCTTAGTGTCAAAGTATTGATTAAACAAATTGATAATTACTTGTATAATTATAGATTTATGATATAATTAATTTTTTGGTAAGATAAAAATGCAACATAGGATACAGCAATACTGATTAGAAAAATTGTCAGACAACCTTTAAAATCAGATTCTCAGAATATTCTCATTTTCTTTAAAAAATATGATGATAACAATTGTAACTGGACCTGGTCAGAAATGATTTTTTTCTAGGTCTCCTTTGTTAAAGGAAAGTTGGATTTCTCAGATTCATCCAAATTAATAGAGTGATCCAGAGATGATATTTGGATTAAGTCCTTTTTGTTGTTACAACTCACTTCAAACACTGTAGACAAACATGTCTACAGTTCCCTTTTCAACCACTTGCTGGTCTAAATTTACTTTTTTTTTTTTTAACATGAGGTATTATATTTTGGTAAAAAGCAAACCCTGACTGCTGTATAATATACCCTAGGGTGCCTCCACTGCACTCCAGGTAATAACTTTGTGCCCACATAATGCTGTGCATGTCTCTGTGTAAACCTCTCAGAGAAATTTTTGGAGCAGTTGCCCTTGTATGCCCCACTAACCTCAACAGTCTGGCAATTGCTGTGAATTTCTTCAGTGATGGGGCAAGTAATAATTTTCCCTAGGCAATGAGGAAAAAAGACAGATCACAACTTAACTAACTTTTCTCCAAACTGTCCTTTCTCTTTGGGCCCCAGCCACTGCTGCTGCCATGACACCACTGCCTAGCTCACCCCTCAAACCAATTTGTGACAATCTTTCCTGGTATGCCCGGGCAAACTCTTGATTCTGTAGTTTCTCCAGGCACCATTGAGAGGAAGGGAGTCAGGACCCACTTATTAAAAGTGAAGCACAGTTCTTTGGAAGTGGGGTCTCTTTCCTTACCATGACTCAAATTAGGAGGAGGCTCACATGGTGCTTGTAAAGTCTTATTCCACCCACCTGTTGAGATGGTAAGAACAATGTTACTGTTTCTACTTGCCCTTTGGCACCTGAGATAAACAGAGGATAATTATAATTGTTGTTTGACATTTACTATGGGTTAATACTCATTTTAAAATTGTCAACTGAATGAAATATTTTTTAAAGTTTTGTGCATAGGAATTTCATTATTTATCACTTCTAGGACCAGGTAAACTAAAAAATGTAATTAAGACAAATAGTTTCAAGTACATCTGTATTTCTGGTGTTGTGTTACATCTCTTATAGAATTAGCCAAGTAAGAACATTGTCATTGAGCCAATACACTAAAGTTTCAAGAACATGCTCATGTCTTTGCAAAATTTATGATCAGACTAGTAGATACAGAAACCTGACATTGGATTATCTTCTATGAATTACAAACATTGAGAAGAAACAAGTTAAAATTTTCATCTAGAGGAATTCTAACTCCTCTCTAGATTGCTACTTTTTCCTTTTGGGAGTTTTTAAGTTTGCATCCCTCTGGTAAATTTATGTGATTAAAAAAAATTAACCAAATTCCCGAACTGAAGTTGCATCCTGTCTTTAAGACTCACTTCATATACGTTGGCCTCTATGAAAAATCTAGTGTGCCAAAGGCCTCGGAAACTTCCATGGTTGAAATATATTCTCCTTTTCATCTAATTAAATGTGCAGTGCACAGAAAGTAAGTTTCTTTTTGTCTAAAAGTTGCCAGCTTTTCTTTTAAACAAGTTAATCTTGTTTGTATATACCTATGTGCTACATATTAAAATGTAAAAATTTATTAATTTCCAGCAAGTAAAAACAAACATAATCTCAACCAAATTTTGTTTTAGCCCAGTGTTACTCAAATAAAGGGGTGAAATAAGAGTGCTTTTAAGTTATTTTGAAAAACACACACACATATATCCCAATAAAGCTGTAATGCGGATATCTAAGCTTACCAATACCAGCAAAAGTCAGGAAAAGAGCCAGGGACTTCTACATAGGGAAAAACAAAGATTAAGAGACAAGTCTTATCAGGTAATGAGGAAAATTGCCTAAAGACAAAAAGGGAGAAAATAAATAGGATAGGTTCCATTGAAAAGAACCCTGTGAGTCCTTAAAAAACTGGAATTACAGTTTGAAAACTACATCTTAAAACACATGGGGCCAGGTGCGGTGGCTCACACCTGTAATCTCAGCACTTTGGGAGGCCGAGGCAGGCAGATCACCTGAGGTCAGGAGTTTGAGACTAGCCTGACCAAAATGGTGAAACCCTGCCTCTACTAAAAATACAAAAATTAGTCGGGCGTGATTGCAGGCGCCTGTAATCCCAGCTACTCGGGAGGTTGAGCAGGAGAATCGCTTGAACCTGGGAGGCGGAGGTTGCAGTAAGCCGAGATCGCGCCATCGCACTCCAGCCTGGGGTACAAGAGGGAGACTTCGTATCTAAAAACAAAACAAAACAAACAAACAACAACAAAAACATACACACATGGACAAGCTGGCTATTCTCAGTGCTTCCTTCTTAAGTACATCTTATTCAAACTATTAAAAGAGTTTGTACCAGTTCACTATAAGAATGATACTTATTATGGGACAGTTACAAATACTAAGAATGCTTGATTGCAGCTGATCACAAAGAGAAAGATAACTGAAATGCAAAAGAATTTAATTACACAATTTGATTGTATCAAAAAACAACCATTTGGCTGGGATCTCAGATCTCTGGTATATGGAAACATAATGGTTTAATCTTAGGCTTAAGCACAATTTGTTAACGAAATTTTCAAAGACAGAATGACACTGTTATTTCTGTAAGTTATTTCTGAACATTTCTCCAGTGATTGAGACTCATCTACATACTTCTGCAAAAAATACATTAGCTGAATGTATCCCCCACTTGGTCTCGGAAGTACAGAAACTTATCTTGGGCCTTCAAGAACAGGGATCCAGAATTCTAACACCGATCTCCTTTCACAAAAGCATTGTTTAGGAGTTTGCTTTTAGCAGCCTTTTCATTTCCAAGAATAGATTGCTTGTAATAGTTTAGAAATAGGTTGCTTGTAATCACTTGGGATGTAAAAAGGCAAAAAATTTTACCCCTGAGGGATACAAAGGGAAGAAACATGATAATTGTCCTCATTATTTATTCCATGACCTAGACACTTACATACATACTGACACTTCGGAGATTTATTTTTTTCATTATTCTTAAAGGAATCATCATCAGTGTTTACTGATAGACAATATTCCTCGTTTAAATTGTGCTAAAATGTAGGATTACAATCAATCCCAGGTTATTTAATAAGGTAGTTATAGACAGAAAACCAGTTGTTTCACATATTGCAAATCTTCAGTGCAACTTCACATAATCCATTAGGGATAGACTTACCATAGTGGAAGCATCTTCTTTAGAAAGTGAGCCATCTCTAAGCATGCAGCTTTAACAGGGCATCTGGCATGGAGGTAGAAAGCATTCTGTAAACAAAATAAAGGGTTATAGAAATTCTCAATGTCCTTTTACGCTATGATTCTCTTATTCATGAGACTATCCTCTGGGGGAAAATGATGACTGGAACTTGGAGCACTCAGGAATATTTGCCAAACATTGCAGAACATTTCAAGGGGTCAAGATTTATTTAGCTGAAGCCCTAAATGAATATATTGATTATGAATAAGTGTGTGTGTGTGTGTGTGTGTGTGTGTGTGTGTGTGTGTGTTTATGGTTTGGAAAGTGCATTAGGGCTACTGTAACATTTTCACAAACTTGGTGGTTTAAAACCATAGAAATTTATTATCTTACAGTCCTGATGGCCAGAGTCCAAAATCAAGATGCTAGAAGGACCTCACTCCCCACAGAGACTCTAGGGAAGAGTCCTTTTCATGACTTGACTAGTGGGCACATCACTCTAATTTATTGCATCTCACCTTGCTTCTTCTGTGCATCTGTCTTCTCCTCTCTGTGTCTCTAATAAAGACACTTGTCAATGGATTTAGATTCCTCCTAGATAATCCAGGATGATCTCCTCATCTCAAAATCCTTAATTTAATTATGTTGCAAAGACTTGCTTTTCCAAATATAGTAACAGGATTGGGGAATGGGCATATTGTTTTGGTGGTCACCATGCAGCCTACCACAAAGGAAGATATTTCACTTTTATTTTTGCTTTGTTTTCACCTATCTGGCATTATTAGTGTTTTAACTGTATTTTTTAGCTTTGTGTTTATGTCATTATTGCCACAGTAATAATATAGTAATGTTTATTTCACCAAACAATGGTGTACTGGAAAGAAAGGCATTTTAGACAGAATTTGGCCTTGATATGCCATTCATAATCATCTAGAAATGGTACATTCTTCTTGACATTGAATATCAAGAAGTTGAATGGACTACCCAACTAATTGAAGACATAAATATGATTTGGTAAAATTATGATTATTTGGAAAACACTGAAGGAAGTCTGAATTAAGCTTACGGATCTTCTCAGGTAGGGCTCCGGCCGCCTGTCTACATGAAAGCACATTAGCATTGACCTCAGAGGACACAGTGATGTCTCCCAGCTCCAGTGGCATTTGTGTAGATAAAGACAAATATATTTTCCTCTGTGGATCTACTAACCTCAAATAATTTAATTTAACCAAACTAGTTGAGACATTTCTTCCAAGTCTTAAGCTTTTCCAGTGCTAGGCTGACTTGGTGATCACTCTTTCCTTCTGAAAATGTTACATATGACATGACACTAGTGAGTCCAAAATACTAGAAGCTCAGTTTGTGTTGAGGGCTTGATAAAAACAGTAAGATATACTTCTATTTTAAGTATATTCAACTTATATTTAAAATATACTTCATTAGGTTGTTTATAAAATAGAGCCTCAAATATTGTACTGCCTTTTTAAACATGTTTTTGGGGTCTTAAAATTAGATTTACAATGATTCTATTGAACAAAAAATATGAATCTTTCTCAGGATAAATTTTTACTTAGCCCGTGTGTAGCCGGCTATGGTAAACGTAATACTTTGTTTCTTGTACTTACTTTCCTGTGGAGAATTCTGTCCCTTGGTGATAATGGAGGACAATTTAAGGATTGTCTCAGAATATCATAATTTTTGTATGTTTCAAAGTTGCTCTTAAACTTTGAAATGAGGATCTTAGAGATGAGGTCAAATGGCCTTAAGACAGGATGTGTCATTCTTCAACACTATCTCTGTAGCCAATGCAGGAAAACTGACCAAAATCTACTCTTTCACAATTAGCAAGGAGGCATGTTTGCAGCTATTATAATAGAATTAGATATTGCATGTGTGTTGTAAAAAGCCTTTGCTTAGAACAATTGTTCAAACATCTATTTGACTGGCCAAAATGGAAATACAGCATAATTCTATTTTTATGGCCCTCTATTTTAACAAAATGCCAGTTGCATAGCAATGGAACTGTAGTATCCCCCAGTTTCAAATATGCTTAGCATCAGCTGGAAAGAGCTTTTCTCTTTCCACTTCCACTTCACTTGTATTTCCTTCTCAAGGTTGGTTTTTCTAATTTGAGCTCCCTTTTAACAAACAACTAGAAATATTCTCATATCTGGCTCATCCTTCTGCTTTTACCTTTTTCCCTGCTTGTGAGGCGTATTTATTTTCCTATAACTAGTCAGATTTGGGTTCATGGTATAAATAAAAGTGAGTTTTTCTGAACAAAAATGTCAGCTTTTATATTTTCATATACAAGAAGTATTGTGGCAGATGACGCAATAGATGACACCAAATTAAATAATTTTTGTGTATGTGCTATCATGTATAATTTAGAAATTACTTTGGATATGTAGGAATAGTCAGACTTATGGGAAAAAAAATTTTTTTTGAGATCAGTTCTGTGTAGAGCATCATTCTGTCCAATCTGTGTAGAGCATCATCTTGCCTAAATCTATAATTTGGTAGTCAGAGATGAAATAAAGATATCCTAGGTATGGAATCATCATATAGAGCTGTCTCTCAGTATAAGCAGGGGATTGGTTCTAGGACCCCCACACATACCAAAATTCACACATACTCAAGTCCTGCAGCCAGCCCCGTGAAATCCATCTATGGAAAAAAATCACACCCTCTATATAAGGCAGGTTTTGCATCCTGCAAAGAATGCATTTTCATCTGAGCGCATGGTTGAAAAAAATCCAGGTATAAAGTGGACCAGCACAGTTCAAACCCATGTTGTTCAAGTGTCAACTGTCTTACAAATGTTTTATTTAAATGTCTAAAAGTTCTAAAAGCATATGTCAATTTAGCACAGTTTTATGACTCTTAGAAACAAATTCATGAGTCATTCAAATCCATTTAGCAGAGAAAATTGAAGAAATAAGTATTAATTCTTCATATTTTTATGTATTCTCTTAGATTTCTAACTTAAAATGACAAACTTTCAAGGGCAATTGTTTGAGAGTAACAGCCATTTCCCATGACTAATTCGATTACCATTAAATCCATGTTTATTTCCAATGTTCTTAGCTGTGCTATCCACAAACATGTGAATCCATTAGTCATACAATGTGGTCATAAACCAGGAAAGAGACAGTGGAATACAATGAAACAAGCACAGACTTAGGAGTCAGTCTGGATATGGGTCCATATCCAGGCTTGGTAACTTTCTAGTTGTGTAAACTTGGGCAAATTATTGTAATTATTCTGAAAAACACCTAACTAGAATAAATAACATAAAGGTGAGCTGATATTATGTAAATAAAGTTAAAAGAGAAAATGACTCAGTGTCAAAGCCCTGGCATGCTGCCTGGAATTCAATAGATAATGATTTTCATTAGAAGCAGAAAACAGAGAATTTGGATAGAGCAGTTTATTTTCTGTCTGCATCAGAATCTCAACTTGGGCACTATTGATATTTGGGGCAGAATAATTCTTTGTTGTGGGGCACTGTCCTGTGTATTGTAGCATGCTTAGCAACATGCCTGGTCTCTACCCACTAGATGCTAGTAGTGTACCTCCCTCTCAATTACTCTTCCCAAGCCCTGCCACTCTACCACTTGGCACCTTAATTGTGACAATCAAGAATGTGTGCAGGGATTGCCAAATATGCGTCAGGGCAAAATCTCCCTAATTGAGAACCACTGGTCTGCCTGAAGAGTGAGGTCCATTGTCCAGTAGCTCAGGCCCAGCCTTGTGTCTCTGTCCTTCAATTTCACCTTTGGCTAGTTACACAGTTAATGGCAGAACTCCCCCAATGTATAGGGATATGGTCATTGTGTATTTTGGGTACTCATTCTAGATTTTACCAGAGGAAAATTTCTTTATCACCTAAGTTCTTTCTAAATGGGAATAAAATATCAGGAACACGAGACATGAAATGAGATGTATTACTTAATTAATTTGTGCTCAGTAAATTCCATGTGAATTTGCAAAGAAGTAAGTAACCATTTTAGGCAAATAATTCGTACATAGCAATTACTCTTGTTTAATTCAGAATGCCTCAAGACATTCAATTTTTAAAATTCAAGGAAAAGCAAAAAAAGTCAAATGTGTATTTCAGGGTAGCAAAACTCTTCCGTGTACATTAATAATCCATTTCTTAAGTGATCCTAATACACATTGTTTGGAATGATTGAAAAAATTGTTAATATACTCGCTTTTACTTACAAATGATTATTTTCATTTTACTATGTTTGTTTTTGAGGAAAAACCTTAAAAATTACTATAAACAAACTATTAACAGTTTTAAGGAATAAACACTATCAAGCCTGTTTCTGTAAATTATAAAATGAAAACAAGCTTTTAAATGTGCTACTTAGTAATTTAGTGTCAGATATATATACTGGAGCAGATTATATTTATAATTATTTTGTCTTTATAAAAATGGAAAAATGACTTAAAAGTGGGAGGTGGAGGAAAATTTGTGATGTGATCATGAAGAAGGTCAAAATATTCTCAGTTCTATGTATATTTGTAAACCAGTTCAATACAGTACCTGGATTAATTATTTTATTATTTATACTGAGCTTTGACTCCAAATAATTTAAATAAGTCTATATAAAATATAGTAAGATTATTCAAATGTTCATAGAAAAAGTAGAAAGAAAAAATACAACCCCAGAAACATAAAATTAAGTCAGTAAAAGCCTAGTTAAAAATGCATTCATAAAATGTTATTTGTTTTCTACAGCTGGATAAGATATTTTGCAAGAAATGAGCAGAACAAAAATAAAATTAGGAAAACAATTCCATTTATAATAGCACCAAAAAGAACAAAATTCTTACAAATAAATTTTTAAAAGCAATATATAGTTTATACTCTAAAAACTACAGAATATTGTGGAAAGAAATTACAATATACCTAAATAAATGATAAGACTTTTTATGTTAATGGATTGGAAGATAACATTGTTAAGATGACAGTATTCTCCAAATTGAGATACAGATTTAATTCAGTTCCTACCAATGTCCTGGATGACTTCTTTGCCAAAATTGACAATGTGATCCTAAATTTAATTTGGAAATGCAGATGATCTAGAATGGCCCAAACAACCTTGAAAGAGAATGGAGCTGAAAGACTCACACTTCCTGATTTTAAAATTTACTTCAAATCTATAGTAATCAAAACAGTATGGTATTAGTCTAAAAATAGACATATAGATCAATGAAATAGTCCAGAAATAAACCCTCACATTTACAATAAATTAATTTTTAAAAGGGTGTCATGACCATCCAATGGGTAGAGAATAGTGTTTTCAACAAATGGTGCTAGGTCAACTGGATATTCACATTAAAAAATTGAGTTGGATACTTAGCTTACAACACACACACACAAATTAACACAAAATTGATCAGAGACCTAAATATAAGAGCTTAAACTATAAAACTCTTAGAAAACATGTATATCAAACTCTTAAAAACTTAGGTATAAATCTTTGTTATACCTATGGATGTGGGAATGGTTTCTTAGAGATGACACCAAAGATACAAGAAATGAAGAAAAAATAGGTATCATCAAAATCAAACTATTTCATACTCAAATTACACCATCAGGAAAGTGGAAAGAACACCCATAGAATGACAGAAAAAATGTTCAAAGCATGTATCTGAAAAGGGATTTGTATCTAGACTATATAAAGAACAATTACAACTCCATAATTAAGAAGACAAATAATCCAGTTTAAACAAGGGCAAATGTTCCAAATAGACATTTCTTCAAAGAATATATACAAACATCCTTTTGTTTAATGCTGGTATTTATCAGGGAAATGCAAATTGAAATCCATGAGATACCACTTCACACCTCCTAGAATGACTATAGTCAAAGAAACCAAAAATAAAAATTTTTAGGGAGGATTTGGAGAAAGTGGAGCCCTCATACACTGATGGTGGGAATATAAAATTTGAAAAACAGTTAGGAAAAGCCTAGAGCTTCTTCAAAACGTTAAACATAGAGTTACCACATGATCTAGCAATTCTACTCCTAGGTATATACCCAAGAAAAATAAAAACATGTCCACACAAACATTTCTAAGTGATTGTTCATAGCAGCAGCATCTATAATAACCCAAAAGTGGAAACAACTTAAATGTCCATCAACTAATAAAATGTGGTAATATCGATATAATGGCATATTACTCCACAATAAAAAGAAATGAAATACTTCTACATGTTGCAACATTATGAACCTTGAAAACATGCTTAGTGAGAGAAAACAGACATAAAGAACCATATATTATAATAATTTCTTTTGTAAGAAAAGTTATACTATTATGTCCTGTTTTGTTGGGTAGTGGTGAAAAGATTGTGGTCAGAGCTAGAATGTCCCATCTTAGGAGAAACTTCCATAACCACCCATAGAAAGTAGCTACCCAATCCCTCTTTAACATGACTTAATTTTAATATTCTACATAAAACCAATCCAAATTTTATTTTTTTAAAAAGTATTTATGTACTTTATTGTCTTAACACTGAAAAGTAATGTATACAAGCAAAGAATTGCCCTTGTTATTCACAGCTGTATCTTTAGGACCAACAGTGGTGCCAGGCAGAGTTGGCCACCTAATAGGTATTCGTCACTAATAAGACATTTATCATAAAACTATGGGAGATTCAAAGATATAAATATTTAACACAGTGACCATTTCTTGGTACTGGTACTTTTTATTAATGTATTTATTAAAATTGATAAGTAAAAATTGAACTTATTTATGGCATATAAGATGATGTTTTGAAATATGTATACATTGTGGAATGACTAAGTCAAGCAAACATATGCGTTACCACACATACTTATTTCTTTGTGATGAGAACACATAAAATCTCTTCTCTTAGTGATTTTCAAATATACAATACATTGTATTAACTGTAGTCATCGTATTGTATTATAGGTACTGGTACTTTGAGTGCCCTATCTTGTGTAATCCTTAGCTCAGCCCTGGGAGGTCAGTAGTATTCTTTCCATTTTTAGAGAAATTAATAGTTCACTTCAGATCACACAGTCTGTACCAGGGCAAGATTCCAGTTAGATGCCATGCTTTAATGATTACACTGTACTATAGCCAGTGCTGAAGCAAGTACTATTGGGATTTAGGAGTGTCAGGGGATGCTTCGAGACAGAGGGATATTTTTAACTAGGTTTTGAATAAGAGGGAGACTTTTGTTCAGGTGGTGGGATGGCATACCATCCAAAGTGTGGGAGGAGGATAGCACAGAGCTTATAGAAAGCAATGAGTGGTTCAATTTGGCAGGAGTCTAAGATGAGCTACATTTGAGAAGAGGTTTTGAGAATGAGGTGAATATTATGATTAATTTGCTCCATTTTGCAGAAATGACTGGACCAATGTTGATGTTTCTTCTTATAAAGGCACTAGTCCCATTTGTGAGGGCTCCACCCCAATTACTTAATTATTTGCCAAAGACCTCACCTCCAAATATCATCACACTGGAGACTAAGCTTCAACCTAGGAATTTGGGGACACATCCTTTATCTCGGTTTCATCTCTCCCACCACATGTCCACTTTAGATCCCTTCTAGATTACAGCAAAAGCCCTGATATTCACCAACCATGCCCATACTTTTCTGTTTCTGTGCCAGGTCTCTTAATACCACTTTTGCCTGGAGCTCCTAGCTTCAGCCATATTGCCTTCTATCAACATTCTGTCTTTCCTGGCTCCTTTGAAACACCATTGGTTAAAGATCTTTCTGAATGCATCTCCCAATAATCAGATGTGCTACTAAATAAGATATGGTGTCTTCTTCATAATTATCAAGGAATCCAATATTTCTAGGTTTTTTTAAAATCAGTTTCTGAGAAAAGCTTCTCCATTATTCTTGTGGTATGCTCTCTTGTTTACATTTTGGTTTTTCTATTTCAGATAATACTGGGGATTTGCTCATGTAGTTCATCTGTATCTATATACTTGTTAAACTCTGCATAGAAACTTTCTGAAGGAAATAATAATGATAATTATTATAGCTAATCATTCCCATTTTCTATGTTATTCAAACATGCCTGTATGATGTACTAAAATTATCTCTATTACTTAGTACTGTACTTATGACAAAGTAGGAGCTCAAATAATTCTAATTTGCTGAAAACTCTACAGTCTAACTGATATGTTGGAAATAATCTACATGTTATGTCTTCATAGGAACTTCATTTATGATCATTCCTTTCTTTCCCTAAATGGTACCTAAAAAAAGATTCCATTTCACTTTTATTGAGCATCTACTCAGTGTAAGACTATTCTTTTTAATGCATGGAATGCAAGAACTGTGATAGTAACTGGCTTCATAGATCTTAGCATCAACTGTAAGGATAAGGCAAGAGTATTTACAGGTAATTGTAGGTAATAAAAACTGCAATTAGAAGCACACAAAATATTCTGTAGAATTCAAAGAAAGGAGAGATCATATCACATTAGAAGTTAAAAGAAAGATTTCATGGAATAGTTGACATATCATTCAGGCAGTGTGGCAGAAACTTCTAGTTGCCCACCTGAATATCCATTTACCCTTTCCTTTTTAGGAACAGAATTCTGATTTTTAGCTGAGCTCATTGATGCGTGAATAGAAAGACTGCATTTCACAGGCTCCCTTAAAGCTGAGTGCAATCATGTGACTAAGCACTGGCCAAAGAAATGTCAACGGAAGTGTTATGTGTGATTTCTGTCAATGTCACTTAGAAGTAGCTGACTTGCAGAGAGAAAGGAGATAAATCTTTTTTTTTTTTTTTTCATCACTATTCTGCCTTTTGTCTGTCTTTTGGCCCACACCCTCAGATATAATGGCTGGAGTTTCACAGACTATCCTGGGTCATGAGGTGACTCGAAGACGGAAAACTTGCCCTAGTCTGATAGAGCAGAAAGACAGAAATTGTGTTCTTATGAAAACATGGAATGAACTTTCTACCTCCAGACTTATTTTACACAATAATGAAATAAACTTCTAACTTATGTAAGCCCCTATTATTCAGAGATATTCTGGTCCATCCCACTAAAACAGATTCTAATCTACAGCCCTGGAGGCTTTCACTAAAGGCAGGCGGAGCAAAGTAAATGGCACACTGTTAGGAAATTTTATAATTTTACCTTTATTCTCATTTTGGTCATTCCTATAAAACCTCTGGCAATATTCCTTGTGGTCCTCTTTCCTTCCACTAACACTTAACCGTCACAACAGGCAGTCTTACTCAGTAATCAAAGATGTGGACTCTCGAGTCAAGACTCTATAGGTTAAGATCCCAGCTTGGCCTCTCATGAGCTGTGTACTTTGAGCAATGATTTAACCTTTCTCATTTCCTCAACTGCAAAATTTATACAGCAGTAAGATCCAGCTCACAGGGTTTTTGTGAAGATTAAATTAGTAAAGGATGTACAGTAAGACCATAGAACAGTAACAGGCTCACAGTAAGTGCTCAGTAAATGTTAGAGAGAAATGTGACTATCAATTCAAGAATGGCTTGTTGAATGTCAGTTATGTGTTAAGCTTTATATTCAGCTTGGGTACAAGGGAGTAAATAAATCACATTCCTTAGCAGTTCACAGTATAGTTCTCTGTGAGAAAAATATATATCTATATTTTGGGGGATGATTTTCTTCTAGCTCCATGTCCTGTTAACCACACCAAGCCAGTCTGAATTATAAAACAGTGTTTTTGTTTTGTTTTGTTTTGTTTTTGAGACAGAGTTTTGCTCTGTCACCTAGGCTGAAGTGCAGTGGTGCAATCTTGGCTCACTGCAGTCTCAACCTCCTGGGTTCAAGCAATTCTCATGCCTCAGCCTCCCAAGAAGCTGGGATTATAGGCACCCGCCACCACACCCGGCTAATTTTTGTATTTTTAGAAGAGACAGGGTTTTACCATGTTGCCCAGACTGGTCTCAAACTCCTGAGGTCAAGCAATCCACCCGCCCTGGCCTCTCAAAGTGCTGAGATTACAGGTGTGAGCCACCACACCCAGCCAACAATGTTTAATCATTGGATAAATTATACAATTCAATGCATTCTCCCCTGGCAAGAAGAAATGCCCTGGCATGGTACACAGGAAGATCAAAATGATAATATCATGAGATCTACCCCCACAAAAAATATTTGAGAGACTTCCTTTCAAAAACTTCAAATTAATTATAACTCAGTTTAGGGAGACCTGAAAATGAGTAATGACAAAGTACGGCAACATCAAAAATATCTTATATTACTATAATTTGTGCAAATGCCAAATTAAATGTTATAAGCTATCTGAAAAGAATTTTTGCGCTATGAGAAAGATGACAAAGCAATTTCCACATGGCTTCTACTGCCTGTTCATATGTTTATACTAAAAGATACTTCCTCTATTGTCCACATGGCTTTTACCAACCCCCACTTCCACTTAGAACTATTAGAGGAAGTTGCCAAATTATTATGAGTCAGTTGTTTAGAAATTGAACATTATTATACAGGTAGCCTACCTAACTCACAGTGTGCCTAAATATGGCAATAATAACACTGACTCCAACATTGTACTCTAAGCTCTCTCAGAGGAAAATTCATAGCAGATTCTTACTTGAGATGACAAATTACGTCTCACGGCTGTAATCTCTTCCAACACACTCTCTTCAGTCACTGGGAATAATTACTGGGATATGGACAAAGAGTTCCATCCATCTGGGGTTTGGGTAAAGGACAATAGGAAGAGAAAAAAGGAGTCCCCAGGGGCTCTTGGTTCTGCATCAGCTTCTAATTGCATTTCTTACAGGGCCAGGAGATTGGTCCACATATTTCTAGTTCTACTATCCTGGCCTGTTCTTCTGGCTATGGGTTGTCTCCTCTCCCAGGCCACTGCCCTGTGAAACTACAGTTCTTCTCTAGTCTCCAGTTCCTGAATCAAGTATACAGTCCTTTGGAGCAGTGGTTTTCAACTATTTTTTTTTACATGATCTGCAGCAATAAAAGCATTTGACACCATAATTAAATAAATATGTACCTCTACATAGACATAAGTGAAAGAAAAGTTTTACAGGGCAAAACTCATCCTACTATGTGATATGCACACTCTATTCCATTCTATTAAAAAATGTTTGTTATCATGGCTTACTAAGTCAATTTTATGACTGTTTTATAGATTATACCTCACAGTTTGAAGAACTGTGCTTTAAACATTAAAAAAAACTTTAAAAAAAAGTCTAAAAACTAACATAAACAATTTCAAATCATCTCGAAAATGTCACACTATACTGGACATTTAGTTTATTTTGACGTTTAGGGCTTTGAAACTCCTCACTATGGAAACTTCTCTACCTCATGAAAACTGGAGAGATAAGGGTATGTTTCCTACTGCAAAATTGCCACTGTCCAGACACACTATTTCTCTGGCCCCTAGAAATAAGGGATGAGCATGTGACCCTTTCAGTTTCTTGGTTTGGAGCAAGAATTCATTCTGGCAGCATAAATTAACATTGGCTGCATGGGTAGTGGTACAACAGAGTACACTGTTCATTGTGGAATGGGCCTGGGTGCCACATGTTGCACCCCGTAGCCAGCAAGAAGGATAACAGTATCTGCATCCACATGGTGTTTGGTGGTGTGGTTTTAGCTGTAATCATTGTGTCCAGCCTCCTTTTATCCTTACCTTGCCCATGTCTGATTCTCCAGCCTTTCTAGTAGTTCCCTTTCTTTTTAAATCTGCCACTGTGTAAGTTGGTTTCTCTGGTTTGCAATGACTTGCAATCTATTTCCCTGAGGTTTAACTCAACATTAGGGATTTTTCCTCTGCTTTATGCAAAAGAACACTATCTCAGAGATTCTTTGCAAAAATATTCATTAGAGGCCTGTGAAGGAAAGGATGGGAACATTGAGAGGTGAAAGTTTGATAGGAGAATTGATAATTCAGCTTGCTGGTGAGAGAGTAAGTAGAGAAAGAATCTATCTTGGGATTTTTTCACCTTCCTTTCTTCAACAGGATCCTCATTATATCCCTTCTACTGTCAAAAATCCTGGTTGGGGTCAGGGTCGGGCAACAAAAGACCAATATTCAGTGAGGGAGAAAAGGGAAGGCAGTCATAAGCAATGAAAGAGAAGGGAGCCCTAGTTGTATCATTGGGGAATAAAACTAATTCATTATGGCCACTCCGTTTCACATGCTGGGGGCCCGTCCTGGGTATGTACAAGAAAAGAAATGTGTATGAAGCAAAAATGTGTCTAATGCCATCTGCAGTCATCTAAAGACCAGTGTAAAGAAGCATGTATTTTTCTGCATAAGTATCATTATTATTATCAAGATTATTTAGTATTTGTTAATAGACTGTGAGATCTAGTTTAATTCTTTCCAGTAACAAGCTAGATGGCCAGTGTAAATTTTCGTAGTTGATTCATCCAGTTGGTGCCTTAATTTCTGCACAACTTCTCATCAATAGGCCATAGCAAGGGGTCCTCAAATGCAAAGAAGTAGGTTTGTTGGGGAAAGTGCCCATTAAATTCCATTGTTTTCCTCTTTAGGATATTATGTTTTGACATTTCAACTGTCCTCATTGCACAAGAGTTTTCAGACTAAATGTTTGGTATATAAATCCAATAAGGATATGTTGAAAACTTTAACTCATACTTAAAATGCCACCAGTTTCCCAAATCTGTACTGGATTAACACCCACATGTAAATGTGATGATTCCTTATAACTGCTTCGAAGTTAAGTGAGCACAACTGTGTTCTTGTAGCAAATAAGCACTTGTGAAATATCGAATGAAACAAGCATGAAATACTAGTCAGTTAACAAAAATGCAAAAAAAAATGTTTTTACTACTGACTAGTAAAAATCAGTCTAAATAATTTCATTTAGACTGATTAATTTACCTTACCCAGTGAGCATGTAGATACAATTAGTAAAAATAGAATATGAATATAAATAGCAGTTTTGATGCTTAGAAAAATTTGAAAACGTGATATTTGCCAGCATTAAGCTCATGAATTTTCATTTAAAAATACAATTTTAGAAATTTTTCTTCTCTTTGCTTGCAGTGTGATATTGAGAAATAGATGTAAGGCCCAGATGTTATTCATATAAATTCTTAAGCAGTAGAGATTTTAAACAATATGAGTACATGATTAACAGGTATTGCCTGTGATTTCGGATTTGAACATGATTAAGGCTGGGCTGCCTACATCTGCTGAATTCTGAGATATGAAGGGACAGGATCTTTGGGGCATCATCTAGTTTATCCAATGAAGTATTAATGTGTTGGAAAAAAATATTTCTTGTTCATGGGCCAAACAGAGTCATGTGTCACTTAGCAATGGGGGGTCATTCTGAGAAATGGGTTGTTGGGTGATTTCATCCCTGTGTGAACATCCTAAGAATATGGCTACTAAAGTTAGCTTCCAGAAGGGACAGATAAACTTATTCTCACAAATATTTACATTATCAAGAAGAAAGGGGAAAATACTTATAATTTTTAAAATAAGAAGAGACAGTTTTAATCTTTTATCTAATTGATTTAAAAATTATTGAATTAGCTGGGCATGGTGGCACACAGCCATAGTCCTAGCTACTTGGGAGGCTAAAGTGGGAGGATCGCTTGAGCCCAGGAGTTCAACATTACAGTAAGCTGTGATCACACCACTGCACTCCAGCCTAGGTAACAGAGACACCCTATCTCTAATAATAATAATAATTTGAAGGGTTATCATAGTCAAAACAATGTGAAGATTTTTAATATGTTACTCATTTTTTTATAAATTTCTAAGTGCTACCTTATTTAGGCATGGTAACCTTGAAATATTCACATGTTTAGAGTAAAAAAAAAATGAAAAGTGAAGTGAATTAATTTTTGGAAGAGTCAGAAGTTAACCTTGGGAATGATTTCAGGTGATTAATTACCTGGGTGGCTGTGGCTGACCAGCCTTACTGGCTCTGCTTTTCTTCATCTGTGAGTCCTGAGCTAGATTATGTCACCCTAATGCCTAGAATGAGTAAATATCTTGTATTAAAACAGCACAGAAAGCAAGAATATATCATATTTACTAGAAGCTTATGATGTGCATGCAGTGTTCTTTATCATTTCATTTAATTTCCACCATAATCTTTGGTGGTAGATGGTTAAAATAAAATGCAAATAGACCAAGTTACATTGCTGTACCACACCAAGCCCAGGTGAAACCCACATGAAACTCCTAAGCCTGGCTCACCTTTACTCTTTGATTTAAAAAGTTCATTTCAAATGTCACTTCCTTTAGAAAAATTTATCTGACTTTTCCAAGAAACTCAAGAATTCTTTTCTTTAGCTGCTCAATACACTTTGTTCATTCCTTCATTATATAAACTATCATACGGATAGCGCCATGTCCACCTCCCTTTCTGAAAGAGGGGACTGTGATATTTCACGCTGTATCCCTAGAATCCATTAGTATCTGGTATACAATAGGTACTGAATATATTCGTTAAATAAATGAATGAAATATTTAACACATTTCTACAGAAATAAAAGCCAGTAAGCATACCATCAGTATATATTAAATAAGACTTACCAATCATCCAATACCAACATGTTGGCACTGCTTTTGTGAGGACATTGTAAGCAGAAATTGGATTGAGCTTTGGTATGAGGAGTCTAACATGGTTGAACTTGGCCAGTCCAAACCATACATGTATGAAATTTGATATATTGCTCAGTGGCAGAGAAGTTGTGTCCCTCTCCTTAAGAGTTGCCTAATACAGCAAGACATGGCCAACCTGATTGTGCCTGTGTCCACATCTGCCAAGACCAGCTCGGTCATGGAGACCCTATCCCAGTGGTGCTAGAGGAATTAAAGACACACACACAGAAATATAGAGCATGGAGTGGGAAATCAGGGGTCTCACAGCCTTCAGAGCTGAGAGCCTCGAACAGAGATTTACCCACATATTTGTTGACAGCAAGCCAGTCATAACATTTACTAAAAGTATTCCTTATGGGAAATAAAGAGATGGGCTGAAATAAAGGGATGGGCTCTGACTAGTTATCTGCAGCATGAATGTGTCCTTAAGGCACAGATCACTGATGCTATTGTTTGTGTTTTAAGAATGGCTTAAGTGGTTTTCTGCCCTGGGTGGGCCAGGTGTTCCTTGCCCTCATTCCGGTAAACTGACAACTTTCCAGCGTGGGCATCAAGGTCATCACGAGCATGTCACAGTGCTGCAGAGATTTTGTTTATGGCCAGTTTTGGGGCCGGTTTATGGCCAGATTTGGGGGCCTGTTCCCAACACACATCCTGATAGATGTGGACTTCTTCCTCATAGAGGATAAGGACTGGAGCTGGGCATGGTGGCTCATGCCTATAATCCCAACACTTTGGGAGGCCAAGGTGGGAGGATCACTTGAGCTTAGAAGTTTGACCAGCTTTGGCAACATAGTGAGACCCTGTCTTGAAAAAATAATAAAAGAAAAAAGAAAAAAAGACTTATTTGGAAATATCTTCACTTGCTTAGCAAAATGGTCTACCAATATCAAATTTCTCTTACTAATGCTCCTAGAATGAAACAGGAATTAAAAGAAATTTAAGAATATGTAAGCAAAAACTCAGTTATATGTAAAAAAAAACCCAATTCCCCCTGAGAAAGAAAAAGAAATGGAGTCCTTTAAAAATTAACTGCCTGTTTTTCCGTGTGTGGCTAGTGAGCCTTATCTCTCCCTTTCCCAGGCATTGTGAAGACCCCGTTTCTCTAGCTGTGCAGCTGCAAGGTCACTAGGCAGATAAACTCAAGTCGTAAAACATGTTTTTCCTTGAAAATTAAGAAATAATGTAATACATGTCTCAATTGAATAACTGTCTTTGTTTCTCGCTTCTGTAACATGCTTCCCCCTGCACAGATCTCCCCCCACCCCACAAAATGCTTAAAAGGTAATCTGACCCTTTGTTTGGGGCTCAGTCCTTTGGATGTTAATTCAACCGGGTTGGTGCCCCTAAATAATAATATATATCCTCCTCAAACCCTCGGTCTCTCTGATTCCTAAATTATCCCACTGCATTTCTGCAAGAAGTTATCCTCTCTTCCTCTCTATCCTCTTCAAGAAGAGTCACTGGGCGCAGTGGCTCACGCCTGTTATCCCAGCACTTTGGGAGGCAGAGGTGGGTGGATCACCTGAGGTCAGGAGTTTGAGACTAGCCTGGGCAACATGGTAAAATCCCGTCTCTACTAAAAATACAAAAATTAGCTGGGCATGGTGGCACATGCCTGTAATTCCAGCTACTTGGGAGGCTGAGGCATGAAAATCGCTTGCACCCAAGAGGTGGAGTTTGCAGTGAGCCAAAATCATGCCAGTGAACTCCAGCTTGGACAACAGAGTGAGACTCTGTCTCAAAAAAAACAAAACAAAACAAAAAAAAAACGCGTAGATCTTTTCCCAATATAGGATGAAATGCATCTGAGTGAAACAAACAATATTGCTACTCCAGCTAAGGTTGCTCTTGGTCACAGAATTACCATTAGAGTTGATAAAATATGTTCAATTAAATTACTTTATCATGATGACATATTTGCAAATAAGAACATTCATATTTAGATAGGAAGTTAAACAATATATAGTAAACAAAAACAAATTACTTAATGACATAGTATTTCATGTTACTTAATATATTTATAACTATCTAGGAAGGAGAAAGGAAAAAAAGGGTAATATAATGACAAACCTATGGATTCCATATATAATAAATAGACTCATATATAATAAATAGATTTAAACACTATGAAAAAGCTAATGGGCTTTTATCTTCATTAATACATTTCTGATTTTTCACAAGCACTTTACATTTTACAAAGTCTATTCTTATACATTAACTCCTTAAATCTTCACAACTTCCTCCTGTGGGAGTTTTATATTTTATTTGCCAGAAAAGAGCATAGAGGTTCAGTGAGGTTAGGTTTCTACTTTGTATATAACTGTCTCTCCATTAAATAATGGAGGCAGCATAGATGATACAGCATCATTAAGATAAAAATATATTTACATATATGTAGAAGAATTTTCATGAAATGATATTTCAAAAAAGTGACAGTAAGAAAAATAAATTTTACCATATATGCTAAATAATTATATTGCAAAATGGAGCAGAACTATAGGTAGTTATGAAAATAATCTTGCTATATTACACTCAATAATAAGATTTTCACTGCATAATTTCCTAGCATAGCTTTTTGTTAGATTTCCTATTCACACAAAGCTGAATTTCTAATTGCAGTATTCTCTTTATTCTGGAAGAAAAGAATACTGAATATCTTTTGTAATTTTACTATAATGTATAATGCAAGTGCTAATCTTTCTGTAGACCAAGAATTAATTCGCTAATCATTTTTGTGTTTCAGGACTTTGCTGGAGAACACAAAGGATGTTGGATACTTCTTGAAAGCAGTAAAAACAATTTTGACAGAAAGATAAGAATAGTCTAATTTATAGTGATAAGGAAATCCTGGGCATGAAGTCTACTGCTGCTGGTAAAGTTGGACTAACAGAGTTCAATTAAATCTCATGCCTGAAGTAACTTAAAAACTGGAAAAAATTTTAAGAAAAAAATGGGTTTTAGGCATTGGAAATATAGCAATAAAGAACAGTAATCCCAGAAAGATAGGAAAAAAATGAGGTGACCCTCCAGCAGCCCCAGTTTACTGACTGGAGAGAGTTTCAGGAAACAGTACAGGGAGAGAGAACTGGGTAGGATCTGGCAGTTTTGTATGAGATGAGGAGACAGATCTTAGAATCCAGAGAGATCAACAAAACTAGAGGTTGCAAGGCATAGTATCAGAAGAGAGAGCCATCCAGAGAAATCTCTACATCTGTAGAGAGTGCTATTTGAATCTTCAGCTGAGTTCAGATCAGTGCATTCATGTGAGCGTAAGTAGCCAAAGGTGGAGGAAGAGCCAACCAAAAGGATAAGATGGAACACACAGGGTGAGAAATGTTTTTTATTCTAACCATGCAGAGTGGAAGACCCCATCATTCACAGAACACTGGGTAGAAAAGTCAGAAAGATTTTACCTCAGTATTAGGGCTAAATTAGCCCTACACTAATCATCACTCTTTTTCTTCCCAGTGAAGCTTAAACATAGATCTCAAAGGTATCAAACTGTATCCATGTTTCTTAATTGCATCACAAAAATAGGTCAATATTTATTTAAAGGAATACAAATATAGCTAACACAAAGTTAAATTGACAATATCTAGCATCCAATCAAAAATTACCAGGTATGTAAAGAAAAAGGAAAATAGGACCCATTTTGAGGAGATAAATCAATCCATTGAAATTGACATGGGACAGGGCATGGTGGCTAACACCTGTAATCCCAACACTTTGGGACACCAAGGCGGGAGGATTGCTTGAGTTCAGGAATTCAAGACCAGCCTGGGCTACGTAGTGTGATCTTGTCTCTGGTAAAAATAAAAATAAAAATAAAATAGAGTGGTGTGGTGGTGTGTGCCTGTAGTCCCAGCTACTCTGGGGGCTGGGGCAGGAGGATTGCTTGAGCCTGGGAGATAGAGGCTGCAATGCTCTATGATCATGCCACTGCACTCCAGCCTGGGTGACAGGGTGAGATTCTGCCTCAAAAAAAGAGAAAGAAATTGACATAGGAATTATATTTGTGATAGAATTAGTAAAGAATGGCTAAACAATGAATGTAATTGATTTCATAGGTTCAAGAAACTACAAGACAGATTGAGCATGTTAAGTAAAAACATGGAAGATGAATGTTATTAATGTTTCTGTTAATATCAGACATAATGGATTTAAGAAGAAAGAATATTATCAGGTCATTTAATAATGATAAAAGTATAAATTATTCAAGGGTACATAATTCTCAATGTTTATGAATCTAATAACAGAGACTTAGAATACATGAAGCAAAAATGGATAGAATTTTTAGGAGAAATAAGTATACGAATGTAGTAAAATATAAATGTCAATAACCCTCTTTCAATAAATTATATAGAACATATTATCATATAATAATACATTTTATAGAGCAATTAGTCAGAATATCAGTAATGCTATAGAAAATTTGTTTGACACTATCAACCCAATTGACCTAATTGACATTTATAGAACAGTCCACCTACCAAGAGAAGAATTTAAGCACCTTTGGAACATTTACAGACCATATTCTGAGTCATAAAACAAGTTTCAATACATTTCAAATGATTCAAATCAAAAGCAGTATGTTCTCTGACTGCAATATAATTAAACTGTACATCAATAAGCAAAATATATCTGGGAAATCCGCAAATATTTAGAAACTAATTACCACCTTTATAAATAACTCATTAATCAAAGAAGACACAAAAAGGAAATCATAAAGTATTTTGAACAAAATAAAATTAAAGGCAAAACATTTCAAAATTTGTGAGATGCACCTAAAGCAGCGCTCAGCAGAAAATCAAAGCATTGGAGTTCCACTTTGGGAAAATAGAAAAAAAGACCAAATTAAATTCAAAATAAGCAAAATAAAGGAAATAAACATCAGAGGGAAATTCAGTAAAACAGAAAGACAGAGTCGATGAAACTAAACGTTTTTGTTTCTTTCTTTTTTTTTTTTTTTTCACTCTGTTGCCCAGACTGTTGCAATGGCAACTATCATGGCTCACTGTAACTTCCAGCTCCTGGGCTCAAGCAATCTCCCTGCTTCAGCCTCCCAAATAGCTGGTACTACAGGTATGCACCACCATGCCTGGCTAATTTTTAAAAACTTTTTGCAGAGACAAGGTCGTGCTATGTTGCCCAGGCTCCAGGTCAAAAAATACTTCCACCTTGGCTTCCCAAAGTGCTGGGATTATAGGTGTGAGCCACTCATCTGGCTTAAAAGTTTTTTTTTTTTTTTTGAGGAGATCAATGCGATGGATAATTTTCTAGACAGATTCATTGGGAAAAGAAATAGAAGAAATAAATTACTAATATCAAAGAGAAGTTATATGAATACAGATTCTGCAGATGTTCAAAAGGCTAATAGGTGTATTATTTTCCTATTGCCATCGTAACAGATTACTACATTATCACTCACTTGGTGGTCGAACACAACACAAATTTATTATCTTATAGTTCTGGGGGCCAGAGGTCAGGAATAGGTTTCCCTTGGCTAAATTTTTTTAAATACTTTAAGTTCTAGGGTACATGTGCACAATGCTATAGAAAATTTGTTGGACACTATCAACGTGCAGGTTTGCACTAACAACATGCAGTTTTGTTATATAGGTGTACATGTGCCATGTTGGTTTGCTGCACCCATTAATTCATCATTTACATTAGGTATTTCTCCTAATGCTATCCACCCCAAGACAGGATCTCGTGTGTGATGTTCCCCACCCTATGTCCAAGTGTTCTCATTGTTCAATTCCCACCTATGTGAGAGAACATGCAGTGTTTGGTTTTCTGTCCTTGTGATACTTTGCTCAGAATGATGGTTTCCAGCTTCATCCATGTCCCTGCAAAGGACATGAACTCACTGTTTTTTATGGCTGCATAGTATTCCATAGTGTATATGTCCCACATTTTCTTAATCCAGTCTATCATTGATGGACATTTGAGTTGGTTCCAAGTTTTTGCTATTGTGAATAGTGCCACAATAAACATACAAGTGCATGTGTCTTTATAGTAGCATGATTTAGAATCCTTTGGGTATATACCCAGTAATGGGATGGCTGGGTCAAATGGTATTTCTAGTTCTAGATCCTTGAGGAATCACCACACTGTCTTCCACAATGGTTGAACTAGTTTACAGTCCCACCAACAGTGTAAAAGTGTTCCTATTTCTCCACATCCTCTCCCGCACCTGTTGTTTCCTGACTTTTTAATGATCGCCATTCTAACTGGTGTGAGATGATATCTCATTGTGGTTTTGATTTGCATTTCTCTGATGGCCAGTGATGATGAGCATTTTTTCATATGTTTTTTGGCTGCATAAATGTTTTCTTTTGAGAAGTGTCTGTTCATATCCTTTGCCCACTTTTTGATGGGGTTGTTTGTTTTTTTCTTGTAAATTTGTTTGAGTTCGTTGTAGATTCTTGATATTAGCCCTTTGTCAGATGGGTAGATTGCAAAAATTTTCTCCAATTCTGTAGGTTGCCTGTTCACTCTGATGGTAGTTTCTTTTGATGTGCAGAAGCTCTTTAGTTTAATTAGATCCCATTTGTCAATTTTGGCTTTTGTTGCCATTGCTTTTGGTGTTTTAGACATGAAGTCCTTGCCCATGCCTATGTCCTGAATGGTATTGCCTAGGTTTTCTTCTAGGGTTTTTATGGTTTTAGGTCTAACATGTAAGTCTTTAATCCATCTTGAATTAATTTTTGTATAAGGTGTAAGGAAGGGATCCAGTTTCAGCTTTCTACATATGGCTAGCCAGTTTTCCCAGCACCATTTATTAAATAGGGAATCCTTTCCCCGTCGCTTGTTTTTGTTAGGTTTGTCAAAGATCAGATAGTTGTAGATATGCAGCTTTATTTCTGAGGGCTCAGTTCTGTTCCATTGGTCTATATCTCTGTTTTGGTACCAGTACCATGCTGTTTTGGTACCAGTACCATGCTGTTTTGGTTACTGTACCCTTGTAGTATAGTTTGAAGTCAGGTAGCGTGATGCCACCAGCTTTGTTCTTTTGGCTTAGGATTGACTTGGCAATGCGGGCTCTTTTTTCGTACCATATGAACTTGAAAGTAGTTTTTTCCAATTCTGTGAAGAAAGTCATTGGTAGCTTGATGGGGATGGCATTGAATCTATAAATTACCTTGGGCAGTATGGCCATTTTCATGATATTAATTCTTCCTACCCATGAGCTAGGAATGTTCTTCCATTTGTTTGTATCCTCTTTTATTTCATTGAGCAGTGGTTTGTAGTTCTCCTTGAAGAGGTCCTTCACATCCCTTGTAAGGTGGATTCCTAGGTATTTTATTCTCTTTGAAGCAATTGTGAATGGGAGTTCACTCATGATTTGGCTCTCTGTTTGTCTGTTTTTGGTGTATAAGAATGCTTGTGATTTTTGCACATTGATTTTGTATCCTGAGACTTTGCTGAAGTTGCTTATCAGCTTAAGGAGATTTTGGGCTGAGACGATGGGGTCTTCTAGATATACAATCATGTCGTCTGCAAACAGGGACAATTTGACTTCCTCTTTTCCTAATTGAATGCCCTTTATTTCCTTCTCCTGCCTGATTGCCCTGGCCAGAACTTCCAATGGTATGTTGAATAGGAGTGGTGAGAGAAGGCATCCCTGTCTTGTGCCAGCTTTCAAAGGGAATGCTTCCAGTTTTTGTCCATTCAGTATGATACTGGCTCTGGGTTTGTCATAGATAGCTCTTATTATTTCGAGATACTTCCCATCAATACCTAATCTATTGAGATTTTTTAGCATGAAGCGTTGTTGAATTTTGTCAAAGGCCTTTTCTGCATCTATTGAGATAATCATGTGGTTTTTCTCTTTGGTTCTGTTTATATGCTGGATTACGTTTATTGATTTTCGTATGTTGAACCAGCCTTGCATACCAGGGATGAAGCCCACTTGATAATGGTGGATAAGCTTTTTGATGTGTTGCTGGATTCACTTTGCTAGTATTTTACTGAGGATTTTTGCATCAATGTTCATCAAGGATATTGGTCTAAAATTCTCTTTTTTGTTGTGTCTCTGCCAGGCTTTGGTGTCAGGATGATGCTGGCCTCATAAAATGAGTTAGGGAGGATTCCCTGTTTTTGTACTGATTGGAATAGTTTCAGAAGGAATGGTACCAGCTCCTCCTTGTACCTCTGGTAGAATTCAGCTGTGAATCCATCTGGTCCTGGACTTTTTTTGTTGGTAAGCTATTAATTATTGCCTCAATTTCATAGCCTGTTATTGGTCTATTCAGAGATTCAACTTCTTCCTAGTTTAGTCTTAGAAGGGTGTATGTGTCGAGGAGTTTATCCATTTCTTCTAGATTTTCCAGTTTATTTGCATAGAGGTGTTTATAGTATTCTTTGATGGTAGTTTGTATTTCTGTGGGATCGGTGGTGATATCCCCTTTGTCATTTTTTATTGTGTCTATTTGATTGTTCTCTCTTTTTTTCTTTATTAGTCTTGCTAGCAGTCTATCAATTTTGTTGATCTTTTCAAAAAACCAGCTCCTAGATTCATTGATTTTTTGAAGGGTTTTTTGTGTCTCTATCTCCTTCAGTTCTGCTCTGATCTTTGTGTTTTCTTGCATTCTGCTAGCTTTTGAATGTGTTTGCTCTTGCTTCTCTAGTTCTTTCAATTGTAATGTTAGGGTGTAAATTTTAGATCTTTCCTGCTTTCTCTTGTGGGCATTTAGTGCTATAAATTTCCCTCTACACACTGCTTTGAATGTGTCCCAGAGATTCTGGTATGTTGTGTCTTTGTTCTCATTGGTTTCAAAGAACATCTTTATTTCTGCCTTCATTTTGTTATGTACCCCGTAGTCATTCAGGAGCAGGTTGTTCAGTTTCCATGTAGTTGAGCAGTTTCGAGTGAGTTTCTTAATCCTGAATTCTAGTTTGATTGCACTGTGGTCTGAGAGACAGTTTGTTATAATTTCTGTTCTTTTACATTTGCTGAGGAGTTCTTTACTTCCAACTATGTGGTCAATTTTGGAATAGGTGTGGTGTGGTGCTGAAAAGAATGTATATTCTGTTGATTTGGGGTGGAGAGTTCTGTAGATGTCTATTAGGTCCGCTTGGTGCAGAGCTGAGTTCAATTCCTGGATATCCTTGTTAACTTTCTGTCTCGTTGATCTGTCTAATGTTGACATTGGGGTGTTAAAGTCTCCCATTATGATTGTGTGGGAGTCTAAGTCTCTTTGTAGGTCACTAAGGACTTGCTTTATGAATCTGGGTGCTCCTGTATTGGGTGCATATATATTTAGGATAGTCAGTTCTTCTTGTTGAATTGATCCCTTTGCCATTATGTAATGGCCTTCTTTGTCTCTTTTGATCTTTGCTGTTTTAAAGTCTGTTTTATCCGAGACTAGGATTGCAACCCCTGCCTTTTTTTGTTTTCCATTTGGTTGGTAGATCTTCCTGCATCCCTTTATTTTGAGCCTATGTGTGTCTCTGCACATGAGATGGGTTTTCTGAATACAGCACACTGATGGGTCTTGACTCTTTATCCAATTTGCCAGTGTGTGTCTTTTAATTGGAGCATTTGGCCCATTTACATTTAAGGTTAATATTGTTTTGTGTGAATTTGATCCTGTCATTATGATGTTAGTTGGTTATTTTGCTCGTTAGTTGATGCAGTTTCTTCCTAGCCTTGATGGTCTTTACAACTTGGCATGTTTTTGCAGTGGCTGGTACCGGTTGCTCCTTTCCATGTTTAGTGCTTCCTTCAGGAGCTCTTTTAGGGCCGGCCTGGTGATGACAAAATTTCTCAGCATTTGCTTGTCTGTAAAGGATTTTATTTGTCCTTCACTTATGAAGCTTAGTTTGGCTGGATGTGAAATTCTGGGTTGAAAATTCTTTTCTTTAAGAATGTTGAATATTGTCCCCCACTCTCTTCTGGCTTGTAGAGTTTCTGCGGAGAGATCAGCTGTTAGTCTGATGGGCTTCCCTTTGTGGGTAACCTGACCTTTCTCTCTGGCTGCCCTTAACATTTTTTCCTTCATTTCAACTTTGGTGAATCTGACAATTATGTGTCTTGGAGTTGCTCTTCTCCAGGAGTATCTTTGTGGCATTCTCTGTATTCCCTGAATTTGAATGTTGACCTGCCTTGCTAGATTGGGGAAGTTCTCCTGGATAATATCCTGAAGAGTGTTTTCCAACTTGGTTCCATTCTCCCCATCACTTTCAGGTACACCAATCAGACGTAGATTTGGTCTTTTCACATAGTCCCATATTTCTTGGAGGCTTTGTTCATTTCTTTTCATTCTTTTTTCTCTAAACTTCTCTTCTCACTTCATTTCATTCATTTCATCTTCCATCGCTGATACCCTTTCTTCCAGTTGATCGCATCGGCTACTGAGGCTTGTGCATTTGTCACGTATTTGTCATGCCATGGTTTTCAGCTCCATCAGGTCCTCTAAGGACTTCTCTGCATTGGTCATTCTAGTTATCCATTCGTCTAATTTTTTTTCAAGGTTTTTATCTTGTTTGCCATTTGTTCGAACTTCCTCCTTTAGTTCGGAGTAGTTTGATCTTCTGAAGCCTTCTTCTCTCAACTCGTCACGGTCATTCTCCGTCCAGCTTTGTTCCATTGCTGGTGAGGAGCTGTGTTCCTTTGGAGGAGGAGAGGCACTCTGATTTTTAGAGTTTCTGGTTTTTCTGCTCTGCTTTTCCCCCCATCTTTGTGGTTTTATCTACCTTTGGTCTTTGATGATGATGGTGACGTAAAGATGGGTTATTGATGTGGATGTCCTTTCTGTTTGTTAGTTTTCCTTCTAACAGTCAGGACCCTCAGCTGCAGATCTGTTGGAGTTTGCTGGAGGTTCACTCCAGACCCTGTTTGCCTGGCTATCAGCAGCAGTGGCTGCAGAACAGCAGATATTGGTGAACTGCAAATGCTGCTGCCTGATGGTTCCTCTGGAAGTTTTGTCTCAGGGGAGTACCCGGTCGTGTGAGGTGTCAGTCTGCCCCTATTGTGGGATGCCTCCCAGTTAGGCTACTTGGGGGTCAGGGACCCACTTGAGGAGGCAGTCTGCCCATTCTCAGATCTCAAGCTGTGTGCTGGGAGAACCACTACTTTCTTCAAAGCTGTCAGACAGGGACATTTAATTCTGCAGAGGTTATTGCTGTCTTTTGTTTGTCTGGGCCCTGCACCCAGAGGTGGAGCCTACAGAGGCAGGCAGGCTGTCTTCAGCTGTGGTGGGCTCCACCCAGTTCGAACTTCCCGGATGCTTTGTTTACCTACTCAAGCCTCCGCAATGGCGGGCGCCCCTCCCCCAGCCTTGCTGCTGCCTTGCAGTTTGATCTCAGACTGCTGTGCTAGCAATGAGCCAGGCTCTGTGGGCGTAGGACCCTCTGAGCCATGTGCGGGATATAATCTCCTGGTGTGCCATTTGTTAAGCCGGTTGGAAAAGCACAGTATTAGGGTGGGAGTGACCCGATTTTCCAGGTGCCGTCTGTCACCCCTTTCTTTGACTAGGAAAGGGAATTCCCTGACCCCTTGCACTTTCCAGGTGAGATGATGCCTCACCCTGCTTCGGCTCATGCATGGTGGGCTGCACCCACTGTCCTGCACCCACTGTCCGGCACTCCCCAGTGAGATGAACCCGGTACCTAAGTTGGAAAGCAGAAATCACTCATCTTCTGCATCGCTCACACTGGGAACTGTAGATGGGAGCTGTTCCTATTCGGCCATCTTGGCTCCACCCCCAGTTTCCTGACTTTTTAATGATTGCCATTCTAACTGGCGATGGTATCTCATTGTGGTTCTGATTTGGATTTCTCTGATGACCAGTGATGATGAGCACTTTTTCATGTGTCTGTTGGCTGCATAAATGTCTTCTTTTGAGAATTGTCTTTTCATATCCTTTGCCCACTTTTTGATGGGGTTGTTTGATTTTTTCTTGAAAATTTGTTTAAGTTCTTTGTAGATTCTGGATATTAGCCCTTTGTCAGATGGGTAGATTGTAAAAATTTTCTCCCATTCTGTAGGTTGCCTGTTCACTCTGATGGTAGTTTCTTTTGGTGTGCAGAAGCTCTTTAGTTTAATTAGATACCATTTGTCAATTTTGGCTTTTGTTGCCATTGCTTTTGGTGTTTTTGTCCTGAAGTCCTTGCCCATGTCTATGTCCTGAATGATATTGCCTAGGTTTTCTTCTAGGGTTTTTATGGTTTTAGGTCTAACATTTAAGTCTTTAATCCATCTTGAATTAATTTTTGTATGAGGTGTAAGGAAGGATCCAGTTTCAGCTTTCTACTTATGGCTAGCCAGTTTTCCCAGCACCATTTATTAAATAGGGAATCATTCCCCAGTTCTTGTTTTTGACTGGTTTGTCAAAGATCTGATGGCTGTCGATGTGTGGTATTATATCTGAGGGCTCTGTTATGTTCCATTGGTCTATATCTCTGTTTTGGTACAAGTACAATGCTGTTTTGGTTGCTGTTGCCCTGTAGTATAGTTTGAAGTCAGGTAGTGTGGTGCCTCCAGCTTTGTTCTTTTTGCTTAGGATTGTCATGACAATGTGGGCTCTTTTTTAGTTCCCTATGAACTTTAAAATAGTTTTTTTCAAATTCTGTGAAGAAAGTCATTGGCAGCTTGGTGGGGATGGCATTGAATCTATAAATTACCTTGGGCAGTATGGCCATTTTCATGATATTGATTCTTCCTACCCATGGGCATGGAATGTTCTTCCATTTGTGTCCTCTTTTATTTCATTGAGTAGTGGTTTGTAGTTCTCCTTGAAGAGGTCCTTCACATCCCTTGTAGGTTGGATTCTGAGGTATTTTATTGTCTTTGAAGCAATTGTGAATGGGAGATCACTCATGATTTGGCTCTCTGTTTGTCTGTTATTGGTGTATAGGAATGCTTGTGATTTTTGCACATTGATTTTGTATCCTGAGACTTTGCTAAAGTTGCCTATCAGCTTAAGGAGATTTTGGGCTGAGACGATGGGGTTTTCTAAATATACAGTCATGTCATCTGCAAACAGGGACAATTTGACTTCCTCTTTTCCTAATTGAATACTCTTTATTTCTTTCTCTTGCCTGATTGCCCTGGCCAGAACTTCCAAAACTATGTTGAATAGGAGTGGTGAAAGAGGGCATCCCTGTCTTGTGCCAGTTTTCAAAGGGAATGTTTCCAGTTTTTGCTCATTCAGTATGATATTATCTATGTGTTTGTCATAAATAGCTCTTATTATTTTGAGACACGTTCTATCAATACCTAGTTTATCGAGAGTTTTTAGCATAAAGGGCTGTTGAATTTTGTCAAAGGCCTTTTCTGCATCTGTTTGGATATTTATGTGGTTTCTGTCATTGGTTCTGTTTATGTGATGGATTACATTTATTGATTTGTGTATGTTGAACCAGCCTCACATCCCAGGGATGAAGCCGACTTTATCATGGTGGATACCTTTTTGATGTGCTGCTCGATTCAGTTTGCCAGTATTTTATTGAGGATTTTTGCATCGATGTTTTTCAGGGATATTGGTCTAAAATTCTCTTTTTTTGTTGTGTCTCTGCCAGGCTTTGGTATCAGGATGATGCTGGCCTCATAAAATGAGTTAGGGAGGATTCCTTCTTTTTCTATTGATTGGAATAGTTTCAGAAGGAATGGTACCAGCTCCTCTTTGTACCTCTGGTAGAATTCGATTGTGAACCCATCTGGTCCTGCACTTTTTTTGGTTGGTAGGCTATTAATTATTGCCTCAATTTCAGAGCCTGTTACTGGTCTATTCAGAGATTCAACTTCTTCCTGGTTTAGTCTTGGGAGGGTGTATATGTCCAGGAATTTATCCATTTCTTCTAGATTTTCTAGTTTATTTGTGTAAAGGTATTTAAGTATTCTCTGATGGTCATTTGTATTTCTCTGGGATTGGTGATGGTATCCCCTTTATCATTTTTTATTGCATCTATTTGATTCTTCTCTCTTTTCTACTTTATTACTCTTGCTGGTGATCTGTCTGTCAATTTTGTTGATCTTTTCAAAAAACCAGCTCCTGGATTCATAGATTTTTTTGAAGTGTTTTTTGTGTCTCTATTTCCTTCAGTTCTGCTCTGGTCTTAGTTATTTCTTGCCTTCCGCTAGCTTTTGAATGTGTTTACTCTTGCTTCTCTAGTTCTTTTAATTGTGATCTTAGGGTTGCGATTTTAGATCTTTCGTGCTTTCTCTTTTGGACATTTAGTGCATGGCATGAGTACTACGTGACGCATGCACAAGCTTCAGTAGCTGATTCGATCAAGTGGAAGAAAGGGTATCAGTGATTGAAGGTCAAATGAATGAAATAAAGTGAGAGGAGAAGTTTAGAGAAAAAAGAGTAAAAAGAAACCAACAAAGCCTCCAAGAAATATGGGACTATGTAAAAAGACCAAATCTACGTTTGATTGGTGTACATGAAAGTGACAGGGAGAATGGAACCAAGTTGGAAAACACTCTTCAGGATATTATCCAGGAGGACTTCTCCTACCTAGCCAGGCAGGCCAACATTCAAATTCAGGAAATACATAGAACACCACAAAGATACTCCTTGAGAAGAGCAACTCCAAGACACGTAATAGTCAGATTCACCAAGGTTGAAATGAAGGAAAAAATGTTTCGGGCAGCCAGAGAGAAAGGTCGGGTTACCCACAAAGGGAAGCCCATCAGACTAACAGTGGATCTCTCGCCAGAAACTCTACAAGCCAGAAGAGAGTGAGGGCCAATATTCAACATTCTTAAAGAAAAGAATTTTCAACCCAGAATTTCATATCCAGCCAAACTAAGCTTCATTACTGAAGGGAAATTAAATTCTTTACAGACAAGGAAATGCGGAGAGATTTTGTCACCACCAGGCCTGCCTTACAAGAGCTCCTGAAGGAAGCACTAAACACGGAAAGGAACAACCAGTATCAGCCACTGCAGAAACATGCCAAATTGTAAAGATCATCGATGCTGGGAAGAAACTGCATCAACTAACTGCCAAAATAAATTACAGGCATGTGCCACCAAATCTGGCTAATTTTTTGTATTTTTAGTAGAGATGGGTTTCTCCATGTTGGTCAGGCTGGTCACGAACAGTGTAGCATCTTTAAATCTCTCGCTGACTATGGCTTTCTTGTATCCCTCTTTCATGTAAAAGAAACAGTGAGATTGATTACATTGGGTCCACCTGGATAATCCAGAATAATCTCCCTATCCCCAGATCCTTAAAACATATCCGCAAGTGCTTTTTTTCCATTTAAATAACATATTCATAGGCTCTGAGTTTCTGAATGCCCCAAAAGTGGGCGAATTGTTGGGCCGTTATTCTGCCTGTCACAGTAGATAATACTATCAACAAATTTATGCCAAAAACTCAGACAATTTAAATAAAATGGATAAATTCATTCAAAAAACAGCTAAAGCACACTGAAGAAGAAATAGATCATCTAAATAACCTTATATATATTAAAGACATTGGACATGTAGTTATAAAACTTCTGACAAATAAAAGTCCAGGCCAAGATCATTTCCCTGATTAATTTTACTATTTAAGGAAGAAAATAATACCTAGTCTACAAAAATTCTTCCAGAAAATTGTAGAGTAAATCATGCTTTCTACCTCTTTCTATGAGGGAAGTATTACCCTAATACCAAAACCAGATGAAAACACTTCAAGGAAAGAAAGAAGTGACCAGTATTGCTCATGGACAAAGGTTAAAAAAGAAAAAAAAAAAGGCCTAACAGAATGTTACCAAATAAAATCAAACAATATATAAAAAGGGTAATATATCCTGACAAAGTGATATTTATCCTATGAGTGCAAGGTTTGTTTTTACCCTTAAAAATTAATGAATATAATTCACTTTTTTTTGTTTGTTGTTGAGACAGGATCTCACTCTGTCACCCAGGCTGGAGTGCAGTGGTACAATCTTGGCTCACTGCAACCTCCGCCTCTCTAGCCCAAGTGATCTTCCCACCTCAGCCTCTATTGCAACTACAGATGTGCGCCATTACCCAACATTTTTTTTTTTTTTTGGTATTTTTTGTAGAGATGAAGTTCTCACTATGTTGCGAGGGCTGGTCTTGAACTTCTGGGCTCAAGCAATCTGCCTGCCTCAGCCTCGCAAAGTGTTGGCATTAACAGGCATGATCCACCACAGCCGATCCACAGTATTTTTAGATTGAAAAAGAAATGTCATGTGATCATCTTACCAGATGCAGAAAAAAAAATCTCTTGGTAAAACCGAACATCCATTCCAAATAAAAACTCTCATCAAACTAGATGAGAACTTCCATTCCAAATAAAAACTCTCATCAAACACTGATGAGAACTTCCTCAACGTGATTCAAAGTACCTATTAAAATATCTACATTTAACATTACACTTAATGGTGAAAGAATGAATGCTATCTCCCTAATATCAGGAATAAGGGAAGGGTGTCCACTCTCACCAGTTTTTTTTTTTTTTTTTTTTTTTTTTGAGACGGAGTCTCGCTTTGTCACCCAGGCCGGACTGCGGACTGCAGTGGCGCAATCTCGGCTCACTGCAAGCTCCGCTTCCCGGGTTCACGTCATTCTCCTGCCTCAGCCTCCCGAGTAGCTGGGACTACAGGCGCCCGCCACCGCGCCCGGCTAATTTTTTGTATTTTTAGTAGAGACGGGGTTTCACCTTGTTAGCCAGGATGGTCTCGATCTCCTGACCTCATGATCCACCCGCCTCGGCCTCCCAAAGTGCTGGGATTACAGGCGTGAGCCACCGCGCCCGGCCCACTCTCACCAGTTTTATTCAACATTGTACTGTAAGTTTTTGCTAACACATTAAGAAAAAAACCAGAAATAATAAAGGCATTCAAATTTGAAATGAAGAAGTAAATCTTATTCATTAGTGGCATGATCATATACATAAAAAGTCCTGTGGAGTGTGCAAAAAGTTAATATAGTTAATAAGTGAGGTTAGCAACTGTTCTAGGATACAAGAACAACTTAGAGAAATCAATTATTTTTTATACTAGCAAAGAAAAATCAGATATTGAATTTTTTAAAACATTACTTATATTAGTATCAGGAATATGAAATGCTTATATATCACCTTGACAAAACCTGGACAAAACAGAGGTACACTAAAAACTAGAAAAATTATTGATAGAAATTAAAGAGAACTGAATAAAGGAGAGATATATTGTGTTCCTGGATTGAAAGATTAACATTGGTAAGATGTAAATTATTCCTTAACTGATTTATAGATCAAATGAGTTCTGAATAAAAATTTTCCTAGGTTCTTTTTCTTTTGGTAGAAATTGACGAAATGATTCTAAAAAGAAAATGCAAATGCAAAGGACACACACACACAAAAACAACTTTAAAAAATAAATTTAACATTGGAGGACTAATGATACCTAACTTCAAAACTTATTAGAAAGCTTGAGAAATGAGGACACTGAAAAAATGATGTACAGGCAGACAGATCAATGGAACAAAATAGCACAAAGATAGAGCCAAAAATGTAGAACAACTGATTTTTTACAAAATTGCAAAAGAAATTCTTTGTAGAATGTAGAGCTTTGCAAAAAATGGTGCTGAAATAATTAGATATCCATATGTAAAAAAATTTACATCCATACCTTGTACCATATAAAAATTAACTCAAAATGGAGCCTAGATAAAAATTTAAGACCTAAAACTATTAGTCGTCTAGAAAAAAGCATAAGAGAAAACCTGTGACTTTCAATTAGACAAAGTCCTTTTAAATAGGATATAAAAAGCATGAGCCATAAAAGAAAAAATACTTAATAAATAAAACAATTAAAATGAAGAACTTATGCCCTTTGAAAGACAATCGTAAGAGAATATTTTTTTAAAAGCCACAGACTTGGAGAAAATATTTGCAAATCACATGTTGACTTTCTAGGGGCCAAGGAGGGCCCTCTGAAGATTCACTGAAAAATCTACTTGCAAAAGGCAGACTAACTGGAGAACAGGTGCATATGAACCAGATATGGTCATTCACATCTGCAGTCTCAGCTACTGGGGAGGGTGAGGCGAGAGCATGGCTTGAGCCCAGGAAATTGAGGCTGCAGTGAGTTATAATAGTGCCACTGTACTTCAGCCTGGGCAAAAGAGCGAGGCTCCATCTCTTAAGGAAAAAAAAACAAAAGGCATACAAATTTATTTAATGTGTGTATACAGGAGCCTTCAGAATGCAGGCCCAAAGATACAGGAGAATCATTGATTTTTATTCTTAGATTGAACAAAGTATGAACAACCATGTAGAAATATGATTAGACAAAACAGGTATGATGTAATGCTAATGGACCGAGTGAGGAAACCCAGCCAATCCTGTCTGTCTAGATTTTTCTTGGCCTCTCTGTGCAGCATTCCTTCCTTCCAGGTATGGGGCAGGACCTTCTCTGGAATGGGGTCTTAGGCTCTACAGTCAAACAAGACAGGTCAGGTAATTTCTTTATGGCCAGATCTTACACAGAAACATAAAGGGAAAATTAGAGTAATAATTTTAGGTTTTATGGCTGGCTGTAAGGAAAAGGAGTCCTGGTTTCTATAAACTGCCTTCACGAAGAGGGATTCTAGTTTCGATGGCTAGCCTTAGGGGGAAATGGAGCTGAGAGACAGGAAGGAAGGGAAAGGTCAAAGAAAAATCTTTCCTTCTGAGGCTGCTTTTGAGGGCTTCATTTTGGGGTATTGTTTTCTGAGCCCCAACAACTATTATCCAATATATTTTCAAAAACTCTCAAAACTCAATAAGAAAACAATAAAAACCCAATACAAAAATAGATCAATGATTTAAGCAGACATTCACCAAGGAAGATATATGATAGTAAATATGCACTTTAAAAGTAGCTCAAGATTATTACTTATTAGGAAAACAAAAATTGATAGCTCAATTAGATATTACAACCCAGATATTAGAATGTCTCAAGTGAAAAAGAATTAACATTCCAAGTGTTGGTGAAGTAGAGCAACTAGAACTGCTGGTGGGACTGAAAAACTGAATACTTTGGAAAACATTTTGGAAGTTTCTTCAAAAGTTAAATATAACCTTACCCTATAACCCAGCCATTCTACCCTAGAGTTTTTATCCAAGAGAATCAAACGCACATGCCTAGGCAAAGATGTGTACTGTAATATTCATAGCAACTTGATTTGTTTTTTGTGGTTGTTGTTGATTTTTGAGATGGAGTCTCACTCTTGTCACCCAGGCTGGAGTGCAGTGGCTCAATCTCAGCTCACTGCAACTTCCGCCTCCCGCGTTCAAGCAATCCTCATGCCTCAGCCTCCCAAGTTGCTGGGATTACAGGCACCCACCACCATGCCCGACTAATTTTTGTATTTTTAATTGAGACAGTGTTTTACCATGTTGGTCAGGCTGGTCTCAAACTCCTGACCTCAAGTGATCTGCCCGCCTTGGCCTCCCAAAGTGCTGGAATTACAGGCATGAGGCACCGCGTCTGTCCATAGCAACTTTATGTGTAATAGGCAAACTGGGAAATGACTCAAATGCCATTGAAACGTGAACCGATAGATAAATTATGGTGTATCCATTCAATGGAATATGACTTAGCAATGTAAAGAAATAAACTCATTCTACAGTTACAACATAGATGAATCTAAAAATAAATATGCTGAGCCAAAGAAGCCAGACCAAGTAAAAGGAGGAGTACATATTATATGATTCATTTATATGGAAATCTAGAACATGCAAACTAATCTATAGTGACAGAAAGCACTGTCAGGATTTGCTTAGTAACAAGGTGGAACAGATGTGTCAGAGAGGGATTTTAAAGTGAGGAAACTTCAGGAGGTGATGGATACATCCATTATCTTGATTGTGGTGATTGGTTCATATGCATGTACATATATCAAAACTAAACTATACACTTTCAATATGTGTAGTTTTTATATTATTATAATATATGTAAAACATCTCAATAAAGTTGTTAAAAAAACAGAACATTTATAAGAAATTTAGTAATATAAAGAACACATGTTATTAGTAATAATATTTCTTATTAGATATTAAATATTAAAATATAAATACATGCCTATATATGCTAATTCTGATTTATTTACCTTGTCATACATTTAAAACAAACAAATAAAAGTAATCTGTATACTACTGTGAATGCTTCTGTGGTAGATACTCCTGTATCTGTATGTTGATGAATCTCTATTTTCGATCTAGTAAAAAAGTGTAAATTTTTCTGCAAAATCTTCTGTAATCCAGGTCTGCAAAGAAGCCACACAGGGCTGGGTGCAGTGGCTCATGCTTGTAATCCTAGCACTTTGTGAGGCCGAGGTGGGTGGATCTCTTAAGTCCAGGAGTTTAAGACCAGCCTGGGCAGCATGGTAAAACCCTGTCTCTACAAAAATACAAAAAATACAAAAACTAGCCAGGTGTGGTGGCCCACGCCTGTAGTCCCAGCTATTCAGGAGGCTGAGGTAGGAGGATCACCTGAGCCCAGGGAAGCAGAGGTACTAGTGAGCTGAGATCTTGGCACTGCACTCCAGCCTGGGTGACTGAATGATGAGGGCACATCAGAAAACAATCTTCCAGCTTTGCTAAAAGCAGAAAATAAACTACTGAAGCAGGTGAGACAGTAAGTGGGTGGATTACCTTCAAGCCTGTTGCTTTAAATAAATCAGAAATCATAGTAAAGAAGTAATTTGTCCATTTCAACCCCTTTGTTCTATCTTCTAAAACCTATTGAGCTCATCTAATAATCCTCAAATGCATTATTAAATAATTAAGAAGTTTTGAGGAAAAAAAATCCTTGTGAAGACTTGTCAATCCCTTTCTTATCCTACCTCCACAATGAGTCTACATAATCTGTAAGCTTATCCCACCCTTCTCCTAATTCAACATGAGAAAATATGCGAAGCATCATGCCTCTGATGAAAAATGGGATATTTGGAAAGTTTCTATTTTGCTAAATGAGTTCCCTACCTTCTACATCTTCTGCTCCACCATCTACCCTTGTCTCTGCGCTGTCCCTCCTGCTCTATATAGACACATGCACACGTATGTTTATTGCGGCACTATTCACAATAGCAAAGACTTGGAACCAACCCAAATGTCAAACAATGATAGACTGGGTTAAGAAAATGGCACATACACACCATGGAATACTATGCAGCCATAAAAAATGATGAGTTCATGTCCTTTGTAGGGACATGGATGAAGCTGGAAACCATCATTCTCAGCAAAATATCGCAAGGACAAAAAACCAAACACCGCATATTCTCACTCATAGGTGGGAATTGAACAATGAGAACACATGGACACAGGAAGGGGAACATCACCCACCGGGACTGTTGTGGGGTGGGGGAGGGGGGAGGGGGGAGGGATAGCATTAGGAGATAAACCTAATGCTAAATGACGAGTTAATGGGTGCAGCACACCAACATGGCACATGTATACATATGTAACAAACCTGCACATTGTGCACATGTACCCTAAAACTTAAAGTATCATAATAATAAAATTAAAAAAGAGACAATAATCCAGATTAGGCCTTTTGTAATCTTTCTGTGAGTTCAGAAGTTAATTGTAAAGAGTTGACAGGTTTTTCTTGTTGAAAAACATCAGACATTCCTTGTGTGTAACCATTAGGTTTTCATTTGATATTACATAAGGCAGCTTATGGACCTTATTGATTTAATGAGCCAAAATGTATGTGCCTCGTAAAGCAAGTCAGGACATACATTTTTATAACAGTTTGGAGAACAACATATCTTTGAAGCATGTGGCCTGGATTTTGAGGCCACATTGCTACCGTATCTCTCATCTCTGAGAAACTCTATTTGTTTAGTTTAGCTTTTGTTTTAAATGTGTTTTCCTAATTTGCTATTTAATATAAACAGGAAATTTAGTACTGCAAGGAGCATAAAACTGATATGGATTTTGAATTACATAATTTCATGTCAAATAAAACAAAATTTACATTCTATAGGCATGAAACACTTAATGGCATTAGGATATAGAACAAAAACCTTTACAATAGGTAACTTTAGTTAACTTGTACATATTTGTGAGAACATCTTATATATTTCCTAGTATTTCCTACTTTCCCTTATTGAAAAGTAATCTTATTAGAGACTTCTTTTTCAGTTGCCCAATATCCTCATACACTGATGCAGTACATGCCAATAGTACAACCAATACAAAGGGGAAATTGTCAAATCCAGAAAATTCACAGATACGTTTACCGTTTGAAACAGCAATCCCATTTCTAAGAAGCTATCTTAAAGTTACAGCTAGAAAAGTATGTAACATGTCCCAACTCATTAATTGTAACACTATTTGTAATGGCAAAAAAATGGAAGCAAGTCTAAATGTCTATCAGTAGGGAGGGAGTTGAATAAGTTATTATATTATCCCACAGTGAAGTATATGCAACCATATGTAAAATGAAGAGGATGTCTGCATAATGATAGGTTGTGATCATCAGGATCCATTAAGTGAAAAAGGCAAGGTGCAGATCACTGTATATAGCAAGCTATGTTTTGTAAAATAAAAAAGAGAAAAATGTAAATATGTATGTATTTCTTGTATTTGCAGAAAGAAATATTGGAAGAGTGAACTGAAAGCAAAAATTACTACTATAAATGCACTGGCAATAAGGGTGAAAGGGTTAAGATGAAAGCCAAATTTTTTGAGTATATATATATATATAACTTAATGTTTTACATATTTAGAATATAATACATAGTTTAAAACAACATTAAAAAGCACTTGTCAATTACAGAAACAAATGTTGCAGGAAGTCTTCACTTTGCAAGTTGATTGTTGAGGAAAGAATTGACTCTTCAACTCAGTTTATTGTATAAACTGTATATAAGAATAATCATATGGTTCTTGTTAATAAAATAAAGCTCTTTTTGGAGAAAAATGTCAGCTAGTAGGATCATTTTTCAACTCTATGAAATAATTGACAGGCAATCAATGGGCAATCACTAATGGATACTAAAATAATTGAGTGAAAGATTGATAGAAAACTGAACATTCACACAGGGTCCAAGTACCCCTTCCTGGTACTTGTGCAGTAGCACACCAAAAGAGGAAAAACAACCAAACGTGATCACTTGAAACCTGTAGTCAGGTTTCATCATCAATAGCAATGTGTTGTCCAATTCACAACAAGCAGGTATTAGGTTTATCCTGATGTAATATGACATAAAGTACACAGCATGACATAAAGTACACAGCATCACCTATGAAGTATTCTTGCCAAAATGTTTAACCTGAGTTTCATGAAGATTTTAAGTCTAATTATCAGTTTACATGAAATTAAACATGGTAATTAGACAGCATATTTTAGGGGCAATTAGGGGACATAAGAACACATTAAACGAGAGCAGGGAGAAGCAGTCAGACCAATGCAGAAGGTGGGACACTCTACAAGATCTGTGGCCTGTTCTAACAAGTAAATTTCTGACAAAGATAAAGAGGTTGTGATAGGAAATCAATTCTAGTTTAGACAAACAAACTCTATAATACATTATGAAAAAATTAAATGTGGACTAAATATTAGATGGTATTAAAGAATTATTAATTTTATCAGGATTGATCATGGTATTGTGATTAGGTAGGAAAATGTCTTTTTGTCAGAGATGCACCCTGAGATATTCAGGGGAGAAATGCCATGTCGTCTACAATTTATTTAAAATATCTAAAAATAAACGGATAAGAATTTGAATATGATACTAACAATCATTAAACCTGTGTGATGAGCATATTGAGGGGGTGGGTCAAAATTTTATTCTTTCTACCATTATGTATGTTTCTAATTTTTTATTTAACGAAAAACTAAAAATTAAAATTGAAACAAAGAAACAGCAATTGGCTATGACTTTCCTGGGCCCATTTTCCCTTCCTGATGGCCAGGAGAGAGCGAGAGCTGAAGCAGCTGCCTTGAATTTATAAGCAGAAACCTCCAGTTGGCAGAGCGGTGCCAGCCCTGGGCCACCAGCGCTAAATCACCAAATCACCTGCCTACCCAGGGAAAGATAATTATTATAATCAAGTCATTGAAAAAACATTTTTAAAAAATTGTGTTGTAACATTTCAGAATATATTGAGATGGGATTTCCACTGTACATCTCAGAAGTCCCACTCTCCCCTCATACACCTTCGAGACTAAATCTTAGGCCTTCTGAGACATGCAAGAGTGGGAGCACATGGAAAGACTCACTGCAACACTGGAGCATTGTTAATTCCTAACAACAGTTGCCAGAGAGTTTCTTTGATTTACCTCACTAATGATGAAATGAAGTTCCTCCATGTAGGTGGCTTATAAAATAGAAAGGAAGCTGGCTTGAGGACTCAGTGTCCTCAATTATTTATTTACATAAATATCTTTTCCAAACAGTAAATTTTGTCAACACTGAGAAAGGAGAATTGTAATAACCAGAAGTATGTGGATATAAGACAGCTGTTTTTTTTAAAAAAACAACACGAATAAAAAACGTGTGAAATATCTTCTTGGCAGGGTCCTGAGTGCCATAAATTTCTAGGCATAGTTTGTAATAAGTGGTAGAAATGATAGTTAAATATTTCATTTGTTTGGAAACTGTTCTTAATTCTATCATTATAGGACCATTTATTTGGTGCTATAAAATTTTTATATTTTAAGAAGCGTTTGATGTGTCTGACATGTAGTAAACAGCACCCAATTCTCAAACAGCACACCTCTTATTTTTTTTTAATTATACTTTAAGTTCTAGGGTACATGTGCACAATGTGCAGGTTTGTTACATCTGTATACATGTGCCATGTTGGTGTGCTGCACCCATTAACTCGTCACTTACATTAGGTATATTTCCTAATGCTATCCCTCCCCCCACCCACACCCCACTACAGGCCCCAGTGTGTGATGTTCCCCACCCTGTGTCCAAGTGTTCTCATTGTTCAGCTCCCACCTATGAGTGAGAACATGCGGTGTTTGGTTTTCTGTCCTTGCGATAGTTTGCTAAGAATGATGGTTTCCAATCATCCATGTCCCTACAAAGGAAATGAACTCATCTTCTTTTATGGCTGCATAGTATTCCATGGTGTATATGTGCCACATTTTCTTAATCCAGTCTATCATTGTTGGACATTTGGGTTGGTTCCAAGTCTTTGCTATTGTGAATAGTGCCACAATAAACATACGCGTGCATGTGTCTTTATAGCAGCATGATATATAATCCTTTGGGTATATACCCAGTAATGGGATGGCTGGGTCAAATGGTATTTCTAGTTCTAGATCCCTGAGGAATCGCCACACTGACTTCCACAATGGTTGAACTAGTTTACAGTCCCACCAACAGTGTCAAAGTATTCCTATTTCTCCACATCCTCTCCAGCACCAGTTGTTTCCTGACTTTTTAATGATCGCCATTCTAACTGGTGTGAGATGGTATCTCATTGTGGTTTTGATTTGCATTTCTCTGATGGCCAGTGATGATGAGCATTTTTTAATATGTTTTTTGGCTGCATAAATGTCTTCTTTGGAGAAGTGTCTGTTCATATCCTTTGCCCACTTGTCGATGGGGTTGTTTGATTTTTTTCTTGTAAATTTCTTTAAGTTCTTTGTAGATTCTAGATATTAGCCGTTTGTCAGATGGGTAGATTGTAAAAATTTTCTCCAATTCTGTAGGTTGCCTGTTCACTCTTATGGAAGTTTCTTTTGCTGTGCAGAAGCTCTTTAGTTTAATTAGATCCCATTTGTCAATTTTGGCTTTTGTTGCCATTGCTTTTGGTGTTTTAGACATGAAGTCCTTGCCCATGCCTCTGTCCTGAATGGTATTGCCTAGGTTTTCTTCTAGGGTTTTTATGGTTTTAGGTCTAACATTTAAGTCTTTAATCCATCTTGAATTAATTTTTGTATAAGGTGTAAGGAAGACATCTGGTTTCAGCTTTCTACTTAGGGCTAGCCAGTTTTCCTAGCACCATTAATTAAATAGGGGATCCTTTCCCCATTTCTTGTTTTCATCAGGTTTGTCAAAGATCAGATGGTTGTAGATGTGTGGTATTATTTCTGAGGGCTCTGTTATGTTTCATTGGTCTATATGTCTGTTTTGGTATGGCACCATGCTGTTTTGGTTACTGTAGCCCTGTAGTATAGTTTGAAGTCAGGTAGGGTGATGCCTCCAGCTTTGTTCTTTTTGCTTAGGATTGTCAGGTAATGTGGGCTCTTTTTTGGTTCCATGTGAACTTTAAAGTAGTTCTTTCCAATTCTGTGAAGAAAGTCATTGGTGGCTTGATGGGGATGGCATTGAATCTATATATTACCTTGGGCAGTATGGTCATTTTCATGATATTGATTCTTCCTATCCTAGAGCATGGAATGTTCTTCCATTTGTTTGTGTCCTCATTTATTTCGTTGAGCAGTGGTTTGTAGTTCTCCTATGTCCTTCACATCCCTTGTAAGTTGGATTCCTAGGTATTTTATTCTCTTTATTCAGCAATTGTGAATGGGAGATCACTCATAATTTGGCTCTCTGTTTGTCTGTTATTGGTGTATAGGAATGCTTGTGATTTTTTGCACATTGATTTTGTATCCTGAGACTTTACTGAAGTTGCTTATCAGTTTAAGGAGATTTTGGGCTGAGATGATGGGGTTTTCTAAATATACAATCATGTCATCTGCAAACAGGGATAATTTGAATTCCTCTTTTCCTAATTGCATACCCTTTATTTCTTTCTCCTGCCTGATTGCCCTGGCCAGAACTTCCAACACTATGTAGAATAGGAGTGGTGAGAGAGGGCATCCCTGTCTTGTGCCAGTTTTCAAAGGGAATGCTTGCAGTTTTTACCCATTCAGTATGATATTGGCTGTGGGTTTGTCATAAATAGCTCTTATTATTTTGAGATACATCCCGTCAATACCTAGTTTATTGAGAGTTTTTAGCATGAAGGGCTGTTGAATTTTGTCAGAGGCCATTTCTGCATCTATTGAGATAATCATGTGGTTTTTGTCTTTGGTTTTGTTTATATGATGGATTACGTTTATTGATTTGCATGTGCTGAACAAGCCTTGCATCCCAGGGATGAAGCCAAGTTGATCGTGGTGGATAAGCTTTTTGATGTGCTGCTGGATTTGGTTTGCCAGTATTTTATTGAGGATTTTTGCATCGATGTTCATCAGGGATATTGGTCTAAAATTCTCTTTTTTTGTTGTGTCTCTGCCAGGCTTTGGTATCAGGATGATGCTGGCCTCATGAAATGAATTAGGGAGGATTCCCTCTTTTTCTGTTGATTGGAATAGTTTCAGAAGGAATGTTACCAACTCCTGTTTGTACCTCTGGTAGAATTCAGCTGTGAATCCATCTGATCCTGGACTTTTTTTGGTTGGTAGGCTATTAATTATTGCCTCAATTTCATAGCCTGTTATTGGTCTATTCAGGGATTCAATTTCTTCCTGGTTTAGTCTTGGGAGGGTGTATGTGTCCAGGAATTTATCCATTTCTTCTAGATTTAATAGTTTATTTTTGTAGAGGTGTTTATAGTATTCTCTGATGGTGGTTTGTATCTTTGTGGGATCGGTGGTGATATCCCCTTTATCATTTTTTATTGCATCTATCTGATTCTTCTCTCTTTCCTTCTTTATTAGTCTTTCTAGCAGTCTATCAATTTTGTTGATGTTTTCAAAAAACCAGCTCCTGGATTCATTGATTTTTTGAAGGGTGTTTTGTGTCTCTATCTCCTTCAGTTCTGCTCTGATCTTAGTTATTTCTTGCCTTCGGCTAGCTTTTGAATGTGTTTTTCTCTTGCTTCTCTAGTTCTTTTAATTGTGATGTTAGGGTGTCAATTTTAGATCTTTCCTGTTTTCTCTTGTGGGCATTTATTGATATAAATTTTCCTCTATACACTGCTTTAAATGTTTCCTAGAGATTCTGGCATGTCGTGTCTTTGTTCTCATTGGTTTGAAAGAACATCCTTATTTCTTCCTTCATTTCATGATATACCCAGTAGTCATTCAGGAGCAGGTTGTTCAGTTTCCATGTAGTTGAGCAGTTTTGAGTGAGTTTCTTAATCCTGAGTTCTGGTTTGATTGCACTGTGGTCTGAGAGACAGTTTGCTACAATTTCTGTTCTTTTACATTTGTTGAGGAGTGCTTTACTTCCAACTATGTGGTCAATATTGGAATAAGTGTGATGTGGTGCTGAGAAGAATGTATATTCTGTTGATTTGGGGTGGAGAGTTCTGTAGATGTCTATTAGGTCCACTTGGTGCAGAGCAGAGTTCAATTCCTGGATATCCTTGTTAACTTTCTGTCTCATTGATCTGCCTAATGTTGACAGTGGGGTGTTAAAGTCTGCCATTATTATTGTGTGGGAGTCTAAGTCTCTTTGTAGGTCTCTAAGGACTTGCTTTATGAATCTGGGTGCTCCTGTATTGGGTGATATATATTTAGGATACTGAGCTCTTCTTGTTGAATTGATGCCTTCACCATTATGTAGTAGCCTTCTTTTCTCTTTTGATCTTTGTTGGTTTAAAGTCTACTTTATCCGAGACTAGGATTGCAACCCCTCCTTTTTTTTGTTTTCCATTTGGTTGGTAGATCTTCCTCCATCCCTTTATTTTGAGCCTATGTGTGTCTCTGCATGTGGGATGGGTATCCTGAATACAGCACACTGACGGGTCTTGACTCTTTATCCAATTTGCTAATCTGTGTCTTTTAATTGGAGAATTTAGCCCATTTACATTTGATGTTAATATTGTTATGTGTGAATTTGTTCTTGTCATTATGATTTTACCTGGTTATTTTGATCGTTAGTTGTTGCAGTTTCTTTCTAGCATTGATAGTCTTTACAATTTGGTATGTTTTTGCAGTGGCTGGTATCAGTTGTTCCTTTCCATGTTTAGTGCTTCCTTCAGGAGCTCTTATAAGGCAGTCCTGGTGGTGACAAAATCTCTCAGCGTTTGCTTGTTTGTAAAGGATTTTCTTTCTCCTTCACTTATGAAGCTTAGTTTGGCTGGATATGAAATTCTGGGTTGAAAATTCTTTTCTTTAAGAATGTTGAATATTGGCCCTCATCTCTTCTGGCTTGTAGAGTTTCTGGCGAGAGATCCACTGTTAGTCTGATGGGCTTCCCTTTGCGGGTAACCCGACCTTTCTCTCTGGCTGCCCAAAACATTTTTTCCTTCATTTCAACCTTGGTGAGTCTGACAATTAAGTGTCTTGGAGCTGCTCTTCTCGAGGAGTATCTTTGTAGCATTCTCTGTATTTCCCAAATTTGAATGTTGGTATGCCTTGCTAGGTTGGGGAAGTTCTCCTGCATAATATCCTGCAGAGCGTTTTCCAACTTGGTTCCTTTTTCCCCCTTCACTTTCATGTACACCAATCAAATGTAGATTTGGTCTTTTCACATAGTCCCATGTTTCTTGGAGGCTTTGTTCGTTTCTTTTTACTCTTTTTCCTCTAAACTTCTCTTGTCACTTCATTTCATTAACTTGATCTTCAATCACTGATACCCTTTCTTCCACTTGATAGAATCAGCTACTGTAGCTTGAGCATACGTCACGTAGTTCTTGTGCCATGGTTTTCAGCTCCATCAGGTCATTTTAGGTCTTCTCTATGCTGTTTATTCTAGTTAGCCTTTTGTCTAATCTTTTTTCACTGTTTTTAGCTTCTTTGTGATGGGTTTGAACATCTTCCTTTAGCTCAGACAAGTTTTTTATTACCAATCATCTGAAGCCTTCTTCTCTCAACTCGTCAAAGTCATTCCCCGTCCAGCTTTGTTCCATTGCTGGTGAGTAGCTGCGTTCCTTTGGAGGAGAAGAGGCGCTCTGATTTTTAGAATTTTCAGCTTTTCTGCTCTGGTTCCCCCCATCTTTGTGGTTTTATCTACCTTCGGTCTTTGATGATGGTGATGTACAGATGGGGTTTTGGTGTGGATGTCCTTTCCGTTTGTTAGTATTCCTTCTAACAGTCAGGACCCTCAGCTGCAGGTCTGTTGGAGTTTGCTGGAGGTCCACTCCAGACCCTGTTTGCCTGAGTATCACCAGCAGAGGCTGCTGAACAGAAAATATTGCAGAATGGCCATTGTTGCTGCCTGATCCTTCCCTGGAAACTTCATCTCAGAGGTGCACCCGGCTGGATGAGGTGTCAGTCGGCCCCTACTGGGAGTTGCCTCCCAGTTAGGCTACTCGGGGTCAGGGACCCATTTGAGGAGGCAGTCTGTCCATTCTCAGATCTCAAACTCTGTGCTGGTAGAACCACTACTCTCTTCAAAGCTGTCAGAAGGGGACATTTAAGTCTGCAGAAGTGTCTGCTGCCTTTTGTTCAGCTATGCCCTGCCCCCAGGGGTGGAGTCTACAGAGGCAGGCAGGCCTGGTTGAACTGAGGTGGGCTCCATCTAGTTTGAGCTTCCTGGCCACTTTGTTTACCTATTCAAGCCTCAGCAATGGAGGATGCCCCTCCCCCAGCCTCGCTGCTGCCTTGCAGTTGGATCTCAGACTGCTGTGTTATCAGTAAGCGAGGCTCCGTGCACGCCTCTTATTTTTAATGTTCGGTTTGCTTCATGAGTCCTTGTGTCGAATACTATTCTGGGCAATGATTATTCATTAATACAAATAAACATTAGATTATAGGAAGAGTAAGCTTCCCATGATAACCGAAGTTATTATCAGATCCTAAAAGCAATAATTAAAAACCCTGTTCCCAGGTAGAATTGTAAAGTGGATGACTCCTGCATCCAGCATTCTCCCATTCATTTTTAGAGCCATCCAACTCCCTCAGTCACTTCACTGCCATTCCCTTTCCCAAGCCCCGGCTGCCGTCTAGATAGTCAGAGCTTCTTGGCCCATTGCAAGCACTCATCATGATGTTTAGCCACCAACCCAGCATTGTTTGGCATCTTTCTAAATTTCTTGGTTTTCACTCAAACCTCCCATAATCCAAATGATGACTGCTATAGAATTCCATCAGAAGACTTATGAAGACAAGTGATTTGACAGCAAAGAGTCAGAATTCTTAGGTTACAGTGGCAAAATCCTGTAGGCTCCATGTCTGTCATATATTGCTATTTGTTCAGTCTTACTTTGATCTACTCACTAAACAATTCATCCTCTATAGAACTGAGGGTGCAAAGGTGGTTGGTAGTGGGTTAAAGAGGAAAGTCAAATCAGAAATGAAGAAGAGGTTGAAGAGACCACATGTAGATTAAAAATAAACTTTTTTGGGGCATTGATTTTCATTTAGTCACAATATTTTTATTTTCAAATAACATTAAAGAAAAACAAACAGTCTTTATGTTTTTTAAAGGAGAAGCAGAGAAATATTACACTATTCCTAGTCAAAAGTAATGTTAGCAGGAATGTCTAGACTATTTCTATGTGTTTATTTCTCTTTATTTTAGTTAAATGATAGATTTACTCACTTGCAACTAACTCTTGCTATATTTCTCCCATTTCAAAATTCTTAAACTATTGTAGCTAAAAATTGTATCTATTTTACTTAGCTGCCTTTGGTAGCATTTGAAAGTGAATGCAAAATTTCTGGACAAAATAGAAACAGGTACATGGGCTAATATAGGAATATACACAATACTGTTAACTGTCCCAAGATTTTTCATTGATTATGTCTTCCATGGTGAGATTTCAGGCATAAAATTGGTTTGGGTTAGTACAAAGTCTGGCCCAACATATGCTTACTTGTAGTTCTTCCTAATAAGTCAAACAAGCTCACATTTATGGTGCTGAATATATTCTAGATTCATTGTATCTGTAGTTGCTAAAAATTTAGTTCCATGCCTTAGGATGGTATTAGAATGTCCATGATAAGAAAAATAAGTGCAGCAAAATAAAAGAAATGCCACGCCTATCTTTCTGTATTATTTTTTCCACTGGAGAAGGACAGATTTTACTCATTAAAACTACAAAAGTCTGAGACCAACTGCTCCATATTCTTTTGTGTTCGTTAAATGTTGTTATTTGGAGGTGACTTAATTAGACTAAAGCTAGAAGAGAAAACAATAGAATGTCAAAGATGCTTTTCAAGTTGTAAACTAATGTTTTAAGTTATAAACTACTTGATACTATTTTCTTAATTAAAAAGATATTTCTGAATCGAAAAGATCAAAGCTTCTGAGTAAATTTAGAAAGCATTTTTTTGTCATTTACAGAAAAGGGCTTTAAGAGCCTATGTTCCTTTGGCTTTAAGAGCTCTTCACTGTGACTTCAAAGTAATCATTTTCAGATTAATAAACTGGAGCTCGTCTTTGGAATTATCAGTTTTTCTTTTATTACAGAATCTGAGGTTAGCCAGAATCCATCTGCAGAACATGAGGCAGAAGGGAGAAACACCTAACAAGGTGAGGCCTTCCTTAACTATTTTAACACAAGCAATTAACCATTTATACTCACTTAAAAGCAGACAGCTGGGATGATGGTGTCTGCTAAAAAAAAAAAGTGTAATGAAATGTTCTTTAGTTTTTTGATCTTTAGTAAAATTTCATCTTCGTATAAAATTTTATTAACCATTCCACTAACTTGTTACTTCTCCACTCCACCTCCCCACTCCCTTTAGAATCCTTAGTTTGAAGACATAATTCTTTAAATGATCTGTCTCAGGGAGGGGGGATCTTGTTACTTTTAAGGACTGCAAATAGCATTATAAACTTTGTTTTTATTTTTAAATACGAATATCGACTGAAGCTCTCAAATCAATCAATATTGTTGCCAAATTTTGTAAAACGCACTGTCTTAGCTCTCTAACGATAGAGTTCTAATATAAATGTAAAAACCAACCTATCAACATGTTTTCAAAAATACTTTTTGTAAAGAACAGTACAATTTTGTGGTGTCCAAATATTCCTTTCTTTCTTACAAAATATTATTGGATCTGTCCAGTTCATAAATATTCCTGCCCTCTCTTCCTCCCTCCCTGCCTCTCTCTCCCTGCAGTTTTTTTGATGTTTGTTCTTTTCTTTCCATTTTCTAGTTATTAATTGGTTCAATGGATGACCTTTGTGCGACACTGTTATACCTTATCAGCCTCGCCAGGGCCCCCGCGCCGCCCAATCCCAGCAACTCTGGTTCTCCTGTGACCCCAAGCCTTCCAGATCCCTGGGTTTCCCCCCACGGGACTGTCACATTCTTCCCCGCCGGAGACGCCAGTCGCGGGGCCTCCTCCCTGGGGTGTGAGCAGGTCGGCGCGCCACACTTCTCTAGGTGGCCGGACGCGCGCCCAGGGAGGAGCTGGCGGCGGGGCCCAGGCTGTTCCGGCTGCGGCACGCCAGGGGATGTGGTTAGCCCTGAGCCTGGAGGCCGAAGGTGGGCAGGCAACACTCCCACCATGTTTCGGAGGAGAATACACTAGGCTAGCCTAACGACACTCGGAGTGCGAGCTGCGGCTGGGGTAGGGGCACCCCTTTCCAGCGGGCGCGTGGGTCACCAAGGAGCAGTTCTCCGGGACCCGTTGCGTCAGAGGGACTGGGCGGGGCTGGGCGGGGCAGGACGGGGGCGGCGCTCAGGAACCCTGGAACCCGCTGGCCCTGAGGCCACGGACCGAGACGTGGTGCTGAGCCCCTGCGCGGTTTCTGGTGCGTAGAGACTGTAAATCGCTGCGCTTCTCAGTCATCATCATCCCAGCTTTTCCCGGCTCGAATTCAGCCTCCAACTCAAGCTCGCGGGAAAGACTACCTGAGAGGAGAAAAGCTTCTGTCCCTGGACCTTCTTCTGAGGGTGGTGAGGTTTGTTTAGGGTCGCAGAAGCAGGGAGGACTGACTCAGCCCTCACAGAGAAGAGGTCTGGAAAGTCCTGGGGAACTCGCAGGGCACGGGCCGCTGTCGCGGTTGGGAGGCGAGGGCGCAGCGCTGGGGTTGTAGATTCCAAGACCCCTGAGGGTGGCTGTGTTGGTTTCTCGCAGGAGTCGGAGGCTCCCTGCTTTCCAGCCGCCCAGTGACCCAAGCTTAATCTTCAGCACCACTTGGGGCGACCTTTTCGGTGCAAACCTACGATTCTGTTTCTCAGGATTCCTCCCCATCCCGCTTCGCCCCGGAAAAGCTGACAAGAACTTCAGGTGTAAGCCCTGAGTAGTGAGGATCTGCGGTCTCCGTGGAGAGCTGTGCCTGGAAGAGAAGGACGCTGGTGGGGGCTGAGATCAGAGCTGTCTTCTGGCCCAGTTGCCCCCATGCTTCTGTCATGGCTAACAGTTCTAGGGGCTGGAATGGTCGTCCTGCACTTCTTGCAGAAACTCCTGTTCCCTTACTTTTGGGATGACTTCTGGTTCGTGTTGAAGGTGGTGCTCATTATAATTCGGCTGAAGAAGTATGAAAAGAGAGGGGAGCTGGTGACTGTGCTGGATAAATTCTTGAGTCATGCCAAAAGACAACCTCGGAAACCTTTCATCATCTATGAGGGAGACATCTACACCTATCAGGATGTAGACAAAAGGAGCAGCAGAGTGGCCCATGTCTTCCTGAACCATTCCTCTCTGAAAAAGGGGGACACGGTGGCTCTGCTGATGAGCAATGAGCCGGACTTCGTTCACGTGTGGTTCGGCCTCGCCAAGCTGGGCTGCGTGGTGGCCTTTCTCAACACCAACATTCGCTCCAACTCCCTCCTGAATTGCATCCGCGCCTGTGGGCCCAGAGCCCTAGTGGTGGGCGCAGGTAGAGTATGGGGTGTGGTCTGCCTATACAGAATGGCAGCCCACCTGCTTTCATACCCTTTTTTTTTTCTTTAGGATAATTCGTAACTAATATTTTGGGTGAGTGAAGTGTGCATGTTAAGAGTACAAAATAGTTTTATGATTCTATGCTGGTTTAACAACTGTCTCCTCCCTTCAGGCACGTAGTTTCAGAAAACTTTTATGAAATCTCTGCTTCCTACCATTTTGAGACAGGGACAGTTTTACTGCTATTGGTTCCTTCAGTGAGTGCAAGAACACACAGAGAACTTGGTCACTTCTAAATTTTATCAGCTCTGACAAAATGGTGAATAGGAAAGTTATCTGACTTCATTGTGACACGTCTACCTACCTCTAATTGTACTTTATCAGGGATGACTACATTTGCAGAAGAGATATGTTTAAAGGAAGGTACCTGAATTCCTTTCTTCATGTCTGCTCTTATTTTATACTGTCTGCAAGCTAGGACTTGCCTAGCAAGGTTGCGCTCCCACCTGTGAGCCAGAACGTGGGCTCTTGGCAGACTCTAGGAGCCTTTCTGTTTCTTCTTCTTATCCTTCCATGCATCCTTTTCTTTTTTTGACTAAGTTCTACCCTTCCTCCTCCCCCTGCCTTGGAGTTAGGACATCTTAGGCTACACGTATTTTCACTGAACTGTAAAGAAAAGCCTGGGGTTTAGTGGCTAATTAGTAAAGAAGCTAGGAAGATGGGTTGCTTAATGAAATAGAAGTGAAATATGAAAAATGATACTTATTTGGTGTAATCTAAATGGTTTATGCAGAGTCTTCTTCAATGGGGAAGGAAGGTGCGGAAAGAGGAAGATCCATTGCAAGGACCATAATGAAAATATTTAAGTATTTTAGATTAATAGATACATACCAATACCTTGTATAAAGTTTTTAAACTCACAGAACAATATGGAAAAATATATTTATACCCTGGTGATCTCTAAGGTATAGAACTTTTCAAATAACCTTTATGATATAATATTTGTATATCAAACCAAAGTGAGTTAGGCAGTATATGGAAAATGGGCTAGCCCTTCAAGGCTATCACTGTTCCTAGTTCTTTTCAGTTCAACTTGTGGTCTGATAAAGTGGCAAATGTATACTTTTTCTTATTTATTATTATTTTTTATTATTATACTTTAAGTTCTAGAGTACATGTGCACAAAGTGCAGGTTTGTTATGTATGTATACATGTGCCATGTTAGTGTGCTGCACCCATTAACTCATCATTTACATTAGGTATTCCTCCTAATGCTATCCCTCCCCACTCCCCCCACCCCACGACAGGCCCTGGTGTGTGATGTTCCCCACCCTGTGTCCAAGTATTCTCATTTTTCAGTTCCCACCTATGAGTGAGAACATGTGGTGTTTGGTTTTCTGTCCTTGTGATAGTTTGCTCAGAATGATGGTTTCCAGCTTCATCCATGTCCCTACAAAGGACATGAACTCATCCTTTTTTATGGCTGCATGGTATTCCATGGTGCATATGTGCCTCATTTTCTTAATCAAGTCTATCATTGATGGACATTTGGGTTGGCTCCAAGTCTTTGCTATTGAGAAAAGTGCCGCAATAAACATACATGTGTGTGTGTCTTTATAGAGGCATGATTTAGAATCCTTTGGGTATATACCCGGTAATGGGATGGCTGGGTCAAATGGTATTTCTAGTTCTAGATCCTTGAGGAATCACCACACCGTCTTCCACAATGGTTGAACTAATTTACACTCCCACCAACAGTGTCAAAGTGTTCCTATTTCTCCACATCCTCTCCCGCACCTATTGTTTCCTGACTTTTTAATGATCGCCATTCTAACTGGTGTGAGATGGTATCTCATTGTGGTTTTGATTTGCATTTCTCTGATGGCCAGTGATGATGAGCATTTTTTCATGTGTCTGTTGGCTACATAAATGTCTTCTTTGGAGAAGTGTCTGTTCATATCCTTTGCCCACTTTTTGATGGGGTTGTTTGATTTTTTTCTTGTAAATTTCTTTAAGTTCTTTGTAGATTCTAGATATTAGCCATTTGTCAGATGGGTAGATTGTAAAAATTTTCTCCCATTCTATAGGTTGCCTGTTCACTCTGATGGCAGTTTCTTTTGCTGTACAGAAGCTCTTTAGTTTAATTAGATCCCATTTGTCAATTTTGGCTTTTGTTGCCATTGCTTTTGGTGTTTTAGACATGAAGTCCTTGCCCATGCCTATGTCCTGAATGGTATTGCCTAGATTTTCTTCTATGGTTCTAATGGTTTTAGGTCTAACATTTAAGTCTTTAATCCATCTTGAATTAAATTTTGTATAAGGTGTAAGGAAGGTATCCAGTTTCAGCTTTCTACATATGGCTAGCCAGTTTTCCCAGCACCATTTATTAAATAGGGAATCGTTTCCCCATTTCTTGTTTTTGTCAGGTTTGTCAAAGATCAGATGGCTGTAGATGTGTGGTATTATTTCTGAGGGCTCTGTTCTGCTCCGTTGGTCTATATCTCTGTTTTGGTACTAGTACCATGCTGTTTTGGTTGCTGTAGCCCTGTAGTATAGTTTGAAGTCAGGTATCGTGATGCCTCCAGCTTTGCTCTTTTTGCTTAGGATTGTCTTGGCAATGCAGGCTCTTTTTTGGTTCCGTATGAACTTTAAAGTAGTTTTTTCCAATTCTGTGAAGAAAGTCATTGGTAGCTTGATGGGGATGGCATTGAATCTATAAGTTACCTTGGGCAGTATGGCCATTTTCATGATATTGATTCTTCCTATCCATGGGCATGGAATGTTCTTCCATTTGTTTGTGTCCTCTTTTTATTTCGTTGAGCAGTGGTTTGTAGTTCTCCTTGAAGAGGTCCTTCACATCCCTTGTAAGTTGGATTCCTAGGTATTTTATTCTCTTTGTAGCAATTGTGAATGGGAGATCACTCATGATTTGGCTCTCTGTTTGTCTGTTTTTGGTGTAAAGGAATGCTTGTGATTTTTGCACATTGATTTTCTGTCCTGAGACTGCTGAAGTTGCTTATCAGCTTAAGGAGATTTTGGGCTGAGATGCTGGGGTTCTCTAAATATACAATCATGTCATCTGCAAACAGGGACAATTTGACTTCCTCTTTTCCTAATTGAATACCTTTTATTTCTTTCTCCTGCCTGATTGCCCTGGCCAGAATTTCCAACACTATGTTGAATAGGAGTGGTGAGAGAGGGCATCCCTGTCTTGTGCCAGTTTTCAAAGGGAATGCTTCCAGTCTTTGCCCATTCAGTATGATATTGGCTATGGATTTGTCATAAATAGCTCTTATTATTTTGAGATACATCCCATCAATACCTAGTTTATTGAGAGTTTTTAGCATGAAGGGCTGTTGAATTTTGTCAGAGGCCTTTTCTGCATCTATTGAGATAATCATGTGGTTTTTGTCTTTGGTTCTGTTTATATGCTGGATTACGTTTATTGATTTGCATGTGCTGAACAAGCCTTGCATCCCAGGGATGAAGCCCACTTGATCATGGTGGATAAGCTTTTTGATGTTCTGCTGGATTTGGTTTGCCAGTATTTTATTGAGGATTTTTGCATCAGTGTTCATCAAGGATATTGGTCTAAAATTCTCTTTTTTTGTTGTGTCTCTGCCAGACTTTGGTATCAGGATGATGTTGGCCTCATGAATTAGGGAGGATTCCCTCTTTTTCTATTGATTGGAATAGTTTCAGAAGGAATGGTACCAATTCCTGTTTGTACCTCTGGTAGAATTCGTTGTGAACCCATCTTGTCCTGCACTTTTTTTGGTTGGTAGGCTATTAATTATTGCCTCAATTTCAGAGCCTGTTATTGGTCTATTCAGAGATTCAACTTCTTCCTGGTTTAGTCTTGTGACGGTGTATGTGTCCAGGAATTTATCCATTTTTTCTAGATTTTCTAGTTTATTTGCGTAGAGGTGTTTATAGTATTCTCTGATGGTCGTTTGCATTTCCGTGGGATCAGTGGTTGTATCCCCTTTATCATTTTTTATTGTGTCTATTTGACTCTTCTCTCTTTTCTTCTTTATTAGTCTTGCTAGCAGTCTACCAATTTTGTTGATCGTTTCAGAAAACCAGCTCCTGGATTCTTTGATTTTTTGAAGGGTTTTTTATGTCTCTATCTCCTTCAGTTCTGCTCTGATCTTAGTTATTTCTTGCCTTCTGCTAGCTTTTGAATGTTTTTCTCTTGCTTCTCTAGTTCTTTTAATTGTGATGTTAGGGTGTCAATTTTAGATCTTTCCTGCTTTCTCTTGTGGGCATTTAGTGCTATAAATTTCCCTCTACACACTGCTTTAAATGTTTTCCAGAGATTCTGATATGTTGTGTCTTTTTTCTCATTGGTTTCAAAGAACAGCTTTATTTCTGCCTTCATTTCGTTATTTACCCAGTAGTCATTCAGGAGCAGGTTGTTCAGTTTCCATGTAGTTGTGCGGTTTTGAGTGAGTTTCTTAACCCTGACTTCTAATTTGGTTGCACTATGGGCTGAGAGACAGTTTGCTACAATTTCTTTTCTTTTACATTTGCTGAGGAGTGCTTTACTTCCAACTATGTGGTCAATTTTGGAATAAGTGTGATGTGGTGCTGAGAAGAATGTATATTCTGTTGATTTGGGGTGGAGAGTTCTGTAGATGTCTGTTAGGTCTGCTTGGTGCAGAGCTGAGTTCAATTCCTTTATATCCTTGTTAACTTTTGGTCTCATTGATCTGTCTAATATTGACAGTGGGGTGTTAAAGTCTCCTATTATTATTGTTTGGGGGTCTAAGTCTCTTTGTAGTTCTCTAAGGACTTGCTTTATGAATCTGGGTGTTCCTGTATTGGGTGCATATATATTCAGGATAGTTAGCTCTTCTTGTTGAATTGATCCCTTTACCATTATGTAAGGGCCTTCTTTGTCTCTTGATCTTTGTTGGTTTAAAGTCTTTTTTATCAGAGACTAGGATTGCAACCCCTGCTTTTTGTTTTTTTGTTTTCCATTTGGTTGGTCGGTCTTCCTGCATCCCTTTATTTTGAGCCTATAGTGTGTCTCTGCACGTGAGATGGGTCTCCTGAATACAGCACACTGATGGGTCTTGACTCTTTATCCAATTTGCCAGTCTGTGTCTTTTCTTTGGGACATTTAGTCCATTTACATTTAATGCTAATATTGTTATGTGTGAGTCTGATCCTATCATTATGATTTTAGCTGGTTATTTTGCTCTTTAGTTGATGCAGTTTCTTTCTAGCGTCGATGGTCTTTACAATTTGGCATGTTTTAGCAGTGGCTGGTACTGGTTGTTCCTTTCCACATTTAGTGCTTCCTTTAGGAGCGCTTGTAAGGCAGGCCTGGTGGTGACAAAATCTCTCAGCATTTGCTTGTTTGTAAAGGATATTATTTCTCCTTCACTTATGAAGCTTAGTTTGGCTGGATATGAAATTCTGGGTTGAAAATTGTTTTCTTTAAGAATGTTGAATATTGGCCCCCATTCTCTTCTGGCTTGTAGAGTTTCTGCCAAGAGATCAGCTGTTAGTCTGATGGGCTTCCCTTTGTGGGTAACCCGACCTTTCTCTCTGGCTGCCCTTAACATTTTTCCTTCATTTCAACTTTGGTGAATCTGACAATTATGTGTCTTGGGGTTGCTCTTCTTGTGGAGTATCTTTGTGGCGTTGTCTGTATTTCCTGAATTTGAATGTTGGTCTGCCTTGCTAGGTAGGGTAAGTTCTCCTGGATAATATCCTGAAAAGTGTTTTCCAACTTGGTTCCATTCTCCCCATCACTTTCATGTACACCAATCAAACGTAGATTTGGTCTTTTCACATAGTCCCATATTTCTTCGAGGCTTTGTTTTTTCTTTTTACTCTTTTTTCTCTAAGCTTCTCTTCTCGTTTCATTTCATTTCATTCATTTGATCTTCAATCACTGATACCCTTTCTTCCACTTAATCAAATTGGCTACTGAAGCTTATGCATGCATCATGCAGTTCTCGTGCCATGGTTTTCAGCTCCATCATGTCATTTAAAGTCCTCTCTATGCTGTTTATTCTAATTAGCCATTCATCTAATCTTTTTTCAAGGTTTTTAGCTTCTTTGTGATGGTTTCGAACATCCCCCTTTAGCTCGGAGAAGTTTGTTATTACCGGTCTTCTGAAGCCTGCTTCTGTCACCTCATCAAATTCATTCTCCATCCAGTTTTGTTCCATTGCTGGCAAGTAGCTGTGATCCTTTGAAGGAGAAGAGGCACTCTGATTTTTAGAATTTTCAGCTTTTCTGCTCTGGTTTCCTATCTTTGTGGTTTTATTTACCCTTGGTCTTTGATGATGGTGACCTACAGATGGCGTTTTCATGTGGATGTCCTTTTTGTTGGTGTTGATGCTATTCCTTTCTGTTTATTAGTTTTCCTTCTAACAGTCAGGACCCTCAGCTGCAGGTCTGTTGTAGTTTGCTGGAGGTCCACTCCAGACCCCGTTTGCCTGGGTATCACCAGCGGAGGCTGCAGAACAGCAAATGTTGCTGCCTGATCCTTCCTCTGGAAGCTTGGTCTCAGAGGGGCACCTGCTTGTATGCAGTGTCAGTTGGCCCCTACTGGGAGATGTCTCCCAGTTAGGCTACTCGTGGGTCAGGGACCCACTTGAGGAGGCAGTCTGTCGGTTCTCAGATTTCAAACTCCCTGCTGGGAGAACCACTGCTCTCTTCAGAGCTGTCAGATGGGGACGTTTAAGTCTGCAGAAGTGTCTGCTGCCTTTTATTCAGCTATGCCCTGCCCCCAGAGGTAGAGTCTACAGAGGCACACAGCCCGGTTTGAGCTGTGGTGGGCTCCACCCAGTTCGATCTTCCGCACTGCTTTGTTTACCTAGTGAAGCCTCAGCAGTGGTGGACTCCCCTCCCCTAGCCTTGCTGCCACCTCGCAGTTCAATCTCGGACTGCTGTGCTAGCAGTGAGCAAGGCTTCGTGGGTGTGGGACCCACCAAGCCAGGCACGGGATATAGTTTCCTGGTGTGCTGTTTGCTAAGACCATTGGAAAAGTGCAGTATTAGAGTGAGAGTATCCCGAGTTTCCAGGTACCGTCTGTCACAGCTTCCCTTGGCTGGGAAAGGGAATTCCCTGACCCCTTGTGTTTCCCAGGTGAGGCGATGCCCTGTCCTACTTTGCTCACACTCTGTGGGTTGCACCCACTGTCCAGCAAGTCCAAATGAGATGAATCCGGTACCTCAGTTGGAAATGCAGAAATCACCTGTCTTCTGCGTCGCTCACGCTAGGAGCTATAGACTGGTGCTGTTCCTATTCAGCTATCTTGGAACAATAAAAACACAAAGGTTTACTTCTGAGCACTCATTTTAATCTTGTTTTCATTACGGGAGGAAAGGGTCTAGGAGCAAATGTAAACTCCAAGTTTTGCTAATAATTGATAAGGCCGTAAGTTCTGTTTACAAGGGCCAACCAAGAGGGCCACAGTGTCCCTGAAAAAATGGAGACATTCCAAAGCCGGTTTCCTGAGAGATTCGTCTTAAAGTACATAGGACTGGCTACTTCTCAAGATAGAGCATTCAGGCTTTTCTGTTGACCGAATTGTTGTTTAACTAGGACCAATTAATTTTGCAGTTTTACTTGTGCCAGCTTTTACTTTGCTTGCCAATAACTAATTGCATTGTTTTCTTATTTTTGTTTTTAACACCAACAGTCAGTTTTTTGTATTTAAAAAAGCCACTTTGGGATACTGAAGTTTTAAGCCAAGACTATTTAGTTGATTGGCTCGGTAAGTAGGTCACTGGAGAAGTCACCCATTCTTTCTGGCATACCTTCAAATATAAATGAGATATATGTTTTCCAAAGATGGAAAAATTCTATTTTGATTAACAGATTTTGTAATAAGATGTAGCTTAGATCATAGTCACTTTTATACTTAAAATACTGTGTTGTTGGCATCTGGAGTCTCATTTGTGAACAATATAAACATACTCTTTTTAGCACATTAAATTTCAGATTTCTTGGATTCTCATTGGATGTTTCTGATGGTGTACTATTAAATCATTATACCCCCAGGGAGAGTATATTGAGGTAGAAAGATGAATCATGTGGTTCAGACGGAGGTAAGCCAGACAGACCCAAATTCCATGTATGGTCTGCCACTTCCTGGCTGTATGGTTAAAGATAATATCATCAGTTACCCTGGATCTCACTGAACTTAGTTGTAAAATGGTGATGATACCATCTGATTCACAGTATAATTCTGAGGATTAAATGACACATCTTTTGTAAAGTGGCTAGCTGAGTGCCTGGTATGTACTAAGTAGATCTTATTGTATTTAAATGATTGCTATTATGATTATAGAGTAATCCTGGGGCTTTTAATAAGGGATCTCATTTGGATTTTGCAGCTACAACCTTATTTGATGTTAGCTAGTATATACAGTCATGAATCACTTAATGACAAGGATACTTTTCTTAGAAATGTGTTAGACGGGCCAGGCGTGGTGGCTCACGCCTGTAATCCCAGCACTTTGGGAGGCTGAGGCAGGCAGATCACCTGAGGTCAGGAGTTTGAGACCAGCCTGGCCAACATGGCAAAACCCCGTCTCTACTAAAAATACAAAAATTAGCCGAGTGTGGTGGCAGACACTGGTAATCCCAGCTACTTGGGAAGCTGAGGCAGGAGAATCATTTGAACACAGGAGGCAGAGATTACAGTGAGCTGAGATCGTGCAACTACACTCCGGTCTGGGGAATAGAGTGAGACTCCAAAAAACAAAAGCAAACAAACAAACAAAAGAAATGTGTTAGGTGATTTTGTTGTTGTGTGAACATCATAGAGTGTACCTACACGAACCTAGATGACATAGTTTACTACACACCTAGGCGCTGTGGTATGGGTTATTGCTCCTAGGCTACAAACTTGTACCAGGATATTACTGTACTGAATATCGTAGGCAATTGGAACACAATGGTGGTAAGTATTTTTAAGTGAAAACAGAAATGGTACAGTAAAAACATAGTGGTATGATCTTATGGGACTACTGTTGTATATGCAGTCCCTCATTGACCAAAATATCATTATCATTACTATGTGTTAGCAGTAAGTTAATGACAGAGTTAGGATTTGAGCCCATGTTTACCTGATATCATGATGTGTATTTCTCACATTCAGACTTGCCCCTTCTGTAAGGAGGCATATCCTTTCTTTACATTATTTTTGCTCCTGACAGTATTCAAGCATCATTCCCTTTCAGTAAATACATGTTCAACAGATATTATAAATAAAAACCCCAGAGTCAGTGCCTCCATGGCCAGTAAAGAAGAAACCACGCATTATCAGTGCTTAGAACACTGCCTTTTCTAGCTACTGAACCATGAAGCCATTTAAACTTCCTATTAAAATCAATTATTTTCTTTTGTAACAGAAGTAATTGTTGATCTAGCTGAGTCTAGGAATGAAAAAGAAAAAAAAAACAAAAAGCCAAACAGTCTATTCTACTAAATACAAGTAGAAATTTAGAAATGTCCTGAAAAGTAAAACAGATACCATGTATGGATATCATAGTATGTAGGTAAGATAATAAAAGTTCACATGAGCTATGTATTTTATCTATCGGCATACATAACACTTTCTATAAAACTTAAAGGGGGCCAGCGCGGTGGCTCATGCCTGTAATCCCAGAACTTTCAGAGGCCAAGGCAGGTGGATCACCTGAGGTCAGGAGTTCGAGACCAGTCTGACCAACATGGTGAAAGCCCATCTCTACTAAAAATACAAAATCAAAATCAGCCAGGTTTGGTGGTGCGTGCCTATAATCCCAGCTACTCAGGAGGCTGAGGCAGGAGAATCGCTTGAACCTGGGAGGCGGAGTTTGCAGTGAGCTGAGATCGTGCCATTGCACTCCAGCCTAGGCAACAAGAATGAAACTCCGTCTCAAACAAAACAAAACAAAACAAAACAAAAAATCCAAAAGGGCATTTATTTTTCCTCTGACTCTTTTTCTTAGTCTTTAAAAAACAATTGCCTTTATGGTTGAAAGTCATTTGGAGAATTACAATGGCTTGATTGTTAACAAGAACATTTGTTAACAATAACTACAAACTATGCACCATTTCAGTGTAACAGTTTACTAACAGTGCAAGGCTGCATGCATTATTTTGTGTTTATAGAGAAGACACAGGATTTTTACTTCTTACGAAGAGAAATCTGAAATGCTTCAAAATATGTTGAACAGCAAAATACTATCAAATCTAAATTGAAAGAGTTCCGGGTAATTGAATAGTTTTTTAAAGGTCTCTATTTATAAGTATAATGATTTAATATGTGGTGTATTAAGAAAGGATGGAGAATAAAATATATACCATATGCAAGTAAATCTGAAGCCTTGTGGGTGCCTACTATGTCTAAAGTGCTTTGTACCTTTTGGGAGTGATGATTAGTAACATTGACATCAACACAACCAGGAAATCCCAACCATATCACCACCCTCAAAACCAGTTACCAAATGAACAGTGGAGAGTGGACAACTTTTTGCAAAAATATGCGAAGTAAATTAAAAGTTAGCAAGTGTTCATGTGTATCATAGTTTTTATTATGCCATTCATTCACTCATTCATCCAGATAATAAATACTTGTTGAATATCTCCTTTGTGCTAAGTCCTGAAAATTTAGCAGTGAACAAAACAAATTTCCTCAGTTCAAGAGTTTACAACCTAGTTCTTGAACTATTCCTTGAGGCTGCATCAACATCTATTTGTGAATTGGCAAAGAGAGCTTTATGATTGGAGGGAGTCACTGTAAAGACACATAGAGCACCTGAGGCAGGTGAGGTCAGTGGAAAAGGTACTCAAAGTAGATGGATAGAGAAAAGGTGAGAGAGAAAAGGAAAGGGGTGGGGGAACAAGGGAGAAAAGGAGAGGGAAAGGGAGAAGATGGAGATGAGGGAATGAGCAGGAGGAGAAAGGAGGAAAAAGACAAAGGTAAGCCCTTCAGGCTTTTATGATTTAGCATCAGAAAATCTGAACTCTAGTTCCCATGCCACCTTGCCTAGATGTATGAGCTTGAGTAGAGTATTTGCCCACTATAACCAGGCTTCCCTCGTCCTTAAAATAAGGTTAATATTTACCTATCATGGCTGTAAGTGTTGATCACCAAAAATAATGTATAAAAACATTTTGTAATCTATGAAGTACTTTAAAATGGCAAGTATTCTTATTTATCATCAGCAGCATTATAATTATGACTAAACATGCCAAAGGATATAGAGATAATAGCATACAAATTTTAAATGATATAAAAGCACCCCAACATTGTTCTGTTTGTTTTAAGTAAAGAGAAGAGCATAGATCAGTAGATGGTAATCTTGGCAGCAGATAATATTAGCAATATCAGAGATGAAAAATTGGGGGAAAGGTTGAGGTTTAATCTCAAACACTTTAATTTTCAATAAGTTTCCCAGAGAAATTTGGGATGCCATTTGATATATGTTCTAATCCAAAAATACACAGATATAAGACTTCTGCAAGTATTTTTGAGTCTTCAGACTGTGTGGGAAGGAAATAATAGTATTATAAAAATTTTAACATTTTTCTTATCTGTGTATAAAAAACTTGGTGTCTTAATATTGGTAACTTTTATTTTCATATTTTGTATAGCCTGAATGTGTATTTTTTCAGTTACATCAAAGTGGAATTGACAGTCTCAGAAACATTGGACTATATAGTATAGAGACCATGTTTTGAGTCTGCTCTGCAACCTACTAAGCTGTGTTACCTTAAAAAAGTTACTTAATAGTTTACCATTTCAGTTTCTAAAATATAGCACTTTACCTGTCTCCCAAAACCGCTGAGAGTGCCTTTTAGTTAGCCTTGAGTACATGGCAACCATTATTTTTGTTAGTGACAATAACAAGAGTAACATTTGCCTGGTGGTTTAGCTGAAATCTTTTCCTTTGGCTTATTCCTAAAGACAGTTATCAGATACCAGCCATGATAGAAACTTCACCTATCACAGTGCACATTATCTGGCGTGGCCTATGAAACCTGTTTGGAATTGCTTCTGTATAACTTATGAAAAATAGAGTTTTTCTAAAATGTACCAAAACAATGTGTTTAAGGTTCTATTTCAAAGAAACCACACTATTATTTGAAGCTACATGGAAATGCCTGAATACATAGTTCTAGGAGGTATAACTTAAAAATAGAAGGCAAAATCATTATAAAGCCAATAATAGAATGCATACATGATGATGGTCCCATAAGATTGTAATACTCTATTGTACCTTTTCTAAGTTTAAATATATTTAAATACACAAACACATATTACTGTGTTAGAATTGCCTGCAGTGTTTTCAGTACAGTAACATGGTGTACAGGTTTGTAGCCTAGGAGCGATAGGCTATATATCATACAGCCTAGGTGTGTAGTGGGCTATATCACTTAGGTTTGATCAATGATTATCATTCAGTCTTGTGTGAATTAAATGTAAAGAACTCAACAGAATACCAGGATCATAAAGTATATTCAACAAATGGATGCAATCATTATTTTTAACTGCATAATGGCAGAGACAGCCACCCATAGTAAGAAGTCACTTTTGCTCAGGTCTCTTCATTTGAGATTTGTTGTATGGAGGGAAACCCACGTAGTGTGTTACACAACCTTAGTGAGTTGGCTTTAAACAGCTTTCTTGTCCTCTCCAGTAGCAGTACATCCATAACTACTTCCCAACCCTCAGTGGCCAAGGTTGGAATGCTCTCAGACACAAGTTTGGAGTGAGGTCGTTAGCTCTTCTCTGGCCAAAAAGAAGAAGGTTCTTCTACTGTTAATAACAAAGAGGTCATGAGGGAGATAACCCTGATGGGGTCTGAGTCTTGCAGAAATACTACCTTAGTATTCACTGCGTTTTAAAAATATATATATCATTTACTTACTAATGAGTCTGTCTGTAGATTGCTTTGGTCTGCATTTACTCTTCTAATTTCACCACTTTCTTACTGAAAAATAGCAAGCCAGATGCAACATGCCTTCTTGTGCCATTTCAGTAATAATTATTCATTGGCAACAGGAGATGTGTTAGAAATAACATCAAATGAAGTGTTCGACTTTTTCTTTTTTGTATAATTTTGGTTATAATAATATAATGTATAAATTGTGTTATTATATTATAATAATATTCAATCTGCTCACCTCAAAAATGTGGGAACAACTGAGAGTGAAAACACATAAACCCACTTAGAAACTTGTGTGCATATATTCAGGGCAGTTAAATCATGTCAGGAAAAAATATGTTATTGCAATAGAAAGACTTGTGCTTCTGTTATTCATGAGTTTTGTATTTCACTCCTCGAGAACTTTGCTATGTTAAGTGAGGAATGAAGCTTCAACTCACCCTGCCTGGTTATGCCCTTTTGGGTGGGAAGAGGAAGGGCATGGTCTGACTTGGAAACAAAACAGGCCAGAATCACTAGAAGCACTTCTCCCATGTAAGGACCTGGATTCCCAATCTGTTGCTCTCCCTTCCAGGGTCTATCATCTCCTCTTTTCAGTCTTCAACTTTCTATTTAATGAGCTTGAGCTCATTGTATGTCCTCATCATCATCATCATCATCACAACCAACAGTAGTAGTAATAACAACCACCACCACAGCAGACACCATTTAAGGAGGACTGATTCTGGGTCAGGCACCACAATGAATGGTTTATATAGACCATTTAATTATCTCAACAACTGTATAAGTTGTATGGAGTCACTTTTCAAAAGAGGAGAGGGAGACTCAGAGAAATGAAGTGACTTGTCCAAGGTCACACAACTAGCAAGTGTCAGAAGCAGTGTTTGAATCCAGATTCTCTGGCTGAAAATCCTATACTCTAGGGAATCAATCCAGAATTCCAGTGTTTTGCTGAAACCATATTTTTTTGTTTTTAAGCCAGTGGGGTCCACAGTGTATGTTGGAACCCATTCTTGGGCAATAATTTTGCCTACTTAATCATCAATTTTCTTAGAAACCAGAGCTACCCGTGCATTATGTGAAAAGCCTGTTGAACTGCTCTACATAGTAGGATGGTAACTATAAGGATGTGGCAAGATCTCTAATTTCACTTTGAATTCTAATGTTGCTTTGCAGTATGGGAAGCTAAAGTTAACCATTTGTAGCTGAATACCATATTAGGTTTATTAGTGCATAAAATTTAAAAGTTGAAATGCTTACCAATGTATTAACAACCATAATCAATCAATTCCCATGCCATATCTTTGAAAGTATTAGCTTGTTTTATGTAGAATAATGTAGTTTTTAGTGCAGCATAAATAATATAACTCATACTAATGGCATATTAGAGGGATACATAAAATTTTTACCCATATATTTTGCAGTCTCAAAAATGTGAATAAGATCTAATGTTGATGAAGAAACAAGAAATCAATTTGTAAAATAAATGCTAAAGGATTTTAGGCAGGGATTATAATTAACATTTTTGTACTTGCAACCCCACCTAATGAAGTACATTGCATGTGGGAGGAAAAAAATATGTAATTTTTGAATGAACATGCTTCTTTGAAAACAGAAATTAAGCCTACAATGTAGACTTTGTTAAAGGTCATAGAAAATCCAGCTGTCTGGCTGGGCGTGGTGGCTCATGTCTATAATCCCAGCACTTTGGGAGGCCAAGGTGGGTGGATCACCTGAGGTCAGGAGCTCGAGACCAGCCTGGCCAACATGGTAAAAACCCCGTCTCTACTAAAAATACAAAAATTAGTTAGGTGTGGTGGTGGGCATCTGTAATCCCAGCTACTTGGGAGGCTGAGGTAGGAGAATCACTTGAACCTGGGTGGCGGAGGTTGTAGTGAGCCGAGTTTGGGCCACTGCACTCTAGCTTGGAGGACAGAGTGAGACTCCATCTCAAAAAAAAAAAAGAAAAAAAAATCCAGTTGTCTCATTTTCCTGCAGTAGTTTACGATCAAAATGGTACAAATTTCAGTTTCTGTAACCAGTTATCTATCTAGCACCTAATGGCATGCGGCCAGGTAGAGTGAGCAGAAGGATGGAGGAGAACACACATCATTCTTTTGAGATGCTTATAATTCTACAGGTATCAATGGTAATGCAGTGAAGCATAAATCCTCATGAGATAAAGTCATTTCCTTAAAGTATTTAAACAAATGCTATTTTGTGTCAAGACAATATTCAGAATTTACTGTTAAAGGACATGAAAAGAGTTTTTTTCTTTCTTTTCTTTTCTTTTTTTTTTTGTTAAGATGGAGTCTCACTCTGTCCCCTAAGCTGGAGTGCAGTGGCGTGATCTTGGCTCACTGCAACCTCCGCCTCCCAGGCTCAAGCGATTCACCTGCCTCAGTCTCCTGAGTAGCTGGGATTACAGGTGCCTGCCACCACACCCAGCTAATTTTTGTATTTTTAGTAGAGACAGGGTTTCACCATGTTGGCCAGGCTCTTCTTTAACTCCTGACCTCAGGTGATCCACTTGCTTCAGCCTCCTAAGGTGCTGGGATTACAGGCATGAGCCACCACGCCTGGCCAAGATTCATTTTATTAAGAAAGACTGGCAGTGATAATGATTCTTTATCCCCTGCATGACTCTTCTTTATCCCCTACATGACTCTTTTATTTTAACTTTCTCTATCCTCACCCACATTTCCTACCACTATTGAAGAAATAATTTTGTTACACTAAATTCTATTTGAGAATTCTAAGCATCTCACCTAAATAAAATTAATTTTAACTTATGAAAGAAGTGACATTGTATCTCCTCTGATTCCTAGGAACCTTCTCACTTTCTTTTTTCTTGCTGTAAAAATTATCACTCTTGGTAAATACTCAGTTTCTTTGGGCTCTAGAATTCCAACAAAGATTTGGAGCCACACTTATTCATATTTTAACTTTCTTGGCACTTATTTCCCCAATTTAGACATACATATCATTAAGAACATATAAAAGTTTGTGCTGGGAATTTCTTATTCTAGATGAGAGATTTTGAAATTAAAGTAATGAGTCAGTTCAGAGATTTGCACTTACAAGTTCAAAACCTGAGAAAGAGTCATTACAACAAAATCTGGAACAAACATTAAAAAGAAAGTCTAGATCCTTTGCTTATCCAGTTTTTCATGTTTCTAACTTGTCACTCCTCCTATCATCCTTGGTGATTTTTCACATTTTGCCAAAGCAATCTATATACAGCAGCATGATGTGTGTGTGTTAAGTAGAGCTAGGCATTTTCCCTGGATTCTTATATTTTACTTAGATTTGTTATAGAAATAAAAATTAATAAGACATCTTAAGGCTATGAACCCCACTTTCCACCGCATATCAACTTCATTATAATTTCTGTGTTGCCTTCTATTTTCATACAGGTTTTATTTATAAACTGCTTAGTCCCACTTGACATATTTATCTTGCTGCTGCTTTGTGATCAATCTGGGTTATAGATTTCATGAAAGTAAATCAAGAGTTTTCCCCCAATGTATTTCATTGTAGTAGAACTAACCCAATGACTGATAGTTGGCCTTTTGAGGGAACCAGATACTGATTTATGTTTCCAGGGAAATGTTTAATGCAGAACTCTGAATTCAAACTCAAAGCAGAATATATCTTGTGATTATTTTAAAATTTTTCCTGAAAAAATTAGAAAAAATATAATTGCTTTAGGTGTAAAGGTCCACATTTTCATGTACAGAACTTGAGCATTCTGATCCGGGTTTTTTTTTTTTTTTTTTTTGAGACAGAGTTTTGCTCTTCTTGCCCAGGCTGGAGTACAATGGCGTGATCTCGGCTCACTGCCACCTCCGCCTCCTGGGTTCAAGCGATTCTCCTGCCTCAGCCTCCTGAGTAGATGGGATTACAGGCACCCATCACCATACCTGGCTATTTTTTTTGTATTCTTAGTAGAGATGGGGTTTCACCATGTTGGCCAGGCTGGTCTCGAACTCCTGACCTCAGGTGATCCACCTGCTTCGGCCTCCCAAAGTGCTGGAATTACAGGCATGAGCCACCGGGCCTGGCCAATCTGTATCTATTTTACATTTAGCACCATTATTTTTTCTTTTTTGCCATTTATTTCTTTTATGAGGTAATTTTATAGTTTTAGAGTTAGTCTATGGTTAGATTACTAATTCTACCATCCACCAACTTGTGAGCTTGATGTATGAGTTTCCTAAGGCTGCTATAATGAAGTACCACAAACTTGGTGGCTTAAAACAAGCGAAATTTATTTTCTCACAGTTCTGGGGGCTAGACATCCAAAATAAAGCTGTCAGCAGAGCCATGCTCCCTCAGAAGGATCCAAGAATTTTTTCTTGTCTCTTAGCTTCTGGTAGTTGCCAGTAATGTTGGACTTCCCTTGCATTAACTCCAAAAGGCCAGTGGGGTACTATTGTTTAATATCCCCAAGGACGTTAATATAGATTTTAAGATAACCTATATAGCACTCAGAAATCCCTTGAACCTTCTAAATGTATAGCATATTATAGAAATAAGGAAGTAAAATCAGAGTTGCCATGTAGAATATAAAAGTTGAACTTCATGTCAGAGATCCATGCTAAAGTAAGGGAGTGGTGAATTTAAAAAGAATTTAAATAATATAAATAATTGTATGCCTGTCTACTCTGGAGAAAAAAATGATGCTTCACTTGCTTACACAAAAGACTGTATAGGAATGATGACATTGTTTCTTTTGTATCCCACAGAGTGTTGGTTACCTCAGTGCTTAATTATTTCCTCATCAAGGACCCAGTCCCACCTTCTGTCTCTCTTGTTTTCACCACTACTCCTCTCTTGAACAGATGATATTTTTTTCCTGGGTTACTGGGCAAATCAGGAAGGTCTGGTTAAGTTTCACAGATTAACTCAACATAGTCTCACCTCACCAGTTGCTCCTTTGTTATCCTTGTAGCAGATCCTTCCTAAGAAACTTGTCCCTTTTTCTTTCTGAACCTTAAATTGCCAATCACCCAAACTGTGAATTGTAAACATTGTACCCAATAGGTAATTTCTCAGTCTTCACCTCTCTCTCCCACCCTCCCCCATTTTGGAGTCCCCACTCACTTAACTTCTGGCTTTGGAATGATTTCTAAACCACAATGATCTTGTGATTTCAGAGCAGTCGGGGATTCTCCCAAATGTTTTGCATTACAGTGGAACTGAAGAGTAACCTGCAGACAGCTTTTGGAATAACTAGCTACTGAGTTGTACTTCAAGGAAAATGTTTAGTGCAGTATCCTGAATTTAGATTCAGACAGAGTTTTAAATAGTTTTATTTAAAAATTGGTGGAGGGAAACCCATAATTTGAATAATGGAGTCTCTTAAATTCAGTCTGAATTGGACTGCTTGCATTGGTCTGTCAGGTGATAACTAAATTTCCCTTTCAGTTGGTCCTGTTGAAACGGAACCATAAAATGACTGTGATATTACTTATCCAACATAAGAAGGAAATCAGCATTTTATTTACATTTTATCCCTGTTTCAATACACAAAAGCAACTCCAAAGTGAATTGTTTGAGATTTAAGGTTTGCTTAACTCTTCCCAACCCTTTGGCTTTTAGATTTGCTTGGAACGGTAGAAGAAATCCTTCCAAGCCTCTCAGAAAATATCAGTGTTTGGGGGATGAAAGATTCTGTTCCACAAGGTGTAATTTCACTCAAAGAAAAACTGAGCACCTCACCTGATGAGCCCGTGCCACGCAGCCACCATGTTGTCTCACTCCTCAAGTCTACTTGTCTTTACATTTTTACCTCTGGAACAACAGGTATGATCCAATTCTTTTGAAGGCTAAAATGAATGCGAGAAATTTGCAAAGCAACAGTGTTGGGCAAATTTCTACCATGTGTAGTGACCAACCATCTGAGAATGCATGCTTGCAAGAAGATGTAAGGATCTCAGAGGCTAGAACTTTCCAACTTGGATGGAAAGTTAATTATCTTAACTTTTACTTGAAAAGTCATTGTGTTCATTTGGCATTTGTCTCATTTGACAAGATTTTCTTAAAGTTTGGTAGTACAAAGGGCATGGGAGTATCCAAACACCTTGATCCAGTCTCATTGCTCAGTGTATGATACTTGATACTTGATTTTTTGGGCAAGATCTTTGTTAGCTTCTCTGATCCTCAAATTTCTGATATCTAAAATGAAGAAATTAGTTTAAATAGTTTCTACTGATTCTTTTGGATTTAAAAAGTGTTTTAATGTACTTGAAAACAGTTCTCTATATTCCTGTGTAAATTATTAAATCCTAAACATAATCCAGGTATACCGGCAATTTAAGCACCTGTTGCTGGCTCTCCTGATTTTGGTCAGGGTAATTGAATCATGTGACAAACAGGAACTCTTGAAGGCACTGCAGGTTTGGACTAAGATACAAAATAAAATCAAGTAAATAAGCTTTATTTTAAGTAAACAACAGCAATAACAATAATAAAACTGCCTGAGAATTCAAAAGAAGGGCCTGGCACAGTGACTACTCACACCTGTAATCACACACTTTGGAGGCCAAGGCAGGAGGATTACTTGAGGCCAAGTGTTTGAGACCAGCCTAGGCAACACAGTGAGACCTCATATGTACAAAAAAATTAAAAAAAATAGCCAGATGTGGTGGCATGCACCTGTAGTACCAGCTACTCAGGAGGCTGAGGCAGTTGAATCATTCTATCCCAGAAGTTCGGGGTTATAGTGAGCTGATTGCACCTCTGCACTCCAGCCTGGGCAACAGAGTGAGACTCAGTCTTAAGAAAGAAAAGAAAGAGAATTCAAAAGAAATGTTAAACTTAATTGATTTCTAGGAAAAACTGAATGGTATTAATGGTAGCCTAAATAGGCTTTCATTATTAGTTTGAAAATGATTGTTGATTTGACTTAGACATATTAAGAGTATTGTTACTCATTTCTTGTGCATAGGTTGTGAGCAACTATTGCATAGTAAAATTTTTCTTACATTTTAAAAATCTATTCAGTTCCTAATTGTAATCCCTTTTAGACTGGAGAATATAATTTTTTTTTACATGATTAGAACAGTTTTGATAAATGAACTGAAAAGTGCTAATATGTGTGTGGCTACTCTGTCCAGACTGAGGGAGCTTCTTTCTCAGATTGTTCAGGCTACCTAATCAGGTCTATTGAATAATAACAGGTCTAGAAGTTGGCAGATTGAACAGATACACAGTCCCTTAGGACAAAAGGAATGGAACTAGAGATGACAGCTACAAAATTTTAGAAAAGGAGGTGATGACTGAGTGTGGTGGCAGACACCGCAGACCCAAGAAGCTGAAGCTTATGGTGAAGCCTTGAAGAAAATTCATTTGCCCCCACCAAACCCCAGAAAGGCTCAGAAATTGGGTACCAGGTACCTCAAAGAGTAGAAAATAAATGTGAAACTATAAGCAGGAAACTTTATGGGAAGTTTGTTTAAGAAGGAACTATAGTCCTGGATTGCTTCTTCCACCCTGATAGAAGTCCTGAGACGTAATTCTGGAAAAGATGAACTTCTGAAAATACCAGGAAGAACAGAGGTTTAAAAAGTAGGGGATATAAAAGAAAGTCTCCCTCCCTATAAATATGTATATATGTATATAGATAGATATACATATATGTATATGTTCTCTTTAATATATATAACTTCTTTTAATACTTGACTGTTTTAATCTTTGAGATTCTTGTCTGAGGAATCTGAATAGCCCACATGTAAAAATTGAAAGACACTGATCATGATGGATTCCCCCAACAGAATGTCCTGGACAGTGAAACCAACTAGTAAATAAGTATTCTTCAGACACAGAGATTCTAGTTAATATTTTGTTTGTTTATTTTGTGTTTTTGTGTCTGCACTTTTAAATATAAACTGATAGTCAGTAGTCTCCAGATATTTGAAAAAAATCCTCCTGAATATATTCTAGATTAGATTGAGACCAATACAAACGAAAGATAAAAAGGATGTTGGAGAAAACTGACAAGATAGAGAGGAGAAATTTTCAAAAAATTATTATTGTTAATATTCTGAAAGATGGGGACAAAAAAGTGTCAATAATATAAAAATAACATACTACAAAAAGAGGAATATTCAGAGAACATAATTGTTGGAAAATCTCTCAAAAAGTAAAGCAAAAGGTAAGAGAAGGAAAACAGGATAGGCAACATTAGGAAACCAGTGATTCTGTCCAGGAGGGCTGATCTTCAGAAAATCAAGAGTTCTAAAAATGAAAGGATGAACACACAAATAAATGTAACAGAAAAAAGCAATGGGCAAAAAGAACAGAAATAAGGAAGGAAAGAGAAGAATGGGGTGTGAAAATTATTTTGTTTTCAAATTCAAAAATATCTAGAACTATAAGACCTGAGTTGTTAGACTGAAAAAGCCTAAAAATTTCCCAGCGAAATGGATAGATGAGACTGGTCCCAGTAAAAGTCATCATGATATTACAGACTACTGAAAACAAATAGAAGATTCCAAAAATGAAAAAAAATAGAAATACCATGTTGCATCCAAAGGATAAGAAATCAGAAAGACTGATAATTGCTCAATATATATACTGGAAGTCAGAAGATTATAGAGCAATGCCTTCAAAGTCCTGCGTAAAAATGACTACTTACCTAGAATTCTTTACAAGCAGCCATTCAAGTGTATAGGTGGCAAAAAAAGACATTTTCAGGCACATAAGGACTGACAAAAACTTACCTCCCAAATGCTCTTTATCAGATAGCTACTGAAACCAAATGTGTGCTACCACTGTAATTAATTTCTAGAATCTTAGATCTATCCAGAAAGGCCAACGATAAAATTACATAGCGTTTGAGATACAGGCCTACTTAGCAGCCTGTCAAAGGAGCGTTGCTAAAGTCAGAATGGCCTCTTTTACAAAGCAGATAGACTACTTTGATATATTTTCTGTCAATTGCTAGTGTAGTTGTTATCAGTATCATCTTCTTTCTGTTACTTCCTTTCTAGTTATATGAATATGTATGCATATGTATATGTATGTATGTGTGTATATATATTTCCTGTTCTTTTCTTTTCTTCCAGGTCTACCAAAAGCAGCTGTGATTAGTCAGCTGCAGGTTTTAAGGGGTTCTGCTGTCCTGTGGGCTTTTGGTTGTACTGCTCATGACATTGTTTATATAACCCTTCCTCTGTATCATAGTTCAGCAGCTATCCTGGGAATTTCTGGATGTGTTGAGTTGGGTAAGGCTTTATTTTCTTTTTGATAAGTTTTCAAAATGTCTAATAATTAGAACAAGTATTTATTAACATTTGAAGCTGTATCGGTAGAATTTAGAGTGATTATATGCATATTATTTTATTATAACACAATATTTATTTTAAAAAAACTACACAATTTTATGGCATATTCAGTGTTTTCCTGAGGTGAAAAGAACAGTTTTCTGAGGATTTGGCCATGTGGTCGGAGCTGGCTATTGGCTGGGCTTCTCTCTCCTTGTAGTCACTCACCCTCAAACAAACTACCCCAGATTCCTCAAATGTAGTAGAAATGTTCCAAGGGAGTGAGTATGGAAGCTGCATAAATCTTAAGGCCTAGTCTTGAAAGACACATAGGTTATTTTACCTTCATTCCATTGATCAAAGTAAGTCATGGGCCAGCCTAGATTCAAGATTCCAGGGCTGGAGAAACAGAAGCCACCTCTTGAAGGGAGAAGGAGCAAATTTACACTGCAAAAGTAAGAGCCCTGAAGAAATTGCTGAGGCCATCTTTGCGAACAGTCTGCCATAGACACTCAATAAATTAGTTGGTAGAGCTTGTGACTCAGTAGATTCCATTCATAAACATGCAAGATTATGTGTCAGTTTCTAGACCTCACATAATATACAAACAGTGGAGATCATTTGCTACTTGTATTTGTCTAAAATGCTGTAATTTTTAGAATAGAATATTTAGAATATGATCAATATCCACCATAAATGAAGATGAGATATTAAAAGACATTAAAATCTTCAGTGGACATACATTGTTGTCAAAATTAGGTTCTGCAGTCATTTAAGAACTTTTTTGTTAGTACTATCTTGCTAATTCAACCTTACTAACAGTTGACCTCAAGATATGTTGAGGTGGCCGGGCGCAGTGGCTCATGCCTGTAATCCCAGCACTTTGGGAGGCTGAGGCAGGTGGATCACGAGGTCAGGAGATTGAGACCATCCTGGCTAACACGGTGAAACCCTGTCTCTACTAAAAATACAAAAAATTAGCCAGGTGTGGTGGCAGGCACCTGTAGTCCCAGCTACTCGGGAGGCTGAGGCAGGAGAATAGTATGAACCTGGGAGGCAGAGCTTGCAGTGAGCCGAGTTCGTGCCACTGCACTCCAGCCTGGATGACAGGGTGAGACTCCGTCTCAAAAAAAAAAAAAAAAAGATATGTTGAGGCTGCTTTAAGGTTTAAAAATGAATAATATGTATATATTCCAGTTCACAAGTAAGTGAATATTCTTGGCTTCTATGAAGAAGGATGACTCTTATCAATAGCCATGCTCTAATACTTTAACTCTTTTACTTATTTTGACTGTTGCTTTTCTCCTGTGTATTGCAAAAAGCATATTTTCAGTCAAAATTTAGAATTACAATATTTTAACAGAGTTTTTGGACGGTAAAAATTAGTGTTTCCAAATGAGTTTGATATAAATTATTGATGATGAGTTATTAAAGTTTTAAAATGAGCAAACATGTTCTAGACAGAGAAACATCATTCATGTTTTATGTTCATTCTGCCTTTGAATTTTTTTCCCTAGTGCCTGTTTTTGTCTTTTCTTATAGGTGCCACTTGTGTGTTAAAGAAGAAATTTTCAGCAAGCCAGTTTTGGAGTGACTGCAAGAAGTATGATGTGACTGTGTTTCAGTATATTGGAGAACTTTGTCGCTACCTTTGCAAACAATCTAAGGTAGGCGTAATCATTATCAGAAAAAAATATGTCAGAAAGAATAAGTATTGAGATAGAAAAGGTTATTTTTATTTCTTTGTTTATACTCTACCTTTGTTACTGGCGGGTCTTTGTTCTTAGAGCTTCCAAGATAGTGGCAGGTGCTACCTAGATGGTGGCGGGCAGCTCCCAAGATGGTGGCAAGCCTTGTGTTCTCTGATCTGGGGTTCTTGGCCTCACGGATTCCAAGGAATGGAACCTTGGGCCATGCGGTGAGTGTTATAGCTCTATTAGAAGCCATGGGTCATGGAAGAGAACCGTGGAACCCAGCGACTAGTGTTCAGCTGGATTAGGACGAACCTGGGCACTTAGCCATTCAGGAACAATGGCGAGCCTCTAGCCCGATTGGGAGCGGCAATGGGCACCTTGCTGGATCAGAAGCAGAGCAGACACCCTGCTGGATCTGGAGGGGTGGAAGTCAGCAGCGGGTCTGCGATGGCGGAGATCAGCAGTGGTGGACGGTGAGCAAAAGCTCAGCTTGAGCCAGAATAAACACAGACCAGAAGAGTATGCAGTTGCAAGATTTAATAGAGTGAAAACAGAACTCTCATACAACGGGAGGCGACCCAAAGCAGGTTGCCACTGCCGGCTCAAATGCCTGGGTTTATATCTGGATCTTTGTCCCTCCCCCTGTGCTCTCAGGTGATAGATGATTGACTATTTCTTTACCTCCTGCTTTTAGCCTAATTGGTATTTTAGTGAGCTCTCTTTATGACCTGATTGGCCGGGTGTGAGCTGAGTTACAAGCCCCATGTTTAAAGGTAGGTGCAGTCACCTTCCCCAGCTAGGCTTAGGAATTCTTAGTCGGCCTAGGAAATCCAGCTAGTCCTGTCTCTCACCTTCTTTCAGAACATAATTTAGCTGACTTACAAAGATGCGTGCAATACCCCAAGATAAAATAAGACAAGTGAAAGAAAATAAACAGAGAGCTATCCAAGAATGTACTAATGTGCTTTGTACTGTAGCAGGATAGGACTGACCCAAAGACTGTGTTTAGACTAAAATTAAAATTTCTATAAACATAACACGCATCAGATTATGAAATTAGATTCATGCTATGTTTACAGAAAGCAATTATTCTAAGGTTAAAATAATCTTTTAAAATGCTGTTCTTTAAAAAAATAACTACTGACCACTGACACTGATTATAATTTATTTTCTATTTTTTCTTTTGAATAAGTGATTATATTAGGATATCTTTTTGTTTTACTTTAAATTAAAAAAAAAAACCCACATTGCTTTGATTTGCACTTGTCTCCTTAACTGAAGAAGTCATTTCCACATTCGTTTGATCAACTGCCACCATCTGAAAAACAGATAAGCAGAGACAGTTGCAATAGCCTGAAGTTTATCTTTATTGGTTCATTTGTTTTTTTGCCCTCAGAAGTTATTTTCTTTTTCCTGCTTTCGTTTATCTCTCCAAATGCTTCTTCTTTAACTTTATGATTTTCTAAACATTCTTGAGACTATAAAGAAGTTACTTTCTTTAATCAAATTTATTTAATTCTTTATATTATTTTATTATTATAAATTATTTATCTTTTATTATCTGATTATTTTAAACATCAGATCCACATCAGCCCCTTCAAGAATGACAATAGAGTAGGATATTGCCCTACGTGGGGTGGGGCAACAGAACCTTGGCCTTTGAGACCCACCTTTCCTTGACTAGAGGATCTCTCAATAGAGTAGGATATTGCCCTACGTGGGGTGGGGCAACAGAACCTTGGCCTTTGAGACCCACCTTTCCTTGACTAGAGGATCTCTCACTTATCACCTCTGCCATCATCACATCTGCTTAAGGCATGAATGGTGTGCTGGGATATCTTCTCTTCTCTTTGGCTAAAATCTGGCCATGTAATTTTTCAATTAATTACCCAGAGCACAGCTGACACTAGGCTGGAGGCATTTAAATAAGACTTTTTCATTTTGAGCTTGGAGTTCACCAAGGAGAAACCTCCAGTCGAGCTTCTGACCCACCTCCCTGTGGCAGAAGCCATCCTTACTCATTTTTTGCCTGGAGTGCTTCAAATAACTATAGATTCCACAGATTCATAGCCAAGACAAAGAGTTCCAGATAAATGTTTTACATTTTTTAAATATTTTTCTCTTCAAGGAGACCTTGCCTCAGGTAAGGGAGGTAGTCTTAATCTAAAGAACCCCAATAATACACTTAGAATGCCACAACCTCACATATTTTATCTTCTAGTTTTCATTGTACTTTTTGGTAATGTGATATCTGGACTAGGTTAATTTAGGGAATTAATGCCCTCCAGTAAGATTAAGGTCACCTTCAGTTGAGATTTCATGACTTTAGTACAGAACACAGTAGGTGCTACCTAGTGAAGCTCATCTGCTTTCTAAACCATGTGCTCCACCATTCCTGTTTCCTCTCATCCTTTAATAGTGACATCAGTTTGTGTAATGTCATTGCTCAGTAAATATTTATTGAATGGTTGAATACATGAATTTACTTATTTCTAAAATTTACCAACTTAATGCTGCATTTAGTATCTTCATGCAATTGAGCTAATGTAGGTTTTCAGAAGTGAATGTAAATAGCCAAAGTATGTGGATACTTTTGCGATTTATAGAAAATATTTCTAAATTGCTGTTCAACATGGTTGAAGTGATTTAGAAGCTCATGCACATTGTAGGAGTATGCCTGTTGCACAGTGTCTGTCAGTACTGGGTGTTATTAAAAATAGTGGTTTTCCAGTTGTGCTTCTTGGAAAATTAGAAGCTCTTTTAAGCTCCCTCAAAAGTCCTTGAAACATGGTGAGTAAGAGTAAAAGCAGGCCAATTTCCAAGGCCCACCCTTTCAAATATCATGAATTAAACCCAATTTCCTGAGCTCCTCAATAATGCTTTGTTTGAACAAAGGATGCCTCAGTGGTTTTTAATTAGAAAAAGTAAATTCGATTATTTACTTTTGTTTATAATTTTATAGACTAGAAACAAACATATATTAATGTGCTCTGTTAAGATTACTGGCAAGGTGGGACAGTTTTCCAGCTGTATTTCCCTTTAAAAATGTCTCTTTTGTGTCTTGTACTCATTTATTTGTCTGGTACATAATGTTTTACCTTATCCAGTTGAACTCCCACTTCATATAATAAAGGTATTAATAGTTTTTCATATTGATTACAAATCTTTTCTCAGTGTTTTTCTTTAAATTTTTTAAAGAAATGAAATATTCTTTTTAACTCTCTGAATCTGTATTGCACTGATTTGGAGGAAATATTATAGCTTCGGAGAATTTGAGAGAACTGAGAATTGAAAACAGAATGCCTGATTGCTTTTTAATTAATTTAATTTTTAGGGGTGGGCATGGTGGTTCACGCCTGTAATCCCAGCACTTTGGGAGGCCAAGGTGGGCAGATCACTTGAGGTCAGGAGTTTGAGGTCAGCCTGATCAATATGGGGAAACCATCTCTACTAAAAATACAAAATTATGTTTTTGTAAAATACAAAAATACAACATGGGGAAACGATCTGTACTAAAAATACAAAAATTAGCCGGGCGTGGTGGCGAGCACCTGTAATCCCAGCTACTCGGGAGGCTGAGGCAGGAGAATTGCTTAACCCCGTGAGGTGGAGGTTGTGTGAGCCGAGATTGTGCCACTGCACTCCAGCCTGGGTGACAGAGCAAGACTCTGTCTCAAAAAAAAAATTAATTTAATTTTTAATTTTAATTTTTAACTAAATCTCTTCAAAGAAAAAATGATGTTTATCAAATAATCTGCAAATGCTTACCTGAATGCAAACTGAGGAGGAAAGAAGGAAATAAATACAGCTTTACCCAAAGGGAAACTTAATAATTTTTTTTTAAGCAGAGAAGCATTGTACTACCTAATACCCTTTGTTGAACTCACACAAAATGAGTACAAGCTGTTCTTGGCATTACAAATTAGGAAAAGGAGAAAGTCATTCTGTTATGACATCTTTTCCCTTCAAGGAGATCTTACATTTTTGCTGTCCAATATTCCTTTCAATGACATTCCCTTGAAATGAAGGGGCAGTTTCTGCTGCCCAGCCAGTACATCAGTGGATTCAGGTAGAGCCAGAGAATGAACACGTGACATGGTCCAGGTCCTTACCTTCAAAGAATTAAAATTGAATGTCTCATAAGCCATGGTTTGAAGCCCCACAGACAGTTATTTAAAAGAAAGCAAAACCATGTGGTTTTAAAATAGATTCAGATTTGTTGACAATCTCAGGGTAAGTAGCATATTCCAAAGGAAATTTACCTGCAGGCAGAAGTCAGAATGTGAGTTGAATGTTTATGTGTAGTTGCACAAAGACTCCCTAGGGTTGGCTTTCTATGGCCAGAAGCATTTATCCTTTCCCATCTCTCAAACATGCACCCTATTCCCCACTGCTTCTCTTTTTCAAAACTCCAGTTACAAAAGTTCTTTTGGCATAAACGTTAGATGTACTTCTTTAAAACTGCTGGCAGCAGCATTGTTTTCAGAAAAAGAGACTGACTCCTGTTAGTCATGGTGAGATGAAGTTGTTCTTCTCTTCCCCTGAGACTAGGAAAGCAGCTCTCCCTCACTTTTAATCTTCCAAGTTTTCTATGTCACTAAAGCACCATCATACAATCTGATTGGGTCTAGTTCTATATTTTCTTAATACTAATGTTGTCTTTAATATTGATTGGTGAGGAATATGTTGGAACTCTAGACATCAGTGATCCTCTAGGGGAGTCTTGCTGCAGAGTTTGTCTTATATAAGCAATTCCACCTAACACAGTCAACAGTTAGCCATATCTAGGGATATATCTAGGGATAGACCATATATGTAACATATTCATTTCCTCATTCATTCATTCATTCAAGTAATATTGTAGGATTAGATATACAGGACACACAGGACAAATCAGACTGCTTCTCTCTTAGAATTTATACTCTCTTTGATGAGGGGGAGAGAAAATAAACCCAGCAAACACAGATGAAAAGTAATTACAGACAATGACAAAGGTTATGAAGAAACAAAACAGGGTGCGGTGATGGAGAATGATGGACTGTGGGAGTAGGACATTGCTAATTAGATTTGGTGGTCAGGGATGGCTTCACAGAAATAGTAATCTATGAGCCGAGGACCTGATATGACAAGTGGGATCCAGGCACAGAAAAGCTGGGAGGTTGCCGTCATGACAGAAGAAACTCAAAAGGAAGAGCCCCACAGAAAACACCACCTGAATGTTTGAAGAGAAGGAGGGTATGCTGGGCCATCCATTGACTAGATCTTGTAGGGCTTGAATCTTTGTAATCTTGGAGGAGAAACTTGGATTTTATTCCCATCAGAGTAGTTGAAAAAAGATGAAGGAAAAACTGGAAAAAATTAGACCACTTTGGGATCTATCTTGAAGGAAAGCTAACAAGACTTGTTAGATCAAGGATAGGAAGTGAAGGAATGGGTAGAATCAAGGATAAGTCCCAGGTTTTTGGTTCAAACATGTAGGCAAATTATGAACTATTTGCTGAGATGAAGAAAACTGAGATTCGAGGAATTAAAATTAATTTTTTTGATCTGTTAAGTTTGATATATTAGGCATCCAGATGAATAAGCTAAATAGGCAATTGGATGTAGGAATCTGAAGCTCGAATAGTACAAAAGACAGGACCTAATTAACAAAGCAAGGACCTATAGTGTGATACATGTATGATGCTTATTTTTCAAGCTACTATTTGTAGTTTGACATTTAGGCTATATAATTTGTCTATATATGTCAATGTAGAACACCCACATTTTGACATTCTCAAGGCATAGTCTATACTTATTAGGAATGCATTTTCTAAAAATTATATCCCCTTTCCTTATTTTGTTTTCTTAAAAGCTAAGAAATTCCCTGGGAGCCAGAAAACATCCTTATGATTCTGAATACTTTTGGTAAAGAATATTGAAATTTGACAAAATGTCTTACACTTGACTCCCATTATAAAAAGAGAGGTGTTTTAAAGTATCAGTGTATTCATTAAGTATTTTTATTCATTTTTAAACTTTACAAATTGTGTTAAATTTTTCATTAGTAATGCTTAGACAATCCTGCAGTGAGCCCCTAAGAGTTTACAGGTTTTTTTTTATTATTTTGTTTTGTTTTTCTGAGGCTGACAAGATGAAAATTTTGGAACACAAGAAGTGATTTATGGCAGTGTGAGAGTGTTTAAGAGTTCAATTAGAAAGGAAACCTGCTTTCTTTTCTCCAAAAGAATGTATCATTCCTTTCAAGAGTTTTCTTTGTCATATCTAGATATGATATGGAAATGAAGAAGATTCAGTAGTGCCAGAGAATAAAATTCCAATAAGGAGAGATCGAATGATGCTATCTTGATCTTCGTATCTTGAACTTGTTTGTTTGTTCATTTGTTTCGCCAGTTACTTTTTGAATGGGACCAAAGACGGTCATAAGCTAAAATCTTGGCTTTACTTTGTACCTGGTTAAGTGCATTCTATTTATTCTTTTTTCTTTATTGAAAATGGGCATATTAAAAATATTCTCTCATCACATTTTCATGTTCTTAGTTTCTACATAACTTCAAGTGTTTTATCATGTTTTCTCCTTTTCATGTCCTTTAAAAGATGTAATCAATCAAAGTACATAGTTTTGGAAAACTTTTCCCACCACATTTTAGTAACTTTTTAAAAATAGCATTTTAAAATTAATGTAAACTTTAATTGTTATCAAGATATTCTGATATAGTTTCATTACAATTCTCTGTAGCTTTCAAAACAATTGATTTTGCCTGTAAGATCTAGTTAAAGACATTTATATATTTTTTATTATTTGTATTCCTCAAATATTTGAAGCATATTATATGGTTGAGAAAGTAATCTCTCTTTCAAAACCCAGTTTTCCTTAAATAAGTCAAAGATATGTTTACATTGTTATAATAGATATAAAAGCATTTAGAGAAGTTGGTAAGCTGCCAGAAACTCTTTTCAGCTTAGAAACTGTAAATGTAGAAATACAAGGGGCTAACATAAATAGCTGTTAGCAGCCTGAATGCTAGTGGAATTACACAGGAATTTGTGAATATTTTGGAGTGTTTTAGAACTATGTGTATATATTAAAGGCTTTTTATAAGTGCTAATTTTAATAGTTAATGATTCACATTTCATAGGTAGCAGTGCATGTAAAATATACACATCTTTTTCTATCTGTCCTTTATGCCATTTATGCTAATTCCATTGAGGATACATATATCCCGTCTTTGTAAAATTTCCCAAGAAATTTAGCTTTATGTAGGAAACCATCTGATAGTGCATTGGCTACGGAATCTAATGACATAGGCTTAATTTCAAGCTCCTGTTGTTTGACTTTCAGTTGCTCACTTCTTTAAGCCATAATTCTTCTCTTTATATAAAATAAGTAACAATACCTACTTCTTCTAATTGGCCCTTGATTCTCATAATCCAGTTATGAGATATATGTGAAAAACTGTAAACAAGGAAGCCGAATACAAATGGAAGGATTTTAAACAAAATGTAGGTTGAATGCAGTGACTCATGCCTGTAATCCCAGCACTTTGGGAAACCAAGGCACGAGGATTGCTTGAGGCCAGAAATTTGAGATCAATTTAGGCAACATAGTGACAGTCCCATCTCTACAAAAAAAAAAAAAAAAAAAAAATTAGCCAGGGGTGGTGATGTATGCCATTAGTAGTCCATGCTATGGGGGAGGCTGAGGTGGCAGGATCATTTGCACCCAGGAGTTTGAAGCTGCAGTGAGCTATGATTTCACCACTGCCCTCCAACAGCTTGGGTGACAGAGCAAGACCTTGTTTCAAAATAAAAAAAGTAATATTTTACATGAATGTATTTATAAAATTAGAGTAATTTTGTAGAATGTATTTATAAAATTAGAGTAATTTTGTAGAATGTATTTATAAAATTAGAGTAATTTTGTAGGTATTGAAAACTAATTGGTCTTTGACTAATAAAAATTACATAATACTGATTGTAAAATTCCATATAAATAGATCATGATCATTTTAAAATAAAACTTTAATAATAAAATATTAACAATTTTATAGTGGCTTGTCACAAAAAGACTAAAAATAAAAAACCAGAAACCCTAAAAATATTATGCATATCTCCTCTTAGATTATGTATTCTTATTGTAGATGTGGTGTGTTAGTAAGATTTTCCCACATTTGATATTAATTTAACATTTAAAAACTTATGTCCAGGATTATTTCTTTGAGTATTCATTTGCTATTTTTCACATTGACTATTCCTTAAATTTTCTATTCCTGAACTTCCTTGCTATGAACACATAAAGTGAAGGTCAGAAATGGTTAATCTTTGTTCTGCAGTGAGGGCTTATCAGGAAATACAAGAATATTCAACAAATGATAAACTATTAGAATTCTCCATGATCACATCATTTTTATTCCCAGCGGGGGTAAAACACAATGAATTAAGATCAAGGATTTAATGACAACTTTTCTATTAATTTACCATGTGACATAGGGCAATTCATTGAATTAATTTATTTGCCCCTTGGAGTTGGGGAGCCTGAAATTTAAGCCTAACCAACAACCATGTCTTATGAGCTTTGTGATCTTGGGCTAGTTCTTGTTCTTTCATCTATATAATGAATGTAATAACAATTATATCCAGAGGTGATAGGATGATTAATGAGTTAACTCAAGTAGAAACAGGTTGACTAGAACACGGGGTGCTCTCTGGAAGAAGCTTCACAAGATTTTTTTATTATCATATTGAATATGCCAAAACTGAAGATGTAGTCTTCAGCCTTCCAGGACCAGAACTCAATTTATCAGTACATGTCTTTAGGTTGGACTCATATAAACCAGGCTCAAGAATGCCAGTTTATGGCTTCAAAGTCTCTTCATTGCTGGACCTTCCCTGATCTTCTTGACTAAATGTTGGCATGCCCCTGACTCACTCTCAAACCTTTACTCTTTACGCTATATTGTCACTCCATGGATAGGCTCCTGGTTGCAAATACCGTCTACAACTTAACTCTCAAATTGGTGTCTCCAATCCTGTCTTCTCCCTTGATTTCTAGTTTTTTATATCTAGATTCCTACCTGACATGTCCACTTAGAAATCTGACATCTTACCTCAAAAATAGCCAAAGTCCAACTTTTTACACCCCGCTAGTTTATTCCTTGTTTACTCCAGCCTATCTGCCTCCTTGCCTTTCCTTCAGTACACCAGGACTTTCCTCCCTTGGACTGTTCCCCCCCTGGATATTGTATAGCTCACTCCCTAACCCATCAAATACCTCCTCAGAGTGGGCTTCTCTGACCTCAAGCTCCACTAATGTCTGTTGTGTTCACACTACCAACTTGATGGGCTCCCTACCCAAAGTTTGGGTAGACTGATGTTATACATGCATCAAGAGAATACAAAAAGGTTAACTACTGACAGACCCTTCTGAGGAGAGAAGCAAAGAGTTCCAAGCATGTCCAAAAATGGCTGGAGAGCAGGGGAAAAGACTGGTTCAACTTTTATTTGATAAAGGAGCATCACTAGGGTGAAAGTTCCTGGGCATTTAGGCCTGTATATGTTGATCTGAACATACAGCTGGTGCCCAAAGAAAGAGCACTGGGCATTCTCATCAGCTTGCTGAAGAGGAAAGGATAGTGGTGCGGTGTGAAAGCTGTGAGCAGTCACGCATGAAGAATGGAGATGGACACTGGATTATGAGGTCTGTCTTCTTCATGAAAGTGTCTTCTTTCACTGCTTTATGTTTCTTCCTAGAGCTTATAATTCCATTACATATTTTATATATAACCTCTTTCTTTATCTCTCTTAATCTTCTTCCCTCCACTATTGCATAAGTTCCATTATGTATTATTATATCCTTAGTGCCTAGAATGGTGCCTGACACATAGTAGATCCTCAACAAAATTTGTTAATATTTAAACAAAAGAGAGTAGCAAATAGAACAAGTCCAGTTGCTGGGATACTTGTGTGCTCATGACCAACATAATCTTTCCCTAGTCTCAGACCTGCAAGGAAAGCTAAATTCTACAGAACGTTGGTGTTTCTGGAGGGGACAAAGTCCAACAAGGGAATTTGGATAAATCAAAGTTTCTATCGTTGCAGGCAGGGAGTTGGGACTCTGATGCATTCAGGTCACTGCAGAAATGACCTTGCTAATGGGACCCTGCACTTTTTGGAACGTTTCATTAATGAGCGCTAGTAGTTGTAGCTCAGGTGACAGTTTTTCTGAGTTTCTAGGAAAAATCAACCTCCCTTCACATCTACGCATCCTTTTCTTAGGTGATTTAACACAGTTATTCAAGTTAGAGCCAAGTCTTGCAGACCGTTGGAGCTAGTCTTTCTCTACAAGGTGCCTTTGAATGTTCTGGGTCTGAGGCATTTGCTTTCCCTCCACTGTTCTCCCACGTGCTGCAGGATAGAAAGCAGCTATTCAGAGTAAGTAGTCTGTAAGTAGCAGTTCCTATCCCTGTACTATTATGTCTGGAAAATGAGTTTGAAGTAAGCCGACTTTGTGCTGTAACACTTGAAATCACAGAAGTCTTTTCAAACTATCTTTTGTGCCTTAAAATCTTTGTTAAACTGATGGCTGTCATCTCTGAAACCACGGCCCACCCAAACTCAGGCTTGAGTTAAAGGCAACATTGAAAAGATTTTCAGGGGCAGCTGGAACCTGTGCTGTCTTGACCTTGTAGGCCACTCATTTTAAATACTACCAAATCCTTTCTTAAAAGAAGTGCATACTCTCTCCCCACACCACTCCTTTCCTGCTTCAGTAAAAGAAAATCTGTTCTTCTGCCCCAGTTTATGCCTATTTTTCTGCCCCAGTTCTCCGACATCCTGTTCGCATTTAGTGTTACTTCTTACTGGCTCTGCAATAGCCATTTGACTTGGTGTCTATATTGTTTCAGTGTATAATATTGGAGTGTCTGTGAAGAAAGCAAACTGTTGGAATGTTTTATCTTTCTTATTATTACATAAGGTGTGTTGGTGTGACACATGTATATATATAATTGTGAGCAGGTTTTAGGAAAAAGAAGTCTTATAATCCCTAACATATGTTTATATTTTAGGTGATCTTTTAGGAGTTAGATCATGCTTTTATGCATTAAATGGTTAGTTATCTAAAGCTGAAGGCAGAAATGATTTGCTTCTTTGTTTTCATGATGAATTTGTTTCTTTTGTGTCTCTCCACCTATCAACAAACATTCTTTTGTTTCATGAAAAATTAAGGTTGATATAAAATTACCTGTATTTAAACAGAGCTTGAGAGGTTCACTTTTCTTAGGCATATAAAGAGGTTATTCAGCCTGAGTATGTTAGAGATTCTCTAAGTAGGAATAACCACATGTTTTGGAAGAAAGAGGCTTTGTTTTTAGAAAGGCATTGTTAGAGGCCTGAGTATTTCGGGAAATGAATAAATAAATTCTTGACCTTGTAGGAGGTACCTACAGTTCAACTTACTGTGCAGCAGCTCAGCAGACACTGCTGGGAAAACATCTCTCAAATAACCTTTTGAAGAAACCAGAGTTTTGGTTCAAGTTGATGTGACTACTTTATTGGTATCATCACATCAATTTGATGAATGGTCCTGAAAGCTAGAGGGAAATATCTATTGAAATCCAAGACCTTGGGATGTCTGTATTAAAAGCTCTGGGCCACTAAGCAAGTTCTCTTAAATTTTAAAAGGAATTTTAAGTAGTTAACGATGAAATGAGCATTTTCTACATGTTTGAATGTGGCTTACTCAATGTGTGTATGCAAACATATAAGCATCTGACAAATAAAACTGAAATATTCCAGTACTTTTTCAGCTTCATTGAGTAAAGAACAAAACCACTGAATTAGAAACTCATGTTTTGATGACTTCCTATTACTGAAACCATGGGAACAGGATCGGTAAATAGAGCATGGGCTTTTGAGGCTTTGTAAAGCTGGTTTCCTCCCCACTCCCTCCATTGTTCCCTCTCTTGTTCCTTCCCTCTCTTGTTCCTTCCCTCTCTCGTTCCTTCCCTCTCTCGTTCCCTGGTTCCCTCCCTCTCTCCCACCCTCCCTCACTCCCTCCCTTCCTTTCTTCCTTCGTTCCTTCGTTCCTTCCTTCCATAAATGTGTTGTGAACACTTCTTATGCACCAGGTCCTATTGCAGGCCATGCTCTAGGTAATGAGGTACAGCAGAGGACAGAGCAGACAACAATCCCTGCCTTTATAGAGCTTACATTTTAATGAGTTCAAATTATCTCTGTATCTTATGTGAACTTGGATCTGAACTTCATTTCTCCATATGCAAAATGAGAATAATTCTTCTTCTTTTATAGGGTTATTGTGGTGATTAACATGAGACAATACAATACTTTGATATGGGGGCTCAAGCATGTTCTCTCTTTGTTTCGCCTGACCTGGCAGCCCACATGGGTTTTGCTGCTGTCCTGCATTCTCTGTATTTGTCCTCTTTCTTGCTGTTTCTCTACTTTGGTTTTTGAGTGTATCTGTGGGTCTCAGTGCCTTTATTTCTATGTGCACCCGAGTCTTCTTATTTGTGTGCTTTGGCATGTGTGTCTCTCTCACTGTGTCTTTCTTTTTATATGCCTCTGTATGTCTAGTTTGTGTCTTTCTTTTTTGATCTGTGTGTGTGCGTGTGCCTGTGCACGAGAGAGAGAGAGAGCAAGAGAGAATCTGTGTGCATACATCTCTGTCTCTGCATTTTTCTCTCTTACAGTGTGGGTTTCTCTCTGTCTCTGTGAATTTGTCTAAGTTTTAAAATCAAAGTTCTGTGAAAAGGAATTTGAAAGAAAGCAACTTTATTCCCGTGAACTGTTTGCAAACTGTAAGATACAGCCTTTGCTGTGAAACTTAGGTACATTCCAGAGAACAAAGGGAAGGTTGAGTGTTTATAGCAACAGTTCCTGCTCAGGTTTCCAATCAGGTCCATTTATGCAAATGAAAGACTCAAACTTGCTGAGTTTTGATTGGTTGATGTAGCTGAGTTCTGCTTGATCAATTCAAGCCACAGCTTATTGGTTGGTTCAGGAAAAATGAACAAGAAGAGTCAGCTATGAAAGCCTTAGCAGTAGGCCAGTGCAGTAGCTCATGCCGATAATCCCAGCACTTTGGGAGTTTAAGGTGGGAGGATCACTTGAGCTCAGGAGTTCAAGACCAGCCTGGGCAATATAGTGAGGCCCTGTCTCTACAAAAGTAAAAAATTAGGTAGGCGTGGTGACACATGTCTGTAGTCCCAGTTACTTGGGAGGCTGAGGCAGGAGGATTGCTTGAGCCCAGGGGTTCAAGACCAGCCTATGCAACATAGTGAGACCTCATCTCTACAAAAGTAAAAAATTAGCTAGGTGTGGTGGTGCATGCCTGTAGTCTCAGCTACTTGGGAAGGTGAGGTGGGAGGATTGCTTGAGCATGAGAGGTTGAGGCTGCAGTGAGCTGAGATTGCCCCACTGTACTCCAGCCTGGGTGACACAGTGAGACCCTGTCTCAAAAAAAAAAAAAAAAAAAAAGAACCTCAAACTCAAAGTTAAGCAGATGTGTGTGAGCTTTCTGAGAACTCAGAGAACGTGTCTGACCTCTAGTCAAAAAACAGCTCATTGGCTCTATTTTATGTTTAGGCCCAGTTAGCCACTCAGGATTTATCTTGAGGAATTGTCTCATTCAGGTTCATATTTGGATCGGTACATGAATGTGTGTGAGTGTCTCTCTATGTTCCTCTCACAGTGTGAGTCCCTCTGTCTCTGTGTGTGTCTTACTGTGTTTAGGTTTCTATAATGTCAGTTTGACTCTGTCTTTTTTTCTGTTTTGTTCATTCATATTCTTGCTCTTGCCTGCCCTTTCTCCCCTTGCTCCCTAGCTCTGACTCTGTCTGGCTCTGTCTCTCACCTTTTTCTCTTGTTCTGTGAGTCTCTCTTGCTTTCTTTCTCTCTGAGTCTCTCACTTTCACTCTCTGTCTTTCCTGCTTTTCGTCAGTCTTTCACGCTCTCTCTGTCTCTTTGTCACTTCATATCTTTCACTTGTGTGAGTGTGTAGGTAGGTTTTTGTGTATTCATTTATTTAATTGTGCTCATTATGTTTATGCATGTCCTCTCATTCCTATCCCAATATAGCTTAGATATTCGGTGATATTTAGGTAGCAATCTCATATCTCAAGAAGAATAAAAAGGAATAGAGATTTATTCTAAAGAAGCCATAAGGGGATTTATGGATTGAGAAGTGGAGTTTTAAAAATTACAGATGGATATTACCAAGATTTGGTTGTATCTTAGGTGACGTACCACTAATTTCACAGTATCTCAAAACTGTCCAGTATAAAACCAAATATAATTAACAACCATCAGGCCCTCATCTCTATGTCTAGATAGTCCAGGGTCACTTTTTAAAGCTCTCTTTGCTGATCTTGATGATTTTTCTTCTTCAATGGTTGTCATTCTGTTGAGCCTGCTATTCTATTTCCTTGACTACAATCTAGGTTCTCATCATCATCACCCACATCATCTTTTGCCTGAACTACTTCAGGTGCTATCCCTGGCCCCGCTAACTTTCCATCCATCATGCCAGGTGGGGGCAGGTTATTGTTCCATCATCTTTCTCTCCTTGATGCCCTCCACTGGCTTCCAGTTTTCTTCCAGGGTTCACCAATAGAGTTTCACAACATAAACAGCTGTTTTTTTTTAAAGGCTCACCTGACCAATATTTTGCCCACCTACCACTATGCCCAATGTGTATAGGAAGCCATGCTTTTGAATGCTCTGACTAGGCGATTTTCTCCACTACAAATATTAACTCCCAGTTATTTCTAATGGGATAAAGCCCTTTCCTGAGAAGGAAACATAAAAGGAAAACACATGGGAATCTGGATAAGGAAACTTTATAAACCAATATTTGTAGCACCAATGTATTGTCCAGTTAACCAGACGATGCTTAACTTGTTTTAATACTAAGAAGTTTTTGCTATTTTGACTTTGTATCATTTAGGAAAGGGTTCAGCAAGATTTTTCTGTAAAGCACCAACCAAGTTAGTAAATATTTTAAGCTTTGTGGGTTATACTGTCTTTCTGACAACTATTTAATTCCACCCATGTTTCTCAAAAGCAGCCATAGATGATCCATAAATAGGTCTGGTTGTATTTTTTTTTTTTTTTTTTTTGCGAGACAGAGTCTCGCTCTGTCGCTCAGGCTGGAGTGCAGTGGCCTGATCTCGGCTCACTGCAAGCTCCGCCTCCTGGGTTCACGCCATTCTCCTGCCTCAGCCTCCCGAGTAGCTGGGACTACAGGCGCCTGCCACCATGCCTGGCTAATTTTTCCTATTTTTAGTGGAGACGGGGTTTCACGGTGTTAGCCAGGATGGTCTCGATCTCCTGACCTCGTGATCCGCCTGCCTCGGCCCCCCAAAGTGCTAGGATTACAGGCGTGAGCCACCGTGGCCGGCCTAGGTCTGGTTTTGTTTTAATAAAACATTATTTGCAAAAACGGGACATGGCTCAGATTGGGCCCCTGCAGGCTGTAGTTTGCCAATACCTAATTTAGACTTTATGATAATATCTTATTATGTATTCCATATAGGTAAAATTTTCATTCCTGTGCACACTGTTTTTTTTTTTTTTTTTTTTTTTTTGAGACGGAGTCTCGCTGTGTTGCCCAGACTGGAGTGCAGTTGTGTGATCTTGGCTCACTGCAAGCTCCACCTCCTCCGTTCACGCCATTCTCCCGCCTCAGCCTCCCGAGTAGCTGGCACTACAGGCGCCAGCCGCCGCGCCAGCTGCCGTGCCCGCCTAATTTTTTGTATTTTTAGTAGAGACGGGGTTTCACCGTGTTAGCCAGGATGGTCTCGATCTCCTGACCTCGTGATCTGCCCGCCTCGGTCTCCCAAAGTGCTGGGATTACAGGCATGAGCCACCGCGCCCAGCCACTCGTTTTTTAAAGCTTTTTTTCTCTCTCACCTTTCATATATGTATATATGCATGAGTGTGTGTGTGTGTGTGTGTGTGTGTGTGTGTGTGTGTTGTGTGTCTGTGTGTGAGTGCCAAAAATATAACTTTTGGGCTTTCTACAGGGTTTCATATAATTTGTCATTATTATAATAAATAAAGGAATCATATTATTTTCATTTACATAAAATTCCATGCTCATAATTTGAATCAAGAAAACCAAAACCTGAAACATGTTACTGGTAACTTTCAAGAAATATCTCAATAATCTGTAAAATAACAACAGTAATTTATATCACGTATTTTATGTAAATTATGTCATTTATGTTTAACTCTTTTGTAAGTGTCATGTTTAGATTCTTAGTTACCATTTAAAACAAGATTTTAGAGAATTGTTTTAAAGTATTTTGTGTATGTGTGCTTACTGAATCAGCTTAAAGATGTTTGTAAAATTTTAGACTTTTATTAATTGAAGACCTTTTATTTGTAAATCTTATCTAAAGTGCAGTTGAATAGATTTAAAATTAAACTTTCATGAAATCTGAATTGACCATCATTATGTACAGCAAAAAATATTATATCCTTGTCATAAAGTTAATTCTAGATAAATGTAATAGGTAAATGTAAAGAGATAAGAAGAAAATAATATATAGATTTTTTTGCTTATAGGATGGGAAAGAAAATTTTAAATCACATATTAATTTGAAATATTAATAAGAGCAGAGAATGATCCATTTAATTATTAAAAACATTGAATGTGGCTGGGCACAATCCACCTGTAATCCCAGCACTTTGGGAGGCCGAGGCGGGTGGATCACAAGGTCAGGAGTTCAGGACCAGCCTGGCCAAGATGGTGAAACCCCATCTCTACTAAAAATACAAAAATTAGCCAGGTGTGGTGGCACGTACCTGTAATCTCAGCTACTTGGGAGGCTGGAGCAGATAATTGCTTAAACCCGGGAGGCGGAGGTTGCAGTGAGCTGAGATCATGCCACTGCACTCCAGCCTGGGCGACAGAGCGAGACTCAGTCTTAAAAAAAAAAAAAAAAAAAAAAATATAATGTTAAAAATAAAAATCAAATTAAAAGAAACAAATGCTCGTAACTATTTTAAAAAGTGTTAATCTTCTTAATACACTATTAAATGACAAGCATTCAACTTGGTTAAAAATAAAAAGAAATTAAACACAATATATTTTCTTATCAAATTGTCATTTTAAATTAAATGAAATGTCATATTTCTAAGAATTCTTCATTGAAGAGGTATCCATCTCCCTCTCCTCAATAAGATATAAATTTTTAGCCAACAATTTGGTAACATATCCATAAAAATATTTACAACTATTGGCTTCTTCCAGGGATCTGTCCTAATGAGATGCAAAAATTTATAGATAAGATATTCACTCTACTATCTATAATGATGAACATTTAAGAACAATGTAGCAGTTCAAAAACAGGTGATGAAGGGGTAAATTGTGGTATAATTATATGATAATCAAAAGCATGGAACATCATATATTTGAATGATAACAATTTGGAATAATGTCCAGAATTTATTAATAAATTAGAATATATGGCCATATTATGGTGATTATAACTTTTAATGTATATATAGATATGTTACATAATATTTATATAGTGAGATTATATATTATTTCATTTTTTATTTTTCTGTATTCTCTAAATGTTGTATGATATGATATGTGTATATTTCAACATCAAAAGAAATACACATTTTCTTTTCCCACATAACACTAAACAATAGATCAATTGATGTTTCCTCATACCTTTCAAAGCATGGTCTTCTGGGTTTTCTTTAAAGGAAAGAAAAATTTTTTAAAAAGAGATCTTGGACATTAGAGAAATGAATTTGATATTTTGGGACAAAAGTCTTGATCCTAGTTTAGAAAATGTGATTCTCTGTATCAACTGAATTTCTTAGGATGATTGTTTTTATTTAGTAAGCTTGTATAGCTATAGCCCACACAAGTTAAAGCCTGTGGAATTTGGTTTATAAACCACCTTCATATTGGATTTCAGAGAATGCCAAGGCATCTTATAAATGATGATACTTGCTAAAACTCATCTCATACCTGAAAAGCTTCCAAGCATTATACCATATAAAAGATTGTTCTCTATTCAAGCAAAATAAGTCCTAAGATTTGCAATGCTGCTGTTTGACGCAGGAAAATGGCAGTGGAAAATCCAAGAGCTAGTTCCATGCCAGGCAGGCAAAATCTGCCATGCCCATAGGAGGCGGGAACTAGAACAGAACTGCTGTGGGTTATATTTACTGTGAGAAAAGAACCCTCTGTCTTGAAAGGAGCTGCAGATGGAGTCTTTTCTCCATTTGCAGAATAATTACCTTAAACCTCATTTATGTAGGTCTAAGGAAATCAACAAGTGAGAGCGTTTCACATAATTCCACATCTTGGCTATCTTATTATTTTCAATTGATTTTTTTTTTTTTTTTTTTTTGAGATAGAGTCCCTCTGTTACCCAGGCTGGAGTGCAGTGGTGCAATCTTGGCTCGTTGCAACCTCCTCCTCCCGGGTTCAAGCAATTCTCCTGACTCAGCCTCCTGAGTAGCTGGGACTACAGGTACCCACTACCACGCCCAACTAATTTTTGTATTTTTAGTGGAGGCAGGGTTTCTCCATATTGGCCAGGCTGGTCTCATACTCCTGACCTCAGGTCATCCGCCTGCCTTGGCCTCCCAAAGTGCTGAGGTGTGAGCCACCATGCCCAGCCTCAATTGAATTTTTAAAAATCAAAACAGTACTTTTACACAGTTATAAAAATGAAATAGTACTCTTAGGATAAGAAATATCTCTGCATTATCAGTACTTGATCTCTAGAAGTAAGCATCTTTAATTCTTCTAGGACATTTTTAGTTATTACTTATCTCCATATTTCTCAGTAAAATATGTATTCTACTATTTCTTGATTTTTCAGTTTTAACTGTCGTCTACCTGGCTTCCTACTCACATACTCACTATCCACACACATATCTTCTCTCTCTGTGACACCAATAAAATTATGATAGTTTAAAAATATGTTTATAACCAGTTTTTAAAGTATTGTAAAGAAGTGACAATATATAAATTTTATTCATAGCTGAGACATACTGTATTTATTTCATTACAACTTTTCTCTTTTCATTCCTTATAAATAATAATTGTCCCATTTTTATATTTTAAATTTAGCTTTCTAATGTCTATCACAAATCCATCTCAAACTCCCCATCATAGCTAACATTTCTTTGTGTGTGTGTGTGTGTGTGTGTGTGCCTGTGTCACTCTGTTGCCCCGGCTGGAGTGCAGTGGCGCGATCTCGGCTCACTGCAACCTCCACCCCCTGGGTTCAAGCAATTCTCCTGCCTCAGCCTCCTGAGTAGCTGGGACTACAGGTGCACGCTGCCATGCCTGGCTAATTTTTTGTATTTTTTAGTAGAGATGGGGTTTCACCTTGTTGCCCAGGCTGGTCTCTAATTCCTGATCTCAGGCAATCCACCCGCCTCAGCCTCCCAAAGTACTGGGATTACAGGCATGAGCCACTGCACCTGGCGCTAACATTTCTTAATAAGATTTAATAACATGTTACGTGTTTTTAATAAATCGTATTTTTTAAAGGCGTCCCTGCTAACGTGCTGAATCAGTGAGTCACTGTCCTCCCAAATGTGAACAAGATTCTGATTTCTCCCAGTATAAATTAGTTTTGCTTGTTTCCCAAAAACAGAATCTAAATGAAATTATATATATGCATTCTTTTGACCTTGCTTCTTTGACTCAGTCAGCACTATGTCAATGAGATTCATCTTTGTTTTGAGGTATAGCAGTAGTTCATTCTCTCTCATCACTTTAGAGTTATGGTAGGCAAAAAAAATACAAATTACAAATTAAAAATTAAAAAATGGCCCCTTCAAATATGTCCATGCCCTAATTCCTGGAATGCGTGAATATGTGTGCAGTAGAAACATTGGCAAAAGGGATTTTGCAGATGTGATTACAGTTACAGAGCTTAAAATAGGAAGATTATCCTGGTGGATACAATATAATCGTATCAGACTTTAAAGCAGATGATTTTCTCTGGCTGCAAGCAAGGAAGACTCAGCATAGGGGAAGTTGGAGATTTGGAAAATGACAGGAACTCAATGTGTCATTTGTTGTTCTCATATATAGAGGCCTATGTGGAAGAACTGGAGAGAGGCCTCTATGATCTAAGAGCAGCCCCCAGCTGATAGCCAGCAAAGAAAAGAGAGTCTTAGTCCTACACCCTCCAGAAACTTGATTCTGTCAAGAACCTGCATGAGCTTGGAAGCAGATACTTCCAAGAGTCTCAGTCCTACACCCTCCAGAAACTTGATTCTGTCAAGAACCTGCATGAGCTTGGAAGGAGATACTTCCAAGAGTCTCCCAATAAGACCCTAGCCAGTCAACACTTTCATTTCAGTTTTGTGAGTCCTGAATCACACAAACCAGTTAAGTTGATGTGGACTTTTGACCTACGGACACTGTGAGATAGTAACTTGACATTGTTTGAAGGGCCTAGGTTTATGGAAATTTGTATGGCAGCAATAGAAAACTAATAGAAGACTATTCCATTATGTTACTATAACACAACATTTAAAATATATCTATTTTACTATTGATGGATTTGGATTGCTTTCAATTGAGACTTAATATGATTAATGATGCTAGGAACATTCTTATATGTGTCTTTTGGCAGATTTATGTATTTATCTTGGTAGATAATTAGGAGTGGAATGGGTAGGTTGTATTTTATGCATATTTCAGCATTAGTAGATATTGCTAATCAAAGTGGCAGCAGTAATAGGCACTCCTGCCCATGGTCTATGACAGTCCCATTTGTTCCATGTCCTTGCCAACACTTGTTGGAAAATTTATAGTGCTATGCTAAAGAAGAAATCATAATGTTTGTAAATGTTTGTTGCTACTTCATGGTGTTTTGATTTGTAGTTCTCTGATGATGAATGATGTTGAGCATATTCTCATATACTTACTGGATGCTTGGAGGTATTCTTTGAGAAGTACCTGCTCAACACTTTGTCAGTCATTCAAGCAGTCCATAAGCAACACCATAGCTGCTTGACTGGCTCACCATATTTCCATAAAACTGGTTAGTAAGGAAAGAATGAACTTAAATAGATTTATGCAGCACAAAAAGCATCATAACCTTCTGTTCACATCTCATGTCCACAACAGTTCCCTCTCCCCACACATCCTATGGGGAATGCAGAGGTGGGCCTAGGTGGATGCTACATCTGTAGCATAGGTCTGTGCCTCAGCTGAGAACACGGCCCTTAGGAGCTTCCCAGTCATTTAAGGGGCTACTGATAAACCTGCCCTTTCTTTATATCTGAGAAAGAGTTAATAAAGATATGCAAGTAAATCTTCTTGTATGTAAACAAATTTTCTCCCGGAAGAGGAGGGAGACTTTACTATCATGGAAGGTAAATAAATTTTCTCTGTGACCCAAAAACCATCTCTAGCTTCCAAGCCTGTTTGCCACACAAATACCCTTGAAAAGATACATATAGATATAGATATATCTATATATGGTTACATAAATATACATATATTATAGTTTGGTGTAAGTATATGCACATACATACGTGTATTATATAAATATATATCAAACTATTTATACATATATACTTTTATAATATAAAAATACGTATTTTTACTGTATTGCTTTTGCTGCATAGCATAATTTTTATTCTGTCTTATTTTTCTTATACAGTTCAAAATACTTTTTAAATTTTCATTGTAATTTTTTTTTCTTTTACCCATGGGTTGTTTAAAGGTGTATTATTATTATGCAAACATTTGGAGATTTTCTAGTTTTCTTTTTTGTAATTGATCTGTGGTTTAATTTTATTGTGGTCAGAGAACATAGTTTGAATGAAGCTTAATGCTTTGAATTTGGCTTAGACTTGCTGTAAGACTCAACAAATGATCGATCTATTTTGATAAATGTTTCATGGCCACTTGAAAAAAAATGTGTACTCTTCAGTACCTTGTTACACTGTTCTGTATACATAAATTAGGTCAAGTTGGTTAGTTTTCTTTAAACTTCCATGTTCTTATGATTTTTTTCCCGCTTATTCTATCAGTACCAGAGAGAGAAGTTAAAAATATCTCAGTCTATTTTAGCTCTGTCCATTTTTGCTTTATATATTTGACTATGTTGTTAGGTAAATAGAAATTTAAGGTTGCTATCCATACAGTGAATTGACCCCTTTATTATTATTAACTATCCCTCTTTATCTCCAGAAATGTTGCTTTACTTAAGGTCTACTTTGTCTGATATTAGTATAGTTATACTAGCTTCCTCTTGGGTGATGATTGTATGGCTTACCTTTTTCCATCCAACTACTTTCAATTTTGGGCTTATGTAATATTTAAGATGTATTTTTCATAAACAGGATATAGTTGAGTTTTATATTTTTATGCATTCTAAAAGTTTTTTTTTCCATGATTACATATTTAGTCCATTTACATTTTATGTACTTATGATATATTTGCTTTTATAGCTTCTATCTTGCTATTTTTTCTTGTTGTCTCATCTGTTATTTGTTCCCTTTCCCCCTTAATCTTCTTTTGAAATAATATTTTTATTATTAGTTTTCAGTGATTAGCCCTTTAGTTATACATCCTTTTATATTTGTTTTATTTATTTAAGTATTTTTCTTTGAGTAATTACCTGGAAGGATACAAGATTAATTCTTAACTTACCACATTCTATCTTCAAATAGCATATTTTCCACTTCTTTATAATGCAAGAACTTTGTAACACTTCTCTTTTCTGGTCCTCTTCATTCCTTCCTGCTTTTTGTTTCTTTGCTCCTGTATAATATTGTTTTCTTTGGTGCTAAGAACTGCCTTTAGTGTTCCATCTGTACCGTTCTACTAAAAACAAAATTTTCCATTTTTATTTGTGTGAAAACATGTTTTTCCTTTAGTTTTGAATAATTCTTTAGCTGAGTATAGAATGCTAGGTTGACAATTATTTTCTTGTACTAGCTTTAAAATATTATATTGTCTTCCAGGCTTACGGTCATTGTTGAAATGTCAGCCATAAATATTCATGTTGCCCCTTTGGAAATGATGTTTCTATTTCTTTCTGGCTGCTTTTAAAATTCTCCCTCTCTTTTTAATTTTTATATATTTTTTCTTCTTAGCAATTTTGCCAGAAAATGTCCAACTGTATTTCCCTGCTATTTAACCTGTCTGAGGTTTTAGGTTTTATTTATTTATTTTTTCATGGCTTCATGTCTTTCTATCACTTTTGGAAAATTCTCAGTTAAAATCTCTTCAGAATTGCCTCTTCTCCATTCATTTTATTATTCTATAGGGCTCCACTTGTAGGTATTTTTGGCATGTTCTTTGCGTCTCATATGTCTTTTACTTCCTTTTACATATTTTTATTCTTTAAAAAATTAATTCTTTAATCATCATATTTCAGAATGAGGCACTAAATGCCTGATGGCACATGGCTGGGATTTGTCAACAAAAGGCTCAGATTCTAGGGTGACTAAGTGAGGATCCAGACATTTTATTGAGATACTTCCAGAAGTCAGTATCTTTTCTCTTGGACTGACCAGTTTCCTTGATAGTAACTGAACAGTTTCCTGCTCTGGTATATGATTTGGGGTATCGGAATTCTGATACTAGAGCAGGAAAAGAGTTTAGTGATCTCATCTTTTAGTATGTAGACTTTCATTTAACCCTCCTGTTTTCAGTAGTGTTAACTTGAAATAAAAATTACATAATAGAGATGCATCTCTAAGCAAAGAGCTTATTTGGAAACAAAAAATTGCAATTCGGGACACATAGACCAGCGTAGCCTCTAGGTGTGTCTGAAGAACAAAAGGAAAGGCTGGGGTTTTATTGGGAAAATGAACAAAGTTATGTAAGCTGTTTTGAAGGAAGTTTCATTGGTGATGGCAGTGTCTTATGGGAGCTGGCGAGTTCTGAGTGTCAACAGTTACCAGGTAAGACTTAAAGTTATGGTTAGGTCTTTGTGCTTTTGTGTTTGAATTACAAAAACATTTTCTGGAACAGGTATGCATGACCTGGGTGCCTTTCTTCATGGCCTCCAAATCCATTTTAGTTTGGTATGACGTGAAGGACTCTATTTTGTAAAATTAATTTTCACAGTAAGTTCCTCAACCCAAACTGGTGTCTGTCTGGCTAGACATCTCCAGAGATTACTTTCCAGTCTTTGGCCAATGTGTAGGAAGGGCAAACTCCCAGATGCTTTGTCTGTATGTAGATATTCAGTTATACAACTGCTTCTGAAACAAATTTCCTGCCAAGCTTTCTGCTTTCCTCATTCTTTTTGATGCTTGCTTGACACTTTCAGGAACCCTTGTCGAGTGCTAACCTGCAGGCTTGGATTTCAGCCTTATCCATTCTGCTCAATCACATGTCCTTTTATCTCTTCACTTTTCAGTTTCCAAAATTACCTCTCAACTCACTTCTCTCTATTCTTGAGAATTCGTAGATTAAAATCTTCACTTTAAAACCATTTAAATGGTGTTTAGAGAAACTGAAATAAATAATGTGATCCATTAATCATTTTAAATTATGGGTACCAAAGAAGCCAGTTTCTCTATTTTATTGTTGTTGCTGATTTATTATTACATCTTGTTATTTTGCATTTTTTGGTGATGATGGAGGTAATCAGAGCAAATAATGGATTTATTGTGACTACACTGATAATATATTTTTACTCTAATTTTAGGTGAGTGTAAAAGTTCATGTTAGTTAAAACATTACTTACTAGATATAGAACAAAATAGAATCCTGTATCTTCCTTTAATTCTAAAATATGAATGAAAAGTAAAACTGTGAGAATATTGCACATTCTAAAACAATAATTACATATAGTTGCCATAATATTTACAAGTCAAATATTACTTTGATTCTATGGCCTCAAATTGTCGTTTACTCTATGTTAAGCACTGCGTATTAACTATACACTACAGTATATAAGGAAGATGGGTATTATTATCTTTTTTAAAATAGATGAATAAACTGAGAATCAGAGGTAGGAGTCAACATCTTGTTCAGAATTGTATAGCTAATTACTGCTAAGCCTGGACATCCAAACTTAAGTATGTTTCATGTTATCAAAGTAATGATTTTTTTCTTCCTGAAAAATGCTTTCTTCCTTACCTGACATTTACCCAAAAAAAAAGCCTTTAGTGATCTGCAATTTAGAATGAGCTGTTCCCAGATATGGAAAAACACAAACTGTATTATTCTTGACCAGTGTTACTTTCATTAGGATTTGGACACAGTTCTGCAATAGACTTATACACATATTTTAACTTCCCTTCTGTTATTGCACATATGCAGTTTACGTCTATGATATTTTTCATTTAAATAATAATAAAGAAAGAATTAGAAACTGGAACTAATTACAAGTAAAACATTTTCTTCTAACAGAGAGAAGGAGAAAAGGATCATAAGGTGCGTTTGGCAATTGGAAATGGCATACGGAGTGATGTATGGAGAGAATTTTTAGACAGATTTGGAAATATAAAGGTGTGTGAACTTTATGCAGCTACCGAATCAAGCATATCTTTCATGAACTACACTGGGAGAATTGGAGCAATTGGGAGAACAAATTTGTTTTACAAAGTAAGTACAGCATTTTCCTTATTAAAGAAATACATCGGTGCGGTGGCTCATACCTGTAATCCCAACACTTTGGGACGCCGAGGTGGGCAGATCATGAGGTCAGGAGATCGAGACCATCCTGGCCAACACAGTGAAACCCTGTCTCTACTAAAAATACAAAAACAAAATTAGACGGGTGTAGTGGCGGACACCTGTAGTCCCAACTAGTTGGGAGGCTGAGGCAGGAGAATGGCATGAACCCAGGAGGTGGAGCTTGCAGTGAGCAGAGATTGCGCCACTGTACTCCAGCCTGGGCGACAGAGCGAGACTCTGTCTCAAAAAAAAAAAAAAAAAAAAAAAGGAGCACCTTGTGGTCTGCCAGCACTCTTCTAGATACTATGCTTGTAAATTGTGGTAAATATTATCACCTTTTTTTTTTTTTAAGTTGAGAATTTCTAGAAATAGAGTAGTGGCCTCAGTGTGAGAGACAGTGCTATAGGTTATGTGAACCTCAGTTATCTTCTGTATTTTCTCTCTCATATCACCATAATGATGCCTTTTCTTGTTCTGTTTCCAAATTTAATGATATAATTTATAAATAGCAAGCATAGGCCCTGATATATATTGACTCTTTCCGTATATATTAATTTGACTCTTTCCATTTTCCTTGAGTGTTTTTATTCCACTATTTCTATTTATCTTTCATCGTTTATACCACTCAATTCTATACAGGCTTTTAATAATTTTTAAACTATATTAAGATAGCACTAAAATCTTAAAAGTAGCCAAATAAACCAACTTTTTAGGAGGAGAAGATTGACAGCTGATTTCTCAGTAGCAACCACAAAACACAAAAGACAGTAGACATTTACCTTCCACTGGCTTGGAAAAAATAACTGTCAAACTGGAACTTATACTCAACAATAATTTTTTAAGAATGCAGGCAAAAATAAAGATAGCAGTCTCAACCTTTGTAAAGCAAAACTGGTATAGCTGCAAGAGAAAATAAATCTTCAGTAACCTTCTATAATAAGAAACCACTAATCGACATATGAAAGACCCTGCATCTAACTACTGCTGTATATCTATTTTATTCAAGCACTTTTGAAACGTTTACAAAAGTTACTGGGCCAGTTAGGTAATTCCAACAAATTTCAAAGGATTGAATATATATAAATTATGCTCTCTGAAAACAGTTTAATTGTTGGTAGAAATAATTTTTTTAAAAGACAACTAGATAACCTCCTATATATTTGGAAATAAAACATTTCTAAATATCCATTCATCAAAGAAAAAATCATAATAGAAATTAGAAGATACTATGAGCTAAATCATAAAGAAAATGTTACATTAAAAAACTTGTGCCTTAGCCAAGAATAGCTGAAAATTGGATGGAGCTCAGTAACTATCTCTATAAGTTAATTTTTAAAAGGACAACTAAAATAAACTCAAAGGAAATAAAAGGAAGGAAATAATAAAGAGCAGAAATTAATGACATAGAAAAAATGTTTGGTGATGAATACAAAAATAAATAGAAATATAATTTTTAAAAAGTAAATCGATTCTGATTGATAGAAGGCACAAATAATATCAGGAATGGAAAAGGGAACATTGCTGCTGATACTTTAGACATTAAGACAGTAAAAGAGGATATGTTGAATAAGTTCATATCAATAAACTTGAAATTATTAGATGAATTGGATAAATTTCTAGAAATGTACAACTTACTAGTATTGACTCAAGAATTATTTTATCACACTAAATGAAATAAATTCATACTCCAACATCTTCCCTTAATTTCAGATAGCTTTCCCACTCAGGATAATGAATATTCAAAGAGCAAATAATTCCTCTGTTACGAACTCTTCCAGATAATGCAGAAGGAGAAAAAACTTCCCAACTCATTTTTTGACTCCAAACCTGACGTAATAGTGCAAGAACGAAAGTACTTCCTACAGACATACATGTATGAGGAAAGCTTTTGGTTGATAATCTCTCTCCTCAGGTGTGTTTCCTTAGTGGCCTCACCTGTTCTCTGAAAGTAGCACTATCCTATAGCATTGCTTTTGACATTTCCAGAGCACCCTACTCAAGCCATATTTAGAACTGCTTTTGAAGAGATCTTTAAGAATCCCATAATGCGAACTTTGGTGCTTTTTTGTCACTTTCATCCCTAACTGCTTTAGTTTTTTAGGTGAAATTTTCTGTATAATAAACTGCCATACCTCAAAGAACACCTGGAAGCAACAAAGTATTTGCTTTTCTAATCCATGGTGATTTTTTTCAGTATCTGGAAGTAATCGGCAGACATGTGTTTTTCATGCCACAGCAGCTCACTTTTTCAGTCTAGTTGCCCATTCAAAGCTGGTGTAAATCACAGTAATGCTCTAAACCAAAAGAAGGTGCAAACTATTTTTATAATGCATTCTTTTAGAACTTTGAGGGTATAGTTGACATCTAAGAAATGCACTTTATTCTGAACGAAAGCATTTTGGGGAAAGTAAGTGCTGATTTTACTGAGTTTTACGTTCCTTGCAGTTAATTTTCTCAGTTAATTGCACTGGTTCCATTACAAATTTGGTATTGATATTGAGCCCCTTTGTGAAGCTGAGCCATTCTAAAGCAACCAACAAGGGTATGATGATTTGTATTTTATATTACTGACTTTATTATAATTTTCTAATGCTTTAAATTTTCTGTCAACTGTAATAACGTCAATCATATAAAAAGTCATGATTGTCTTCAATTTATTTGGAAAACCTCTGATTTTCAACTCATTTTAGTTTTCTTTTTCAGTTTGGAAATGAAAAAACAAAGTTGTGCCTAATACTTTATGACTTCTAGTCTGTCTTTTATCATTTTATTCACATGTTGTTTTGTTAGATAGCAGGTAATTAGAAAAATTTGGTTCAATGATTATCTCATAATTAAGAGAGGAGATTTGATAAATGTCTGTCAAAAATGCTAACCTAATGGAGGCTCATGCTTATTATCTGGGAGGGAAGCAGCCTCCAGAGATAAAATGTTACAAGTGAAGGAGAAAGATAAGGCAGCAACACAGAGTTCCTATAACCCATTGTCTTTATGTGCTACACTTACTATTTTAATGCATAAAACTGAAGAGATATTGTCCCACATATTCTCCCAGGGCAAACTATATAAAAAATTTAGTGACAACATATTTGAGAGACAAACTCAAGTAGAATTATGAAGTGCTTTCTCTTTTTCTGTAGTATTTTCACCTGGGGAAAGTAACTAGGAAGAGACAAACATAAAATACATAGATAAAGCTTGAAAAAAGGGAGAAAATGAATCTAAATAAAAGGCAGCTGAAAAAAATGAATGCACATTTTATACATAGGTGAAATAAAGCTCGGAAAAAAAAAGAGAAAATGAATCTAAATGAAAGGCAGCTGGAAAAAAAAATGAATGCACATCAAAATAGTAAGTTCCCCAAAACGACCAGGAAATGTTTAGAAAAACAATTACTCACAGGCTTGAAAACTTGCAATAATATTCTCTTTAAAAATAAGAGCCCAGAAAAGAAAAAGGATCAAGGAGAAACATAAATAAACAAAATGAACTAAAAAGTAAGCACGCTCAGCTCAAAGAAAAAAATAGAGGAAAAAATGTAAATATTACACAAATGAGCATCACATAAAATAAAAGGAATGTAAACGTTGTTAGGGAGAAAGATGAGTGGAATTAAGGAGTCCCACAAACACAATAAAAAGAGCAAGCAAATGATAATTTAAAAATTAAGAAAAAGGATTTTGAAAACATAGACAATGATCTGATGTGTCCTTAATTGGTGTTCCTGCAGTAAAGAACAGATCAAAGAAAAAAATAATTATTTCTACCCTAATAGAGGAAAATTTCCTTAAGGTAAAAACTTGAATCTTTAGCAGAAGAGTACACTATATGGGGTAGAATAATTATCAGAAAAATATATCCTGGTAAAATTATGAAACAAAAAGAACCAAAAGGAGATTTTGAGGTAGCAAAAGCAAAGGATGAGCAAAATGTAACACAGATGAGGGTGGGAAACATCTCAGGCATTCTCAAAATAAAACACTCAAGGCTAGAAAAAAAGGAAAGAATTGGCTTCACTTAAGAATTTTTGTTCTGGCTAAGTTGCTTCTCAAGTATCAAGTCAACAAAGAGGTTTTCTCAAAGTTTTAAGAAATCAGAAACTATAATACCTGCATATTTATAGGAATGCAATATTTCTTTGTAAAATTCACTGAATGAAAAATCATGGCCAACTTGAAGATAAACCATAACTTAGAAATGAAAGAATCACCTTCAGTTAAAATGCCTGATGGTGAACATTGGATCAATTCACACGTAGAAGATTGAACAACTCTGAATTGTTTATACATGGAATAAAACCTGACAATGTAAAAATAATTATAACACTAACAAAAATGGGAGTGGGGGGGAGGAAAGGAAGAAATGGTTATTCTCCTACCTGTCATATTGGCAAATCCATAGATAACAACAGAATTTAAAATTTACCATCTAAACTTAAATTTTAAAATAATATATGAGATTAATAAAATGGCTCATTTCTTTAACCATTTTCATAAGCTGTTTTATTGCCTTAAAAGTAGGTGTCTTTTAGGGATGAGGAAAGTTAGACAACTTCAAAATAAGAGAACAGTCCCCACAAGACCACTCCCATTTCTGACACAATTTCAGGAGTCCCAAAGACCACTCTCAGGTTTGATAATTTGCTAAAAGGACTCACAAAACTCAGCTTATTACAGCTAAAGGATCTAGATTATAATCAGCCCAGGGATGTCATATGTAAGGCAGAATCCAGGAGGGTACCAAGGGTGAAGCTTCCAGTTATGCTGTGTTGTGGAGTCAGAACAGCATTACTTTCCTGGAATTGTATAATAATACGCACGAACTGGTGCCAAATGGGGACGCTCATAGGAGGCTTGATGTCCAGTCTTTCTGGGGGCTTGGTTGTGTAATTCGGGTTGACTGCTCACATAGCTTACTTCCATCTCCTGCCCCTTGGGAGGTCAAGCTGGGTGATCCAAAGCCCCCGGCCTACCTCACATTGTTCATGTGCCTCAGAGACCCCATTTCTAAATCATAGTGTTACCATCTAGTTGCCCAAAGGTTTTAGACAAAAAAATGTACTACTCTATTAAGAATGACATTCCAAGGACTTAGAGATCACCTCCCAGAAGCCAGGACCTCTTTTGGGGGCAAGGTTAAATTCTTTACTACACAGGGACTGATGATAACTCTGTTCCCGACTCTACTACTATTTCACTTCGTGACTTTGACAAGTTACTTTTCTCTCAGTTCAGAGTTTCCTCATGTATTAATCAAGGAAATTAACTTTGCGTTCCTTTTCCAACTCATAAATTTACAAATCTGAATCTGCAAAGATACGTGGGTGTGGATAAAATCTCCCAGGGCCAATGCATAGAGCCACATAGGTGTGTGTGCATTGCACAGTTCTGCTATGAATGGGACCCCATGTTTTGAATGGGACCCCCTGCAGCTGTGCTCCAGACATGTACACATATACACATACATAAACATGTACATTTGGGAGATTTTAATGTGTGGCATCTATTTTTTAAATTTGTATTATAATGCAGCCATTTTTGTAATATCATGAGGACCTCTTGAAGGCAGGAAGGAGAATGGAAATATTTCCAGTTGAGCATTAATCCTCTGCTCCAGAGTACTTCTAGAAAATGCTGTGATATATTTAATTGCGTTTGAATTATAAAATTATTCAATTTCTGACTATCAAGTCCCCTTTTTCTGATAACAGACACAGTAAACAGTAATTTGCTGTGGAATGAATCTCACCCACACACAGTTGCCCAATTAATCTAAAAGAAATAACACTAAAGCTGACATCACAAGTCACTGGGCAAATTTTCCAAAAAACAAAGCATGTTAAAACAGGAGAGAAAAGAATAAGTAATGAACAGGGCTCTGTTTTTGTTTGGCCAAGATGATAAAGGCAGTCCCGGAACTTCTGGACTCTTTCTTTCTACTAGCCATTAGGCAAGTGGCCAATATCCTGTTATCCCAATTACAGACAAAGACCAACAAGATGCAAGTTCGTATTTTAATAAACAGTCTTTATATCTAGAATAACAATATATTTGCTTTGCTGCCTCTTTCATTGGCTCTAATCCTAAAATAGGATAATATTAATTTCTACATCATAGGATGTTTTGATGATTACATTAAATAGAACTCTTAAACACTTAGCACAGTGTCCAGCATATAGTTGGTGCCCAATCAATATTAATTGCTCTCATTTATATTTTAATTCAAATAATGAGTTGTGATTCAAGTTACATGCTTATTTTCCTAATGCTAAGAACCAGAGGTATTTGTATTTAATCTTTGATGATAAATAATACTATTGCATCTATCTCAATCATCTTATCTTTTCCCACTTATTTGTTCTATATTTGTTCATTTCTCTTCTCCTGCTTTCCCCCCATTCATCTTTCCTTATTATTATTTTATCTCACTTCATTTTATTACATTCATGTTAGTTTACCATTTTCTAACTGAGCTTGTTTGATTGCTGAGTAGAACCTCAATTTTCTTACAGAATAAAAATGAGGAGGGTTGGGCGAAGTGGCTCACACCTGTAAGCCCAGCTGCATGGAGGGATAAGGTGGTAGGATTGCTTGAGCCTGGGAGGCAGAGGTTGCAGTGAAACAAGTTCTCATCACTGCACTGTAGCCTGGGTGACAGAGTGAGACACTGTCTCAAAAACAAACAAAACAAAATAGGAGGAGGTTGGACTAAACCAGTCTGCAGTTCTCTTCCAGGGTGAGAATTTAGGGGACAAATGAGCCTGCATGATGTGATAATATGGACATGATAGGAGCAGAGTAGCTGAAGGGATGAGAGGAGACATCCAATTTTTGGTTCTTGATGCGATGGGAGTTTTCTAATAAATTTATCATCTCACACCAAAAGAGTGTGGAGAAGCACTGAATGTTAGTTTAGGAGCGTTACAGTGAAAGGCTCAGGGGAAAGGCTTAGGGGAAAAGGACAAAGTGGCTGTCAAGTAAACATACTTTTTAGGCATTTGATGTGTTTTGACTTTTTTTTTTAGATACTGTGAGGAAAAAATAACACAATTTTTGAATTAATATGCTTCCATTTTAGTTCTATTAAAACTTTTCATTTCAAGGGCTATTTTAAATAAATGGCTGCAGAAAATGGTCCTTTTGCCTGCAGTTAACAGAGTATATAATTGAATGCCTGGATTGTTTCAGTATCTTGATTAAAATTAGTAGTGTTTTGCTAAGTAAAGTGTACCACAAAAGAAATGAAAGTAAATGCCAGTAAATGACTGCTGTTTACTAATACCTTTAGTTTTGATTTTTAAATATTTATTTAATTTGTCTTCAGTAAAAGTTGTTTTAATAACTCCATATTCCAATTATTTATTTCAATTAGCATAGTCTACTACAGTAGACTAAATTGCTTGTACAAGTAACTAAATGCACAAGTAACTAAATGCTTGTTTCTATTTGTTTGATTTTTTTTTTTGCAGCTTCTTTCCACTTTTGACTTAATAAAGTATGACTTTCAGAAAGATGAACCCATGAGAAATGAGCAGGGTTGGTGTATTCATGTGAAAAAAGGTAAGACTTCTATTTGAAGACATCTCCTCAAGCAAAGTTTCTGATCTCCTGTATACAGACATCCCTTGGTATCCTTGGGGGATTGGTTCCAGGACCCCGGGTAGACACCAAAATTCATGGATGTTTGCTCCTTATATAAAATGATACAGTATTTGCCTATGAGGTGTGCACATCCTCCTGTATACTTTAAACAGGTTGCTTATAATACATAATACAATGTAAATGCTACATAAATAGGGTCGTATGGTATTTTTTATTTATATTTTTTATTGTTTTATTATTATTTTATCTTTTTTACCAAATATTTTCTATCCAAGGTTGGTTGAATCCACAGATGTGAAACCATGGATATGGAGGGCCCACTGTGATTATTAGTGAATTTAAAAAGGAGAGGATGACTAGGTCCACTGTATAATTTAACTTTGGAATTTTAATGCAGGTGGAACAATTTTACTATTAAATGTTAAGAGCCCTAGAGGGATCACTCAGATGGTAAATTATTAAAATACAAAAGTGGTAACTATTTGGCTCATACTATTCTTAATCCACCACTTGTAGTATGAACAGTGGCAAATTTCTAATGTCCTATATTGCCAAACTATAATATAGAAATTAGTGAATTAATTTATCACTCTAGATATAATGTAAAGTCAGGCCAACTTGGATTTAAACGTGGTCTCTGACACTTAGAAATGGTGCAACTTTAGACAGATTACTCAACCTAAGTCTTATTTTCTTCATATGTAAAGTAGAAGTGACAATGTTTATTAAGTGAGGTTATTGTGGACGATTAAATGGGATGTATATATATTCCTGGGGGACCTGGTATGTGGCTTGTTACTTTCCTCTCCTCAGCTTCTCCCTCTCACTCCCCTCCCTTCTCTACCAAGGTAGACTTTCTTACAATTTTAGGTTAGAAATTTTCATGAAAGCAAGTACTTCAATTAACTTGCTGCTGCATATAATCAAATTAGAAAATAAAATATAGAGATGTGCACTTAGAATTGTTTAGAGATCCAGTATGGATAAATCAAGCCAAAATTAATTTGTATTGCCTTAAAATATGTTGAAACTGCATTTCAGAAGTGGCTTCCTAAATCTTTTCTTCAAATGTGAAGATAAGGTGACAAACCTGTTTTTATTTTCTGGTAGCTGAAAGACTAAAATAAAAAATGCAAACTTTGTCTATTAAAAAACAAATCTCCCAAATCTCTGAATTTCAAGCCTACTGGCATTTATCAAATATGTTTCTCCAATTCTAATCTGTAGACACTGCCCATGGGAAAATAATTTCTGAGCAGAGTGCAAAGAACTTAAGTGCACTTTTCTACTGTTCTATTTCTTACAATTATAGTAATATCTGATGTTAAAACTTGAATCCCAGAACTGTGCTTATGTAACCTCAGGGTTTCTTAAAAAGCTGGTTGACCCCAAATATCTGTTTTTCTATTTTGGAATTCTCATTATGAGCTACTCAATATTTTTTCCATTAAGGCATTGTGTCTTCACAATGTAAATTATGCCCAGACAGGAAAGATATGAATACACTGTGACCTATTTAAACATTTGCAACAATTAGTTTGTCAGAAAAGAAACTGTCACCTGTGTCCTAAAAAAGAAAAAAAAACGTAAGTTTTAAGGGAGATATAAGAGTCTTGAAAAATTCTGAAATACAGGGAATGTAGACTGACAGAATATATCACAGAGGTAAGGCTTTGGAGTCAGATGTACCTGGATATATATATATATATACTCCGACTCCTGCATTTGACAGCTGTATGACATTGGGCAAATTCCTTTTTTTACGCCTCAGTTTTTTCACCTTAAAATGAAGATATTATCTGGGCCTTTCTTATAGGTTTGTGATGAGAATTAAATGGATTACATATGTAAAACACTCAGAATCATGACTATTATGCAAAAAGTGCTCAATAGGTATAATTGTGATGATAATGATGGTGATGATGATGATATGATGGTGTTGGTGATATGATGATATGATGGTGATGATATGATGATGATGATGATGATGATGCTATCAGACTGCTGGGGCAGAGAAGATTTGCTTTGGCCAGTGACCTATGTGCCCTTGAAAGCCAGAATGCCCAGGAGTGGGAGAAATGGGAGTCGAGTAAAGACTGTTGGCTGGGTGCGGTGGCTCACGCCAGTAATCCCAACACTTTTGGAGGCTGAGGTGGGAGGATGGCTTAAGCCCAAGAGTTCTAGATCAGCTGGGCAACCTGGTGAGACCTCGTGTCTACAAAAAAATTACAAAATTAGCTGGGCCTAGTGGCATGCATCTGCAGCCCAGCTACTTGGGAAGTTGAGGTGGGAGGATCGGTTGAGTCTGGGAAGTCAAGGCTGTGGTGGACCATGATCATGCCACTTCACTCCAGCCTGGGTCACAGAGTGAGAGTTATTTTTTTTAAGAGCATTAAAAAGACAGAAATCACTCTGTATCATAGTTTGCTGGACTCCAACTTCATCTAGCCGCATGAACACTGCATCACTTTACAGCAGGCATAGCAAGTGGACAATAGCCTTGAAGACTTCCAGAGCAGTGATTGCTGCTGTCCTTTGTCCTCTCGTCTTCTCTTAGAAGTAGCTTTTACCTTGCAGATTGCTGAGAAAAACCTTAATTAATTTGAATAAGTTTGATTGGAAAATTATTTCAGATAATGTGTCTAAACATAACTGAAACTAATAAGTATCATAGAATAGGAAACCTTTTCAATGTCTCATCTCTTTCCCATCAAAAATTTCCAGAATAGCATCCCAGAGGAATAAACTGTTTTATTATAATAACATGTGTGTTGGATCAGAGATAGTATTATACAGAAACCTTGCCACACAAAGTCATAAAAACTTGAATTTGAGTTATAGGTCCATTTATTTCTCTGAGCGTGGCAACTATTTTACCCCTCTCGGTCCTAGTTCCTTGCTGGTGAAATAGGGATTATATCAAAGGATTTCTATGCAGAATAAGCAAAGTGGCATTTGCAAAGGGCTCATGGTAAATGCCCAATAAAAAATGCTATCATTATTTTATTAACACTATCACTACATTTGTTATTTATATAACAAATGTCAATATTATCTGTGGTAACATCTACATAATCCAAAACAAAAATAGCCGTTGGTCTATCCACCTGGGAAGTATAAGAAATCTAATGAGGCTTTTCTTTCCATTCAATTCCCTTTTTATTAGTTTTTCCAAAGTAATTTGTATTTGTGGTAATCTATGAAAGGATGTGCTGGATATAGGCACCAAGGGTAAATGATGTCAAATACAGAAATAGGTTCAGAGGAAGCTGAGATAAGCAGCATTGGTTGTGCTGGCCAGATATAATATAGATACATTCATGGTGTGTGTAACAATAGTTTTAATCAGATGGCTGCAAAAATGTCGTTCTTTCTTGCAGGAGAACCTGGACTTCTCATTTCTCGAGTGAATGCAAAAAATCCCTTCTTTGGCTATGCTGGGCCTTATAAGCACACAAAAGACAAATTGCTTTGTGATGTTTTTAAGAAGGGAGATGTTTACCTTAATACTGGAGACTTAATAGTCCAGGATCAGGACAATTTCCTTTATTTTTGGGACCGTACTGGAGACACTTTCAGGTATGAAATGTTATGGGATCCATAGCTTGTTCTGTAATTGTGAACCATGCTTCTATAGAAACATCAGAGACCACATATGCTTTAGCTTTCAGGGCAGACAGAGCCCTTTTATCTCCATGTCTCCTCATTAAAACATTTATTGGCCATCTGTTTCTAGACTGAACCACAAGTTAAATTTTGATGTAAAGTTTTATGATTATTTTAGTGAATCAGTTTAGAACAAATCAGTGAGCTCCTTTTTAAGGAAATAAAACTGGCAGACAGATGTAAAATATAAATGGTAGGGTTAAAACAGAAAGCCAGTTTGGTCAACTGTAGTCTAATTCTTGGCCTAATGATAAAAATTTTGAAGCAGCAAAAATCCCCTTTCTCACATTTCCTTTTTTAATTCCCTAAGATTATTTTAGGCCTATGAAATTATTTTGCTTTACTAGTCCAATGACTTGAATGAATAAGTAACTTCCTACATCCTTGCCTTCTTGTACCATGTTATAAGCTCACTTTATATAAAATTATTTCAATTAAAACAAAATATTCATTCAAAAGCATTAAAGGAGTCAAAGGGGGTTAACACCTAGAAATTTAAGTGGGTCAGAGTCAAAGGGGTTAACACCTAGAAACTGAAGTGGGTCAGTGTCCTAAAAGACAACTAGAGCTTTGCTTTCAATTCTTAACACCAGAGAAAAGGAATGTTTCACACTTCATTGTTATTTTACAAAATAATATTTTTGTAATGATAATCCTTGTAGTTATTTTATTTTTATGTATATTATAAAACATAGAAGGTAATTTATACAATGAGATATAAAGTAATTTTGACTAAAAGACCAATGCTGATTTTGTTGAAATACCAACAAAGTGCTTTCTTAGAAATGCCTTTCATCTTGAAAACTACAATTATGTTGGTCAGTAGGTGCTTGCACAGTGCCAAATGCAAGACATTAAAACTAAAACTGGGTACCTAGTTTTTCAAATACAGGTGCACTAACTGGAATTTGATTTTTTTCATTTAGATGGAAAGGAGAAAATGTCGCAACCACTGAGGTTGCTGATGTTATTGGAATGTTGGATTTCATACAGGAAGCAAACGTCTATGGTGTGGCTATATCAGGTATAAATATATTTCAGATTTTGGAAAGATTCTTAGAATAGAATTGCCACTATTCTCTAGTTTTGCAACAGTCTTGCTAATTCAACATTTTAATTTTTGTGTATTAAGATAAAGATTTTATTATTGTCTTGGCAAGTAATGCCCCTTGACCAAGCTAACAAAGTTCATGATCACATCAGGGGAAAGGTACCAACTGAATTTTAATGCCTGCGTGTATTTTTTTTTTTTTTTAGCAAAGCTTGAAAACTCTGATCAATGTCTCACTGCTTGGAATTAGTTACAGCTTTTTATTAGTCTATTATTTTTCTTTTTATGACTGGTGTTTGTACATACCACTAAACAAGAACATGTTCTATTTTAAATGTTTAAAAATACTGACTTTTAGTTAAGATGGCTCTTTATAAAAATTATTTTTAAATTTGGACTCATTATCCTTATAGTTATGCATATGAGGATTGTCTCATGATGTTGAAAATGCCACAGAAAAGTGACCAATTTGAAGTCATAAGACAGCCATTCTCCATTTTTTCTGCAAATGCTTTTAGGTGCAGGAGAGATCAGGGATGTGAGTGTGTGGATAGGAGAGCAGAAGAAGGGAATGATTACTTAATAAATAGCCACTGAGTGTTGAAGAAAGATTCCAGGACATTCTGACCCCTGTAAAGATCCACAGGTGGCATGATAAGCATTAAATGATTTTTGGAATCAATTATGGAAATACGAGTTTCTAGTTTCTTAACTTAAAAAATAAGCCCTTCATATTTTACATTAAAGCTTAGGATATGTATTTCTGCTGGAATATAGTTGCCTTTAAATAAATGTTTTCTTTCTTAATATTTGTTTTAGTGATGGTAGGATGCAAATTCATTGTAATTTATAGTGTTTCCCATTCCATGTATTTCATTTCTGTAGTATAGGCAATTAGAGATAGACTCTGGCCTTCCCTGTCCTTAAATGATTTCTAGGGGGTAAATCATATGTTCAGGGAAGGATACAGACTAGTTTATGCTCCTGTTGTCTTATTATTACTGAAATAGATTTAATGTCTCCATGTGTGCCAATTAGCATGTACAGAATTATCTTTTAAAGTTTATTTGGTACTTAAAAATGACTCTATTTCAAACTTTTTTTCAGGTTATGAAGGAAGAGCAGGAATGGCTTCTATTATTTTAAAACCAAATACATCTTTAGATTTGGAAAAAGTTTATGAACAAGTTGTAACATTTCTACCAGCTTATGCTTGTCCACGATTTTTAAGAATTCAGGTAATTTTAGTGGCGGAGTTTACTATCAAATATAAGACAGTAAACAAGGAAGTAGTTTAATTGCAAAATAATATTGTATCCTTTAGATAACATGTGAGTTATGTGAGAGGCGTGGCGTGTAGAGTTGATGCAGATCGATGCCATGTTTGAAGCCTAATTATAAAGGGGGCATGGTGAAATGCTAGGACGTACCTGTCTTTGTCCTAATTATAGAATTGCTCTCTTCCTCTTCAGTCAGGACCTCAGAGCAAAATGATGGTCCCAGTGACGGTGGCAATCCAAAACCACATCTTACTTTTATCTTGCGAAGACATTTGGTGCTATGTGCCTAGAATTGGGTTCCATTAAGGAGACATCAAAGAGATGGCAAGATGTGTGCAGAACCTAAAGGCATCTGGCTTTAGGCAATCCTGCTTTTTAATTTTTATTGCTGTTCTGTCCAAATTCCCCCTCACCTGGACCTTCCCCATGTGAGAAATTCTGAGTTTATTTATTTTGAGATGAGGACTTTCTCTTGTTAGCTTACTGGTATAAGTACAGTAAAAAGAAAACAAATTTCCTTAACTACTGGGTAACTTTACTTACTCATTTATTCAACCATTCATGTATTTAATATTTTGCCTCAAATATAATTTCCCAAAATTATTACTCATCATCTCTTAACATCCAACCACACAGATTTTTTTTTCTGAATACATTTGTTATTTCACTAATAGACTCCTAGAGGAGCAATAACCTGTGTCATATTCAGGTTTCAGTATTTGCCAAGCAATCATTGCAGCCAAGTCACTGCTTATTCAATGGGACACATCCTCTGAACTATCATAATACCTATTTCATCTCTCTTTTTGATTTTGAGTTTTTACATTGTCTCAGATTATTTTAACAACAACCCTCTGAAACACTAAAGGTAAGTAAATATGAAAAAAGAAGTAATATATTTTTATTGAAATTTTATTGAGATAGTTGTAGATTGACACGCACTTATAAGAAATAATAAGAGAGAACTTGTATATCCTTCACCTTGTTTCCCCCAAGGATAACATTTTGCAGATCTGTTACAACCAGGATGTTAACATAATCTACCCATCTTATTAAAAATTCTGCTTTACTTACACTTATATGTGTGCGTATATTTTCTATACAGTTTTATCACCTGTGCAACTTCATGCATTCATGACCATAGTAAAGATATGAATAATTTCAAAATCTTTCCCCCATGTTGTCCTTTTACAACCATAGCGAGCTCCCTCTTGTCCCTCCTCATCCTCACCCAACCCCATAAGTAATATATTTTGATGGAGTAGAAAGTTGACAGGACAAATAATATTTTAAGAGTTTTTTTCCAAGGCAACATAAAATTCACTTTCATTAAATAGAAAAAATGTTTTAGCTCAAGACTACTTTAGAAGATTAGATCAGCCTTGCACAAATTTAGAAAGTATTTTAGGATCCTTAAGCACCTAAAAAGAACATGGACCATGACTGTTATGTTTATTAGAGTATTCACTATAGTTAGAAATAAAGCCTGACAGCAGTCAAATATTTGTTTAATAAATGAATGTTAGTAATAAATGATCTCATAAAAGAAATGCAAAAGTAAAAGTTACTTCTGACAAAATGAGTCAAACAAGTATTGTATTACAAATCTATTTAGCACAAATTAAAAAATGGAAGAAGCCTTTTTGCCAATAATTCACAAAAATATAATATTCAGTGTGGCTGGGATAAAACGAACTTGGTCCTTTCATTCTGCTCATGGAACCATAAATTGTTATAACCTCTCTAGAAAACAATTTGGTAATATATGATCAGACTCTTAACAGTTTGCATATATTTTGACTTAGTCAAAATGCATCTTAGGAAGTAATCAAAGATGTATAAAGATTTTAATATTCTAAAACACATTTTTTATTTCTAGTGTTAAAAATTTTGATATTCTCTAAAAGTTCATGAATAAGGGCAAAGTTAATTAAAATATGATAATTAAATGAGACCTTATAAAACAATTTTCTAAGTTCAATTTTGAAGAAAATTACAGGACCCAGGAAAATATACTTTGTATAATATTAAGCTTAAAAATGGCAGAACACTAAATTGTATAAATACAGTGAGCTGCTAATTTTTAAGAAAAGAGTAAAAGGATATGTTTGCTTGCACAGCCATATCTGGCTGTGATGACAGTGTTGGATCAGGGGAGATGGAGGAGGGAAGGGAGATCAGGGAAGGGGGTTCAAAGTGAAGTTGACTCAAATAGTCCAAAAGGATAAATAAAAATGGCCAAGCTACTCATAGAATGTTGTAGGGTCTCTACATGTCATCTCACTTAAACAGACTGTTTATCCATGCCTGAAATTCCCACAAAGGGATACACTCTTATCTCCTTTAAACACCTTGAAACAGAGATTCTTAAACTTTCTAGACTCATGGCATCTTTAATGTCTCATAGCACTCTTGGGTCAAAACAAATACCTAAACATTTGTTTATTCACTAGTTAAGGAAAAACAGATTGGTAAGTATTTAGGTCTAACAAATGAGTAGCCACCTGAAAAATAATCCATATAAATAAGTAAATGCTTTCATTTCATTTTCAAATAACCACAATCAGTCACTAAGGAGATGTAAGTTGGGCCACAGTTCTTCAGACCTTGGAATTAGATTGGACTGGACAGGGAGAGCCTGATTTCATGTTCCATGATGATTTTTGGCTGTACTTGCTTTTTATCCCAGCAACTACCAAAAACCCAATTTTGCAAAGATAATGACATCATTGAATGTATTACAAATTACTATTGAAACTGTGAACCTTGAGCTAGTAGTTTGTGACTGGTGACTAACAGATGTCACTGAGTTTCTCTTGAAAACAAGATATCCTGTGAGGACCTTGGAAATTCACTGAGGTACCTCAAGTTTTAGACCATTCAAGTAACCCCTCTGGGTATATTTAAGCCATGTTTTAGAACATTCTGCACCCCGTCTGGCTCTTATAGTATTCTGCTTTTTATGATAGATTTGTGTGTACCTGTAGTAGAAATTGCTGTCTTTTGTGGCTTTTATCTCCTTAGCATCTTATGGCATTCTCTATACATAATGTTATATTGGCATTGAATTGAAGAGATAACCTATGTATTTTAGACATAATTATAATCAGTTTATTATGTTCATAATTCTTATATATTGAATGAGTTTATATTTAAGTAAAGTTTACAGGTAAATCAAACTAAAGATTTTAATATTCTAAAATACATTTTTTATTTCTAGTGTTAAATTATTAGAAAATACAGAGATCACTAGATATAAAGTGTCATAATTTAATATTACAGTCTATAGTATTAACTATATATGTATATATTATAGTTATTAAATGATTCTACTCATCCTGGTAATTGCTTTACAGGAAAAAATGGAAGCAACAGGAACATTCAAACTATTGAAGCATCAGTTGGTGGAAGATGGATTTAATCCACTGAAAATTTCTGAACCACTTTACTTCATGGATAACTTGAAAAAGTCTTATGTTCTACTGACCAGGGAACTTTATGATCAAATAATGTTAGGGGAAATAAAACTTTAAGATTTTTATATCTAGAACTTTCATATGCTTTCTTAGGAAGAGTGAGAGGGGGGTATATGATTCTTTATGAAATGGGGAAAGGGAGCTAACATTAATTATGCATGTACTATATTTCCTTAATATGAGAGATAATTTTTTAATTGCATAAGAATTTTAATTTCTTTTAATTGATATAAACAGTAGTTGATTATTCTTTTTATCTATTTGGAGATTCAGTGCATAACTAAGTATTTTCCTTAATACTAAAGATTTTAAATAATAAATAGTGGCTAGCGGTTTGGACAATCACTAAAAATGTACTTTCTAATAAGTAAAATTTCTAATTTTGAATAAAAGATTAAATTTTACTGAAATATTTTATTTTTATGTATCCTGTCTTATAACCCAATAACATAATTTTCATTAAAAATGTGTTTTCAGTATAGTTTGAAGTCAGGTAGCATGAAACCTCCAGCTTTGTTCTTTTTGCTTAGGATTGTCTTGGTTATGCGGGCTCTTTTTTGGTTCCATATGAAGTTTAAAGTAGATTTTTCCAATTCTGTGAAGAAAGTCATTGGTAGCTTGATGGGGATAGCATTGAATCTATAAATTACTATGGGCAATATGGACATTTTCATGATATTGATTCTTTCTATCCATGAGCATGGAATGTTTTTCCATTTATTTGTGTCCTATTTTTTTCCTTGCGCAGTGGTTTGTAGTTCTCCTTGAAGAGGTCCTTCAAATCCCTTGTAAGTTGTATTCTTAGGTATTTTATTCTATTTGTACCAATTGTGAATGAAAGTTCACTGCTGATTTGGCTCTCTGTTTGTTATTGGTGTATAGGAATGCTTGTGATTTTTGCACATTGATTTTTTGTCCTGAGACTGCTGAAGTTGCTTATCAGCTTAAGAAGATTTTGGGCTAAGACAGTGGGGTTTTCTAAATATACAATCATGTCATCTGCAAACAGAGACAATTTGACTTCCTCTTTTCCTATCTGAATACCCTTTATTCCTTTCTGTTGCCTGATTGCCCTGGCCAAAACTTCCAATACTATGTTGAATAGGAGTGGTGAGAGAGGGCATCCTTGCCTTGTGCCGGTTTTCGAAGGGAATGCTTCCAGTTTTTGCCCATTCAGTATGATATTGACTGTGGGTTTGTCATAAATATCTCTTATTATTGTGAGATATGTTCCATCAATACCTAGTTTATTGAGAGTTTTTAGCATGAAGGCTGTTGAATTTTGTTGAAGGCCTTTTCTGCATCTATTGAGATAATCATGTGGGTTTTGTCATTGGTTCTGTTTATGTGATGGATTACGTTTATTGATTTGTGTATGTTGAACCAGCCTTGCATCCCAGGTATGAAGCCAACTTGATCATGGTGAATAAGCTTTTTGATGTGTTGCTGGATTCAGTTTGCCAGCATTTTATTGAGGATTTTTCCATTGATGTTCATCAGGGATATTGGCCTGAAATTTTATTTTTTTGTTGTGTCTCTGCCAGGTTTTGGTATCAGGATGATGCTGGCCCCATAAAATGAGTTAGGAAGGACTCCGTCTTTTTCTATTGTTTGGAATAGTTTCAGAAGGAATGGTACCAGCTCCTCTCTTACCTCCGATAAAATTTGGCTGTGAATCCATCTGGTCCTGGACTTTTTTTGGTAGGTAGGCTATTAATTACTCCTTCAATTTCGGAACCTGTTATTGGTCTATTCAGAGATTGGACTTCTTCCTGGTTTAGGCTTGGGAGGGTGTATGTGTCAAGGAATTTATCCATTTCTTCTAGATTTTCTAGTTTATTTGCATAGAGGTGTTTATAGTATGTTGGTAGTTTGTATTTCTGTGGGATCAGTGATGATATCCCCTTTATCAGTTTTTATTGTGTCTATTTGATTCTTCTCCCTTTAATTCTTCATTAGTCTGGCTTGCAGTCTATTTTGTTGATTTTTTCAAAAAGCCAGCTCCTGTATTCATTGATTTTTTGAAGGGTTTTTCGTGTCTCTATCTCCTTCAGTTCTGCTTTGAACTTAGTTATTTCTTGCTTCTGCTAGCTTTTGAATTTATTTGCTCTTCAAACTATACTACAAGGCTATAGTAACCAAAACAGCATAGTACTGGTACCAAAACAGATATATAGACCAATGGAAGAGAGCAGAGGCCTCAGAAATAACACCACACATCTACAAACATCTGACCTTTGGCAAACCTGACACAAACAAGCAATGGGGAAAAGATTCTCTATTTAATAAATGTTGTTGTGAAAACTGGCTAGCTATATGCATAAAACTGAAACTGGACCCCGTCCTTACACCTTATACAAAAATTAAGTCAAGATGGATTAAAGATTTAAACATAAGACCTAAAACAATAAAAATCCTAGAGGAATACCTAGGCAATACCATTCAGGACATAGGCATGGACAAAGAATTCATATCTAAAACACCAAAAGAAATGGCAACAAAAGCCAAAAATTGACACATGGGATCTAATTAAACTAAAGCGTTTCTGTGCAGCGAAAGAAACTATCATCGGAGTGAACAGGCAATCTACAGAATGGGAGAAAAGTTTTGCAGTCTATCCGTCTGACAAAAGGCTACTAAATAATAATAATCTACAAAGAACTTAAACAAATTTACAATACAAAAACAACACCATCAAAAAGTGGGTGAAGGATATGAAGAGACACTTCTCAAAAGAAGAGATTTATGCAGCCAACAAACATATGAAAAAAAGCTCATCATCACTGGTCATTAGAGAAATGCATATCAAAACCACAATGAGATACCATCTCACACCAGTTAGAATGGCGATCATTAAAAAGTCAGGAAACAACAGGTGCTGGAGAGGATGTGGAGAAATAGGAACACTTTTGCACTGTTGGTGGGACTGTAAACTAGTTCAACCATTGTGGAAGTCAGTGGGCGATTCCTCAGGGAACTAGAACTAGAAATACCATTTGACCCAGCCATCCCATTACTGGGTATATACCCAAAGGATTATAAATAATTCTGCTATAAAGACACAAGCACACGTATGTTTATTGTGGCACTATTCACAATAGCAAGACTTGGAACCAACCCAATTGTCCATCAGTGATAGACTGGATAAAGAAAATGTGGCACATATACACCATGGAATACTATGCAGCCATAAAAAATGATGAGTTCATGTCCTTTTCAGGGACATGGATGAAACTGGAAACCATCATTCTCAGCAAACTAACACAAGAACAGAAAACTAAACACCTCATGTTCTCACTCATGAGTGGGAGGTGAACAATGAGAATACATGGACACAGGGAGGGGAACATCACACACTGGGGCCTGTCGCGTGGTGGGGGACTAGGGGAGGGATAGCATTAGGAGAAATACCTAATGTAGGTGATGGGCTAATGAGTGTTGCAAACCACCATGGCACGTGTATACCCATGTAACAAAACTGCACGTTGTTCACATGTACCCCATAACTTAAAGTATAATAATAAAAAAATGTGTTTTCAGTTTTTGTTTTGGTGTTTTTAATTGTATACTTCCAATCAAAGAAAGCCGACTGACTAAATGCAGGCAGTGATATCTTCTTTATCTTAAACTCACATTAAGATGATAGAAATATAAAAATATGAAACAGCAGATCAGGAAAACTGGTAAGCTCAGAGCACTTAGGAATTTTTGGAAGATATATAAAAGGGATAACCTGATGATAAAATCCAACAGATATGTCTAAACCACTCATCATACTGGGAAAAAGTAGACTAGAATAGAACCATAGGATTTTCATCAAGATTAAAAACAAAAAGGGCTACAGGTTTGGACAGTTTTGTGAGTAGTTAATGGGGAAATTTATTATAAGGATAATCTAATGAGCACAATTGTACTTATCTCAAGTTGGAAGCACCAGGCTCCAGTATTTCCTTCAAGCTAGAACCACAGAAATGACTCTTAATAAGATGAGGTATCTTCTATAGGAGGGCATTGCGGAGCTGGACTGAGAGGGGGAAGACTGCCCAGCAAGAAGCCCCTGTGCCCATAAACCCAGTTCCATGTACAACCAAATGGAAAGTTTTCCTTGCTTCATGCAGTCTCTCACATGCTAAAGAGATTGCTTTGGTTGGAACTGAAGTTGTAGAGAGTTTAATTTTGTAAATGCTCAGAAATCATGTTATAAAGTTAAAACATTTTTTAAAACGTAAAGGTTAACCACAAATAGCATAGAAATAAAATGTCAAATTTTATGAGAAATATAATTTTGTAAAAAGGAATTTTGAAAGAGAAACAAAAAAATAGTAAATAGAAAAAATACATGTAAGCATACTCATATCCCAATATATAAATGAGAATGGATTAATTTCCTTTATTAAAACATAAATGAATCAATAGACTTTTTTATATCTGTGATTTGGCTGGTTTTTTGCCTTTCCAACTAAAAATGATTTTGCCTTTACATAGTTTTAATTTGTAAGTGTTCTTTAAGTACTATGAATCTGAGTGAACACATTTCTTATTTCCTACTCTTTAAAAACTTTGGAGATTTGATCATGACAGCGAAGTAGGCATACATATATCACCCCCTTGGATATATGGGTAAACTCCTCCTCCTGCCAAATCCATTGCAATGAAAGACAAAATGTTATAGAGAGAACAATCCATTTGAAAATGGAGAGTTAGGGCTAGGTACGGTGGCTCATCTGTAAACCCAGGCCTTAGGGAGGTCAAATGGAATCGCATGAGCCCAGGAGCTTAAGACCAGCTTGGGTAACATAGTGAGACCCCTGTTTTTACTAAATAAATAAATAAAGCTGAGCATGGTTGCAAGTGCCTGTAGGACCAGCTACTCAGGAGGCTGTCCCCAGGAGGTCAATGCCGTGGTGATCTATGTTTGTACCACTGAACCCCAGCCTGGGTGACAGAGCGAGACTCTCTTAAAAAAATTACTAAAAAATATAAAACAGGTGAGATTAGATTAGCAAAGAAACCATGAGGGAAGAGTGGGGAAACAAAACATCAAACTTATGCACAGTGAAAAACTACTTCAAAGGAAAAAGAACTCCAACCACACAGTAAACACATATAAAAACAAAGATGGGGCATCTGTGTAATTACAGAGTATCCCAATTATTAATTATCAGGATACTTAATTGTAGAAAATTGAGACCGTGAATTTTCTTGCCTTTTTCTTACTTATAGAAAACTTCCAGCATCAGACAAAATAATTCATGACATAAAAATAATAAGTCGTTAATTTAAAAACTTATTTAAGACAAGACAATAAAGATTAAAGTTTTTAAAGAGCTAGAAACTAGGGAGAATAGTTGTCACATTTATAGTATATAAAGAACACTTACAAATATAAAGGCAAAATAATTTTAATGAGAAAAATGTGAGAACAGGCAATGTGGGGAAATTTTAGCTTACCAGTACTTCTACTGAGGTTATAAATAAGTACAGTCATTCTGGAAAGCAATATGGCAGTACTTATTAAAATGTTAAAGGTATATAGCATTCAACATGGCATTCTACTTCTAGAGGACATGGAATACCTTTAATACATTATAGACATGTGCACAAAGAGTCTTAATGAATCTTTATCTCTTTTAATAAAAAAAATTTGTACTTATACATCAAAAGAAAGAATAAATGTCAATATAGTCATATGGTAGAATATTATGTGATCATAAAATAATAAGGTGGGCTAACATATACTGATTCATAAAGCCATACTATAAATTTAAAAATTCATATTGCTGAACAATTCATACAATAAGATAAATTCATGTAAACATTCTACAAAACTATTTTATATATATGCATGTATAAATACATGGAAAAGTATCTGAAAAATATTATACTAATAACAGTGTTTATCTCTAGTGAAGAAAGTTGTATTTAGGCATTGAGAAATGTGGAGAGTTGTAAAGAAATGGAAGGAAGATGAAGGAAATAAATTTTAAGTTATTCAGGTGATATAAATACTTTTAATATAAAAATACTTCTAAAGTATATGATGTAAGAGTTTAAATTCTTTTTCATTTAAACTTGGTGAAATAGTGAAAACTAAATATTTGTTGTTTAAGCCACCCAGTCTATGGTATTTTGTTACAGAAGCCCAAACTTACGAAGATACTCAGCAGACCTAAAATTGAAAAAGTGCAAAGAAAACCATACCTAAGGCATTAAAATCAAACTGCTGGCAAATAAAGAATAGAGCAAATTCTTGAAAGGGGTCAGAAAAAAAGTACATAATGGAATAACAATTTGAAGTATGTCTGACTTCTCATCAAAGGTAGGATGGACAGAAGAAAACAGAACAATATCTTTAAGATCCTAGATAAACAAAAAACTGTCAAAGCAGAATTCTACGGGCAATGAAAATATCCTTCAACAATAAAGGTAAAATAAAGGCAGTTTCAGATAAAAGATATCTAGAAGAATTCATAGCTAGGAGTCCTGTCTAAAGAAATGCTAAAGGAGGTTGTTTAGACTAAACAAATACCAGATGGAAACCTATCTCTTCAGGAAGAGATAAAGAGTTATTAGAAATGGTAAATATGTGGGTAAATATAAAATATTATTTTATTTCTCTCAATTTAACAAAAGTACATAACTATTTAAAGCAAAATTTATAACATTATCTTCTTGGTTTAAACTTACTATAGATGAAATACAAATGGCAACCATAAGCATAAAGAATGGTAAAGCCAGTGGAAAATAACAGATACTTATTCAGCATCAGGAAACAAATCTTAAAACTCATGACTAATTAGGAAACTTCAATTTAAAATAAAGATGATATATCTATCTATATCTGGCAATATATAAAAAATAGGACTCAGATTGTTGATGGAATGTAAATGGGTGCAATGTAAATGAGTGTAAATGTTCTGGAAAACAGTATCTATGAGAATATAAAACACAGATAACTTTGACTTATCAATTCTATTTGAAAGGGTTTTTGTTTTTTTGTGTGTTTTATTTGAGACAGAAATTAGGCTGCATTGCAGTGGCCCATCTCAGCTCACTGCAACCTCCACCTCCCGGATTCAGGTGATTCTTGTGTCTCAACCACCCTAGTAGCTGGGATTACAGGCATGCACCATCACAGCAGCTAATGTTTGTATTTTTAGTAGAGATGGAGTTTTGCCATGTTGGCCAGGCTGGTCTCGAACTCCTGCCCTTAAGCGACTTGCCTGCCTTGAACTCTCAAAGTGCTGGGGTTATAGGCATGAGCCACAGCACCCAGCCAGCAATTCTATTTGTAGGAGTAAAGAAAAAAAAAATCACTTTCAATAGTGAGCCAGGATTTATGTCAAAATATGTTCAATTAAGGATAGCATTTATTAATAATAGTATTTGGAGACGACCTAAAAAAAGATAAATAAAAATTGATGAAATCAATGCTTTGTTATGCTCTGCAATGATTCCAAAGAGTGACTGACATCTCAGCATATACTGACCTGGAATACCCATGCTGTATCCCTAAGGGGGGAAAAAAAGAGTACAGAGTACTTATTATTTATTTGTTAAAACTACATTGAGAATTAGAAGTATTTGTAAAGACAATTTAAACAATTTTAATTAATTAAGAAGTGTGGAGTTGGAGAGTAGGTGACTTGTTACTTTTTAGTCTCTACTTGTATTATTTGAATTTAAAAATTGCTGTATTCTGCTTATGTGTTCTTTTAAGACAATTAGAAAAGTTAATTGCTTTCTTTAAGAAAAATATAAGGCAGAAAGCAAGAAATTGATTAAGTGGTATTAATAGGAGCGAATTTAAGATACTCAACCATTTCTCAGTAGAAATAAATATTAGGTTGATATTATTTCTGTTGCTATATTTCATTTTACTACAGATTTCACCACTTTTTGACATACTTAGATGAATTATTTTAAGACCATTAAAAAGGAGAGTAGAAAACATCTGATATTTTTAACAAATCTTATACATAAGAGTTAATTTATGAGGAAAAATACTCTAGCTATTAATTCTCCCCAAATTGCAGTAAATTTGTATGTAAATTTTAACATGTATAACAAAAGCCAAGTTTGAACCACATCCAAGATGATCTTTCTTTGAGGTCCTGTTATATCTGTTGCTGTTTTACTAGTGAAGGGATTTATTACTGGAACTGTGGCTTTTATACAAAGAAACTTGGAGTAATGTCTTCAGTAAATTAAAATCAAAGTTAAAATGCAGCACTAAAACTGTGAGTGGAGTTTATTTTATGAACTTCTTGCAGTGCTTTTCCTTATTCAGAATATTGGTTTCTTGATTTAATGTAGCTTGACATTTAATCTACGTAAACTATTTGACTGTAGTCCTTTTAGAGATAGAATCATATCGACATGATTACTATCTGTGTACTATGTCACATTTCAACAATGAGGTGAAAGCGTTGAAAATGTGAATGAATAACTGTTTCTCAGTTCACCACACCTAACCTTGTAAACAGTGATAGCTCTTCCTCCCCCGTAAAAATCATGAAGTCTTTATTACCTTTCTCCCCAGCATCCAACAATACATAAATGTTTCTCAAGGCTAGAGTGCAAAACCAAACTTTTGTGATATTTTTAAAAATGCATATTCCTGATTGTCACCCAGATGTACTAAATCAGAAACTCTGAGCGTAAGCCTCGGGAACTTGTATTTTTAACAAGGATTTTGAATTCTTGTCATGTGTAATATTTTACTTCTTTATTCTCATTCTCTAACTGTCTCTGCCTCCCAGATTTTCCTCTGGGCCCTCTTGCAACCCCAGACGTAACTAAGCACATCAGATTCCTTATAAATCTTTCGTGTATTCCCAAAGCCATCCTTCCAACTATTTGTCTTATTAGAAAACTTTCTGGCCGGGCACGGTGGCTCACACTTGTAATCCCAGCACTTTGGGAAGCTGAGGCAGGCAGATCACTGGAGGTCAGGCGTTTGAGATCAGCCTGGCCAACATGGTGAAGCCCTGTCTCTACTAAAACTACAACAACAACAAAAAAAAATTAGCCGGGCATGGTAGCAGCTGCCTGTAATCCCAGCTACTTGGGAGGCTGAGGCAGGAGAATCACTGGAACCCAGGAGAAGGAAGTTGCAATGAGTCAGGATCACGCCATTGCAATCCAGCCTGGGCAACAAGACTGAAACTCGGTCTCAAAAACAAAAAAAAAAAAAAAAGAAAAAAAAGAGAAGCCTTGCTGTCCCTGGAGGATACCATTTAACTTTTGGTCCACTAAAGTGGGGGCTCTAACACTCATACACCATATATTGCTGTCAAGAGGTGGTGTGTTCCTTGTACCTCATGGTCCCTTCTAGACTGTTATGCTTTCTGCACCTATGAGTGCTCTGCCATTCTGCTGCAACGTACTCGCCTCTTGGTCCTTACACCTCATTTTCTGACAAGCTCATCAAAGGGTCTACAGCTTTCTTCTCACCCTAATTCATGTCATCAGCCCATACCAATCTCCATCTAATCATCTCAGGTTTTTTCCACTTTGACTATAACATACTTTCCCATGCTTTTCCAATCTCATTTCCCACCTACCCCACTATGTTCAGCTGATGGCTCTCTTTGTTCTTAATTGAGAATATACAAGTCATCAGATGGGGACACCATGATTTTCATAATATCCTAAACAACTTACATATATATGCCAATTATCTTTATTCTTTTTGCCATGAAATGAATGTCTTTTTGTTATCAAAAGGCATGCTCATAATTTATGTTTCAGTACTCATCTTCTCTCCCCCTCTTTTTTTTTTTTTTTTTTTTGAGACGGAGTCTCGCTCTGTCGCCCAGGCTGGAGTGCAGTGGCGGGATCTCGGCTCACTGCAAGCTCCGCCTCCCGGGTTCACGCCATTCTCCTGCCTCAGCCTCCCAAGTAGCTAGGACTACAGGCGCCCGCCACTACGCCCGGCTATTTTTTGTAGTTTTAGTAGAGACAGGGTTTCACCGTTTTAGCCGGGATGGTCTCGATCTCCTGACCTCGTGATCCGCCCGCCTCGGCCTCCCAAAGTGCTGGGATTACAGGCGTGAGCCACCGCGCCCGGCCCTCTCCCCCTCTTAAGAGTCATTTCTAAATGTCAGCAGGATGGCAGAATATGAGGCTCAGGACTCTCTCCCTACCCACAGATATACCAAATAAACAGTTACACTTGGATCAATACCCTCCAAGAAAGATCCAGCAACTACTTGAGGGACTTCTGCACACTAGACAACTTAGAAAATACATCAAATTGGGTAAGAAAAACTGAAATAGTCTCACCATTAACCCTACCCCTAACACAGTGCCATAAAATCTGGAAGGAACTCCCATTTCCCAGCTTTGCCCCGAGGAGTGAAGGGTCCTGAGGTACTAGCCCCTGACTTGACTAACCCAGGAAGCTGACGGGGAATGAGTGAATAACACTCAAGTATTCACTACCTCCCCAGGACCACAGAGAACAAAATGGCAGTTTCAAACAGGTGTGCAAGCACTTCCCACACCTCTTTCTCCAGCTCAGTGCAGACTTAGCAGGCAATAAAGCCCAGCTTTCAGCTCCTGTCTGGAAAGGTAGACTCTACCTCTAAAGTTCCAACTTTTCCAGATGCTGTCTGAGCATCTGGCTTCTAACTTTCATCTGGGAGCTGAGAGGGCAGGGAATCACTAGTCCTCTGGGCACTTGACTGGGCATGTGCTCACTTCCTTGGCTTCTCTTTTCTAGCTTCATTCAGCAATAAAAACAAGCCTCCAGCTTCTCCCTGGAAATAGTTGGACCATACATCTATACCACCCACCCAACTTTTCTGGCTGCTATCTGAGGGACTGGCCTCTAATCTGCCTGTCTTTGTGAGCTGATAGGGCCCAGCATTTGCTATGCTGGTGGGGAGACAGAGAGCAAAGCAACGTTTTGAAAGTGCATGCAATCTGAATGAGCATGCAGGCATTTGTCACAGCTCCCTTTCTCAGCTCAGTGCAGAGCCAGCCAGCAATAAACTCCCACTTTCAGCTCCTCTCTCAGGAGAGAAAAAACTGGGCCACACATCCAGCACCACAACTTTTCCAGGTGATAGAAGTAGAAAATATTTAGAAATACCAAACAGAAATCATAGAGCTAAAAAATATAACCGCACTGAAAGTTTTAATAGAAGGATTCAATAGCTTACTATATCAAGCAGAAGAAAGGATCAGTGAACTCAAATACATACAGGTCATAGAAATCATCCTGTTATAGGTGCAAAAAGAAAAAGAATAAAAAAGTGAGGATAGCTTCAGGAACTTATGGGACACGATCAAGCCAAACAATATATTTATTATGAGACTCTTAGAAGAAGATGAAGAAAAGGAGAAAAAGTGCATTCAAATGAATAGTGGCTGAAAACCTCCCAAAACTGGGTACAGAAATAAACATCCATATCCAGGAAGACCCGAGACAAAACACGAAATAAGATGACACCAAAGAGCGTCACACCAAGACACATTATAATCAAATTTTCAAAGTTAAAAACAAAGAATTCTGAAAGCAGCAAGAAGAAAAGTGACTTATTATGTACAAGGAAACCCCAATAAAACAATGAGTGGTTTTTTATTCCCAGTAGAAACTTTGCAGACCAAAAGAGAGTGGAAGAATATATTCAAAGTACTGAAGGAAGAAAACTGCCAACCAAGAATACTATATGTGGAAAACCTGTCCTTCAAAAATGAGGAGATAAAGACTTTTGCAGACAAACAAAAGATGAGGAAGTTTATCACCACTAGACTTACCTTACAAGAAATACTAAACAAAGTTCTTCAAGTTGAAATGAAAGGACACTAAACAGCAACACAAGAGCATAGGAAAGTGTGAAACTCATTGGCAAAGATAAATATATAGATAATATTACTATAATGATGGTGGGTAAATTGCTTTTAATTCTAGTATAAAAGTTTAAAAACAAGTATTAAAAATATAACTAAATTATGTTAATGGGTGCACAATATAAATGGATGTAAATTGTGATATCAATAGCATTTTTGGGGGTCAGAAGAAGTAAAAGTGTACACTTCCTGCATGCAGGTGAAGCTGTTATCTGCTTAGACTGTTATAACTAAAAGATATCACATGTAACCTCCATGTTAACCATAAAAAAACTGTAGACATTACACAAGGGAAAAGGAAGAATTAAAACTTATAAATACAAAAAAGCAATAAAACACAAAGACAATAAGAGAAAAAACAAATTGAATAATTGCAAGACAAACCAAAAAGAGTTCACAAAATGCCAGTAGTAAATCCTTCCCTGTCATTTATTACTTTAAATGTAATTGGATTAAACTTCCCAATCAAAAGATATAGAGTGGCTGAATGGATGAAAAGCAAGTTCAAATTATATGTTCTCTACAAGAAATTCACTTTAAATTGAAAGACAAAACGAAAGTAAAGAAATAAAAGATATTCCATGCAAATGATAACCAAAAGAATGCAGGAGTGGCTATATGTTTATCAGACAAGTAGATTTGAAGTTGAAACTGTCCCTAGAGACAAACAATGTCATTATATAACGATAAAAGCGTAAATTCAACAGGAAAATACAGCGATTGTAAATATCTATGCACCCAACATCAGAACACCCAACTATATAAAGAAATACTAACAGATCTAAAAGGAGAAATTGATAGCAATACAATAATAGAATATTTCAGTTACCCCATTTTCAACAAAGGACAGAACATCCAGGAGAAACAATTAACAAAGAAGCAGCAGAACAACACTACAAATGGGCCTGACAGACATACATAGAAACCAAATGGGCCTGACAGACATACATAGATCTTTCACTCAACAGGAAAATATACATTCTTCTCAAGTGTATATGAAACACTCTCCAGGATAGATCACATGTTATGTCCCAAAACAAGTGTTAGCCAATTTAAGAAGATTGAAATCACATTGTATTGATCAGGGTTCTCCAGAGAAATGGAACCAATAGGAGAGAGGGAGAGAGGGAGAGAGAGAGAGAGAGAGAAACAGATAAATAGGAAACTTAGTATAGAAATGGGGTCATGTGATTATGGAGGCTGAAAAGTCCCACAGCATGCCATCTGCCAGGTGGAGAACAAGGAAAGCCAATGATGCAATTCAGCCTGACTCAGAAAGCCTGAGACCCAGAGGAGCCAATGTTGTAACTCCCAGTCCAAGGCTGAAGGCCTAAGTACTCCAGGAGTGGGAGTTTGGAGGTGCTGTTCTAAGTCCAGGAATCCTAAGGTTTCAGAACCAGAAGCTATAATATACAAAAGGAGAAAACAGATGTCCTGCCTCAAGAAGAAAGAGAGAAATTTGCCCTTCCTTCATCTTTTTTTTCTACTTGGACTCACAATGGATTGATGGATGCCCACCCTCATTAGTGAGGGCTGATACTCTTTACTCTGTCTACTAATTCAAATGCTAATTTCTTCTAGAAACATTATCATAGCACACCCAGTTATAATGTTTTGCCAGTTATCTAGATATTCGTTAGCCCAGTCAAGTTGACACGTAAAATTAACCAACACAAGTTTACCTTTTATTAACTTGGCACCTAAACCCACTCCTTAACCCATACCTAATTTTCAAGTAAATAAAATAACAAGGTCATCGTACCACTTGACATGATGTAGCTATCCTGCATACAACAGAAAAAGCACAGACCCCTTTCCCAGGAGAGAAGATAAAGTATTTGAGTGATATTTACTCTTTATTATCTCCCATAATTTAATTACTGTATAATTAACATATGTATGTTAATATATATAAACATATATATTTATAAAGTCAATACATCTTATATATTATATGAGAAAAATAGAGGAAAGAAAACAAAAGATATTACACACACACATACACACACACAAAAATAAAAAACATGTATTCAGCCAACACCATAACTCCCTTCTTGGTCTGTTGACTCAAAGGCATGAGGAGCCCAAGTGGCCAGGTAGCAGTCTTAACTTCCAGTTTAATGCAATTATTGTGATACCTCCTGATGGAAGCACTCCTTCTGGAGCTAAGACCTCTTGGCCAGCAGAACGTAAAATTGTGGGAACAGGAAGCAAAAAAATTGCTAGTAGGTCACTGTGGTAATGATGAGTGGTGCCACTCTCATTTCCATTCGTTGGTTCCTGATTCATGAATCCCAGCTATGAGAGAAAGATATTGTACACTGACTTAGATAATATACAACTTTCTGGAGAACTCTGCCCCAGTCCTGCAAAGTATTGTCACCTAGCTGGCACTATCACTATTCCTTCAAATGGATATTCCACTGTCCTATCAATCCAGCTGCTTCAGGATGGTGAGGAACATGATAAGAACAGTGAATTCCATGAGCCTAGGGCTTTTGCCATGCTTGTTTGTCTGTGAAGTGAGTTTCTTGGTCAAAGCAATACTTTGTGGAATACCATGATGATAGATAAGGCATTCTATAAGTAAACAGATGGTAATTTTGGCAGAAGCATTGCATGTAGGGAAGACAATCTGTATTGAGAGTATCTATTCCAGTAAGGACAAAATGCTACCCCTTCCTTGAAAGAAGTGAACTAATGTAATCAGCTTGTGACCAGGTAGCTGGCTAATCAGCCTGGGGAATAGTGCCATGTTGGGCCTCAGTGTTGGTCTCTGCTTCTGGCAGATTGGGCACTCAGTGGTGGCTGTAGCCAGGTGGGCCTCAGTAAACAGAAGTTTATATTGCTTATCCCATACATAATTGTTATCCCTGCAACCATGGCCACTTTGTTTATGAGAATGAGTGGCTGGGAAGGAGGATGACTGGTAGGCCAGAGATCAGGTCATTATATCCATTTGATTATTAAAAATACTCCTCTGCTGAAGTTACCCCTGATAAGCATTTACATAGAACACAAACATCTTGACCATTCAGAATGTTTATTGACCATTCAGAATGGCTTCTTGACCATTCAGAATGATCCATCTGTACACCTCTTTTTAAATTTCTTTGTCATCAATTTTCCAATAATATTTCTTAGTCCTTGACCATCGAGCAAAACCATTGAGTACAGCCCCTAAATTGCAGATATCCAATTTTGGGTATTACTTGCCGAACCATCTGTAAGCCAGGCTGACGTTTTCACTTCCTCTGTCAACTAATCATAGGTAACTATACATGAAGCTGAGAGTGCAGAGTGGGAGAGAGAAGGCAGTGTAGCAGGAGTCGGGACCATGTACATTCAGGCTATTTATTCATACAAATTACTTGTGTGTTCAGAGTTTGCTAAGGGCCTGATAACCTATATATTACTTCTATTTAATGACGGAGTGCTGCTGTGGTTGCCCATATGGCTTGATGGGCCAGATAACACCTTGTTCATGATAGGCAGCTCAGGTCACATTGTAACTTGGTGGCCAATGATCAAGTGTGCATTTTCTAACACTTAGCAGCAGGCCTGTAATTCAACCATAGGGACCTGCCAAAGGCTCCAAATAGCATCCCTACATGCCCCTGATAAATCAAGTATCACTGGACATACTGGATCATAAGGCACAATGATCTGCTGGCAGAGCAGCTTGCACAGAAGCCTAGACTTGTTGCAGAGCCTTCTCTTGCTCTGGGACCCACTTAAGACTAGCAGCTTTTTGGATCACTCATTAACCTCGCTAGAGCAACACAACCAAATGGGAACTATGACAGAAATAAAGTCAAATGACAAATGAAAAACTAGGGGAAATATCTGCAATTAACATCACAGATAAGGGGTAATTGCTTAAATGGAAATCTCTTCGGTCTTGTTTAGTAAAAGATAAGTAACACTGTAGAAAAATGGGCAAAAGACATGAACATAGACAAAAGAATCCCTAGGGGTGTAAAAAAGTCCAACTTTATTTATTGTAAGAGAAATACTTATTGAAATTACACTTATCAAGGAAATGGGGAATCAGATGGTCTCATATATTGCTCATGGGAACATAAAATTATATAACTGTATGGAAGTCAGTTCAGCAATATCTATCAACACTATAATACCATGTGTCTTTGACCCAGCATTCTCATTTCTGGGAATGTATTCAACAGATGCATCTGTATTTATAAAAGAAGAAATATTTACAAGGTCATTAATTCGAGCATGATGTGTAATAGCACAATCTTGGAAACAATCCAAGAGTGCATTAATAGTGGCTGCTTAAATAAATTATGATACATGCATCAAAACTGCAATAAAAATTAAGCAGCTCTCTGTATATTAATTTGGAAGGATCTCCCAAATATATTGTTAAATGGAAAACTTCAGGCATTAAAGATATATGTTGAATCATAAGATATTGTGGATATGATGCCAGCTTTACGGCTGCTCAGACTTTGGCCTACATCTGCTGCAAAACCCTTTTTTTCCTCTAGGACCCATACAAAACCCAAAAGTCTTTTGTACTACTTGATAAATAGGTCAAAGCAATATTCACCAGTGTGAAATTGTGCAATTGCTCCCAAAACCCTAGGAGACTTCCCACATGTTTTACTATTTTCTTAGTGGTAAGAGGTACAAGAAATAATACTTGTCCTTTACTTTGGAGAGAATATCTCAATAGGACATTCCTTACAACTGGGCTTCTGTACCTCTAAAAACTTCACTGATATGTCAGGCCCTTGAATCTTTGTAGAATTTCTATAAAGATTGAAACTTCTACCTTCTAAAGTTAATGTAACAAATGGAAGCAAGGCTTCCAACATAGTTGACACTTTTTTGGATTATTCTGTAGGATGATACATACATCAAAACTACAAGTAAGCTACTGTCATCCACTATGATCCCTCTACTTTATGCAGGCACCAAACTGATAAATTGTTTGGGGATGTGATGGAGACTACTACCTCTGCAACCTTTAAGTCTGTAGGGGTGGTACAAACCTCCGTCATTCCTCCAGGGATGTAAAAGTCATTTTTAATTTTGTTGTCTATCTTAGGCTGAAGACACAGAATTCAAGGGCTTCTACTTGTATTTTCCTGCTACTATTGATCTTACTCTTTAGGTGAAGAAAGCACTATATGGTTTGTGCCACTTGCTTGGTGTATTCATTCCTATTGTATGTTTTAGAACTGGGGAAATGACCACAGGGTATGTCTGTGAACCCATCTGAGCCACTGGGAAGTCAATAATCACTTTAACTGCTGAATCTTACTTACTCCTATTCCAACACATGGGCCACGATTTACTGCAGTTCTCAGTACATTAAAATCAGCCTTTGATTCAACAGTCCTAAAAAGCTTTGGGTATGCTTTTCCCCTAAGTAAATGGCCATAGGTCTCTGAGGAGAATAGGAATTTACTACTCTATTTAATTGACCAAGTATTACAGGATCCTTCTTCATGGGGACCCAGGCTCTTCAGTCAAAAAGGGGTTATTGTGCAGTTCTTAAGGGAGGCGGCAGCAAAAGTAAGAAATACTGGTTGGCTTCCCCAAATGCTCCTTTAAGCAGTGTGAAGATGAGGGAGAGGAGGAGAATATGAGAAATGGAATTCCTGCCAAAATCTAAGTTGTCAGGACCAAAAAACAGAGGGGAAAGGTGACTTTCCAATTTTAATTTTTAAAATAAGTAATATCCTTAGGAGAATGTAGAAAAGAGGAGTTCAAGAAGAATGGGACTTCCATCTAGAGAAGAATTTTTCTGGCCTTAGCAAAGGAGAGACGTGAGAAGTGATAAAAATATTTCAGAAACAAAATGAATACTACGACTCCAATGTTGGCAGGAAATTAGTGAGAAAGCCGTTGGACTTCAAGAGGTCTGGAGGCTGGGAATGAGGAGCATTTCAGTGGCTAACTGCATGGATCTTTGGGAACCAAATAAAACAATGACCGTTTCAGAGACTGTTGCATGGCTGGTAACCCAAGGCTATCTTTCATCAAATGTCTTTAGTACACTCTCAAGAACTTAGACCTAATGCCCATGGAAATTGTAGGAGAAAGGAGGCCAAAATTGCCTGAAATTAAGTATTGTTCTCTTGGTTTTTAAAAGGGAAATTAGATTAATTGTGGTTAGAAGTAAAATTTAAATTCCCTAGAGAGTAGCTTAATTCTTAACATACAGGAAAAATTGCCAGAGGAATCTTTACACATAGATACTCAGAGGATCATCTATCAATCAGTTGTACTTCTTGGGACTTCTAGTGTGATGCACAAGGTGGATCTCTTAGAATTGACAGATATTTTGCCTCTTTCTCTGTGTAAATTAGGGCTGGAATGGGAGGAGCAGCCAAGAGATTTCATCAGCCACAGTGTGCATGATGGATGAGAACACGGGACACATACCAGTGAAGGGCAGGTCGTATAATAATGTTATGCTAACAGAGATTGGGAATGCAAATAATCAGGGAGTTCATGTGCTATCTTTTTCACCATGACTCTACTTTGCGCTATTTATTGAATGTACTATTACTTATGAGTGGATGTCTGAGCCAAAAATACGCCATTTTCTATAGACACAGGTTTTAAAAATTGTGGAAAATTAAATTATCAATATATTAAGAGTTGCAGTATTCAGACCATATATTATATTCTTGTTCAAACAAGCTAAAAATATTAAAGATGATACATGTAAGCTTATGCCAAAAATGCCAAAGTGTAATGAACAAATTCCTGTTAGACTGAGTTTAGTAAACAAAAAGGCACTTCTTTTTTGATGTTACCACAGAAACCCAGTAAGGGAGAAATGTGATCTAACTGGCTTAAATAAAAGATAATGATGAAACCTATTTTCATAAATTTGCATCAGTCAAATATTTTGATGATTAATAAGCAAGCCAAACTATTATACTTATAAAGAAAGTCTATAAATGATCAAATGCCTTTTATCAACATCAAAGTATCTGATTTTTCTATTTCCTTACCTTCACAGCCTATTTAAATAAAAAATGAGAACATTATTTTAAGCTATTATGATCTAATTGTGTGCTATATGAAAGCATAAAAAGACATTCGGATCAAATGGAGTTTGCATTAAAAGAAATCAACTGTTTTCCAGAAAATGGGGGGAAGTTCTATATATATTATATAAAAGAACAAAGTAATAAATCAGGTTTCTTACATGCTTTATAGAAAATGTTACTTATCGACACTGGACTAAAAAAAGACTGTGCGTAACCCATAGATAAGCCAACTCTTATTGTGATAAAACATCAGACAAATCCAAATTGAGAACATTCTACAAAATACCTGACCAGCACTCCTGAAAACTACCAAGGTCAGTAAAAATGAAAAATGATAACTAAATGTAATATGATGTCCTGAACATGGTTCTGGAACAGAAAAGGACATTAGGTAAAAACTAAGGAAAATTGAATAAAAGTAAGAACCTTGGTTAATAATAATATATTAATATTTCTCATTAATTTTAACAAATATATCACACTAATTTAAGACATAATAATAGGGGAAAATGGGTGTTGGACATATATATGGCTGCTCTCTATATGGCCCAATTTTCCTGTAAATATAAAAGTATCCTAAAATAAAAAGTTTATTTTTAAAAAATTCCCCACCTCCAAAAAAAATCTTATAAATCTGTTTCATGTACTGTAGTATGAACATGATTTCAGAGGGTGAACAGTTAATAAATGTTTATATGACAGTTCAATAAATCAATCCCCTTCTCTAAGGTTTTCAGGTTTACTTTCTGGCACTACGAGATACTCTAGGCTCACCTTGCTTACTACTTGCCCCAGTCCAGCCATCAGCCATTCCTGTTTCCTTTTATTGGAGAATAGAAGAATGTAAGGACTGGGTTGTTACTGGTGTTTTGTTGCTTCTAGGCCCTGACAGCTGGCTGACAGAACAAGGAAATATACCTGGTATATTAACCTATGTATATACACATATCTATGAATATTTCTTTGTGTAATCATATATATTTATATTAAGCTAAACATCAGTTCATATTTAGGACTCCAACTCTAAATCATTACCCTGTGGGTCATTCCAGCCTTCTGTCTTTGTATATCTGCAGCCTCTCAATCCATGGATGTTCTTTTACTTGGTCATCCTCACCCCATGGTTCAAGGGTATAGTAAGTATTTAGTGATTCTGCATAAATGTTCTGCATATCAATATTCAAGTATTTGTTCAATGTATATGATTTTGATTTAAAGTTATCAGCTCCAAATGAAGGCTAGGAGGCTAAATTAAACAAATTAAATTGGCTAAAGTTAGATCTTTTTTTAAAAAATATATGTTACTGAGTAAGCTTATCTCTATAATTGGAATTTTAATTTTATCTACTTATATATTGGGCAATTTTGGAAAATGTATTGTCTTCATGTAGGACAGATATCATTTGAAGATATTCTATAAACTAAATAAAATAAATAATAGCAATTGTTCTTGATTATTATTGACAGTGATTTTTTTTTTTTACTTTTTAAAAATGTTTCTGGTCAAACAGTGCCATCTGTCTACTGGCCCACATTGCAGGTGCATAAGTTTAACACTGTAGCAAATATTTGCTTTAATTAATAATTTCTGAAAATTAGATTCACTGGCACCTTGACTTTATCTGATGTCTAGCAATTATGAGTTCCTATTTAAACTCATAAGTTGTTTCAAGTCATAGACTTCATAAATGAAGTGAAACTGGAGTCAAGATTTCTCTGTTCTGTGTCATCACAGCTTTGCCTTTTTACTAGCTGGGTGACCTTAGCAAGTCACCTCTCTGAGCCTTGTTTTTTTCATTTGTAAAATACAGATTATAAACCTACCTTAAAAAATGTTGTAAAGATGAAATTAACAAAAAATATAAAGGCCCTGAATACGCTCAACAAAAAAAGTTTGTTTCATTTATCTACAGAACATAAAAATTGTTTTTAGCCTTCATTTTACAAAAACAGAGATGCCCATTTTTCTAATTTCAGGGTTATATTGTACAATGTCATTTCAATTGAATGAATCAATGGACACATTAATTTAGAAGAATAATACTTAAATTTACAGCCATTGACTTATTTGGACAATAATTGACTTTATAGCAGTAGAAATAATGAAAGATACATTTGCTTTCCCATAAAAATGTGATTTTAGTGGAGAATAACGTTCCTGAAGGGATGAGTTCCCAAATGTTATTAATCAATATATTATAGCAATGAGCATAATTAACAAAACAAATTATATTCCTCAGTATTGTTCATCACAAACCTATCTAAATTATATATCAAATAATCAGCAAGTTAATACAGAAATGAATAGCATATATAACATTTATTTACTTTTACTTAGACTCCAGGGAGAGGGAATGTGCTCAGTTGGGAAAGGGTTGAAGGAGGGACATGAGAAGAAATGAGTTGGACATAAGAAATTTAGAGGCCGGGCGCAGTGGCTCATGCCTGTAATCCCAGCACTTTGGGAGGCTGAGGCGGGTGGATCACCTGAGGTCAGGAGTTTGAGACCAGCCTGACCAACATGGAGAAACCCTGTCTCTACTAAAAATACAAAATCAGCTGGGTGTGGTGGTGCATGCCTGTAATCCCAGCTACTCGGGGGAGGTTGAGACAGGAGAATCACTTGAACCTAGGAGGTGGAGGTTGCGGTGAGCCGAGATCATGCCATTGCACTCCAGCCTGGGCAACAAGAGCAAACTCAAAAAAAAAGAAAGAAATTTAGAAAAATACTCCTTGAAGCGCCATGCTGATGGAATAGTTCACTGGAGTGTAAGTGGCAAGATACAGGGTAAGAATCTCTAACTCCAAAAAAACAAAACAAAACAAAAAACGTAATGAAGACCCAATTTGTTTAATTTCCTAAGCCTATCTTAAGTGGTAGCAGTGATAATGATAATGATGATTTTACCCTCTTCCATTCATAAGGAACAGTAAAGTTTGTGTAATTGACCTTCGCTTGAAGGGTAAAACTTGTTGGTCTTGGTATTCTCTTCAATAGTGACTTATTAAGAGTGAAAATGAGAAGAGGAGGTGGAGCAAGATGGTCAAATAGAACCATTCACTGATCATCCTCCCTGCAGGAACACCAAATTGAAAAACTATCTACATAATAAAGCACCTTCATAAGAAGCAAAAATCAGGTGAGTGGTCACAGTACCTGATTTTAACTTATATCCACTGACAGAGGCACTGAATGGGGTAGGAAAGACAGTCTTCAATTGTTGATGCCACCCCTCCGCCATGTGGCAGTGGCCACATAGGGCAGAGAGAGAATCTGTGCATTTAGGGAAGGGAGAGCACAGTGATTGTGAGACTTTGCATTGGAACTCAGTTCCGCCATCACAGCAGAAAGCAACACCAGGCAGAATTCAGCCAGCACCGGTGGAGGAAGTTATTTACGCTAGCCCTAGGCAGAGTAGAATCGCCCATCCCAGCAGTCGGAACCTGAGTTCCGGCAAGCCTCACTACCATGGGCTAAAGTGCTCTGGGACCCTGAATAAACTTGAAAGGCAATCTAGGCCACAGGGACTGCAATTCCTGGCCAGGTCCAGGTGGGGTGCTGGGCTTGGAGCTAGTGAACATGGGGGGCATGTGACCTAATGAGATGTCAGCTGGGGCAGTCGAGAGAGTGCTTGCACCACTGTTCCCTCAACCCCAGGCAGCACAGCTTGCAACTTTGCAACTCCAGGAGAGACTCCTTCCCTATGCTTGAGGAGAAGAGAGGCAAGAGTAAAGAGGACTTTTTCTTGTAACTTGGATACCAGCTCAGCCACAGTAGGATTGGACAATGGACAGAGTCCTGAGACCCACATTCAAAGCCCTACCTCTCAGATAACATTTCTAGACACACCCTTGACCAGAAGGAAACTTGCTGCCTTGAAGGGAAGGGCCTAGTCCTGGCAGGATTCATCATCTGCTGATTAAAGAGCCCTTGGGCTGTGAATAATGAGTAGTGGTAGCCAGGCACTACTTGCTGTGGGTCTTGGTGAGACTCAGAGATGGGCTGGCTTCAGGTATGACCCAGAAAATTCCCAGCTGTGGTGGCTATGAGAAACTCCTGCTTGAGAAAAGGAGTGGAAAAAATAAAGGCTACTTTGTCTTATAGCTTAGATACCAGCTTGACCACATTGGGGTAGAGCACAAAGTAGACTCTTGGGGTCCCCAGTTCCAGGCCTTGTCTCTTGGATGGCATTTCTGGACATGTCCTAGCACAGAGGGGAGCCCCACTGCCCTGAGTAGAGAGTCCCAAGCCTGGCAGCATTCACTATGAGCTGACTGAAGAGCACTTGGGCCTTGAGTGAACATCAGCAGTAGCCAGGCAGTATTAATTGTGGGCTTGAGGTTGTGTTGGCCATAGGGAGAGACTTCCTTGCTTGCAGAAAGGGGAGTGAAGAGTGGAAAGGATTCTGTCTTGTGGCTTTCATGTCAAACATGAAGGAGAAATAAAGATTTTCTAGACAAACAAAAACTGAGGGAATCCATTAACACCAGACCTGTACTACCAGAAATTGCTAAAGGGAGTTCTTCAATCTGAAAGAAAAATACAATAATGAGCAGTAAGAAATAATCTAAAGGTGCAAAACTTACTGGTAATGGTAAGGACACAGAAAAACATACAATATTATAGCACTATAGTAATGGTGTGTAAACTACTCATTCCTTGAGTAGGAAGGATAAACAATGAACTAATCAAAAATAACAACTACAAATTTTCAAGCCTTAGACAGTAAAATAAGATGTAAACCGAAAGAATAAAACATTAAAAGTGTGGAGACAAAGTTAAAGTGTAGAATTTTTATTAGTTTTCTTCGTGTTTTTTGCTTACGGAATCAGTGTTGTCATTAGTTTAATATAATGGGTTATAAGATATTATTTGCAAGCCTCATGGTTACCTCAAATAAAAAACATACAACAGATACAGAAAAAATAAAAAAACATGAAATTAAAACATAAGAAAATCCCCTTCACTAAAAGAAAGGAAGTAAAAAAAAAAAAGAAGAAGAAGAAGAGACGACCATAAAACAAGCAGAAAACAAATAACAAAATGGCAGGAGTAGGTTTTTTGTTTGTTTGTTTGTTTTTTGTGACAGAGTCTTACTCTATCGCCCAGGCTGGAGTGCAGTGGCGCGATCTCGGCTCACTGCAACCTCCACCTCCTGGGTTCAAGCGATTCTCCTGCCTCAGCCTCCTGAGTAGCTGGGACTACAGGCACATGCCATGATGCCTGTCAAGTTTTTTGTATTTTTAGTAGAGATGGATTTTCACCGTGTTAGCCAGGATGGTCTTGATCTCCTGACCTTGAGATCCACCTACCTCAGCCTCATAAGTGCTGAGATTACAGGTGTGAGCCGCCACGCCCAGCCAGGAGTAAGTTTTTACTCTTCAATAATAACATTAAATGTAAATGGACTAAACTCTCCAATCAAAAGACACAAAATGGCTGAATGGATTAAAAAGAAAGACCCAATGATCTGTTCCTATAAGAAACATATTTCACCTATAAAGACACACACAGACTGAAAATGAAGAGATGGAAAAAGATATTCCATGAAAATGGAAATTAAAAAAGAGAAAAAGTAGCTATACTTACATAAGATAAAATATATTTCAAGACAAAAACTGGATAAAGAGACAAAGAATGCCATTATATAATAATAAAGGGGTCAATTCAGCAAGAGGATATAACGATTGTAAATATATCTTCACCCAACACTGAAGAACCCATATATATAAAGCAAATATTATTACAGCTAAAGAGAGATGGATCAGAAGAAGATAATAGCTGGCTACTTTAACATCCTACTTTCAGTATTGGACAGATCTTCCAGACACAAAAGCAACAAACACTGGACTTAATATGCACTGTAGATCAAATGTACCTAATAGATATTTACAGAACATTTAATCCAACAGCTTCAAAATATACATTCTTCCCCTCAGCACATGGATCATTCTCAAGGATTGATCATATGGTAGCACACAAAACAAGTCTTAAGAAATTCAAAAAAATTGAGAATATATGAAGTATCTTCTCTGACCATAATGGAATAAAACTAGAATCAATAACGAGGAATTTTGGAAACTATACAAACACATGGAAATTGAGCAATATGCTCCTAAATGCCCAGTGGGTCAATGAAAAAGTTAAGAAGAAAATTAAAAATTTTCTTGAAACAAATGATAATGGAAACATAACATATCAAAATCTTTGGTATATAGTGAAAGCACTACTAAAAGGGAAGTTTATACCTATAAGCACCTATAGAAAAAAAAAGTTACATAAATAACTTAGAAGTGCATCTTAAAGAAAAGGAAAAGCAAGAGAAAACCAAACCTGAAATTAATGGAAGAAAAGAAATCACAAAGATCAGAGCAGAATTAAAATTGAAATGAAAATAAGACAAAATAATCCACAAAATAAAAAATTGTTTCTTAAAAACAATAAACCAAATTGACAAGCCTATAGCCAGACTAAGTAAAAAAGAGAGAAGCCTGAAATAAATAAAATCAGAGAAGAAAGGCCAGGTGCGGTGGCTCATGCCTGTAATCCCAGCACTTTGGGAGGCCACAGTGGACAGATCATGAGGTCAGGTGATCGAGACCATCTTGGCTAACATGGTGAAACCCCATCTCTACTAAACATACAAAAAATTAGCTGGGCATGGTGACGGGTGCCCATAGTCCCAGCTACTCAGGAGGCTGAGGCAGCAGAATGGTGTGAACCTGGGAGGCGGAGCTTGCAGTGAACTGAGATCACACCACTGCACTCCAGCCTGGGCAACAGAGCAAGACTCTGTTTCAAAAAAAAAAAAATCAGAGAAGAAAAAGGAGACATTACAACTCATACCACAGAAATTTTAAAGATCATTAGAGGGTACTATGAGCAACTATATCTCAATAGATTGGAAAACCTAGAATAAATGAATAAATTCCTAGACACACATAACCTACCAAGATTGAACCATGAAGAAGCCCAAAACCTGAACAGATCAATAACAAGTAATAAGATTGAAGCCCTAACAAAATGTCTCTCAGCAAAGAAAGTTCTGGGAACTGATGGCTTCACTGTAGAATTTTACTGAAGACTTAAGTAAGAACTAATACCAAGTCTACTCAAAACTATTCTAAAAAATAAAGGAGGGGGGAATACTTCCAAACTCATTCTACAAGGTCAATATTAGCCTGATACCAAAATCAGGCAAAGGTATATCAAAACAAGAAAACTACAGGCCAGTATGCCTGATGAATATTGATGTAAAAATTCTCAACAAAATATTAGCAAACCAAATTCAACATTACATTAAAAAGATCGTTCATCAGGACCAAGTCAGATTTATCCCAGAGATGCAAGAATGGTTCCAGATACACAAATCAATCATTTTGACATATCATATTGATAGAATGAAGGACAGAAACTGTATGATCATTTCAAGTGATGCTGAAAAGCATTTCATAAAATTCAACATCCCTTCATGACAAAAACCCTCAAAACATGGATATAGAAGGAACACAATAAAAGCCATATATGCAGACCCATATCTAGTGTCATACTGGATGAGGAAAAACTGAAAGCCTTTCCTCTTAGATCTGGAACATGACAAGGATACTCACTTTCATCACTGTTATTCAACATAGTACTGGACGTCTTAGCTACAGCAATCAGACCAAAAAAAGCAAATAAAGGGCATCTAAATTGGAAAGGAAGAAGTTAAATTATCCTTGTTTATAGATTATGTAATCTTATTGGATAAACCTAAATACTCCATCAAAAACTATTATAACTGATAAACAAATTAAGTAAAATTGCAGGATACAATATCAACATACAAAAATGAGCAGCATTTTTATGTCAGCAATGAACAACCTGAAAAAGAAATCAAGAAAGTAACCCATTTATGATAGCTAAAAATAAAATAAAATACCAAGGAATAAGCTTAACAAAGAGGTGAAAGATCTCTACAACGAAAACAATAAAACATTGATGCAGGAAACTGAAGTGGACACACGCAAACATGGAACAACATTCCAAGTTCTTATACAGGAAGAATTAATTTTGTTATAATGTCCATACCACCCAAAGCAATCTACAGACTCAGTGCAATCCCTAACAAAATACGAACAACGTGCTTCACAGAAATAGAAAAAAAATCCTAAAACTTATATAGAACCATAAAATATTCAGAATAGACAAAGCCGTCCTTAGCAAAAAGAACGAAACTACAGGAATCACATTACCTGACTTCAAATTGTATTACAGAGCTATAGTAACCAAAACAGCATGCTACTGGCATAAAAAAAAGACCAATGGAAAAAAATAGAGAACACAGAAACAAATCCATATACCAACAGTGAACTCATTTTTAACAAAGGTGCCAAGAACATACATTTGGGAAAGGACAGTCTCTTCAGTAAAGGGTGCTGGGAAAACTGGATATCCATATGCAGGAAAATGGAACTAGACCCCTGTCTCTCACCATATACAAAAATCAAATCAAAATGGATTAAAGACTTATTAAATGTAACATCTGAAACCATGAAACTACTAAAAGAAGACTTTGGGGAAACTTTCCAGGATATTCAATGGGGCAAATATTTCTTGAGTAATACCTTATAAGCTCAGGCTACCAAAGCAAAAATGAACAAATAGCATCACATCAAGTTAAAAAGCTTCTGAACAGCAAAGGAAACAACAGAGTGAATAGACAACCCACAGAATGGGATAAAATATTTGAAAACTATCCATCTGACAAGGGATTAATAATCAGAATATACATACAGCTCAAACAACTGCTGCATGAATGATTTTCTTAATTTCTCCATAAATTCCCAGAAAACCTTTGAAATCATTCATGACTATGATGTTACTCTATAACATTCCATAACATTCCAGCAGGCATTTACAGCTTCTGGTTTTAATTCATCCATTGTAACTTTGATGAATGTTTTTTCATCATAAATAGTGAATGATATCCAGCCTTAAATTATGTCCAGATTATGGTCTGCATCAATTGCTGGTCTATTAAGATCAAATACCAGTGGGTGAATATGACCTTGACAAACCAAATGATGCCTTGGTTAAGAGGCTGGAGCAATTAGGTTTTATTTAGAGGTATAAAGGCAATCTCAACATTTTCATTTTCAACACAAAGAGATTCAGGATGGCCAGGTGAATTGTCTATTATTAATAAGATTTTAAATGTCAGCCTTTCCTCTTCCAAGTATTTGTTCACTCCTGGGATGAAGCTGAGGTAGAACCATCTCATAAACTAGATGGCTGTTACCCACGTTTTCTTATTATTTAGCCATAACAGGGGCCATTAATTTTTGTTTTTGAGAACACTTTCTACACTGTGCATGATTTTATCATATGTCCTACGGTGTTTCCACATAGTACCAGAGTTGATCTGTCCTTTCATGTGATTCTCTGGTGCCTCCTTTGCACTTTTATGAATTTAGGTTCTATTGGGCATCTTCCAGAAGAGTGTGGTTTCAGTGCAGTTGGAAACTTGCTTTGGATGGCTTCCTTTCCCCTTACACAGTTTCTTCAACTCTGCTGGAAATGTAGTGCCAGTTTCTTCATTGGCAGATATCACCTTTCCAGTAAATTTTATATTTTTCAGTCCAAACCTATTCCTAAATTCAAGTATCCTTTACTTACAGTAAATGCCCTGCTTCACTCATTTCAAGGGAATCTGTTGCTTAAGTCTTATAGGCTCAATGCTTTCTAGTGCAACACATGTAGTCAAACATCACGTTTCTGTTCATGTCTTCCACCTACAAATTTAATGCCTTTTTCATCTTATTTAAACACTTATCATGCACTGTGGCCATAACATTTGGAGCTTGAGGTGTGACAGCAAAACTAGCATGATTTTTTCCCTTTCTTTGCAATGTTATGAATGAGACTCCCTCTTACCATAGATTTTAGCAACCTCAGCATATGATATTTTTCTTTCCTTATTGAGAATTTTCAGCTTTTAAAAGATATTTTATGACTTCTCTTTGACGTATCTGAATTGCCAGTATCACTACTCTTGGGCTTTGAGCCTTTTTAAGTAAATTAAGGATCACCTGAAGCCAACCACTCAGATACCACCACAATTGATCTGGTAACACACAGAACTGCTAAGTGACTAACAGGTGGGGTGGTTTCTACAGCGTGGAGATGCTGAACAGAGGGGGCATTCACATCCAGAGCAGGACACAGTGGGATGGCCTGAGATTTCATCATGCTACTTAGAATCATGCACAAGTTAAAACTTGTGAATTGCTTGTTTCTGGAATTTTTCATTTAAGATATTCAGACTACAGTTGACTGCAGGTTACTGAAATCTCAGAAAGCAAAACCAGGGCTAAAGGGGACTACTGCATGCCTCCTGCCTTGTTAATATACAGCTCCCCTCATAGAGTTTAATTCTCCACAGTATTAATTACTTACACCAGGAGAATATAACACCTTCATGGGCAGGTGCCTGAATTCTTTTCCTATTACCATATAGAATAATATTTACATTGTGCTTTGAAAAATACAGTTGTCTAGCAAAAACAGTGTTATTACTTCAACAACAATTCAAAAATATAAATTTAATGAAAGAGAGAATGAGAAGTTCCACTCATAATATTTGGCAACATCTGAGGTTTAGGATTGAAGCCTTCAATAAGGAGAGGGTGATGATGAGTTATCCATTTTTAATTATTTTTGTGCATTTTTTTCTGAGGTATAAACTTTCAACCACTGTGACTAGAAAAGAGCAAGCTGTAAATGTGTGAATTATTTTCTGCCTCAGCACATTTCATTCCTCATAATATTTTAAAAATCTAAAATTTAACTTACATCAAGAAAAAAATTCAATAAAATTACACATACACAAAATAACTGGTTAATTTTCACATTTCTCTCTCACCTGTGCAGATAAGTTTTCATTCTAACCTGAATGTTTTTGTTCTCTAATACCTGAAGCCAACCACTGATATACCACCACAGTTGATCTGATAACCCACAGGGCTACTAAGTGATTAACAGGTGAGTGGTTTCTACAGCATAGAGATGCTGAACAAAGGGAGGATTCACTTCCAGAGCAGGACAGAGCGGGACAGCATGAGATTTCATCATGCTACTTAGAATCACTCACAAATTAAAACTTGTGAATTGTTTATGTCATTTCTTTCTTAAGTAGAGACATTTTCACTTCACAATTCACCTAATTTCAAGAATTCCACATCATTTAAAGAGTTTCCCCTACATATATTCACTCTTATCCTTGCCCTTTCCTTGTCTATATGAATTTGAGAATAAGATTTCACACTTGTATTTCTCTCCCAGTTATCCCAGGAATGACCCCCTTCCCTTCCCTCCTCACCACTCCTTAACCAGCTAGAGCAAGAAGTATCCATTTCCTCCAGGTAGGCTTATTAATTATGGCAGAACACAGAAAAAAGTAAGTACTTAGTTTATGAGCTTCAGGAGCTTAAGCTGCAAAGTCAGTCAGAGCCAATGTTTTCTGTCTCAGCAGATAATATTCAAGTTTGCCAGACTGTATGAGGGTGGATACAATAGGGTTAGATGTTGGCATGATTCCCAGAGAGAGAGGGTTCTGTTCCCTGGCTGAAATCTCAGGCCAAATGCCAGGGAAAAGAAGAATAGAAACCCTAGTTAGAGGATGGAGATTTTGAACAGAAGTTCAAGTAAATACTTGGGCAACAGCAAGATCCCAAGGGCCCCTGCATCCAACATGGTATATACAGTGTGGGCAGGAGTTGCCTGTGGCAGGTCTGAGCAAAAAGGGTCTGAGAAAGCCTGGGAGAATTATTTTTGTGCCAGTATGGCTTGGGAGTACAGCCATGGAGTATTTTTCCAAGCTCTCTAGAGAGGCATTGCAGTAATGAAACAATCGGAACAAAAAGCTTTAAGGTTGGGGAGGAGAAAGACACAGCTGCAAGTGATATAGGCTAATACCTGCTAATGATATGGGATAATATGATGATGTATATTTCAGCAGATGCCAGCATGAAGTGATCATGGTAAACAGGACTGATTTCATCTCCTATGCACCTTTGTGACCTGATACACTCACCAGTGACTGCTTAGGTTTTCTCATCTTCTCCCATGTTTACTTTGCTGCAGGACAGGAATTAATTACTTCTTTGTTATAAAACTTTTAACTCAAATAGTGTCTGCCTACTTATTTGTCAATTCAGAATTTTAAGAATATGTGTATATCTGAAATATAATAATGAAAAGGGGATTTGAACCTGATTTGTGGAAAAGATTGAGTCAATTTGGAGTATCATGTGCATATGGATTGGTTTAAAAATTAATTTTTAAAACACCTCACTTACTAAATAATACAACACTCTTATTACAGTTTAAAATTGCAGTATACTAAAAGTTTGTTTAAAAATAACAGAATATAAATTCTATAAGTGATTATAGTTCAGAGTAAGAGATGTTTGGAAAGAACATAAAAAATTGAAAGAAAAAATAAACTATTTTCAAATGTGCTGATGGTGATGTTTGAATATTTGAAAAGCAGATGGGTCATAGCCTTAAATATGCATCACCTAGATGATAATAAACAAACTACCATAATGTATTTTTTGCTAATGCATTTGTATAAGCAGATATAATAATTCAGAGAAATTATTGTACACTGATTTTGTTGACTTTAAAAGTTAGTTCTTTTCCTGTAATTGTAATGTGATTAATCCCTCAGGTTATATAAACCTAAAATTCTTTTTAAAATGACACAGCAACAGTACAAAACGGAGTGTATTTCTATTACCTAGCATAGTGCCTGGCACATAGATATTTTTAAAACAATGGTTTTTGAAATAATCGATGTTATTTCCTTTTCTAAATATTATGTTACTAATGTTAATGCAATTTAAAATTGCATTATCTTAAAAACTCATAGGGAGAATGGGGTCAAAAAAACCCACAACACTTTACTTTTGACAATATTTCTGTGAAATCATGTTTTTCTCATTGCATTTTCATAATTTTTTTACACTTAAGTACAAAAACTTTTGATTAATTATATCATGTACTTTTTTCTTCTTCTTTTTTTTTTTTTTTTTAGTGAAGGAGGCTCCCTGTGTTGCCCAGACTGGACTCAAGTCTCAAGTGCCTGGGCTCACGTGATCCTCTAGCCTCAGCCTCCCAACTAGATGGGACTACAGGTAGCATCATCATGCCTGGCTACATGTACTTTTAAATCAAGATGCCCGCTAATTTTTCTTCTTCTTTTTTTTAATCTCTTGTCAGTTAGTCTCAAAATATAGGATAATTTGACCAGGTTGTCATAGTGTACAGATTTTACATTAGAGGGTTAAAAGAGACAATAAAGAACATCAATATCTTATGGGTATAAGTATCTAATTTACAAAGTTTTTCATAGTACATGGAGTGGCTATTCAAACCACTATGTCCTACCAAGCATGAGAGGTAAGTTAAAAATGCTTAACTGACATTTACAGTTACTGTTAATTTTATTTGACTTACATAGAAAGTAATGATAATTAACCAAAAACCAGTATGTGTTAGAGATATTATAATATGGTTACTGTGGTAGATAGAATAACGTGTCCCCAGCATCCAAAAGATGTCTACGTCTTAATTCCCAGAACTTGTGAATATGTTACCTTAAATGCAAAAGGAATTTTGCAAGTATGATTAAATTAAAAATATTGAGATGGGAAGATTAGCCTGGATTAGGCAGATGGGCCCAGTGTAATCATCGGGGATCTAGTAAGGGAAAGAAGGAGGCAGGGTGGTTAGAGATATGAAGATAAAAGCAGAGAGATTAGAAGATGCTAGGCTGTTGGCCATGAAGATGGAGGCAGGTGCCCTGTGTCAAACAATGCAAGTGGCCCTTAGAAGCTAGAAAAGGCAAGGAACAGCTTCTCCTGCTAGAGCCTGCAGAAGGAATGCAGTTCTGCAGACACTCTGATCTTAGGACTTCTGACATTCAGAGCTCTAAGACAATAAGTTTGTGCTGCTTTTAAGCCACTTAATTTGTGGGAATTCACCACAACAGTTAAAACTAATATAGATGCTAAATTCTGTGACAGATTAGTAGGGGCCTACCCCATGTTTCTTAAATCCTCTTGGAAGTGGCACTTCATATCATAGGATTGTGAGACGGCTCACTCATTAGGAAGCAAGCAATATGAAGAACCTACAGCATGAGGTTCTTAATTTGGAAAATAGATCCCTCAGGAGATCTCTGCTTCCCTAACAAATTGTGTGCATTTACCTGGGGAAAGTATCTGTAGCTTCCCACAACTTCCCAAAATAAGTCCAGGGCTTAAAAAACCATTAAGAACTGCACAATTATAACAAGGATTCTAATTCTGATTTAATTTCTGATTCAGATTTATCTAATTTTATTAAGTAATTTGTAAAATTGGAGTTTATCATTAAAATTGCAATAATAGGAGGAAATATTTCAACAACAAAATAAATAATACATGTAAATATAAGTAATCTGTAAAATTGCAGATTATCAGGAAAATTGCAACCATATGAGGAAATGATATTTCAATGACAAATGTAAGTAAATAGAGAGGAGATAACACAACCAGAGGTAAAAAACTGAAGACCTTCAAATTCCAGACTACAGATGAGGTTTTTTCGGGCTTGCTCAGGTGTCTAAGTGATACACACTTAACTCCCATAGCAACGGGAGATGCTCTTGTTTAGACTATTTGTCTGACTCCTATTGGCACTGTGTTAGTAACCAGTGGACTTCTGGATTTGCAGTGAGGCACCTTGGTAGCCATTTAACTTAACAGGTTCTTATTTAATTTCCACAAGATTCCCTGAAGGTCAGAGAATTTCCTGAGGCACATAACTATTTGGGAGGGCTCTGGGATTTTAATACAAGCCTGAATTTTCTTTGAATCTAGGAAGCAGTGAGGTGGTGGGGGGAAGGAATCAGTTTCTCAAGTACCATGCAAGGGAAAGAGTATTTTGAGCAGCTACCTAGAGCTAGGAAGCACTTCTCGGGTGCGATTCTGCACCAGCAGCATCAGCATCCCCTAGGAACTTGTTAAAATGCAGTTCTCAGGCTCCACTCCAGACCTACCTATGGAACTAGAAACTCTGGGGACAGGGCTCAGTAATTTGAATTTTAACAAGCCCTTCTGGTGTTTCTAATTCCAAAGTTTGAGGACCACTGACCTCTCTATCTGCCAATAGAGCATATTGCATTGATTTCTATGTTCAGAAAACAATAGTTAAATTAGTGGTTAATTTTCCCAAAGTGGGAGGGAGATGGAAAGGGGAAAGAACGAAGGTAAAGCAAGTTAACGGAAAAAGGAGAGATTAACTTGATTTTTCTTTTTTTTTTCTCCTTTAAAAACTATAAATATAATCCTTTCCTGATCATTTGTGGCTGAAAAAAATATATTTCTAGGCCATAGTCTTCTAACCTAGAGACTATCAGGAGGCTGTGAGAAAGCTTCTAGGGGTTTATGAGCCTCCTAGGCCTCTTACCTGTGATTACATTTTCATCATGGGTCAATAGTTCAGCCTTAGCTAATTTACTATGGTCTGAACAGCTAAGATTATAATACCAAGTATGTTCATCAAAGTCAAATTAGATTAAGGCAAAATGCATTGGCTGGGAGTGATTTAAAGTGAACACCAAAGGACATAGTTACTTTAATTCAAAAATTTCTTAGCTATTCTAACTCAACATATTTACTCAACTTTAGCACTGTCTTTCTTAGTTTTAAGGTTCATCCAGGTATGCCAAAATCTAGGATCCCCATATGACAAGTGCTAAATGGGACAGGATGCTGTGATAATGTGTAAACCAAGCAAACAATGATGTGTGATTTTAATCTAAATTCCAAAGACCAGTGTAAATACTAGAGATTACCTGATGCAATGAATTGTAGTTAATACCTCAAAACCCCTTTTCTCAGCTGTTATTTTGTATCACACTTTTGGGAATGCCCTCCTTTTTTACCTCTGCCATCTCACATATTCACCCTATAATTACCACTAACATTTGCTTTGGTTGATAGACTGGATGTCCTTGAAGTCTAAGGGCAGTCTTACTGATGAGAATATAGCCTTTCTGGAACTTCAGCAACTCCCTTTCTTCCCATAACATAATTCAAGCTCAATCATGCATAGATTCTTTCCTTAAAATCTTGTTGAATTTGTTCACAATTTATCTTGAGTATTCATTATGTGGATGACTATTAAAATTATTTTATTTCTCTTATTTATAACATTTATATTAAAAATCAGCCTCAACTGATATTTCCAAGTGTGGCTTAATCAATGTATTTGCGTAGTTCAGGGTGTGATAGTGCCTCATGTACACAGCTAACCTTCTGTACATATTTATGTGTACCTGCATTAAACAACTTTTGCCTATCTTCTGTTGTTAAAATATCCTACGGTTTTATGGCCAACCACTTCTCATTGCTTTCTATCAAGAGTCCTCTTTCTCACTTGGTATTTTTTCTATCAATTATAAGCTTTTTCCATTATGTTTATCTTAACAGTCCCCTAGGTCTACCTTCATCTCCAAATTTAGCTCCTTCTGGGGAAAAAAAAATAGCCCTCCCTTGACATTGCATCCTTTTATAGCTACCAAAGTCTTTTATGCCCTTGTTACTTCCATTTCCTTACTTCCTTTGCATCTTAACTCACTGAAATCTTATATTTTGATGCCATAGTGATGTTAAAATTGCTCTCTAGAAGTTCTTAATGATAAACACATTGTTAAATCCAATGGCTTTTCAGTATTTTCTGTTTAGATTTGCAGGCTTTATTTGACATTTTGAGCACTTATTTTTCTTGAAACTCTAATTGACTTCTCGACAATAACTTTCTTCCAGTTCTCTGTTTTATCTCAAAGGCCTTTACCCCTCTTTTTCAATTCATTTCTTAAAGATTGAAAGATCTCAGGATTTCAGCCTACTGTATTTCTGATAATAGCAAATGTCATCATTATCCATCCACCTAATCATTCAAGTCAGAAACTGTTCCTTTGCTTTTCACATAAGACCTTAAAATATATCTCTTAATTATCTTCCTTCATTGATTATTGTTTCTCAGCATCATTCACTACCTTGCTAATTCACAGTCATTATTCAATAGTCATCAGGGACTTTGATTTTTGCCTGAAAATCTTTCCTACTCTGTAGTTTCCAAACAGAACTACATTAAGCAAAGCTTGTGGTATTAAAGTAACTGAGTACCTCTCGTCTGTGACTGCACATCTTTTATTCACACTAAGAGAAGCAACTAAAATTCTTTGAATTATGTAAAACTAACTCCCTTAAGAACATTTAAGTTCTGGTATATGTCTCACAGAGCCTGTTACCATCTGGCTCTGTTTTCATTATCAAGAATAACCAAGCATAACAACTTATGAAACTGAGATGGGGAGGAATAGTCAAATGAGCCTACAATTCAACATTATTTGCATACTAGCTAAACTGCCAGCTATTTGAGAACAGATCCAAAGAGCAACAATAGATCTTAGGAAAACTGAGAAAAAGTGGAATTTGTCTTCTGTACATATTCACCTTCACTTCCGCACTTCCTTTCAGCTTCTTGGTGCTCCTTTCAGATTATAAGTAGTTGGAGTCCACTTGCTGCAAATTGCTAATATTTTATCTAACATTATTATTATATTTTTGCTTAGGGTTAGCTAAGTTAAAAGAAGCTGATATTAAACATCCTTGTATAAGACATGTGCCCATTTTAATATTGATGAAATTGGGTCCTGGGGAATGTACAGAATAAATCCACTAAACTCTTGACTTGTAAATATTAAAAATCAGTGCTCAAAATATGTCAATAAAATAAGTGCTCAAAAATGTCAAAATCTGCAAATATTAAATATAATACTAATGATTGAATTCAGAGATTCTCTCACTTTAATGAGATTTTTACACTATTATTTTTAAGAAGTTTAAGAATTCGAGAAACCATTTTAATTTGGTTTGAAAGAGGTAAAATGATAGCCTTTATGCCAGGTTAAAAAGAGAGAGAGAGAGAGGAATTCCCTTAACTGATAGCAGCAAACTAGATAATTAGGACAATCTTCCCATTGAAAGAAAACCTAGAAAACCTGCATAAAATGCTTTAAAAATTTACTCGACATGATCAGCATCTTAACAAGGTAGTAACGAATTACTGAACGAGAAAGCAGAAATTCAGGAATGGCATCTGGGGCTGCTTTGGCCCAGGCCCCTTTGATCACCCCAGAAGTGGTGCCAGGGAAGCTCAGCAGCACTGTTGGAAGAATTTTTGACGTATGAGACAAAAGTTGGACTCCACAGCCCATCAATGGTGGGGACCCTTGTAAATCCACAATGCTTTAGATTAGGGCTCAAAAGATTACATTCTAGGAAGAAGGGTAAACTGGAAATGAATCAGCTCTTGCAGAGTCTATAGAATAGCTTTAAGTCAGCTGAGAACTTCTAAAAGAAATCCCAGTTCTAGCACTTAGTACACTTACATTTAATGTAACTAGTATGAGTTTATAACTAAATCAGTAGTGTTTGTGTTAAAGCCTGTAATCTTGGTATTCGCTTTCTATATATCCTGCCTCTTTGTTGTTCTTTTTCTTAATTTTGTGACTTCTTTTACCTTCTACCCATTTATCTTCCTCTAACATGAATTTTACCTTGAAATAAGTTTCAGTTGCTTAAATCTATGGACTGAATGAAGAAGTCTTTCATTAGTTTTGCCAAAGTTTTTGCTGTTATCTTTTCAAATATTTTTCTGTCTCATTTTCTTTTTTTCCTTCTGGGACTTCAGTTAAATGGATGCTAGAATTTCTAGAAAAATACAACTTACATAAATGGGTACAAAAAGAAATTGTAAACATAAATATTCTTCTATTGAGTAAATTCAATCTATAATTCAAGACTATACAGCTAAAATAATTAGGATATTGTCATAGTGATGTAAAGAGAGCAAAATAGAACAATGATGAGGGTTGGAAACGCAGAAATATATCTGGGCACATACAGATATTTGATTTGTGAAAAAAGAAGAAGCACTGAAGAATGCTTCTTCAGGAAATGATATTGATTGCAAAATGTTATGCTGGGAAAATTGAATATTCATATGGAAAAATAATAAAAATATGTTTTAATACCATAAGCCATAAGCAAAAGTTAGTTACAAATTGATTGCAAATCTAAATGTAAAGGTCAATAAGGTTCTTAAATGATATCTTTATGAACTAAGGATATGAAAAATTTTAAACAGAAACCAAACACTGGCTATTAATATGAAGGAAAAGATTAATATCTCTAATTCAGTTAAAATTAAGATTTTATATTTCTTTAAAGTTATCATTAAGATGAAAATTCATGCCACAGAATGTTATTAGAAGGCACTTGTCCTGTGTGTATAAATATATACATATAATTATATGTTTAAAAAGAGACAGAGACAGCTCACTTTTTATTGAAAAACATACATAATCCTAAGTGAATATCTAGAATGACAAAAAGTTATAACCTTATATTAGTAAAATAGCCTTTTTATTTTTGCATTTCACCCTTTGTGCATGAATGTTTTAATATTATAATCATGATATTCATGCAATTTTGAATTTTTTAACAGATATATTTTTGTTTCCTACTTTCTCTATTTTTAAAGTCTTCACAGATCTAAACAATTAGACATTATTTACCTATAGAAATATTTGAAGCCAATATATATTAATCTTTTAAAGAAAAAGAAAAAATGATATCTAAAGATAGCTTCACATTTATGAATACAAAAAAGTATGGGACAAGTGAATGACACATGAGAAATTTATTTAATAAAATAGTTTTAAACACTTTATATGTTTTATGGTTTCCATTACAAAAACTGAATAGATTAAAACAAATCAAATATGAGAAAAGCTTTCACATTTTAAACTTTGTGACAACCTTCAGTGAAATAAAACTTTTTCTGAGTTAAAGCCTTAACATTTAAATTAATTTTGCTCCTATTTTGTTTGGAAAGTGGAAGGGTAAGTCCATAATGATAAAACACATAAAATATTTAGAATATATTATAAATTATGAAAAATATTTAATTGCAAGATGAAAATTTGTTGTTAATTTTAAAATTGTAGAACATGAGAATAAAACTCATACCATTCAAGCTGTAACACAATTCTTACTTAAAATTCATCATGGAATATGTTGGAATCAATCTTAATAAAAATATTTGTCTCAAATATAATGTAAGATTATGGCTGGGGGAACTAAGTTCCATTCTATATTCTGCCACTTAACAAATTTTGTAACCTTGGATAACTTCTCTGTGTCTAAATATCCTTTATTGTATAAAGATGCTTATATGACAAAGGTTACAAGTTTTATTTATATTGCATTTTCTATATCTGTGTACATGTACAGATATATGTAAATATAAATGACAAGGCATTTTCCTGGCTAAATTAGTTTTTTCAAATTTTATATTAAATGCTTTGCCATTCACATAAACTTTTTCTTGGCAATAATATTCCACATTATTTTCAGTACAAAAGAGGCTATTTGATTTTAATAATTACTGGTTACTGAAACTAATTACTTGTCAGGACTGTGATGCTTTCAGAGTGCAAGAATATCTGAACAAATTATATTTTTCTATTTTTTAACTTTCAATAATTGCAATTTAGATAAATACAAATATTAACACAGACAAATCAGCAAATGATATTGTTAACACACATACTCTGGTTCTGTAAGTTTCAGGACCCAAAAGTCAGCTTTCTCCCAAACCCTCAGATGATGCCCACATTCCTGGTGAACAGACTACACTTCGATAGCAAGGGGGAGCTTCCTTTACTTGGTTCGATTTAAAAGTTCTCCATGCTTTTCTTTTCAAGGGCTGCTCCCTTTGGTGTGTGGCATTCTGTATTTCTCTTTAGATGGCCCCATCATTTCTTGATGTTGTTCCTGTTGAAGAACAGTATAATCTACATATTGAAAGATACCCCGTGCTCTCTCATTTAGAATTTATTTTTCAGCTGTTGTGTCACAGTTATTGAAAACAGTTGTGATATTAGGTATTTTCCTTTAACCAACATTTTCCATCTTAAAAAAAAAAGTCGCTTTGTTTTTATAGATCTATTTTCTACAGGGAAATAGAAAATAGGGAAGGGAAGGCTCTGTTGGGACAAAACAAACTAGATGCCAGAAACACAGATATTAGACTTCAGTCCAAATGAGCTCACGGGCTGCCAATTGCACAGGCAGGAAGAAAATGAGGAGAAAATAGATGGGAACTACATTTGCTAAAGGAGTCTTGGAGTATAAATTAGTCAGCCCACAAGGGAATTTAATTTGCAGATCGAGAAACTGAAAGACAAGTCTAGGCTAAAAAGTAAATTGTGTCATATTCTAGGGCCTATCTACCTTTTCATGCTAAGTAGGGTTTTTAATTTGTTGCGTTAATTTGACAAAGTACTGAGTGGGGGAGCTCCTTGTGTCTGTCTTTTGCAGGTATCATCCTATGCCTAGTTTAGGATGAATGAAGTACCAGGTAGCCTCCTGATCCTGCTCATTGGGAAGGCTTACAGAAAAAACTCTGAACTGGCAGTTTGCAGCAGTTTTTAACTTCCTGAACTGGTCTCCTGCTGCTTCCCACCTTATCATGGTTGTCTTTTTCTGCTATACTAACGTGTGTGTATGTGTGTGTGTGTGTGTGTGTGTGTGTGTGTGTGTGTGTGTGTATTGGAAGTTAATTTGTCTTTTTTTGTTGTTGATAAGTCTGCATATCAAAAGTAGCCACATCCAAACTTGAGGCAGAGACTGATGAATTGAACACAGTGGTCCACAATACTGAGCTATGACTGTGATTTTGGGGTTGCCTTCTTGGGGTGGGAATAGATATATTCTGTGTATGGAACAGAGTGTGAACCAATTGAACCAATATCTGGTAATCAGAATAGTGGCCGCTGGTAGTCACTATGCTGTTTATCAAATATTTCCAGTTCACCTCTTTCCAGGAATATCATGGAAGGCACATCAGTTCTCCCTGAAGTTTCCGGTGGCCATGAGATTTGCTTTAGACAACCAAATGTGATCAGAAATGATATACAGTTGACCCTGAACAACACAAATTTGAACTGTGCCAGTCAATTTATACATGTATTTTCTTTGACTTCTAACACCCCTGAGACAGCAAGATCAACCCTCCCTCTTCCTCCACAGCCTACTCAATGTGAAGACATCGAGGAGGAAGAGTTTTATAATAATCCACTTCTGCTTAATGAATAGTAAATATATTTTCTCTTCTGTGATTTTCTTAATATTTTCTTTTGTCTGGCTTGATTGTAAGAATATAGTAGATCGTACATATGTAGCATACAAAATATGCATTAATTGACTATATTACAGTAAGGATTCTGGTCAACAGTAGTCTATTAGTTTACTTTTGGGAGAGTCAAAAGTTATACTTGAATTTTTTGACTGCATAAGAGTTGGTGCTCCTAACCTCTGCATTGTTCGAGAGTCAACTGTATACCAATTTGAGGAGGAAGTTCTGGTATTCATGTAGTGTCTAGCTCCTGAGTAACTACATTGGGCAGAGACCATATGACATAAGAAACAAAACATTTTTGTTGGGTTTAAGCCATTATTATTAGGGATTATTTGTTACTGCAATATGACCTAGTACCTCTAGACTTTAATTTGCCCAGTCTCTGTCCTCCTAGTCCTTTCTGACTCTTTCCATCTTCTTTTTCTCATGTCTCTACTATTTCCTTCAAGCTGTAGTGTTTGTTTCAGTCTGTACCTCATAACGGGGTGATGGGTGAGTTGACTTTTGGAGAGCACCTTAACAGTCAATACAGAAATAGCCATCAATATCTATTCTTAAGGTCAACCCTGGTAGATGTCATATTACTCAATACGAATTCATACTGACAATATGAATTATCTCTATGTCATCTGGAAATGACTCACATTAGCTAATGACTATCCTTCCAAGTACTGGACATATGTTTTTGTTGTAAATACTATTAACTGATGGACTGCAGCCATCATCTAAATTAGCAAATATTTAAGCCTGGATGAGCAGCATGAAAATGCTCGACAGTTGGCAGCATGTTTAGAGTCTGTTGTCTTTAGCTGCAAGAAAAGTGAACTGCAAGCAGTTCTGTCACTTGTCTTTCTTTGATTTGCGTGGAATATACATTCACCCTCAGCAATGCCTTTAGTGAACCACATGTATTAATCACAATAAAAACAAGTTGGAAATAATTATAATTTCCCACCAGGGTAAACAAATATTCGTTTAATTTTTAACTTTATTTGTTAAACAATTTATCAAGGCCACAATATAGACAATGACATTTGAGATACTTATATCTTAAAGTGAGTTTAGTTTTGAGAACACACAGAACCCTGCAAATCGGAGTAAAAGTTAAATACAAATAAGAAAGAATTAAACAGTGAAGAGAATATGAAATCTAAATGTCCAATAAACATATGAAAAATGTTTAACCTCATAATTTATCAGTGAAAGGAAAAGTAAAACCATAGAAAGAGATCATTAAACATAGAATTGGCAGAAGGAAAAGGTGGGGGGCACTTACAAGAATTGGCAAAAAGATATGGAAAATTGGACCTTATATATTCCTAGAGGAATATAAATTCAGTAAGAGAGTGATTTGCCTATATTTAATAAACCTCAGTATTACCATATCCTATGACCTAGAAATTTTGCTTCTGATAATATATGCTAGGGAATCTATCACATATGTTCATAAGAAGATATTTAAAAGAATGTTACTTGCAATGTTTCTTTGGGATAGCAAAAACTTGGAAACCTCTTAACATCCAACTATGGTGATGAATGAATGGACTGTATTATATGCATTCAACGAATTACTACAGAACTGTTAAAATAAAGAAGCTAGATCTAGAGAATCAATGCAGATATATATTAGACACATAATATTTCATGGACAAAACAAATCAAGAGTGGATACCATTCATGTAATTTTAAAAAATCTAAATATTATATTTTATGTAAACATATTTGCATAAACAGTAAAATATCTAGTCAGGAAAGATACATGCAAACTCAAGAAATGGTTTTATCTGAAATTAATGAGTAGTATCATTTAGGATTGTGAAAGGAATTTCAACGATATCTGTAATATTTTATTAAAGTTTTAGGTAAAAGAACAAAAAAGCCCAATAGTAAAATAGTCACTAAAAACTCAAAAATATAAAAAAGTCAAAAGTAAAAAAATCATACATTATAGTGACTAAAAATTTTTTAACCTAGTTAAATGTATCATTTTTCCAAATGTCTTCTACTTTTAAAATGTAAAACATTTTATAAGCATTTTTCAGTAGTATTATGTATCCTTTGCAATAATAACTTTTAAATGCCTGTAGTCTATTCTACTGAATGCATATACCATGATTAACTTACTCATATATCTATGTTACTCTGGTTCAACAGGAAGAACTGTAATAGATATAGTTGTATATAAAACTTTAAAATAGAAATAATAATAGTAATTATTTATTAAATGATTACTGCGAATGAGTACTTCAATAAGTACTTTAAACACACCATTTTATTTAATCTTCACCAAGTGCCCTTGAGAGTTAATTATCTGAACTGTAAGATGAGACAATTTGTAACTTGGCTAGGAGCCTCAGTTTGTAAGGGCCAGACACAGCATTCAAATCTGAGTCTACCTGTGTGTCCGTGAAGCTTGTGTGGTCTCAGTACTGGATCTACATTACCTCTCTACCATGTTTGTGGTATAATATTCAGGCATATTTCTTTTGAAGGTTCTACATGGGAGAGGTTGTTAGTTAATCAGCAAAAGCTCAGTTTCTCTTGTTTTAGGACATATACCTAGACTACATTCCCAGTCTCTCTTACACGTAGGTAGGTGTATGATGAGTTTTCATCAGTGGGCCAGGGGTAATGATGGATATTGCTTCTGGATTAAAGCTCAAAGTGAGTATATCTTTGACTTGAGCAAAAAGCAGATCAAATATATTAAGGGGCAGGGACTTTATGTCTCCTTAGTCCAAAATTTATGGAGTTGCCTGCTAGGAATTTGACAAGTTTGAGTCCACAGATGTTTAGTTTACAAAATCCTTTCCTGAGATCTAGGAGTAGCAGAAGAAGCTATACATAGCTGGGTTATTGAGAGTACAGGAGTCTAGCAAGCTGTTTTAGAAGTGTCTGTGTTTAAAAGTAAAAAAAAAAAAAAAAAAAAAAAAAAAAAAAAAAAAAGGGAATATTTAGAAAGGTTTGGGTACTGCTTATTTCCAACTCAAACATGGCATTATTTTGATAGATTGATTAAGAATCCATTAGTTCAGAAAATATCTCAACTGCATACAGTTTGTACAGCATACTTTTCTCATATTACTCTAAAAGCCCTGCACTTAAACTGATTGTGTATGTATAAGATGATAAAGTACACGATGAAACAAGGAGTCCTGCCAAAGATGAGAAAGTGGGGAAATTCCATAACCTAGGAGGACTGCCTTTAAAGGAGAAACCTCTTGTCATTTGACTTCTATCTTGGCACACTCTGTCTGGGGAATTCTCCAATATGAATTATTTTTTCACTTACTTCTGGTGGCAGCAAATTTTTAAGGTCAGAAATTTACTGGATTCAAATCTAGACAAGTCCGCTTAGTGATTAGTGGATCTTCCGTAAGTTGTATAATCTCTGTCTGCCCCAGTTTTCTTATCAGTAAATGACAATAATCACAATATATAACTCAATTGCTGTGTGATTGAGTTACATGCATAAAATACCATAGTAGGCTGAATTATAGCTCCTGAAGATATCTGGTCCTAATTCCTGGATCCTGAAACTATAAATGTTACTTTGTATGTTAAAAAAGAGTCTTTACAGATATGATTAAGTTATGGATCTTGAGATGGGGGGGTTATTTGGGTGGACCCTAAGTGCAATCACATGTATTCATACAAGAGGAAACAGAGGGAGATCTGACAACAGGCAGATATAGACAAAGGTGGTGTGAAGATGGACTCAGAAAAAAAGTGCTGTGATCATAAATGAAGGAATGCCAGTAGCCACCAGAAGCCAGAAGAGGCAAGGAATGAATTATCTTTGAGAAACTGCAAAGAAAGCAGAGCTCTGCATCTTAATTTTGGCCCAGTGGTATTTATTTTGGACTTCTGGCCTCCAGAACTGTGAAAGAATAAATTTCTGTTGTTTTAAGTCACCCAGTTGGTGGTAATATGTTACAGCAGCCACAGGAAAAACTAATACAAATACTCAGACGCTAAGCATTATAAAACTGTTTGCTATTAGTATTCCAAGACAATGGCCAAATTTCACACTATGAGGTGCCACAAACTAGAACAGCTTGAGGACCATTCACTGTGTATTTCCAAGAAACTTGTGTCTGATTACAGAACTTGGTTTTGGATAGGTTATTCTGATGAGGAAAGCAAAGATAATATTTCATTTGGCAGTTCACCTTCTACCAGTAGACTTCAATCAGATGAAATAGGGTAGAGAGGCCTGCATAGCCTTAGAGGGGACGGCAGCCAACCTCCAAAGCCTTCTTCTGCTTAATTAAGATGTCTTATTTGTATTCCAGGCAACAGAATCATATGGAAGTGTGTGCAAGGTATTTGTCAAAGCCTTGAAGACAGGGGCCCTAACCAGTACATGGAGGTAAAATTTGCTTCCCAAAGAATGATAAGAAATTCGTGCAAGAGAACGTGGTCTACTATAGTGATGTAAGGGCTTCTGGAATCAGATAAACGGACTTCCTACTGAGTCCTTACACTGCAGTTACAAGTTACATGGCCCCAAATAGGCCATTACACCTCTCTGAGCCTCATTCTTCTTCATAAACTGCTGGAGCCAGGGTGGAAGAAGGGGAAGACACCTTTGCCACATTGGATTACTATATGTATCAAATTAAATAATGAATGTAAAGTGCTTATTTAGGGCCTTATTAGCACTAAATATTCAATAAAGGGTATTCCAACAAGGTGAAGGCAAAGCACAAATTCATTCAGAAACCTAGAAAGTAGACAATTGACTTAGAAGGCTAACAAAAAGTACACAGTTTGTGCATAAAAAGTCCCGTTAAGTTTATTCTCTGTTGTAGCCCCAAAGATTATTTTCTTTACTCTCTAAAGTTTAAAAATCCAGTAGCACCAGTGTTTGGGGGTAGCATATTAGGGGTGGAGTGTTTGTTACTGAAAAATTATAGGAGATCAAGATATTCCAATCAATTTTTTAATAAATTGGTAAAAAAAAATCTGGCCTGTGATAATAGATGTTGGCATCAAAGCAATATTAATTTTTCCAATCCTTTAGAAATCCTATTTTTGCCAAGTTTAGTCTTCAGAAAGGAGGTTATGTGAAATCACTTAAACTCTTCATAGCTAGATTTTAAAATTTAATATAGGTGCAGAATTGACAATATAAACTGGCCACAGAGGCCATGTAGAAAAGCCAGACATATATTACCTAAATAGAGAAAGCACTAGGCCTCTCTGTCTGCTTCAATCACAATGTTCATGTTTTGAAAGACCTGCCAAGATTGTGGGTAGAGTAATGGAGTGGAAACTGGGGCAAGTGTGATGTGCTGCCTTCACTAAGCAAAGCCAAAGAGGGAATGCCAAATAAGGCTAAACTTGTGTAGAATATAGCCCTTACTCTTTGTTTTCCACACAGAAGCCATTCCTTCTATCCTTAGTACCAAAATACCTGCTTTTTTTGTATCAGGGTGGGCATATGACCCACTTCTGGCCAATAACATGCTAGGAGAAGTTTATAGAGGGGCTTCTGGAAAAGATATTTTCTTTTTAATAATAACAAGTGAAGCAGAGAGTTTTTCTCCTTTGTGCTGCTGTTGCTTCCAGCCTCTGAATATAATTGTGTGATGCTTAGAATGGCAGTGGCTACCATAGGACTGTGAGAGGAAGGATTTGTAGAATTTGAGAGATGGCAATCTTAGAGTATCACATTGCTCAGCTGCTGACATCACTATGGTCATCACCCTCCCATGGACTTCTAATTATATGCAAAATATAAACTATTATTATTTTAGGCATTCTGTTTCTTTCAAGTAAAATAATTTGTAAATATGATATATACAAATAAATTCAATTGTCAAAACATTATTTAGGTTTAAGATCCCTGGAGCATACAAAGATGTAACTACAGTTGGCCCTTGAAAAACACAAGTTTGGGCCAGGCGTGGTGGCTCACACTTGTAATCCCTTGTAAGCATTTTGGGAGGCCGAGGCAGGTGGATCACCTGAGGTCAGGAGTTCGAGACCAGCCTGACCAACATGGTGAAACCCCATCTCTACTAAAAAAAAAAAAGTACAAAAATTAGCCGGGCATGGTGGCAGGTGCCTGTAATCCCAGCTACTCAGGAGGCTGAGGCAGGAGAATTGCTTGAACCTGGGAGGTGGAGGTTGCAGTGAGCCGAGACTCCGTCTCAAAAAAAAAAAAAGAAAAAAAATAAGTTTGAACTGTGCCCCTTCTATGCTGATTTTTAAAGTAGATAGATTAGAAAATGTTCTGGAGATTTGAGACAATTTGAGAAAACTCACAAACTGTACAGATAGAAATATTACAAAAATTAAAAAGTTGGGTATGTCATGAATATATAAAATACATGGATATACTAGTCTGTCATTTACTACCACAAAATATGTACAAGTCTATTATAAAAAGTTAAAATTTATCAAGACTTATGCGCACACAGACTGAACAGTGCACCAAAGAGAAATGTAAACAAATGTAAAGATGAAATATTAAATAACTGCATAAAATTAACTATAGTACATACTGTACTACTGTAATAATTTTTTAGCAACCTCCTGTTGCTACTTCTGTGAACTCAAGTATTCTATCTGCTTAAAATGCCATGTGAGGCAGGGCGTGGTGGCTCACGCCTGTAATCTCAGCACTTTGGGATACCGAGGCGGGCAAATCACTTGAGGTCAGGAGTTCATAACCAGCCTGGCCAACATGATGAAACTTCGTCTCTACTAAAAATACAAAAAATTAGCCAGGCGTGGTGGCACGTGCCTGTAATTCCAGCTACTGGGAAGGCTGAGGCAGGAGAATTGCTTGAACCCAGGAGGCAGAAGTTGCAGTGAGCTGGGATCACGCCACTGCACTCCAGCCTGGGTGACAGAGACTCTTGTCTTAAAAAAAAACAAAAACAAAAAGTGCCATGTGAAACCAGTCACCTCCCTGTGAGCCATTTATGGCTTCAGTAAATTGCATATCACAGTAAAAAGTAATCTCTAGTGGATCTCCTGTATTTTTCATCCTGTTTAGTGCAATATCATAAACCTTGAATGACACCATGGGACCCACACAGAGTACCACTAGCGATGCTGAAAGGGCTCCCAAGAAGCAGAGAAAAGCCATGACCTACACAAGAAAAAGTCAAATTGCATGATATGTATTGTAGATTGAGGTTGCAGCTGCGGTTGCCCACCATTCCAGACAGATAATTCATCTTGGAAACAGACAATGTAAACTTAAGCTATCAATAAATATAGTAATGTAAAAGGATTTTCTCTTTCTTATGAATTTCTTAGTAACATTTTCTTTTCTCTTACTTTATTTTAAGAATACAGTATATAATACATATAATACAGTATATAATACATATTATAATTATATAATACATATAATTTCCTGTTTATGTTATCTATCAGTAAGGCTTCTGGTCACCAGTAGGTAATTAGTAGTTAAAATTTGGAGAAGTCAAAAAGTTAAACACAGGGTTTTGACTGAGCAGGGACTTGATTCCCTTAACCCTTACCTTGTTCAAGGGTCAACTGCATATTATAATATCTTTGGGGATAAGGTGGGAAATGACTTGAAATCACTCAACCAGAGGATTTTAAAAGTGTGAGGGAGAAAAACTCAACTTAGTTTAGATGTTCATTGATTCGCTCACATATTATTGTGTTTCTATTATTCCCAGGAACTATACTGCTGGGAATACTCTGATAAGAGTTGGACAGAGTCTCTGCCTTCATTTAGTGTGTACACTTTATAAATAAACTTTTTAAAAAGATGACTACTGAATGGTAAGTGCTAAGAGAAAAACAAACACAATAATATGATAAGAGTATGGGGTTCCACTGAGGGAATCTACTCTAGATAAACCTAGAGGATGAGAAGGAGCCAGCATGGGAAAATTCTGGCAAACAATCTTACAAGCAGAGTAAGTACAAGACTTTGAAGCAGCAAAGATCTTACACAATCCATCGTGGTTGGAGCAGTAAGAGTTAAGAATACATAGATGAGAGAAGAGAAGAGAAGAAAGGCAGATATTGCAAGGTCTGGAAGGCCAAGATAAGGAAATGAATTTCACCTCATTTTAAATGTAGTAGGAAGCCAATAAGCCAACAAGAAATTTTAAGCAGAGAAGTGAGATGTTCTCATTTATGTTTCCAACAGTTCACTCTGCTGTGTACAGCGTGGACTGGGGGGGAAGAGTTAAAGCAGGAAAATCTTCAACTAGGGTGGCCCCAGTGGATTACAGAAACTTCAATGACCTAAGAATAGTTTGGTAGAAGCAATGGACTTTGCCGATAAAATGAATGTTGTGGTGTGTGAGGGCAATAAGTTAAGAATAACTCACAGGTTTCTAGCTTGGTCACTGGGCCCAAGGTATTGTCAATTTCTAACTTGGAAGGAGACTTTGAAGAAAAAATGTTTACAGGATACAAATCAAGTGTTCTGCTTTGACCATGTTATTTTTTAGAATTACTGGAATATACAAGTGGAGAGGTCAAGTAGGCAGTTTGAGATATGAGTCTGAGGTTCAGGGACAGGTCAGCACATGTAAATTCTGGGACTAGATCATATCATTAGGTGAAGTAACAGACGAAGAAGAAAAAAGTAATCAGGACTTCAGCCTATGAACATTTAAAAGGGAGATAATAGAAGAACCAAAAGGGAAAAAAAAGTGACGGGGTGCAGTGGCTCATGCATGTAATCCCAACTACTTGGAAGGCCAAGGCGGTTGGATCACTTGAGGCTAGGATTTTGAGACCAGCTTCGGCAACATAGCAAGACTTTCTCTCCACAGAAATTAAAAAAAAAAAAATTAACTGGACATGCATGGTGGCACATGTTTGTAGTCCCAGCTACTCAGGAGGCTACTGAGGTGGGAGGAATGCTTGAGCCTCAGAGTTTGAGGCTGCAGTAAGCAAAAAAAAAAAAAAAAAAAAAAAAAAAAAAAAAAAAAAAAAAAAAAAAAAAAGAAAGAAAGAAAGAAAGAAAAAAGCCTAGAGGAGGACAAGAGTGAGGAGAAAAGGGGAATATGATGTAATAACAGGATTTCATAAAGTAGAGAGTGATCAGAGATGTGTTGAATATATTTGAAAAGTGTAGTAATTGAGTGCATAGACATGGTCCTTAGCCAGACACATGGGTCATGTATTGGGTAATGTGGAGATTATTGGTGACCTTGACAAGAACAGTTTTAGTGCACAGAGGAGGGAGAGGCCATACTGAGGTGAGTTTATAAGTAAATAGAAGTTGAGTAGACTTTTTCAAAATGTTTTTCTATGGAGAGAAGAAAAATGGGATGATATTTGTAGAAAACGAGTTATATTATCATCTCCTCACTTAAAAATAATATCATGCCCAATGAGAAAGATCCAGTAGAGAGAGAGATATATTGTGTATGTAGGAGAGGGGTGGGGATAAGTGCAGAACAGAAGCCTCTAAGGGATGGTATCCAGAATCTAGGTGGGGCCTTTGGTGGGAGTAAGGAGACTTCCTTCAACTTATCTTGAGGAAAGATGTCATTGCTCACTGCTGTGCTGACCTATAAGGCTCAAAGAATGACAAATCATAAAGCTGTCTTTGCCAAGGGTGACATGCCTACCTGCAGCACAGCAGTGAGGCCAGCAACAATGTGACCAAGAACTCCAAACAAGCCATTGATTAACTTAGGGAAGTTAAAGCCAGGCAACATGTGATCACTGTAGATATTGCTAAACTGTCTTAGGATGTATGATTTCAAGATCTGAAGATAAATTTTTGAGACAATGGGAGTTGTGGGTTTGGGAAATAGTTTATAATTTTGTTTTTTTTTTCTTTCACTCCAGGAGTCCATTTATTTAAAAATGAACCAGACACAGCCCTGGACAGAAACTTCCTGATGAGATACATGAAAATTCTGAAATACAAAACATAATGAATTGTAAACATCTTTCTATCCACGAAAGATGGTCATGGTGAGGTGAATGTACTAAAATAGAAATGTGTCTCTAAAAGTATATTCTTTAAAGAGAAGACTGAGCTAGGAATACCAGACCAGGCTAAAACTATGACTGCCTTGAATAAAGTAAAATATGCATAAACTGTACCAAGAGATAAGGATAACAGACATATAAAAATATTCAGAGTTATACATAACAAAAAGAAAATATAATTAGACAGTTAACTACTTCACTTTTCTATTCAAAAATTATGGCCAGGCACGGTGGCTCACGCCTGTAATCCCAGCACTTTGGGAGGCCGAGGCGGGTGGATCACGAGGTCAGGAGATCAAGACCATCCTGGCTTACATGGTGAAACCCCATCTCTAAAAATACAAAAAATTAGCCGGGTGTGGTGGCAGGCGCCTGTAGTCCCAGCTACTGGGGGATGCTGAGGCAGGAGAATGGTGTGAACCCAGGAGGCAGAGCTTGCAGTGAGCCAAGATTGCGCCACTGCACTCCAGACTGGGTGACAGAGCGAGACTCCGTCTCAAAAAAAAAAAAAAATTGTTAGTAACTTAGTTGTATCTTTACTCACATTTTCTGCCTTTCATTTCCAATGGGACAAGTGCCCCTGATCCTACAAGAAGCCCAGACTTCCCTCTGTGCTCTGGATTCATCCTTTTCATCATTCAATTGCTAGTCTTTCAGTTACCATCTCTCCTAATGTACCAAAAAATATGTTCCTTTTCTTCTGGCTAATTCTTACTAGCATTGAACAATAATCGAATGTTTCTAGCATTTTCTGTCTTTAAAGAAACACTTCTAGCCAGGTGTGGTGGCATGTGCCTATAGTTTCAGCTACTTGGGAGGCTGAGATGGGATGATCCCTTGAGCCCAGGAGTTTGAGACTGCAGTGAGCTATGATTGTGTCACTGCACTCTGGCCTTGGTGACAGAGCAAGACCTCATCTCTAAAAAAAGATTTTTTTCTAAACCTATATCCTTCTTAATCTAAAGAACTGATTGATTCTTTTCTAACTAGCAGTTTTCTCTTTGACTTAAAAAACCAGGCTTTTCACCCCTCTATTCCTCTGGAACTGCTCCTGTCAAAGTCACTAAGAGCCTTTGTGTCACCATAATCTCCACACTCATTCAAATCATACTTGATCTCTCAGTAGCATTTGATATAGTTGGCCACTTTTTCTATTAAGTTGAAATATAGGAAATTTATGTTTTTGTAGGTCTAGAATTATTTGGGCAATTTTATTTGGCTCAATCTAATAGTAATATTTTTTTCTTAAATTTCGTTACTCTAGTGTCCAGGTTTTTTGCTACTTCAGTATCGAATGCATGAATCTCATTCCTACCCCATTTATTCAATGTTAACTCTCTGTCATAGGTTCCATTTTCTATTCTAGGTATGATCTCCCTCCAGGTGGTGTCATCTATTCCCATGGTTTAAATATCTTCTTCGTGCAGATGTCACTTATATTTCAAATCTACTCTCCATGAATATGAGATTCATACTCATATATGCAGCCGACCTAACCATCATCTACTTTCGGTGCCCAATAAGCATCTCAAACTTAATGTGGTCAAAAGAGAATTCTTTTTTTTTCACCTCCATGTGCTTCTCTCCTAGTCTTCTTCATCTTAGTAATGGCACTATGGCATTGCTGGATACTCAAGCACAAAAGCTAGGAGTCATTCTGGATTTCTGCCTTTTCCTGACTTCTCCACATCTAATCTATAAAAAGTCCTCTTCTTGATAGCACATTCCTCCATTCATTTCCATTTATAGTACTAATAGCCTAGAGCAGGATTCCTCAACCTTGACACAATTGACATTTTGGGTCAAATCATTTTTGTTGTATGGAGCTGTCCTGTGCAATGTTGGGGGTTCAGCACCATCCCTGGCCTCTCCCTATTAGATGCCAGTAGCGCCCCTTTTCCCAATTGTGACAACCAAAAATGTCTCCAGACAATGCCAAATATGCTATAGGTTAAAACTACCCCGGCTGAGAACCACTTCTCTACAGCAATCTGCCATCCATTACCTCTTGCCTGGATTACTGTAATAGTTAACCATAGGTCTCCCTTCTACTTGTGGCCTCCTACATGCAATTTTCTAAGTAGTAATAAGATGATTCCTTTAAAATCATGAATCCGTTTATGTAATTTCCCTGATTAAAATATTTCACTCAGAATAAAATCAAATTCTTTATGTGGCCTTCAAGGCTCTACATGATATAGCCTTTCCTCACATCTCTGATCTCATCTCATAGAATTCAACATGTTCCAACCACATCATTCCTCAAACATAGTAGGCTTGTTACTTTCTAACAGCCTCTGTACTTGTTTTTCCATGTGTCTGGAATGCTCCTCCTTACCATTCAGATCTCAGCTTAAATGTTTCCTCCTAAAGAAAGTAGATCACAGGCAACCTATATCACTCCAGCAGAGTGCCATATTTTCTTCCTAGCCTTATCACTAACTAGAAATATCTCATTTATTTGTTTACATGTTTATTGTCTACCTACCTCCAGTAGACTGTAAACTCTATAATAACATGGGCATTATCTTTCTTGTTCACCACAGAATTCTTAGTGTATACAGTTATTGATTTAATAGATGAAAAAGTCAAGTAATTCACTTTAATATTAACATGAGTTTTAATAATAATATTGGTGATAGTCACAGCTGGATGTGCCAACAATCAACTGTAAGACCTTTGGTGATCTTATAGTTTATTTGGTTATAATAAAATGATATAAAAACAATAAATTCCTATTAATAATTTTCTGTTAGGTCTTTACTAGATTATATATAAGGTCTTTTCTGGTTCTAAAATATATCTGGTAGCTCTTAAAAATCTCTCGATCATACCACGTTCCATCTATGTATAAAACTCCATCTTGATTTTCTTCCTTTCCTTTGCAGAATATTTTCAGAGTTCCCCCATGGAGAAGACTGCAAAAGCTGTTTTGATACTTGACTTTCCTTGCCTGCTTTATCACATTTGAGAAACTACAAATGGAGTCAAATAATCTCATTTGGAGTCGGCTGAGTAAATCCAGTAATCCTCTAATAATAGCGACCTCAGGATTAATTTAAAATATAGACAAATAACTCACCTAAAAATATCACCTCTGACTGAATAATATCAATCAGGAGTATTTTACAATATAGACAACTCACCTAAAAATATCACGTTTGACTGAATATACCTTTGATTTTTCAATGTAGTATCCTGAAGATATATTTGGTGTAACAGCTCTTCAACAAATATTTATAGTGTCAGGCAGTGTTCTAGGAGTTGTGACACAGTTGAGAACAAAATAAACAAGTCTCTGCTTTCATAATGTATACAAACGGTAATAAGCATTAAGAAAGAGAAGAAAAAGGAGGCAGGAAATAGGCATAGAGTGAGATTATAGTGATATTTTATATAAGGCAGTAAAGGTGGACCTTTTTGATTTGAGATACCTATTTGTGCACAGACAAATGAGGAAGCAGAAGCTGTGTGGCTATCTAGGAGAAGAGAGTTTTCAGGCAGAAAGAATGGGAAGTACAAAGGATGAGGAACATTAAGGAGACAGTGGGGCTGGAGTAGAGAGAGTGGTGGCAGAAATTAGGATCAGAGAGATAAGACATTGGATTGTACTTTTTAAGGTAAAAATTTACATTTAATAAAATGCACATATCTTAAAGTACACAAGTAAAATGTAGAATATTTCCATCACCCTACAAAATTCTCCTGTGACCCCTTCCAATTAATCTAATTGCCCCACAGGTGACCACTGTTCTGTTTTTTTTTTTAATCACCATAGATTCATTTTATCTATTTTGAACTCCATATGAATGGAATCATACAACATGTACTCTTTTTTTTTTTTTGAGATGGAGTCTCGCTTTGTCACCAGGCTGGAGTGCAGTGGTGCAAACTTGGCTCACTGCAACCTCCACCTCCTGGGTTCAAGTGATTCTCCTGCCTCAGCCTCCCGAGTAGCTTAGACTACAGGTGCATGCTGCCACGCACAGCTAATTTTTGTATTTTTAGTAGAGATGGGGTTTCACCATGTTGGCAAGGATGGTCTCAATCTCTTGACCTGGTGATCTGCCCACCTCGGCCACTCAAAGTGCTGGGATTACAGGTATGAGCCACCGCACCTAGCCAATATGTACTCTTTTGTGTCTAGCTTCAGAATGTTTATTTTCAGAGATTTTGTGATTAAAGAACAGGTGCATATTTTACTATGTAAAATGTTGCCATATCAGTTTTTCCAAAATGGTGTGCCATTTTATGCACCCCTGCAATGTATAAAAGTTCTAGTTTCGGTTGATGTTACTGTCTTTTAGTTTATCTGTTTTAGTGAGTGTGAAATAGTAATTTTTTTGCAGATTTAATTTGCAAAAAAATTAAACACTTTCTGAGAAAGTGATATTAAACACTTTCTGAGAAAGTGATATTAAACACTTTCTCATGTGCCTGTTGGGCAATATTTATCTGCTTTTGTAAAGTGTCTGTTTGAGACTTTTCCTCTATTTTAATTGAGTTGTCTTGTTATTATTATTGATTAGTAAGAGTCCTTCATCTGTTCTGGTTGTTTTCATGGTGGTATAGTGTCTCTCTTATGGTGGTTTCTCTGGTGAGCATTGTCATGGGATATGAGGATTGTTATGCTTGGTGCTTATTCCCATTCATCTTTTCATGCATCTATCTCAGACTTCGTTGTTCCTGATCTTCCAATCTTTCTTCTTCCAGGTGCCTAAGTAGCTGGCTCAGTCATTTGCCATTGTCCATGAATTTATGTATTTTCTAAGCTTGGCTCAGGTAACTTCTCTTTCCATACAAAGAAGATGACCAGGTCACTGCCCAAAACTTTGCTCACTTGGAAATTTCCTCTCATTCCTGTCTTTCAAGTATCAAGGGATACTGAGCCAATCCATTTGTGAACCAAGCTCTGACTTTTTTCTCCCCCATCAACTGGTGATAACAGGTCTTCCACACGATGTGAGAGAGAGGCACTGATAGAATAGTAGTAGATGACATTGGTGTCTAGGCTATCTGATCATGTAGACTGCATGTCCTGCACAGTCTTGCCTGTGCTTGATCTCACATGTACCAATTCTATCTTCTTATGGATTACTTCTGGGCCTGCTCAACCTTATGCCTTGGTGGGTCTGACAGTATACAGCTCAGGATGGGCAGTGCCATCTGCATGGTCACTTGACGGCCTTTCAAAACAGTGTAAATTTCTGCTGAAGATGGCATAACTTTGTTCCAGAACTGATGGTGTCTGCATTATGATTCCCACATTTGGGCTTTCCATAAATCTAATGGCATCTTCTTGTGTTACTGGTATTTCCAATAGTAAAAGATCTTTCATATTATGCAGCCCAGGAGGCACGGCTGCTTGCACCACTACCTGGATCTACTGCAAAATCCTTTCTACTACTCTCAGCCCCACTAAAACCTTGCAGCATTTCATCTTACAGAGAATGAGGTGTAGCATAGCATTATTCTCAGTTGTGGCACAATGGTGCCTCCATTGTCGAAAGAGGTCTCCTAAACATTGTGTTTCCGTATTCATGGTAGAAAGTGCAAGTGTAAAAAGCAATAATTTGTCCTGTACTTTGGAGGGGATGTCTTAGAATGCCTTAGGACACTGGGCCCTAAAACATTGCTAATGTGGTGGTTCCTTGAAACTATTTAGAGGTTATCACTCCCCTCTGGAACACTTGTGTCTTACCAAGGCCTTCAATGAATAGTCACTTTTTGTTCATCTTGTTCAATCTGCATGATGTTATTGATACAGTGAATGAAGGTGATATTCTGCAGGATGTCCAGCTAACTTATATCTCTTCAGAGTATATTGTAATAGACGGCAGGACAGTTAACATAGCCTTGGGGTAAGGTTGTAAATTTATGGCCCATTTAAGAGCAGCCTTAGAAGCACTGTGTTCAGACCATCTCCCAAGAACCTTACTAGGGTGTTAAATCCTCTATCCTAATATGGTGTTTCCTAACCGAGAAACTTTTTTGTTCCACATCCTCGATCACACACCCTCCAAATCCAGTGCTGTGCATAATCTCTCTGCTCCTGATGGTATATGCTGGTTATTAGATTCTGTAGCTGCTCTTGGATATATTCCTTCTTTTTCAGGCCCAACATATCTGTGGCCAGATTTTACTGTTAATTAAGCCTACTTATGGATATAGGTATCAGGAGGGAAGGAGAGGGAAGAGCCTGGGAAAGCTAATGTCTTGCTAGAGAAAAGGCTTTGCATTGCCTTCAAGAAATGAGGGAATGCTAGTCATTAAGAAAAGAGTAAGTCATTTCTAAAGACCAGATCAATTAAAAGAATCGAAGGACTCATAATTTTCAGTGTCATCAACTTTATCCCATGTGTCACGGTCCCATTTCTCAACCAGAGTCCTGACCTTGGCATAGAAAATATGCATTTTTTAAGAGTTTAACCTTCTTTGGAGCTCTGCTACCTTCAGTCCTAGTCTTGGTCCTCAGCTTTCTCTCTCTTCTTATTGCAGGAACTGAGAGACTCAATGCTGCCAAAAAGTTCTTCCAGCCTTCACACTTAGCTTTTAGTTGCCAACTATCTTTTTTTTGGTCTTTTTCTAGAGCATCAATCAAACTTTGAAACTGTCATTCAATTCCTTTATTCTTATAATTAGTATTTCCTCCATATTTTTCAAATTCTTAATTACAGTGAAGGCATTCCTTTCCAGTAGTATATGATTCTAGTTCATCTTGCTGGAAGTTTAAAAAAACTGCCAGGGGCTATCTGTGCTCCACAGATATTAGTGGTTAGGTATTCATTATCTGCCCAACAGTGGGTGACCCAGCTCCAAAATCCATCCACATTGGCCTCCTTTCATCTTTCCTAGCAACAAATGTCACAGGTTGATTTCCCTGGAAAGCAGACTCTGAGATAAAAATCAGCACACTGAAGACTTAATAGACAGTGCTATTTTGGCTATTATTTCTTCCAATATTCTTTCTGTTCCATTCTTGTCTCATCTCTCCCTCTTGGACTCCAACTACATATTAGATCATTTGATATTGCCCTCCAGGTTACTAAAACTGTCATCATACTTTTTTCAATCTCTTCCTGTTCTTCACATTGGATAATTTCTAGTACTCTGCATGCAATTTCACTAATCATTTCTTCTGGAACCTATAATCTGAAGTTTAGATTACCCAGTGAGCATTTCACTCCAGACATTGCACTTTTAGCTTGAAAAGTGACATTTGGCTATGTTTTCAGTCATCTCCATCTCCCTGCTGGTATTCCCTATCTGCTCAGTCTTATGGCTACCCTTTCTTTTAAGACCTTGAATATACTTGTAACAACTTCTTTAAAGTTCTTTTTCTCTTAATCCTAACATCTAGATTGTCTTGAGGTCTATTTTTATATACTGGAGGATTCTGAACACAGCAGTGACACGCTCTAAATTTATGTTTTTGAAAAAGTGCCACTCTAATAGCCGTGTGGTAAATGGAGTATAAAAGTCTATGTAAATGAGGTAAATGGATAAATAGGGATACAAAAGTCAAATATTGGGCACAACTTATGATGAGTTACAGTTAGATGGAAGACGACAGTGGTTTTGTCTTAGGTGGTGGCACTGGTGTGAATGAGAGGAATTTGGTTCTGACCACCAGGTCTTGCTGATAGACTGGACAAGGACAGAAAGAGGAGTAAATTAAAGGATAAACCCCTGGTTATTGTACTCAGTTACTAAAACGGGGTTGCCATTTGCCTAGATATCAACAGGGGAGAGAAAATATTCGAGGACAGAAGAAAACTAAGAGTTCTGTTAGTACATTTAAATGTGAGGTATCTATTGAATATCCAAGTGGAGATGTCGAATAGGCACTTGTGTATGAGTATGGAGTGCAGAGTGAGGGCCTGGATGTTAAAAATTTGGAAGTCAAAGGTATATGGGTGATATTTAAAGCCACAGTCTTAGGATAATAGATGTGAGGACTGAGCTCTGGTATACTTGTATTTATAGAGGTTTGGGGAATGAGAGGAACATAGGAAACGAGCTTGAAGTGAGGTGGAAGGAGAAATAAGAGAGAGTGGTATCCCAAAGACAAAGTGAATATGGTTCAAAATAAAGGGAGTAATTGGTTTGTCAAATGTTGCTGTTAACTGGGAAAGGTGAGAAATAAGCCTTTGTTTTATCAGTCTATTGAGATTTTGGGGTTTGTTTCTGTAGCATATTAATGTATTAATCAATACTGTGTAATATACCTTCTTGATTTTCTTGGAATTTAGATTCTAAAAGTAAGCATTTAACATTAACTAATAAAGCTACTGAGAGTCCTATATGAGAAAATTTTGGGCATTTGGTCCATAATATGATCTTGTCAATTAGAACAGTTATTTTCTACTTGTCATTTGAATATTCATTTATGGGGTCTTACTCACTTTTTCTGGTAACATTTATAAAAATTATCTTAATAATTGTATTTCTGAGGATAATAATTTATCACTGAAATGTGCATTCACCTCCCTTTTGCAGCCCAGTGATGCAGAGGTTGATACACAGTTGATATTCAATAAATGGTAAATGTGCCCATCAAATATCTATTTTATTAATGTTATTTAACATGCTATTACCACAATGATTGCACCATTAAACTAGGTTGTCAAGGACCAATCTCAGACAGCACAATATATATGGAAGTTGATTTCCTTACTGAAGGGTCAGAAACCTAATTTAAAAACATGAAAGGGAAATGAAGTATGTTGACTCACGGCCATGAGGGCCACGGCAGAAGACTGTGTAGATGCCAAGGTCCTCGCTGAGGATGTCTGAAGTCTAGGCCAATCTCTAATCTCCAACCTACTCTGTGTTAGGAGGCTTTACAGGGTGGAAGGAACACTTTTATTAGTCCACCCAAAATAGGTAGGTACCTTTTGGTAATCAGGTCTTGAGGGGGTACACTTATTAGCACAAATCAGCATATCTGCATATAGAAGACCTTGCAATGGAGTGGTATCCGGAAAAAAATATCATTTTGGGTCTGACGGGTTCAGACAACACTTTTAAATGGGATCTCTCAAAGTGTGATGAGAACCAGAAAAAAATGGCTATTTCTAGTAGCTTCGGTACAATTGAGCAAGAAACACCAAAGGATGGTCTTTTCATAACTTTAAAGCAGTGTGGTTCTCAAGTAGGGGGTATATTTGCCCTCTGGGGAATATTTGGCAATGTCTGGAAACATTTTTGATTGCCATAACTAGAGGGAGGAGCGGTCACTAGGCATCTAGCGGGAGTAGAAGCCGGTGATGCTGCTAAATATCCTGCAAATGCACAAGATGCCCCATCCCCAAGAAAGAGAAATGTCCATTCCAGAAGTCAACAGTGTCAGTTGGGAAACCCTGCTTTAAAGGTTATTTTCTTAGAAGAGGACAGCTTTAATACCTAAAATCTAATTTTATGTTTAGGCCCATGCCTATCTTCGCAGGACTCAATTCCAAGGAAATTCTGTTCATAATGCATGCTTTCTAATTCCAGTTAATTATAGCGCCTTACAGTGTGCAGAAGGCAGAGGATTGTTTTATTTGAAAGTGATCCCTTTTACTTACTTAAAAACAGATATCCTTAGTTTCAATATAAAGTTCAGATTTTTGCTTTTAATAGTATTTATATTCCCAAATCCAAGTCCTCCCAGAAATAGGTTGAGATGAAGGGAGGCCAGATATCAAATCCATTCCTAGAGATATTGTGTTCTGTGGGACCGAAAAAAGACAAAACTTGAACCTTGACTGGCCCTCTAAGGATTAAATTCTGCTGCTCTTCTTAGGGTATCTATCGGACTGTCCCTTTGGTTGTAAGATACCACTGCCATCTCGAGGAGGACTGCATGCTTCTGCACAGAGCCAACAGGTAACTCGTCCTGGCGGCTCTGTGTACCCAACCACAACCCTAGACTGCCAAGAACACTGCTCATTCGAAGGCGAGCGAAGCCGCGAAGAGGGCCAGCGTTAGGGGAAGGGTGGTACAAACCCTTGTGTGAGCTGCAGCACCGGGGCAAGAACAACGGGCAGCCCAGGCGGGTCTTGGGTCTGCGAGACCACTAGGCGTTCTGCCGGCAGTCAGAACCGCGGCAGAAAGGGCGCGAGCGGGGAACTGCGGGAACGCAGCGGCCCGGGAAGCTGGAGGGGGCGGACCCGGCCGGCGAGCGCAGGCGCTCCCTGGCTCACGCGCGCACCCCGGCCCCACCACCCACCCTTACGCCGCGGCCCGCCCTCCGGGGCGGGTAAGAGAGCGCGCGAGCAGCGGTCGTCAGGACACGCCCCTTCGCCTCCGCGAGCTGGCGGGCGGGCTGGCATCGCCGGGAGGCGGGGCCGCGGCAGCCGGCTGGGTGCGACTGGGCGGCCTCGGAGCTCGCAGACGCTCGGGGGAACATGGCGGCTGCGGAGCCGGCGGTCCTTGCGCTCCCCAACAGCGGCGCCGGGGGCGCGGGGGCGCCGTCGGGCACAGTCCCGGTGCTCTTCTGTTTCTCAGTCTTCGCGCGACCCTCGTCGGTGCCACACGGGGCGGGCTACGAGCTGCTCATCCAGAAGTTCCTCAGCCTGTACGGCGACCAGATCGACATGCACCGCAAATTCGTGGTGCAGCTGTTCGCCGAGGAGTGGGGCCAGTACGTGGACTTGCCCAAGGGCTTCGCGGTGAGCGAGCGCTGCAAGGTGCGCCTCGTGCCGTTGCAGATCCAGGTGGGTCCTGCGGGAGGCCGCGCGCTTCCCTGTTCCCGAGTCGTCCCCGTCCCCGTCCCTGTCCCCGCCTTCGCCGCGCTCCTCAGGTGCCCCGAGCCGCCCGGGACCCGGGCCCTGCGCGAGTGGCTGAGTCCGAAGGGCTGCGCGTCTTTCGCAAGTTCCGGGGCCGGCTGGGGAATGCCCCTGTCCAAAGGTGATGGTCACCAGCTGTCCCCGGCGGGGGCGTGGGCCTCGTAGCTGGTTTCAGCGCCCGCGAACGCCCCCACGTGTGTGGTCCTCGGTCGCCCGCATCCGCTTTTTATGCCAGGATCAGGTCCCAGCCTCCTGCGTAACCAAAGGGCTGTGCTGTAGTAGCTGTTTTTATTTTGGGGTGATGGGTGATGCAGAATGGGGGGAAATGAGATTGTGGGGAGTATTGGTCTTAGGGTTTGTTCCTAGAGTTGTGTTAACCACTTGCGGAAACGCAAACTTTGGGAGTCAAACCCATTCCCCCCCGCCTTCCCAGGCTCTCAGGTCCTTGGGCTTAAGAGTTCCCTAACCTTAAGCAAATAACCATTTGCTTAGCCTCCTCTTAGTAAAGTGTCTACTGACTTGATTACGTTTTGTCGTCTGCATTGAAAAAGTCATTTGACTCCATGATTGTAATTCCTTCTTGAATACAAATACCCAACTTAAGCTAGACCTTGAGTTCCTGGGCCTGCTGGCTGGGAAAGTTGTTCTACCTGAGGACTACTTAACAGCATTTATTTTAAGCTGTGCTCTCATGCTAGGCGGGTTAATCTTCCGCCCTCTTTAGGATCAGATTGTTCACTGGCGAATTTATATTTTGGAAAGGAAAGAATATAAGGTATAATTTAGGTAGTACACTGTCGATATCATTTCTTTAGCTGAGAAACTGATAAGTCATTTTTTCAGAAGACCAAACTGAAATGTGGGATTCGGGGATAAAAGGTATTTTAATATTTAAGTGTCATTTTCTTTCTTTTTTGTTTTTAGTTTTTATGGGCACATAATAGTTGTACATATTTATAGGAGACGTGATATTTTGATTCAAGCATACAGTGTAGTGATCAAATCAGGGTAATTGGAATATCCATTACCTGAAACATTTATCATTTATTTCTTTGTTCCAAATTCATTTTTGTAGTTATTTTGAAATATACAATAAATTATTGTTAACTATAGTCACGCTATTGTGCTACTGAACACTAGAGCTTATTCCTATTATCTGTGTTTTTTGTACCCATTAACAGTGCCATTTTCTGAGGATTATTCCCTAGTTTTTTTCCGCTGTAGTTGGCAGCTGAATTGATGATGTTTCCTGTCACCCCAACACCTGTGCCAGAAGTGTCCAAAGCAGGTACTTTAGCTTCGATAAAGTTCCTGCATTCAGAGGACAAAGTCAGAGACTGCACTCTCTGCCAGTGGAGAACCTGGAACTGGATACAGTGATCTGATACCCCAGAATCTTACCTGCTGCTCAGATAGGGAATTGCAGTTCTTAGGTGCTTAAGACTCCTCATTTTTATGTCTTCAAGCGTTTTCGTGTCTGACACCTCTCTGCAGCCTTCCTTGTCAGTCCTTTTACGTTACTGCTGCCAGAATACTCAGATGTTGGATGCACCTTTGAGAAGTCCATTTATAAAGGCTAGAATCCAAATACTAACTGCGGAGGTCTGGGACTAAGGATGCAGACTTCTTTATGAAGCATTTCCTGTTACGGCTTGGAGGGAGGCTGGGCTCTTATCTAAGATAATGCTATTCTAAACTAGGCCCCAGCTCTGTAAGAGTCCCCGCCTTCCAAGATAGGATTTTTATATTTGAAAATTTCAGGGCCTTGGTCTGGCAACTCTTAAAAACATTCTAGAAATTAATGAAATGTATGTACCTGAAAACGCTTGTACATTCTCAAAAGGCGTTATATAATTCTGGTCACCTGTAGCTTTTGCAGTGTTTTGCTTGGTATAGGAGATTATGTATAGTTCACTTTTTTTTGGTGAGGTTTAAAATAACAATAGCATTACTCTACTCCCTCTTCAGAAGAAATTTTTCCGCCAACTAGTCTAATAATTCTTAAGCATTAGTTATATTTTTGCATTTATATAGCTTTATATTTTTAATTCTTTAAAAATATTTTCTCTTCTATATTATCTCATTTTAGTAGTTATACTTTGACTTCTTCAGCCTGATGCCTCTCCTAGCTTAGAGGTAGATAAAGGAAGGGGATAGATACATAAATATGCACACACTGTGTATCGTATATACCTTCTGATACCGATTTATGTCTATATGAGAAGAGAGAGATATATATACACACATACATATATATGCATATGTGTGTATAATCTCAGAAAGTCATGATATTTCTCATGACTACTGTACACTATATTCTTTGGAACCTAACAGCATAATCCTAGAGACTTGGATGTTTTATGGCTGTAAGAGACCATACAGTTCATTCCACAACATGTGAGTGGCAGCTTTAAATGCCTGGCACAGTGAATGCAAACTTGGATTCAATTCTTGTTCCTTACCTAATAAATGAACTTTCACTTTGAGGAAGTGCAGAAGAACATAGGGAGGTGGAGGTGAGTAACTTGCTGCAGGTTACATGGCAAGTCTCCGCATATGCCTGGCTAGCTCCTCCACAAATGCGTGTGGAGGAGCTAGCCAGGCATATGCAGAGCGTCACTTACAGCCGAACACAGCACTACTGCTTGCATGTTTAATGAGAATTGAGCAGTCTGGAAAACAAGTCACAAACTTGAGCTCTTGTTTGTTCATTTGTCTTGGTGCTGCTCCTTGTTCTTTGGAATAAATGCTTGTCACTTAGGAAGACTCAAGGTGGCCTATCGGTGAGTCCATGTTACTGGGGATGGTTGGCCCCTTCTTGAAGGCAGGGACAAAGAGCACAAGTTTGGCCACATGTAGTTCATTGCGTAAATAGTGATTTATTATTTCTCCACACTTGGGCCCTGGAGCCTCTGTGGCCCTGGCTCACGTACTGTTAGTCTAGAATGTATTCTTCATTTGCGCCGTGGTATGAGTTGCCTTCGTGCTTATTCTGACAGCTGTGGCTGATGACCTTGTGAAACACAGTGGCTGCCTTTGCCACACTGCACCCGTGCTTGTTAGTGGTTCTATGAGAACTGATCTTTAAGACCCCCCATTGCCAGTATTAGGCTGTGGTAAGTTTTTGGTGACTTCTTTTCTTAAATATTCTGTCAAAGTAACAATGTCTGCCGACAGCTCAGGTAGATGAAGGCATAGCTCATGTTTCATGCTTGGTTTGTATGTCTGCAGCTTTGCCAAATGCTTGAGATCTGATGAATTTTGAGACACGGGAAAGAATATAAATGAGAGGATTATGTAGTGGGGATTTACGTCATTTTTATGACTTAAAAGTTTTAATTTTTCAAAAGGTATTTTGTAAGTTTTAGGTAAAGGAAACATTTAACTATGGAAATTTACATAAATGTTGTATCATGCTACCACCAGTGCATTTTCCAGCCTGTGGCCAGGAAAGACAGAGCCTGCAGAGAAGAGAGGAGGAAATGGACAGTGTAAGAAGGATGCCAGTGAGGGGATTTTACTTCTGTACATAGCAGGGAAGGCTTTGGCAGCTTTCTGTGGCCAGAAGATAAGGGCGTTCCAGGGAAGGTTATTTTGACCTTTTCCCAAGATGGTTAACTGGCAGGGCATTTTGCTCCAGCTTTCATTTTCTTGGAAGTTTATTACTATTATTATTATTTTAAACAGGGGCATGAACATTTTATAGCTAGAAGAGACTGACAGGTTCATGGTGGGAAGGGAGGGAAGGCAGGAGGAAAGGAACCTTGTTCGCCTTTGGCTTGATAGTTTGAAGGTAGTGGTTTTTGATTACAAAACCTTTGCCTCAGGAGCGTGGCAGGAAGAGGGGGTAGATGAGCTAATGCTCAGAGAGGAGACAGCTGGATCCTGAGGTGGTTGTATTGTCTCTACCCCATTGGTTTGATGTGTGTCACTTAAAAAAAAATTAACATTCCAGAATAATACCTAAAGCATTGTATCCTTTTTTGCTCCTTCTGAATACATTAGAGCTACCTATAAATAAACTGTGTTTGAGAGTAGGAGCTATGATCTGAATTTTGAATTTTTTTTCTTGCATTTAGCTAACCAAGGGAATCCCAATGTAGATTCAAATGTCATTGTGGTCCTGGGCTTGTCTAGCTTCACCTTCACCCCAGTCTGAGGCACAGTCTTAAGAAATCCTTCAGTCCTCACCCCTGGGGTGGGTGGAGACAGCTGGCGTCCCTTGGGGATTTAGAAAACTCATACCTTAACTGATAAGCTAGGGTTGTAACCTTATGCCAGTGACATCAATGTTCACAATAGGTGAATATGTTGTAAAAATAAGAGCCAATAAGTATTATTTCACAGCCTAAATTAAAAAGTCCCTGATCTGTTTTTCCAGGAACAATCTTGTCTTAGTGATTTGGTAAGGTCTTGGTAACATCTGGAAATCTACTTTATAAATCACTTTATGATTCACTTTCCTTATTCTGCATATTATGTTAACATAACAAGTTATGCAATGTTAGCATTCCTATAAATATATTTATAGGTTTCTAAAGGGATCTTAATTGTAAATATTTATCCTCATTAGAGGGTAAGTTTTTTAACATATGCTAAGTTTTAGAGTGTAGTGTTTAATATATGAGGGACATCAGAATAGCCTAATACATTTATTGATTGATTATATGAAGCCCATTTAATCCTTGAAATACCCCTATGATGTAGATACTATTTTTCTTGCTGTGTTACAGATAAGGAAATTGCATATGGAGATATTTACCTAAGTTCATGTAATCGAAATTAGTGAAATTGAGATTTGCACTCAGATTCTAATGCCTACTGAGGCTTGTGCTATAAAGGGGATCTTTGTAACCTGGGGGAGTCACATCACAGACCTCTGTTGTAAGTGAGTTGACATTGGAGCCAGGCCTTACTATAGCTGTGGTCATCGGATTTCCTCAGAAACACTTGGGAGTGAAATAACGATGCCCCAGGTCCCCTTCCAGACTTTCTCCCAAACAGATCATGCCTATTTTGTGACTCTAATTGACTACCAAATTTTTTAAACATCGCATTTACAGTTTCAAATTTTAATTATTCCAAATCCCTATAGTAATTTGCTATGGGCTGGGTGATGTGAAAAGTCTTTTGAGTATGAAATCTAAGGTCAAATCCCAGCTATGACAATTCTTAAGAAAGTAGACAAAATATTTATACTTGAATCTGATCTCTTAAACTCTTGCTTGAGGAAGCCATTGGCTATGATCAACTTTTTATATTTAAATATATATATATTTGTATATGTATCATGTGCAAATGTGTGTGTAGGACTATGTGTAGGCATATAGATATACGAAGGTGTGTGGATACATATATTTATATGTGATTTGTTTATATTCCTTAAATATGCATAGATCTGTAATTGCTATGCTTTTACTCCTGGTGACATTTGGTCCAGTCCACTTTTAATTTGCTGAGGCAGGACTGGCTGTCTTACAGTTGCAACATGTAAATGTTTGGCTACTGGCGATATTTTTTAATTACCTTAAAGATTTTGGTTTAAGAGAACTTCATGAGTCAAAGTAAGAAATTTCCGAAATTTAGAGAGTTGTATGATTTTAACAGCCTGTTGGAATTCATGTGGATTTGGGGTGAGGATTTGGGAGGATTGGTTGGACATGATTAAAGTTTTTCAGTATGTTTTTGGTAGCCACAAAAGTTCCTTTCTGTTTGTAAGGTATAGACGTTATTCCCCCAAATATCATAGCATAGGGAGGCCATTAAAAAAAAAAAACTAACTTTTTATTTTAGAATAGCTTTAGATTTACAATAAAGTTGTAAAGATAGTACAGAGAGTTCCTATATTCCTGTACCCAGATTCCCTATTGTTTTTGTTTGTTTGTTTGTTTGTTTGTTTGTGAGACAGGGTCTTGCTCTGTTGCCCAGGCTGGACTGTAGCCTCGACCTCCCGTTCTCAGAGGATCTTCCCACCTCAGCCTCCTGAGGAGCTGGGCCACCAAGCTCAGCTAATCAAAAAAAAAAAAAAAAAAAAAAAAAAAAAAAATATATATATATATATGGTTGGGTTGGGTGTAGTGGTTCACACCTGTAATCCCAGCACTTTGGGAGGCCAAGGCAGGCAGATCCCTTGAGCCCAGGAATTCAAGACCAGCCTGGGCAACATGGTGAAACCCCATCTCTATTAGCAGTACCAAAATTAGCCGGGTGCAGTGGTGCACGCCTGTAATCCCGGCTACTTGGGAGGCTGAGGCACAAGAATCGCTTGAACCAGAAGGTGGAGGTTGCAATGAGTCGAGATCACGCCACTGCACTCCAGCCTGGGCGACAGAGTGAGACTCTGTCTCAAAAAAATATGTTTTGTAGAGACAAGGTCTCACTGTGTTGCCTAGGCTGCTCTTGCAATCCTGGGCTTAAGTGATCCTCCCACCTTGGCCTCCGAAGTGCTGGGATTACCAGCATGAGCCACCATGCCCAGCTGGATTCCCTAACATTAACATTTGATATTCCTGCAGTACATTTGTCACAACCAAAGAACCAACATTGGTACGTTACTATTAACTAAACCACACTTTATTCATATTTCACTAGCTTTTCCCTAATGTCCTTTTTCTGTTCCAAAATCCAAACTAGGATACCAATTACATTTTGTTGTCTTGTCTCCTTTGGCTCCTCTAGTCTATAGCAGTTTCTCAACTTTGTTTTTAATGACCTTGACAGTTTTGAGGAGCACTGGTCAGATATTTTGGTAGAATGTCCCTCAATTTTGATTCATTTGATGTTTTTCTCATTGTTGGATCGGGGTTGTGAAATTTCAAGAGGAAGGTCACAAGGGTCATTCTCATTACATCATATCAAAGGTACATGTTATTAACATGATGTCATTAATGACATTAATCTTGATCACCTGGCTGAGACACAGTCGTCAGGTCTCTCCATTGTAAAGTTACTCTTCCCCCTCTATACTCTCCTCATAAGAAGCAGAGTACTAAGTGCAGCCACATTCAAGAGGATGTTGGGAGTTAAACACCTTACATAGATACTCTCCACATCATATTCAACAGCATGTGGAGAATGTCTATGAAAGGTAGGGTATTTTTTATTCAGTAAATTGTAACCTGTACTCTGCTTTAAAAACATGCCTTGCCACTGTATTCTCTATGGTTTCTTTGTTTACTGAGTTTGTGGATGGTAAGTTCCTATACTAGAGAGATTTCCCAGGGCAGTGAGGATTTTAGGGCTGTATTTTTGACCTCCTCAATGTGTGTCTAATATGACACATCTGATGCAGTCCCCTGTCCAGAACCCATAGCTAAAATGAAGGGCAGGAAACACCAGCTAGCAAGAACTGGAGACCACAACTCTGGATATTAGGATTCCTGGGTAGGTAAGGATTTATTCTTTTAAACACCTCAACTTAAAAATATCTTGACCATTTTATAATGTAGTCCTTCTGAAATATATAATTTAACAGTTTTCTTAATGAGTGTGCTGGAATGATGTTTTCCTAATTTATAAGTTAGAACAGCTTTTTACTCTTCCACTGGAGGTCTAGACTGTAGCATTATTTGAGTTTTGATCTGTTTTTATTGTATTTTGAATCTTTTCTCTGTCAGCCATCATTTCTTGCTGCTATCAGTTTGCCTGCCTCCAGCAGTTTCCTTTCTGATTTGCTGTTTATAGCCTTCTGTTAATTTAGAATCCAGACAATGAAACTTGTTAGGAATGTATACAGAGGTAGTCAATACAGTATAAAATAGGATCTGAGAGCTGGAATTCTAAGCAAGTGTAAGCTCTAAGCATGTTAGTGAATGGCCTCCACCACATTTACGCAACTGCCCAGGAATTTTATTTTTCAAATTTTTTTTTGTTTTTGCTGGTTCTCACCTGTTGTGAAACGGTGAGACTGGCTTACTTGCATTATGGTTATTTCAGTAGGCCTGCTGCAGGCAAACTGCTTTATGTAGTGTGCCCTAAACACATTGTGGATGCCTACGAGTCCATGATTCAAATTTATAAAAATGTAGATATTGAGCCTTTTGAGTCAATATTTGATGTTTACAGAGAATTTAGTGATTGGTTTTTAAAATAGTATCCTAAATGCACAAAAATTAGCCTTCCCAGCAATGCATTTATATTTGTATATAAGATCCTAGTCACTGCTTTTGAAAATGACCAAAGCAGAGGCATAATACTTGCATTTAAAATTAAGCAAAGAAACAGCCAAAGCTAGAACATATAATATGCTTGAGAATTTATTTTAATCATGCTTTATTGGAAAAGTAGGAAAACCCTATACATAGAGTAAGAATTACAGATGGCTCTCACATTCTAACATGAATTTGGTATTGGATTGTGCATAGCTAGTTAATACACATCTATAGAGTCAGTACCAGAGGGAGATTAAAGTGCCAGGGTACTTCAGACCAGGACATAGATAAAACAAAGTGCAAACCAATTAGAACAGTTATATCATTAAGGATTAAAGATTTCTTAATGGTTAATTTAATTCATGTAGTAATTGTTTCCAGAGAGTCAACCCCTGCAGAGATACTAAGGAGAGTCTAAGGCTGTGTTGGTGGTGAAGCCACACCATGTAATCCAGACACAGACTCCTTTAGAATATTATTAATAATAGTTATCTGTAGGTGGTTTTAGGGGAAACAAAGTAGGATAATTAGAGGGATGATTTAAGGGAGCGGCTAGTAAGGGTATTGATAATGGTTCATTCAGGACCAGAACACATCCTTTACAGTACTTCCTGCAATTTGCAAAAGAAAGAAAAGCACCTCAGACTTTTAAGAATCCAGTGAGAGTAAATTCTCATATTTAATGGTGATTTTTGCTTTTTGGTGGATCCATATTGGGCCCAAATTGTTATAGACCAACTACAGCAGCTAATATGAGGTTTGGTAATCTAATATCCACTTTTCATCTTAATTCATTGACTTTCCTTATCGTGATAACTATAGTTTAAGAATGGAGATGTCAAATATAGGTCTCTTCCTTGTGAAGTAAACGACAGTTCATTTAACAGCAGTGGTGTGCTTGGTATCATTTCGTTGCATTTTGTTTGAACTCTAAAAATTATTCTTGAGAATAGCATTTTCATATTTCTGTCTTGATGATAGCAGTAATTCTGGATTTGCTTCTGTCTGTTTTTTGTTTTTAGTTTTTATGTTCCTGCTACAGATATTTTAAGTTTTACTTTTTATACTTACAAGCAGCAACATCAGATTTTTTTTCTATTGTAACACTTTTTCTGATTATAAAGAAATTTCTTTAAATAACATTCAGGAAATGTGTTTAAATAACACTTGGAAAATATAGGAATGGTATAAAAAAAGAAATTACCAACACCCCAATTATATAACCACTTGTTAATATTGTAATGTACTACTACTTTTATTCATATTTTTACATTATTGAAATACTATTGAACTGCACTTTTTAAAAATTAACATTATGAGTATTTTTCCATGGATGGTATGAATTCTTTGAAGACATATACATATGTTTTTTAATTGGCTAAAAAATGTTTTGTCATGTGAATGTGTTAAAATGTGTTATATCATATCTGTATTGTTGGCTGGTTCATTTCTAATTTCCGCTATTAAAAGCAATTCAGAGAACATCTTTTTGAGTTTTTTTTTTTCCTGTAATTCAGATACTTTTTTTGGATAATAGCGGTAGAAATTGACTTACTGGCTCAAACAATAGGACCATTTTTCTTCCTTTATTGACCTCCACTGAAAATAAATGTCATTGTACAACAAGTGCTAAATCATTCTTTTTCTTTTTTCCTCAGCTCACTACCCTGGGAAATCTTACACCTTCAAGCACTGTGTTTTTCTGCTGTGATATGCAGGAAAGGTTCAGACCAGCCATCAAGTATTTTGGGGATATTATTAGCGTGGGACAGAGATTGGTATGCTTGTTTACTTATTTGGTCATATTTGCTGAATCATCATATACACTCATATATACACATATATGTATATAGCTAATTGTTTTTGTGTTTGGTTATTTTTTTTCAGTTGCAAGGGGCCCGGATTTTAGGAATTCCTGTTATTGTAACAGAACAATACCCTAAAGGTCTTGGGAGCACGGTTCAAGAAATTGATTTAACAGGTGTAAAACTGGTACTTCCAAAGACCAAGTTTTCAATGGTATTACCAGAAGTAGAAGCGGCATTAGCAGAGATTCCCGGAGTCAGGAGTGTTGTATTATTTGGAGTAGAAGTAAGTACCTGTTACTATCATTTAGGCACAATATTATTTATAGAAAACTCAATATTTGTGGAATGTAATTTCATATATGGTATGCCAGGTAGGCAGTAATAATGAGGAAAGGTAGCCACCATGTATTATGTTCACTATTTGCATGGCACTGATCTGAACATTTTATAGCTGTTTATTTATTAAGTCCCTTAAGCCAAGTAAGAGCTAAATACTCAGTAGTCTCCCCATATTAAAGAGGATACTAAAATACCGAGATGTTGTGTAACTGACTTGAATGTATGTAAGCTGATTGATTCTTGGTCCTGTATTTTTAACTACTACTTTTGGAATACATTTTCACCAAAGGCATTATTTTAATGTATGTGTTGTAGGATTTCAGTTAGGTCATATTTTTGTGCTAGAAGAACCTTGGAGGTCATGTAGTTCATTGTCCTTCAAATCATGTATGTATCTTTTTACAGGGGAAAAATACTAATGGATTCCTATTGCTGATTTCAATTGATTTATTCCTAGCTTTTAAACAACTATTAAACTAAAATTTTAAAAATTAAGAAAAAACCACTAAAACAATGAAATCAAAATATTAATTTAATGTGATTATGACAATTTGAAGGTAACTTTTATAGTAGTAGGTTTTAACAGTAGAAAGATATTTCCTCAGGCTTAGATGTATATTCAATATTTCTGTATTTTGGCACAGTAAAGAAGAAGCCTGTTTTGTATAAATATGTCGTACCAAGTGCTGTTGCTGGCTTTGCACCTTTTTTGCTTGTTCATCATCATTAGACCTTATGCTCAATCACAATTATCTTTGAGTGGTCCTTCAATGCTAATTTTAATGAGGTGTCATTTGATAATTCTCCAAAACGCTCTTGTCATGTGAAGATAAAGTTGACGTGGCATCATTGAAATGTACTTTCATTGGTTGTAATACATGATTCAGTCATTGTTGCAGCCTGTTTTCACTCTATAGTATCTGTTAATGAATTGACACAAGTTAGTACTTACAAAGATGGAATCTGTATAATACATTTGCGGATGATATGAACTGGGTATTTTTTTCCCGTGTCATAAGTTATTTTTCACTTGGCCTACCTTTACTACAGAGTGCCTCATAATGACTCAGTTTTCCCACTAAGTTCTCAGTCTGCAAGACTGAAGACTCATTCTTCATGTTGGACACTTAGGGTGAATGAAGAAAAAAACTCAAAGTCGCACCAAAACTGAGTGCTAGTAAATCAGCTATGTGAAGGTCATCCAGATCACATGGAGCAAAATCTTTAACAAATTCTTGTAAAACTCTAAGAATATGTTTAAGGTTCTTAGTATCAGAAACATTGGCCTAATTCAGTTCCTGATTTTACAAATGAATAAACCAAAGCCAGAGATACTGTTTTATGCTCCAGATTATCTAGCTAATTAGAAGCAAAACTAGATGTAGAACAAGGTCCTTAGATGATCTGTAGTGCTCTGTCTGCTTTATCATGTTGTTGTACATTTGTAAACTACTTTTAGTTTATTATGTTATTACATATGATTCTTGTACTTTCCTACTAGACTCATGTGTGCATCCAACAAACTGCCCTGGAGCTAGTTGGCCGAGGAGTCGAGGTTCACATTGTTGCTGATGCCACCTCATCAAGAAGCATGATGGACAGGATGTTTGCCCTCGAGGTAATTGTCCTGCTTGGGAATAGATCATTTGTCAAGTTTTCCAAATAAATGAGAAGAATACTGGATATTTAACAGTAATGAAAGGTTTACCTCCTAAATTTGAGTTGGTCTGGCAATATCAGACTAATTGATTTCAACTGTGCACTGACTGACCCTTAAGGCTTCACCACCATATCCTATTTTATGTCTCGTTTCCTCCTTAGATCAAGGTTTCTAGCGTTGCCACAAACTCCTTTACATCTTTCGTCATACGTTTGCCCTAGTTTTATACGTGAACTAGGAGATATTCCAAGAAGCCTAACCTAAACTGTTTAGAGGTTTGCAAATTAAAAATAGCTCAGTTGGGTTTAACTCATTTAGCCAAAAGCTAGAGCAGAGCAGGCCTAACCCAGTTTAATATATAGTGGACCTTCTGTATCCACAGATAGAAAATATCAGAAATAAAAAGCAATAAAAAATAACATCACAACAATAAAAATAAAAATAGAATGATAGGGCAGAATAACATCTATTTACATAGCATTTACATTGTATTGGGTATTATAAGTAATATAGAGATGATTTAATGTATATAGGATATGCATAGATTATATACAAATACTATGCTGTTTTATATCAGGGACTTGAGCATCCATGGATTTTGGTATGGGGTGGGGTGGCATCCAGGAACCAGAGATGACTATTAGATTTCCTCAGACTTGAATTTCTGGGACTAAGTGGTGTGTCATTGACTGTGGACACCACTCACATCCAGTGTTTCATGGTAGTCTTGGCATTAGAATGTCACCATGTCCCATGGAATCAGGGAGTCTGTAATTCTCTGTCAACATTGCCCAACAGTAGGATGTCAAGCATTTTCTTTTTCAAGACTGTTAAAAAGCAAACTACCACATAATCTTGGGAAATATTCACTCCATATTGTCGTTTGATCTCTCTCTCTCTCATATTTAGTTCTAATTTTGTAATAATTTTAGAGCAATGTGCATGTGAATTTAATTGCTGAGTTCTTTAACTGTTTATTGAGAATGGGAAATACATGGGTTTGTTTTGTTGAGACCCTCCAGTGTTCTATGCACAGTCTGGCCTGTGAACTGCCTTGTCTGTAGTAGGAATGCTAACTCATCCCTTTAGCCTACTGTGTTCCCCAGGGTGGTAAGGTAGAGCAAATGAGAAAGGGGAGGGCCTTATCAGAGGAAAGAAGGGATGAGTACAGGGCCACAGGGTGGTGGGAAGCAGGCAGGTAGCTGGCCACAGCAGGTGTTTTAGGGTCCTTATTGGCTCTCCCTTCTCTGTTATTGCTGAAGCAGAATCCTATACTGAGATTACAAATAGAAATTATTTATTTTGTTTAGCTATTTTCAAGTCCATTAGGCTATTAGATTATCTGGTAGTTAGGTACTAAGTATTGCTGCTTCTTCCAATCTCAACAAAGACCTTTAATCCATTTCTTTTTTTTTTTTTTGAGAGATGGAGTCTTGCTTTGTCGCCCAGGCTGGAAGTGCAGTGGCACAATCTTGGCTCATCTGCAACCTCCACTTCCTGGGTTCAAGCAGTTCTCCCTGTCTCAGCCTCCCGAGTAGCTGGGATTGTAGGTGCCTGCCACTGCACCCGGCTAATTTTTGTATTTTTAGTAGAGATGGGGTTTTGCCATGTTGGCCAGGCTGGTCTCGAACTCCTGACCTCAGGTGATTTACTTGCCTCGGCCTCCCAAGGTGCTGGGATTACAGGTGTGAACCACTGTGCCCGGTCAGACCTTTAATCTATTCTTATAGTCATGAGTTAATCAATTCCTACTTTTCAGGTTTTCCTGGTAACCTGAGTTTAAATACTTCATTGTCAGGTCCTCACCACCTCAGCCAGCAGCTCTTTCAGCCACTGTGGATAAACCTTTATTGTAATGCTGAGGTCCAGAACTTTGGAAATAAAAAATGAAAAACACAAAACAAACTTCCTTGCTTGTAAAAAAGGACTTTTTTCAAGGACTTTTCTCCTACATTCATATTTTCTTAGATATGTCTTTGTTATGGCAACTTAATGACAAAATTTTGATTGGCAATTCTGTCTTTGCACAAGACTCAAGATTAAAAACAATTCCCATCTGAACCATTCTTTTTAGAGGCAATCTGTAATCTCTCGGATTAGGAATCCACACAATGTGGGGATAATGTGGGTTTGAAGGCAGGTTCTGGTGTTTTGTAAATTTGTGACTTTGAGCAAGTTGTGTAATCTCTATGCCTCAGATTTCTCATTGGTGAAATGGAAATGATAATAGCAACAAGATCATAGGATTTTTGTGAGAATGGAATGAGATAATATATTGATAGCAGTTAGGACAGTGCATGACATAGTAAATACTCAGATGTTAGCTGCTGCTTTTTTTGTTGTTACTGATTGTTGTCTTCACGTGGTTAGTCACCAGAAATGTGTAAGTATATAACCTCTAAGACCCAGAAGGGACTAGTTCTTGGAAGTTCTGAGAAGGGAGGGAAAGAATCTGTTGTCTGGGGTGGATTTGGAAGGGCCTGGAGCACCAACATTGCCTGGGGTTAAAGTGTTGAGGTTGAAAGGGAAAACCGATCATAGATAAGTCAGGTGGTGATTGATAGGGAACACCTGCCATATTGCAGATTTTTTTCCTTTTAGTCTTGATTTGATACGGAGGCGATATACCTTGTTCCTAAATTTGAGGAAGGGGGCAATGTTAAGTGTTCTGGTTTGTTTCCATAAGTGTGAAAGTTAAAATACCATTGTGGTCCTCTCCCCTTCCTCTCTATTCCTGTAGAACATAACTACTGAAGATAATTCCCAAGACTAGCTATATTGCCTGTTAAGATTATTTTAAGATTCATAGTTTGCATTATTGAAACTTCACTGTACCAGGGTCTGTGGCATGTGCTTTATTCAAGAAATGTTTTCTGGGTATTTGTCATCTGAAAGACATTACTCCTTTCAATTAACAATTGTAGAGTGCATGAAGAATAAGAGAATAAAATCCTCTCTTGACCTTGATGTCCTTGTACTTCCGGGGAGTTTTAGTGTTGCTTGGAAATCTAATGGGTTTAGTCTTTTTCCCCCCTCTCTGAGGCTTTCATGACTTAGTGCACATGCATTTTTTAGGTTTGTGGGTCAGAGCAATCCTTCTTTTCCTTTGGCCTAGTTGGATTAGTTTTGCAAGTGTAAGGGGAGAACTTCAGAAGTCTAATGCACATGTACCTGTGTGCATTAAATGGCTGGAGTTTTAACTGCCCCTTTTTAAGCCAGGAGAGAAAGTGGACTTGGGACCAGCATTGTCAGGATGGTGGGCAGGGACTTGCTAGGTATGTCTGGAAAGCTCCTGCTGTTCTTTCTCTGCTCAGGCACGTTCTTTGGTTGGGAAAGGGCAGGCATTGTGGGAATGGCTAAGAGCCAGATTGAAAACCATTGCATTTGCTAAGCTACACCTTTCCCTAACACAGGTTCCTGGCTAGATGATTTTAAAACCCAGTCAGTGTTGGCCACATTTCAATCTTGAAGCAAAGTGATAGTGTATGGGTGTCACTTTCCTAAAATGTATTTCTGTGATGTACACTTCCCACTCTGCCCCTGCTATGGCCACCTGAGTCTCAGCATCACTGAGGCTTGTTAGGCTCAGGTCAGTAGAGCACTAGGGAGTGCTGGGCATTGTAGACAGGCTTCTTGTAGCGTCACCAGATTCCTTCCTTAGACCTGGGAACAGATTTATCTTTCCTGTCTCACTAAGGAACTGGGGAGATTATCGAGAACTAACCTTTATTGGCACATTGGAGTATACAGTGTAAAGCACTCTCACAGACATTGAAAGCCTGTGATTTAGTCCTTGATTCAGACTGAATCATTGCAAGTCCATTGATTCAACAGTGAGCAGTAAGGAAGGCAGGGCTGAGCAGGGCAGGCAGCTGGTGATGGGGAGAGCTGGACATGAATGACTTGACATTCAGTGCTGTTTTCACACAACTGGACTGCAGCTTATCATATTTATTATCTGCCTTTCTGTCTGAAGCAAGCACACGATCTTTTCATATTTTTGAATGGTTTTGATATGATTAATCAGCTGACTATAAAGCAAGGAGGAGGAAATTAGGGCTTCCAGAAGTCTTAAAAAAATACTCAGAGATAACTCACCCCTGGTGTGTGTCTGAGCTTATGGCCTTACTCCAGGCCCCCAACCCCCCCATAAATAGCTGCTGTTTTTGTTTTGTTTTATTTTGTTTTTTTTAAAAAATTGCTGCAAAGTTCTGGTTAGCTGCTCTGCACCCTTTTCTGTACTGGTCATTAAGGTCCAAGCTTGCTTTCTGACAAGTAGGTTATGGCTTATACTCCCTTATACTTCATTACGGATAAAAATAAAGAGTCTGCCAGTGGAAAGGTTCAGTCTGCTGATGTACAGCCATTGAAGGAAGACTGACTTACACTCTGCAAGGATATTTTGGCTATGCAAGGGCTTCCTGGGTTTTTGCCTCTGACTTACCTAGGAATTGTTTCCAACCACTTCCTCTTTCATGCTTTTTACATATATGCTTTTTGTGATAACAGTTTGTGTCTTTTTTTTCCCTGGGATTTCTGATAACACATAAATCCAGAGAATGAATCTGTGCTATAGAATTCTTCTATTTTCCTCCTTTCCTCTCTCTACCCTTTACCCCCGACTTTCTGTTCTTTGCTCTCTTCCTTCCCTTCTTTCCCCTTTGCCTTCTCCTTTCTGTCTCTCTTTTCCTCCTTGAGCTTTCTGTCCTTAGTATTATGATTCCACTGGGGCAGTTTGGCAAGGATATTCTTTGACCTGTCAGTGAAACTTTACACAACCTTGAATTTTACACTCTTGTTTAGTGGTATTAAAATGTTCATGATGGCAGCAGTAGTGGTGGTTCTCTTATCATCCAGGGAGTCTCCTGACACAGAGAGAGCTCTTTTAGCACCAGTCATTTCTAGACAAGGGAACTGTTAATTATAGGAAGGACTCATATGCTATAGGTCAGATGTTTGGGTGCAGTAAAAAGAAATTAAGAACCATCATTTTAATTCTTATAGTAGTTTTAATCCAATTAAACAATTTATATGAAATTTGATAGTAAATTACTAATGTAATGTTCTAGCAGCTACAATTATATCTGTAGTACAGCTAATGGAGCTTTAAAATATTACGCTCCCCTCGATTTTTAAAACATGAAGAGCTACAAAATGCCAGGGGTGCCAGGCATAAGTATTAATATGCATCACGATCTCATGTATTATCAGTTAAACTACAGAGGGGGAAAAGTGGACAGAGGCACCTTTTAAAAAATCTCAGTAGTAGAAATAGAAATAAAAGTTTAATAAATTTAGAAGTCACAAGCAGCCCTCATTTGAGTCAATGAATGAGTAAGACATGAAGCACAAACCTGCCAGGAGTGTTCAGGAAATAGCAGCAACTAAATGTCCAGATGTTCAGTGATGGGCACGTAGTAACAACCATTCCTTTTCTCTCTCTCATCTCATGTTTTACAGTCATTTGCCTTGATGACTTTCCTGTTCTGGGCACATATATGTCATAACTTTGGCTACCTGTTCCCTTTTACTCGTTCTACTCCATTTTACTAATATTAAGAATAATCATATTGACTTTGTGGTATGCCTGGTCTTGAAATCCATCCCCATCACTGAACTTGATGGTATGGCTGGGAACCACGGTTTCAGTAGAGGACACTAATTATTGCATCCCAGCATAGTGTTACTCTTCTGAAATAGTGTTCATTCTCATGCTTATTTCTTGATTTGCCTTTATCTTTTTGTTCAAGCGTCTCGCTCGAACCGGGATCATAGTGACCACGAGTGAGGCTGTTCTGCTTCAGCTGGTAGCTGATAAGGACCATCCAAAATTCAAGGAAATTCAGAATCTAATTAAGGCGAGTGCTCCAGAGTCGGGTCTGCTTTCCAAAGTATAGGACATTTGAAGAACTGGTATGCTACTCACTGGTGAAGGACAGTCAGGTGAAGGACTGTAAGCCCACACAAGCTCTTCTTATCTCTACTAGAATTAAAATGTTAAGTCAAAAACGGCTCCTTTTTTGCGCCTCCTAGTGAAACTTAACCAGCTAGACCATTTGAGTACCAGCATTTAGTTACAAACGTCAAAGGCTTCCGGTGCTGCTTACCTTCCTTTTTTGTTAATGTGCTTTTATTTATTAAAAAAAATTACAATGAAGATGCCTGTTTTGTCTCTACTGTGTACTCTGATCGTATCTTTCCAAAGTGCAGACTCTTGTGAAGTTTTCTTAAATTGTTCACTTTAAAGAAAATGACGTACCAACAATGATTTGGCTTTTATATTACTGTAAGATGTTATAATGTTAATGTGGATGTAGTGCTTTTACTTTACAGATTGATTGGAATAAGATTATTGCATATGAATTTACCCACAGGACTCTGAATCATGTTACCCACTCCCCTCACAATGTTGTCCACTTAGTGAGTTGCATTGATCTATCCGTACCAAATGATGTTGAATAATTACATATCTTTCTTGACTATACTGATTTCTTATTTTGGTCACTATTACTAAATCTCTGTTAATATTCTCTCTTTTAACTGAAAAGGGATGGGATAGAAGGGTTTGCAATGCCATATTATTGGTGGAGGGCTGTTTTAACATCTTTGAAGTATGGCTTGCTGAATATCTTTACCAACATCTTGAATATATATTCTAGTGTCCACAAGATTTAGCAAAAAGATAAAGCTTGGGTGGAATATCATTTTAAAATGTTCATGTTCTGTTCTATATTTTCTTCACCTACTCTCCAAATATTGTAATGCAAAAAGTCTCAGTAATGATTTGGTAGTATTAATTTTGTGGTCATTGTTTCTCTTCGATAAATTTATTTTCATTAAATACTTGTTAGAGGGTTTTGAAATGTTTTTCAAATATGTGAAATGTGAAACTGCTGTCTTTTATATTAAAGTAATTAAAGAAAATGTATTGTGATTGAAATTATTTTGTCCTCCACAAGATGGCTCTATGAGTATTCTTCCAGGGATTCTAATATTTATTTAAGGTAATAAAATCTTGACATTTATAATCTTTCAACTCATGGGAGTTTTCAAAGAAGGAAAATCCTTTGTACGTAGGGGCAGATGGATTTTACTAAAGGGTGAAAGGCCTTCTTCATTAAGAGCAGATTTTTTTTATTTTTCCTATTGGCAGTGGTAACAAATAGCAACCTGGTGTGTTTAAATACTTTTTTCCAACCATTTGTGTGTCAAAAAAGAAGAATCAAAGATTTCTGCACCTTTAAAAAGTTTTTATTAAATTTAACCTAGTGCTTCTCAAACTTTAATATGAATGCAAATTATTTGAGGATCTTGTTAAAATGCTGATGCTGACTCAGTAGGTCTGTTGTGCAGCCTGAGGTGACATTTTGCATTTCCAAGGTGACATTTCGCATTTCCAAAAATTGGGCATTTTCCACCAGTGCTGTTCAGAAAGGACCATATTTGAAATAGCGAGAATTTAACTCCAGACAACTGTTTTCCTCCACTGCACCCAAACCTTTCAGGGCTCAGTGAAATACCAGTACAGTGAAGCCTTTTCACAGGTGAAACTAATTCTGTGACGTCAGCTTCGTTTCCCCTGCCTTCCATAACAAACTATTATACCACAAACAGTGTCGTAAAACAACGGCACAAGTGTATTCTCGCAGTTCTGTAGGTTAGAATTCTGAAATGAGTCTTAGTGGGCTAAGATCAAGGTATCAGCAGGGCCGTGTTCTTTTCCGGAGGCTGTACGGAAGAAACTGTTTCCTTGCTGCTCTGTGCTTCTAGCATTCACCCATGTTTTTTTTTTGTTTTTTTTTTTTTTGGTTTTTTTTTTGGCTTTTTTGACCCCATTTCTACCTCTTCTAAGCCAATGAAGGTGTATCTGTTTTTTCTTATGTCACATCTGTCTGACTCACTCTTCTGTCTTTCTCATTCTGACTTAAGAGCTCATGTGCTTTAAGGTCATCTGATCAGAACCTTATTCCATCTGCAACCTAAGTTTTCTTTTGCTGTGTAACAACATATTCACAGGTTCCAGGGTTTACAACATTAACATCTCTGGTGGCCACTCTGTATAACACAGACACCGCCATGTGATTTAGTATTTTATTTCATTTTGTCATTTGTCATATTTCCATCTTTCCTGCTATATTATAAGCTCTCTGGAAGCAGAGACCGTGAATTATATATAGTCATTCTGGAAACATTTTGAAAACCCACTAAGTTCTAAACATTGTGCTTTGTGCTTAGGATAAAAAGATGCCCCTAGGAAACTTATGCTATGGCACAAAATCAGATACAATTCTCAGTAAATGTGAATTGAATTAAATTATATCAGAGGTCCAGGAATGTCAATATAATACTAAAGTTCAGAATAACTGTGAATTCTGCCTTCTCTCTTTTTTTGTACATCATGCCAAGCAGGTCACTGACAAGGCTTTATTATTACAAGAAAACCAAATTGATTATAATACATTATGCCTTAAAATTGGAAGCATCTGTAACTTTGTAGGATAATGAAATTCTTTCAACTGATGTAAATAGAGAACTTGACTACATAAGCAAAAGAGTAGTCATTGTGTTGAATTGCAAGGGTATGGGAGCAGGAGCAAGAGGATTCACTTATTGAAATGCTAAAACATCTGTAGAAACTTATTCTAAAATTAAAAGTGATAACTTATTCCAATCAGGAAACAAAATATCCTGTTACATCCGTTAAAGTAATACATTTCTCAACGTGGAATATATTCCCTCTCTAAAAGTTGATGTTTGTGTAAATATGACTTTAGAACTGGGTGGAACTATAAAGATCATGATCTCAAAGGTCCATTTCAGCTCCCAAATTCTAAAATGGTTTTATTTTACAGACACAGTTAGTGAGGCCCAGAAATAAATGACTTTTCCAAAGTTGCACAGCAGGATGAGAACTGAGGTTACTTAATTCCCTGTCCTGTTCTTTCTTACATTAAGTGATAATGCTAAGGATTATCAAAGAGAGAGGAACAATAAATATATACAAAAGAGTATGCATTTTATAATTTCTGTAACAATAATTTTGATTGGCAAAGCTAATGGGATATACTCTTGCTACTAATTAATAACTTTCCCTGGCTGTAACCTTAAATCTAGTCTTATTTCTTCCTTGATGATTTTCTCTAAAGCACATTTCCTAACTAATTTGGGGAAATGGCTAAAATATATGAAAATTAGTCATTTTCATTATTAATTTTGAATTAATTTTCCCACATCATTAAATTGATTAGTGCTTCCTTAGTCCTCTATAGAGCATTCTTTCACCATGTAAACTTTGATTTAAAATATTTTAAAAATCATTAAGCTACCATAATGAGATTTATCAATTACCTAGATATGATTGAACTGAGTTTTTTAAATATGTGGAGTTGGCTTTCAGAATTTTTATGTCATATTGCTTTCCTTTAAGTTGTTCCTAAGTTTTACTTACTGTACCTTAACAGTAGACCATCTTATCAAGAAACCTTATTTCTGGAAGACAGGCTCCTTGATATACGGTAAGAGAGTAGTTCTTAAATGTTCATGCACACACACACACACACACACACACACACACACACACCTGTGAGATGATGGATATGTTAATTAGCTTTGCTGTGGCAATTATTTTACAGTATATATCATATATCAAAACAGCACACACCCTAAATATTTGCAGTGTTTGTCAATTATTTCTCAGTAATGCTGGAAAAAAATTCAGCATTGCATTTATATACTTAAAGATTTTTGACCTGCAGTATGTAAACCTATTAATTCCTATTGGAGAGATTATAATCTTGATTTGCTTGCTATAGGAAACAATTCTGAAATGGACCCCAAGAGTCCCACTTCTCTGGTATACACACACCTCCTCCCGATTATGCAATCAAATGCTAATCTAGGTACCTAGGTAACAGGTGTGGAGAGTTTTTGCTGAGGTAATTAAGGTCTCAAAGCAGTTTACCTTAAAATAGGGAGACTAGCTTGGTAGTCCTAAGCTAATCAGCTGAGCCTTTAAAAGGGACTGGGCTCTAGCTGGCGAAAGAGATTCTAAGAGTGAGAGGTCTCCGGCAGGAGAGAGATTCTCCCTTGCTGACTTTGAAGATGTAAGAGACCACATGGTAAAGATGTGAGGATCCTATCATTTGGAAGCAGGCCTTTGCCAGCAAGGAAGCAGGGACCTAAGTCGTACAACCACCATCACTTAATTCAGCAAACAATGTGAAGGAGCTTGAAAAAGAGATTCTTCCCCAGAGCCACCAGATAGAAGTGAGGTCTGGCTGACATCTTGATTTCCGCCTGTAAGACTCTGAGCAGAGAATCGCCATGCTGTGCCTGTACTTCCGACCTACAGAACCATGAGGTAATCAATTTGTGTTTTAAGCTAATAAATTTGTGGTAATTTGCTATGCAGCAATAAAAAATGAATACTTTTGTATTTGGCTTTTTAAAAAAATGGCAATCATTTTTATTTGGAGAGAGCTGTCTTACTAAACACGCAGGACTTCAGGTGGATATTATCAGGCTCACTTAGTGTTTGTAATAAAATGAACTTTTTTCCCCAATTAAATAAAAGCATTGTTTTTGAAATTAGTCCTTGCCAGAATACTGGGTTTACTCATTGATTTTTAAAATTTTAATAGCATAACAGGCAAGGGTGTTTTAAGAAAACAAGAGTGTGGAACTGTATTGTGAAAAGCAAGAGTTTCCTATTCCTTCCCTTTGCTACCCTACCCTTATTCTTATTCCCTGGAAGAAACCACTCTAACAGCCTTTTTGTCTTCCTCTGCCAGCTGCCTTCATAACTGAATAATATGCTTATGAAAGGTGTTATTTAAACTTTTAGGTAATGTCTACTAATTGTTTCCCCTGGAAGATCAGGATTTTGGCTTACTTACATTATCTTATCTCCACATTGCTCCTCCTGCATGTATCATCATTCATGCAGTTTAGTTATATTTTCAGTTGTACTATCTATGTTATTTGGTAGAATCGACCTGTCTTTCTTGTCCTGGACATGGACATCTTTGTGGACTGTCCATCTGCCTACCACAGACAATAACTGAAATCTCCCTGAAGGTTCAGGTCCCAAGTCGGGCTCCTTATCACTGGTTTCCTGGTATGCGCTCCCCTCTCCAGCATTCTTTAAGTCCTGGATTCAGAGAGTGAGAGAAATGTCACAGCACAGGTGATAACTGCAGAACAGGAAAGGGCAGAAACCTCCTCCCCTAAAGAGAAGGATAATTCTTATCTGAGGTGTGTAAAATCAAACGTCTGTATTTACTGAACTGAACTCTCTAGCCCTGTGTTTCTACTGATGTGGAAAACATAGCTAAATATAATCACTCCAAGATCTCATTGAGTTTCTTTTGGGGTAAATAGCTTTGTTCTTCAGAGGCTTATTTGCTGACTGGCCCTTGGTCTTTGGCTTTTCTCCAAATGTCCAGTCTTCACAGGTTTCTGGTTACAGACCCTGTCATACTGCTTGAATTGTGTATTCCCCTTGCCTCCCCAGTTTCATATTTTTACAGCTCACTCTGCCTTTTGTTAACCACAGATTTTCTCTAGGGCCTCTGGCCTTTTCTCAGCCTTATTCAAACTTTGGAGTTTGGGAAGATTTGGGATTATCTCCTGAACCAGCCTGGAGCTGAGAGGGGAGAAGTGTAAGGAAGGATGCTCTGGGCTCTGTGCCAGGTCATCCCTTCCAAGGGGCTTTAATGAAAATTGAAGTATGGATCGGCTCTTAAGCTTTTTTACATTATCAGGTGTTTCCTCTTGCTCTCTTTCCCCAATTGTTCATTAGAAACCATATCAGTCAGGGTTGAATAAGAGAAACAGACCAGTAGGAGATATAAAGTAATTTATTGCAAGGAATTTGCTTACCCAATTTGAGGGCTGTCTAGACAAGCCTGAATTAGTATGGCAGGTCATCAGGAAGGGCAGGATAGAACTCTGTGGTAGAAGCTGACACTGCAGTCTGTAGGTTGGAACTTCTAGGAAACCCCAGTTCTGCTCTTAAGAGCTTCCAACTGACTAAATCAGGCCTACTAAGATTATCAAGGATAATCGCTATTCCTTAAAGATCATGAACTTCAGTCACATCCACAAAATAACCTCACAATAACACCCAGACTAGTGTTTGGATAGCTGAGAACTTAGCGCCCTGCCAAGTTGACACATAAAGCTGACCCTTGAATGAATTATTATTCAATAGCAATCTCTGCCTGAGAACTTAGAGTAAGACATTGTCTCAGTCCATTCAGACTGCTATAACAAAATACCATAAACTGGGCAGCTTATAAACAACAAATTTATTTCTTGCAACTCTGAAGGCTGGGAGATCTAAGACCCGTATGCTAGCAGATTGTGTCTGGTGAGGGCTCCAGTTCTGGTTCACAGGGCGTTCTTGCCTCTCACGGGTGGAAGAGGGCAAGACAGCTCTTTGGAGTCTCTATCATAAGGGTGCTAATCCCATTCATGAGGATTCTGCCCTTATGATCTAATCACCCCCTAAAGACCACCCATGTCCTAATACCATCACATTGGTATATGAATTCAACAGGAATTTGGGTGGGGGAAAGGAGGCACAAATATTCAGACCACAGCAAGCATTTTGACAGAAAAACTTAGCTTCTATTCCTGTGTCTAACAAGTCATTTTCTACTGTGTGAATCTTGGCTAGCTGTGACTGCTGTGACCACTGGAGTATGGGGGCAATGACACCATGTAAGCTCCGGGCCTTGTCTTTAAGAGGACTGACAGCCTCTGGGTGAACTCCTAGAGCCCTGAGCTATCATGTAAGAAGTTCCAACTCCCCTGCAGGAGAGACCATGTCTAGCATCTTCCCAGTTGGTAACATCCCCCTGCATAGTTTTTGTTTCCAAAATAATAACCTTTCTTGTTTATAGTATTTGTTGCCTTCTGATTGTGATAGACCTTAGGCCATCTGTCCATCCTCCCCTACCTGCTTGACCGATTCTGTTATCTATTGCTGTGGAATAGATTATCGTGAAACCTAGTAGCTTAAAGCAAGAACTTACAGAACATGATTTTGTGAGTCAGGAACTGGGTTAGAGCTTTTTGACTCTTCTACCCTCCAACATGGTATTGATTTGAGTAACTTGAGCTGTTCAGCTGATAGCTGGGCAGGTCTGGAGGGTCAGAGCTGGCTTTACTTACACACCTGATACCTTGGCAGGGATGGCTGGAAGGCTGGGCTCAGTTGGGTTTCCCCATCTCTCTCCATGTGGTCTTAGGGCTTCCCCACGTTGTCTCTCCTTCAGGGGAGTTGTACTTTCTTACATGGTATCTGAGGGCTCCAGGAGACCACAGCAGAAGATGCCAGTTCTCTTAAAGAGGAGGTGTGGAGCTGGATTGGTGTCATTGTCCCCACGCTCCAATGATCACAGCAGTCATAGCTAGCCAGACCCAAGGGAAAAGCCGGAGTCCCCAGTCTTTGATGCAAATCTGCAGCCATCTGTAATTCTCCTTATTGACCTTATCTCTAATCCTTTGCTCCCTGTTTACCTTATCCAAGGCACACTCCAGCCTCTTACTGTTCTTGAACATCTTGGGTACACTCTGCCTTAGGACCTTGGCTTTTGCTGTACTCCCTGCCTGACCCTATCTTCTCCCAGATATCCCCATGCTTACGACTGTCATATCTTTACTCAAATATCATTTCAGTGGACCTTTGCAGACTACCCTATTTAAAATTAGGGTCCTTCTTCCCACCACTACATGTGTAGTTCCTACCCACTTTTCTGTTTTGTTTTTTCCATCCCATTTGGTGATATCTAACGTATATTTTGTTTTAAAAATTTTGATTCTTTCCAAGTAAGTTTCTTTCTTTTTCTTTTTCTTTTTTTTTTTTTTTTTAAGATGATGTAGTCTTGCCCTGTGGCCCAGGCTGGAGTGCAGTGGCGTCATCTCGACTCACTGGAACCTCCATCTCCCGGGTTCTAAACGATTCTCCTGCCTTAGCCTCCCGAGTAGCTGGGACAACAGGCACCCACCACCATACCCGGCTAATTTTTGTATCTTTAGTAGATACAAGTTTTCACCACAGTGGTCAGGCTGGTCTCGAACTCCTGACCTCAGGTGATCCACCCACCTTGGCCTCCCAAAGTGCTGGGATTACAGGCATGAGCCTCCATGCCTAGCCCAAGTAAGTTTCATGTGCATGAGGATTTTTGTATGTTTTTTCACTGTTTATCCATATCCTCAGCTCCTAGAACTTGCATTTATCACAGAAGTTGCACTCAGTAAATATTTTTGAATGGATGGGAAGATTCAAGAAGCTTCTTACACCTTGCTTGCTTCTTGGCTTATAAGTTTTATCTCACAAATTTAAAAATACTCAATTTGTTTTTGAATAATGAAGTTCACCTAATTATGGTTTTTTCCCTAAATACCCATTAGGTCATAGGGAAGACGAGGAGAGATATTTTTGTGCTAAATGTCTCATACTCAGTAATAGGTGATATTTATGACTCTTCACCAGCAATACTTTGATCTGCATTTCCCCCATAGTGGTATTAGGTTTTTATGCCACTCAGATTTATTAAATAAACCCATGCATTCTTAGTTTGTTGTCTGATAGCCAAACATATGCAATTATTGCAAGACTGGCTACCATGTTACTCATGGAATCGTTGACACAGAAGAGCCAAGCAGATTGACTTATGAATGTAATAATGTTGTTCTGAGGCTTTCATTATGGTCAATCTCTAATAATGAGGAAAAGGAGGAGGGAAACAAGAAGCTGAATGCCATTAGGAGACTAAAATGAGCCTGTCTTTTACATTCCGGTTAGTTCTGAATTTGTTTCCAGAAAAATCACGCAGAGAGGAAAAATGTATATCCTGTAGTCCATTGTGTTAAATAATGTGGCATTTTTCATTTTTAAGGTTAGCTTTTTGTATTACTGCAGAAAATAGTCAACTTAGAACACACCTGTCATATCTGAAGTTTAATTTCTTCATATAATTGTTAGTTGCACAGTATATTTTACTGCTTAACTCTAAAAGTCACTTGAATTCAGATTTGTTCATTGTTCTTGCAGCTGCTTCCTTGTTAAATCATTCCTCCACTTCAGACAGTAGATGCAAGAAATGAGAGGTGATTTGTCACAGAACCTATAGTTAATACATAGGCACTCATTGTTAATGTATGTTGATTACACGTAGCTTTAAATTGGGCTTCTGGAAAATTCATATTGTGCTTTTAAAATAGCCTGTTTGGCAGCCCCAACTAAAAATATGGAATGCTTTATAAATTATAATGTTGAAATGTTCGTATTTTTGCAAGAAATGAACACTCTAGAAAGAATAAATGAAGCATGAATGAATAATTCAAGAATAAATTGTTAGTCACCACCCGAATTTTAGCATGTCTTTGGTTTTATTGTTGGTATGCCAATAAGTAAGTGCTTTATCATAAGACACAGGTAAGTAAGACACACACAGCCAAGCAAAACTTACATGTGTTTTACTTACCTGTGTCTCATGATGTCAATATTGGATTCAGCAATTTATTTCTGTAGGTAGACAGCATGGTTTACATCAAACATTGCATACACACATGTATACAGTCATGACACCTAATGACAGGGATACATTCTGAGAAATGAATGATTAAATGATCTCATTCTTGGTCATTGTGCTAACATTATAGTGTGTACTTAACACAAAACAAGATAGTGTACCCTACTGCACACCTAGCCTGTGTTGTGGCTTCTAGGCAACAAACCTGTACAGCATATTATTGTACTGAATACTGTAGGCAAATATAACACAATGGCAAATATTTATATATCTAAACATATGTAAACATGGAAAAGGCACAGTAAAAATATGGTAAAAGATAAGGTACACCTGTATAGAGGAGCCCCATTATGATCTTATGGGACCATCGTCATATATGTGGTATATTTGTTGGCTGAAATGTCATTACGCAGTGCATGGCTGTATATATATATATACACATATACACATACCTTTTCAAATTTAAAAATGGTTGGGGTTGCTGAAGGGAGTTGGCAAAGTACATAAGAAAAATGGGAGATTTCCCTCTTTATGCTGGAGAAAGAGCCAGTGGTTATGTGATGCCCTGTATGATGGAAAGCATTGAAATGGCAGACCCGCTCTCATTCTTAATAACATTGACAGTTGGGGCAAATTTCTTATCTATAAGATAAAGAGATTAGACTCATCATATCTAAGATTCATTGCAGTTCTAAATTCTATGCTTCAGATTTTTTGACTTAATAAAATTCATTTCAACATTTGAGTGCCCATCATATTAGGAACTATTCACTAGATATTTACTATGTGCCATGTACCTAAATGCTTTATATCTGTTAACTCAATAATCCTTATAAACCTACGATCTAGCTAAAGAACAGAGTAAATAAGTAGCCCAAGATCATCCATTTGGTTGGAAGTGGAGAGGCTTAAATTTTAACTTGAGATTTTAGTCTAGAATTTAGTAACTGTGCCTGTAACAGTTGTATTATACTCTTTCCCATCCTGTGAGCCAGACACCTTGCCAGGCACTAGGGAAACCTCTGAGAAAGTCATGATGATGCAGGAAGCATAGGTGGCATATTGGGAGCTTTTTATTTCTAAGTTTCTTTTTGATATATGTAGACAACCATCTATAATCTCAGATATGCTATACATAACTTGTTTTTTTCAAGACTTCGATTTTACATTAAATTCTTTCTTTAGAGAGCTCATTAAGAAATATAGAAGTTCCACTGAATGCCAACTATCTTGCTCTTTTAAAATTTCCTTTAAGCTTTCATTAATTTGCTTTAGATTTGCATTCAAAAATGCAATGTTCTTAGAAATATTTTCGTCGACTCACTCAACCCATGTATTCAAATCTTTCAGAGATAAATAGCTTATTTTATCTACAGGGAATACTCATTGACTTTGAGAAATTACTTTCTGCATATTTTATTTTTGCTGAGAAAATACCTCCATACTTATCTAAAAGTAAAAATCTTTAACTCTTCTAAGTATCTGAGTATGTTAATTAGCATTAAGGTTAGTAAAATATAAATTCGTCAGTGACATAAATGATTGTGATGTAAATTAGTATGAGTTTATTAGAATTCAGAGAATTGGGAACATATATATGGGCCCCTGTTTTCATACTGACCAATCTGTTATGTCTTGAGTATTTATAATCAAATCAGCTGCTATGATAATGAGCTCTAAACATGAATTTTCAAGCCAAAATCAGACAGTTTCAGGCCTTGGATTTGATTTTACTCTTCTTACAAGCTGATCAATTAGCCTATTACTGTTTCATGGATGCTGGCACTAGACATGAGATTTCAGGATCAGAAACAGGACTGTGTTACCCATGGCACAGCAAGCAGCATCAACATTAGCATATTTGCATCGATTCCCCTTGCCCCCCAAGTCCCATGGGGGTGAGGGAGTACGTGCCAGACAGATGCCATTCATGCAGTGGATTTATACTGAGCTTTCGTAGCAAGCAGTAAGCAAGCCTGCTCTTTGTCCAAAAGGAGCTGTTACTTCATCTCTCCAGGTTATCAGCTACATAAACATAAATAAAAATGCCCTGGATAAAAGTGTTCAGGGCCTTGAAGCCTTGGCACACCAGCCAGATAGGTAAGACCACAAGAAGCCCAAGGGGAAGTGTCTCCCAACAGACAGATGCAGTGTACTGTGGCGGAAAGGGCAGAGTCTGTGACAGGGTTCTGGTTCTTGTAGCTCTTGCTAGCAGCCTTCCAGAGGTCTGTCTGAGATATCTCTAAGCATTCTCACAGAGAAAATAGAGTTGCATGAAATGACAAAAAATGTCTACCCTTTCATCTCAAGAATAAGTATTAATGTCATACTCTTCTGTAAACCTTCCTTTAAAATAAAACCTGCAGCTTGCTTGGGGCTAAAACTTGAGCCACAGAGAATTTTCACATAACCAAGTAATATAAATACAATATCGCCTACAAGTGTTAAATGGATTTTTGGAAGAGAAAATTCATCACTGTAATTGTTCAGTGAAGGATACCATTTATAATTTTAAGAACTAATATAGAAAATGTGAACACAATTGTAAGTGCATGACTAAGAAATGTTACCTCATTTTCTTTTCAATAAAAAACAAATCAAGTGACTGGACAAGATATGAGAATGTTGTGAGCATTTTAAAAATTATTTTAGAATGTTTATTTTTTAAATGTTAGAAATAATTTATTTTTCATGAATGAAAAGCTTATTCTCTGAAGCATATTTTATAGATTTTTATTTTGATATTGAAATAATTTCTGTGAAAATATGGATTTGCTAAATAGTACTATGTTTAGATCAGTTTGATTGGTCAACACTTCTCAAAATAGGTTCAAGATCTCCTCTTTACCTGTTGAAAACATTTACTCTCTTGAAAGATCCAATAAAGATATTTTAAAAAGATACTTGGGAAGGGAGGACGTTAAATGATTTCAGTGCACACTAAGTTGCAAAACCGCAAAGCATGGTTCTGGAAAAATCAAGCCTGCTATCATTATTGATAAAATTTGGATTCCACACCAATAAGCCTTATTTTGGCTAACTGGAATGTAGAAATATTTAATTCCAGGTGCATAGGGATTTATTTATATTAAAATTGTCCAACAGCACAAGATGCTGTGTCACCGATAGCCTGTAGAGGCAGAAGTTTTAAAGGACTTTAGTACACAAAAAAACATAATGCAGGCAAACTTTAGCTACCAAGAGTTCTCTAGAATGAGTATATGGATTCATTTGTTTATCCTTTCAGTACTGCATTATTGATTACCTACATAAGGGAAGCCCTCTGCTGGAGACAGTCTGGATAAGAGAGAGCTACTGTTTCTGAAGGAACTAAGTCTAATGAGAGAGATAAAATAAAGGCCACCTAGGGTGGTTAGTGCAAAGATGAGGAACTGGACACAATTACGGAAAGTCAGATGACAAATTCTTCTCAGATAGATTAGGGCTTTTCAGACCAGAGCCTTTTCACTTTAGCTTTTTTTTTTTTTTCTTTCGGTTTTGGTTTTGGTTCATCAGTTGAATGTGTAAAGTATTTCCTGGCCTTTTCTTTAACAGGATAGGAAATCTTCCTTCAAGTTGATCATCTCTTGAAGGAGCTTACAGTCTAATTATCTAAAAACAACTGTTCTACATACACGGTTTATGCAGCTCCTATGCACAGGTGAAGAGCATACAAGATGGGTAATAAAAGCAGCTTGGCATTGATCAAACACTTTACTATGAGCCAGGCACTTTGACTAGTGCTTGACTTATGTTATCTAATTTAATTCTCAGAACTTTTTCAGATAGTTCAGAACACAGAAGTTAAGTATCTAGAGTACCCGGCTAGGAGTTGCCATATGTGAACTGTTTTATGGGCTCTGCTACTAGCTGTGTGGCCTTAAGAACGACTGAGTATCAGCCATGAAGAAGGATGGCTTGTTAATACATGTCCCAGGGCAATGTCTAAAATTTCTGTTGAAGGGTAATGATTTATGTACAGTCACTCTTGATTAAAGATAACTATGCTGGGGAGTTTCTAGTCAGGCCAAGTGACCTGGAGTCAATGTGCAGTAGGCATTGCTTAACCCAGAGCTCTCAAACTCAATTGGCCACGGTGCAAGGCAGATAATCCAAACAAATGAAATGAGACAGGTGGGGCCTGGCACACTGGAAAGTAAGCATGTACATATTAAACAGGCAAGTTCTACTCAGCGCCACCTGGTTGCTGCCAAAGGAAAATGCAGACCCAGTGGTTACAGAGACTCCAAATCTTCTAAAGAAAATGACAATCCTGACTTTTAGATGTTGGTCTGTAGGCCATGAGACCAGTCTGAGGTGCAGCTCATCAACTGCAAGTGGTACTCTTCTCATTCTTCCTCATTCATAGTTTAGGAATCTTTGCTCCTTCCTTCCTACTTCCTTCCTTCCTTCCCTTCCTCCCTTCCTTCCTTCCTTGTCTCCCTGTGCTGCCCAGGCTGGAGTACAGTGGCGCGATCTCAGCTCACTGCAAGCTCCGCCTCCTGGGTTCACACCACTTTCCTGCCTCGGCCTCCGGAGCGGCTGGGACTACAGGCGCCCGCCACTACGCCCGGCAAATTTTTTGTATTTTTAGTAGAGACAGGGTTTCACCATGTTAGCCAGGATGGTCTTGATCTCCTGAAGTCGTGATCCGCCTGCCTCAGCCTCCCAAAGTGCTGGGATTACAGGCGTGAGCCAACGCACCTGGACTTTTTTTTTTTTTTTTTTTTTTTTTGAGACAGAGTCTTGCTCCATTGCCCAGGCTGGAGTACAGTGGTGCAATCTTGGCTCCTCCTTCTCGGGTTCAAGCAATTCTCGTGCCTCAGCTTCCCAAGTAGCTGGGATTACAGGCGTCTGCCAACATGGCCGGCTGATTTTTTTATTTTTAGTAGAAATGGGATTTCACCATGTTGGCCAGGCTGGTCTCAAACTCCTGACCTCAGGTGATCCACCCGCTTCAGCCTCCCAAAGTGCTGGGATTACAGGCATGAGGGACCACGTCTGACCACTATTTCAATCTATGTAAGCACTCTCAGGCAGTGGTCTCAAGATTTGCTACCTATTAGAATCAGCTGAAGAGCTTTTAAAAATCCAAAACCCAGGTCATGTTCCCTGCCAATGAAATCAGAATCTCTATAGGTAGGACCTAGATATTGTTGATCTATTTTTAAAACTCCCCAGGTGATTCCAGTGTGAAGTCAAGTTTGAAAAACAGCGCTCTCAGACCTTGCTACTCAGTGTGCACCTCAAAATGACACCAGCATCATCATGCCTGTGGCAAATGCAGAATCTTAAGCCCAATTTCAGTACTCCTGAGATGGGACCTGTAGTTAAACAAAATTCCCAGGTGGTTCCTATGAAGGTAAATGTTTAGGAAGCATTGCCTAATAATTATCAAGTGACTCATGGAACCTCGCTTTTAAGCCTTTGGACAGTGATTATTAACCATAGCTACATATTAAAATCACCAGAGAGTTTAAATGTACCATTACTGGGTCTAGCCAAGGAGATTCTGATTTAATTGATCTATGGTAAGTCCTGGATATTAATGTTTTTAAAAATCGTACCAACATGAGTCTAATCTGCCACCAGGGTTGAAAACAACTAATTGCCTTAGTTCAATTTTTTCCCATTTTGCAGTAACATGAACTTGTCATCACCCAATAAATCTTTTTACTATATAGTCATCTGATAATTCATATTAGAAAAAGTCACTGGGAGAGTTGTACCTGCTACCAAAGCTATGGTAGCTCTTATATCTGGCCGTGAATGTTTTCTGATTATTTATTCTAATTAAGTCTTCAGGTAGCACTCTTGAAGCTGGAGTTAAGGGGTTTTTCTGCCCTAGTTTTAAAATAGGTAGTCTTCCTCTCTGTGGTTTTTAAGGCTTCTGCACAACAAAATCATCTAGGGACTCTTTCAGAAAATAAGGATGACAGGATGTATCCACATATACAGTACTTTCACAGAGCCCAAGAGATCATTGTGATGGGGTGAAGGGCAAAATCACTGCTCCAGTCCCTTATGACGTAGGCCCATAATGAGCTATAGGAATGGCTAAATCAACCAGGTCTCTTACTTGAGGGAACTTAGAGACCACCAGGAATAAATTAAATATCAAATTACTCCCATGAACTCCAATTTCTTCATCTGTTAAAAAATAAAAATAAAAAGAGATAACACCTCTTGTGTTATTCTTTATAAGAAGAATTCATACAGTGTTTATAAAGTGCTTAGCACAGTGTCAACTCCTCAATACTTAAAGCCTAACTTAACAGGGCAGGTTTTTTTCCTGACAGAAGACATTCATTTTAAGTAGTATAAATCAAGGATCTTGGCTCTTCTGTCTTCAACTTCTACATGTAGCAGTTTTGTTAATTTATTTAATGTTGCATGCCCTTCAATCATAAAACAGAAAAGTGACTACCTTTTCCTGTGAAGATGGCATGGCTTACATGCAAGAATCAGAAGTAATCTCTAATAAGTCAAATGATCCTAGTTGTGATGAAAACTAAGGTGCTTTCCCCCCCAGTAAACTAAGCAATTCAATTTATTCAGCTATATGGGGCATGCTGGAAACCTAATTATGTGGATGAGCCTGACCTTGAAGTTCATAGTAAGGTTCTTTGGTCAAAGTAGCCAGCAAGTCATGCCTGTTACTCAAGTTTAACCGGCTCACTTATTTGTGTGTGGAAATAAAGAAAAGCTAACATCTCCAAAGGGTACTTTGGAATAAACAGTTAAAGCTTATTTAGCATGGACAACATGCTTCGTTACTCTGGCTGCCCAAAAAGATCCATATCTGGATACAAGTACACCTATATCCAGAGGCACTTCTATGCACAGAACACCTATGCTAGAAACTCTATGGTGTCCCCTCTGGGCCTGCCATGGTAATAACTCTAAATACTGCTTTATCCACAACAGCTTAACATTTCTGTTTTATTATTTATCTTGTACCTAAATCTTCATTTGTAGAAAAATAGACTCCCTACCTTTGTGGAACTTACATTCTGGTGATACGTCAACTCTTCTTTTATAAAAGTGGATCAGATAACCTAGAAACCATTTGAAGAAAATGAAAATATTGGAGCTCCACTCTGAGATATTTTCAGTAGTCTGTTTGAAATCTGTTTTAATAATAGACTCTTAGGAATTTTTCTCCTGGTTTTTAAATTCTCTTGTTTGTAGGAAGGCATATATCTTTTGTTTCTTTTAGTAAACCTTAGATGGTGAGATATATTGAGATATTGTGAATATTTAATTAGAAATCTAAGGGTTTTACAGCAAATGCAAGCTTAGAAGTTATCCAATTTCGTTTACAGATGAGATGCTGAGATATAGAATTAAGTTCTCAGCCAGTGATCTGTTCATTTGGCTTTAGTGTCTTACTAAACAGTTTCCATCAAAGCCTTTCAGATTCCCCATAGCTTTGAGGCCATATTGTTTATTTGGGAGAACGTGGCATTTTTCTATGCCTGGCTTATTTCACTTAACATAATTGTCTTCCAGGTTCACCCATGTTTTCCCCAATGACAGCATTTTTTCCTTCTTTTGAGGCTGAATAGCATTCCATTGTGTATCTGTATCACAGTTTCTTTATCCACATATCCATTGATGGACACTTAGGTTGAGTTCATATCTTTGCTCTTTGCAAGTGATGTTGAAATGAACATGAGAGTGCAGATATCTTTTCCCCACACTGTTTCATTTCCTTTGAATATATACCCAGTAGTAGAATTGCTGGATCATAAAGTAGATCTATTTTTAATTTTTTGAGGAACCTCTATTCTATTTCCCATAAAGCCTTACTAATTTGCATTCTAAAGTATAGTGTGCAAGGATTCCCTTTTCTCTACATCTTCAACACTTTTGTCTTTTTAATAACAGCCATTTTAGCAGCTATGAGGTAACATCTCATTGTGGCTTTAATTTGTATTCCCCTGATTAGTGATGCTGAGCATTTTTTTCGTATATCTGTTGACTATTAGTATATCTTGTTTCAAGAAACAGCTCTTCAGGTCCTTTGCCCGTTTTTTTTACTTGCATTTTCTTGCTATTGAGTTCTTTATGTATTTTGGATATTAACTCATTATTAGACATATGCTTTACAAATACAGTCTCCCATTCTGTAGGTTGTCTCTTCACTCAATTGTTTCCTTTGCAATGCAGATGCTTTTTAGTTTGATGCAATACCATTTGTCTATTTTGCCTTTCTTGGCCTTGTTTTTGGGGTCATATTCCAAAAATCATTGCCCAGACCAATGTCATAGAAATGTATCTCTGTTTTATCCTAGTTGTTTACAGTTTCAGGCCTTATGTTTAAGTCTTTCATCTATTTTGAGTGGATTTTTGTATATGATATGAGATAATGGGTACAATTTCATTTTTCTGCATGTGGATATATCCAGTTTTCCCAGCATCATTTGTTGAACAGATTGTCCTTTCTTCTTTATCTTGTATTGGACCTGCTTTCTAGGTCATTTTCAAAGTGTGGAGGGGCCAATTTCTTTTTTTCTTCAAAAACAAATTATAAAACTCAGCATTCTCAAGATAGCTGAATTTTTCTTTTAAGAAAGGGTCTTACTCAGTCACCCAGGCTGGAGTGCAGTGGTATGACCTTGGCTAACTGCAACCTCCGCCTCGCAGGCTCAAGTGATCCTCCCACCTCACCCTCCTGAGTAGCTGGAATTACAGGTGTGCACTACCATGCCTGGCTAACTTCTGTATTTTTTATTGGGATGGAGTTTAGCCATGTTGGGTAGGCTGGTCTCAAACTCCTGACCTCAAGTGATCCGCTTGTCTCAGCCTCCTGAAGTGCTGGGATTACAGGCCTGAGCCACCACACCTGGGAAATATTAAATACAAACATGTCTAGAGCCTCTAAATATAGTATTTATATTTTTCAAGGTACCACATTCAGAGTTTAATTAACAAAGTCAACTAGGCTTAGATTTAAAGTTCACTCACAGTGACAGAAGGACAGAAATAGAGTATCCATCAACAAGGCAGATTTGGAAAGATGGCCACTGAGACCAAATAATGAATGATTAATTTCTAAGCTTATCTTATCCAATCTTAAGGACGGGAAGAATGATAATAAGATATTAGATATTTAAAGGCCACACTAAAAGATTATTCAAAATGTTCATTTATTACTCATATTTCTTTCATTAAATGTATTAACCCACTAAATATATTAATGATAAATTTCTCATAATTTTGAAGTTATAAAATAACTGTATTCATTCATGATTTAATTTTGCAAGTTCAGCTCACATTTTCCAGAATAAAGATACCTTCAAAGTGAGCTCTAATTTAAAATAATTATCTTCCATATATGATGTGTAAATAGGTAGGCTTATCTCAGAGGTTTAAAAAAAAGTCACATAAGAAAATACTAAGAAATGTGGACACAAAATAATTACAATCCTATATTGTACAAAAAGTCTGTAATTTTAAAATTACAGACTTTTTGTACAATATAGGATTGTAATTATTCTTCAACATTTACTTTAAAAGGACATATTCTTTTTTACTGAAAGACTTGTAACCAATTTTAAAAATGGCATTTTTTTCCATCAAAAATATGAGGACACAGAAAATTACTAGGCATTTACCAAAAATAATGCAAATGATAATAGCATCAAAAAATGTTGTTATTCATCAAAAAATGTAAATATAATAGAAAACTGCCATTGTTCACAATACTTGCAAAAACAAGCAAACCTAAAGGCAGTTCGATACAGTATTGTAGCATATAAATTGGTACAAGCGTTCTAGAAAGCAGTTGGTGATTAAAGAAAAAACAAAATTCATGTTCTTTGAATTCTAGTTCAATGAATTTTTAGGGAATGAAATATCAAGAAATACTCATATAAATGGATTTTTTTTATGATGGAGGACTGGTTGAATATAAATGCTTTAAAGGAAATTTGCCAAAATATCAATATTGGTTATAGATTTTTCAATCACATTAAACAAATATTTATTGACTGGCCAAACTGTGGGCCGGGAACTAGTCAAATACTGTGGATGCAGCAGTGCTCAAGATGATTCCTGCCTTACAGAGCTTACATTCCAGTTGGAGCTGAAATGTAGTCTATTTCATTCCATATGCTTTTTGCTATTTTCCAAATTTTTCCAGTGAATAAACTTTCTTGCGTTACCAGAAATGCAGGTTACTTAATTCTAATAAAAAGATAAACATTTGATCTATCTAAATGTCTATGATGTCATACTGAAATATTTGAAATAAACCATTCTCTGCTGTGGTCCTTTAGTGTTTTGACATTTTATTGAATTGGGCCACAAAGGCTCTAGTTGTATACAAAAATATGACTGAATATTTTTCTAATTACCAGCATTATCTCATCTAGCAGATAGATTTTCTAAAAGGAAATAACCTTTTCAATTTCTTTCTGACAAGCATTTTGAGAATGAGAAAACACATAAAAAGTTTCTGGAGAAATTTATTTTCCTCATCACTGATGCCACTGGATCATAAAAAAATCCTGAGTTTTACCTGAGATTTATACCATCTTCAATACACGCTACATCTGAAAGTAGGGGTGGTGGGGAGGAAGAAATGGGGTAATTCAGGGATACATGGCACATTGTTGCATAATTACCTGTTAAAACCTGAGTGGAAGTTCTTAATTTCGTGTGTATCAGAATCACCTAGAAAGCTTAACTTTAAAAAGATTTTCATGACCCTGCATAAGAAATTGTGATTTAGGAGGTCTGTGGCTGGGCCAAGCCTATGTACTTTTATCAAGGTGATTCTGATGACATTGGACACATTAGAAAACACTGAGAATAAATACCTTTGGGTCTTGAAGCATATATCCCAGTAAGCTTCAAGATATTAAATTATCGTTTTGAAATTAATCTCTAAAGAAACGAATCCCTTTAGTCTAGCTTTCAGATACATATCACATTTCTGCAGTGGGTTTCTAAGTCCTCTGCACAATTATATGCTGAGCCTTTCTTGAAGGTCCACTTGGGGAGCTTCACCTTTCTGGGCTCTCCTTTTCTGAGTCTAATAGATTTAGACTGAATGGAAATGACTAGGTCACCTCTAGCAGTTGTTTTCTTTGAGGGTTTTCCTATTTACTCTTTTCTCAAACTTGAGCAATCTGTGCTCAAGGGAAAAAATCTTTCAGGCTATTTGATTTCCAAACACTCCCGTTTGACAAATACTAACCTGAGCAACTGATATTTCCAATTGGAAGACATTCTCAGAGAATGCAAAATAAATAAATTCAGAGAATGCAAAATAAAACAAAACAAAAACAATTTTTGGCTTTTCAATTAGCAAAACAAATTTCCTTGTATTCAGCATTGAAATGAAAAGATGAAAATTAAAAACTCTCAGCATTTAGGGACCCCTAAATTAATGTATACAAATCCCTGTGGATCCTGAGATGTCAGGTTAAGGTCCATTTTAAATCTACTTCAATGTTCATGACCTAACCTTGGATACAATTATGAAAATGTTAACTCACACCTTGCTTCCCGATTCTACTCTATCTAATAAAGTGTCCCCTTCCATCTTTCTTTGTTTGGCACCAGGTCCTATGGATGTTCTTTCTGCTTGCTAACTGCTTTCAAATCTGCCTTTCTTAGCTGCTAACAGCAACTTAGAAATAGATGCTTTACTTTTTCCTGGGAGTTGCACATTTTGTGGATGGAAGGTTTTGTTCTATTCAAAAGGAATGTCAGATATTAGCATGAGTTCAGAAAACATTTGTGGGGGTTTTAGGGGTTTCCTCTGAACTCAACCTCCCTGAGGCTATTCTTTTTCCTGTGAAACCAATCCTGACTTTTAATATTCCTTAATATTTTGATGATATGGCATTCATAAAAAATGCCCATAATAGACATGAAAATCTGTCTCTAAATACATTTATTTTTATTTTCCCCTTATAGTTTCTTAAACATACAAATATGAATTTATATGGAAAGTTAAAGTGTGTACATATTCCCATATTTTCTGTAAATTGCTGTAAAATTGAGATTACTTTCAAGTAATTTTTGCGTGAACTATTTAAATTATTGCATAATTTAATTAGCATAATTTAAATAGTTGCATAAGAATTATGCTTGTTATATCATGGAGACATAAGACAATAGAGGCATGTGTCATGTTGAAAAACTGTACTAGGATGAAAAAGTGAGAAAACGGCTGCACTAAGTAATGAAACACCAGAGATTTGGTTTGGAAACTCAGACATTGGTGCACTTAAATGTACTTTGTGATTTTATTCCTCAAATAGCTTGCTTTTGTTTTATTTTGAACTTTTTTTATGAAAGAGCAATAGAAGAGATAAGCCACTCTTAATACGTTTTAGATATAAATGTTTTAAATTCCAAGCTTAACCTATTGCCTGGCATATAGGTATCCTCAATAGATATCTGTTGATTGGCTTAGGAAGTATTAGGCATCTTCGAGCTATAGAAGAGGGTCAAGTGGAAAGTGAACTGGATTAAGTCTGGATTAAGTCCTGCCCCTATGTGAGAGCAGGACAGTAATTTCACCCAGATTCTCCCAATCATTCAATTGTCCAGCTTGCAATTATTGAGTCACAAAATTTCATAGTTGATAGAGAAATCACATATTATCTATTATAGCCCCCCTTTTTACAGATGAGGGATCTGAGGCCCAGAGGGGCCAGGTAACTTGCTGTAATTAGAAGTAAAACTTTGCCACAAATCCTCATCCCGTCTCTTAATTGTATGCTTTCACTATTGCCTTTATATTTCTATAATGTGCAACACAATTCTAATACTTCTGAGCTCATGTTGTATGCCCTCAACTATGTGTGGATGGAATTTAATAACATCCCCATTTGACCAATGTGAAAACTGAGGAAGTTAGACTCATTCAAGGACCTATGCTTTGTAGGATTATAAGCACATTCCTCTTTCTTCTTTATGGTATTCCCTCTTGTTGTGTGAGCAATGCTTTTAAGTCTGTCAGTTGAACTATTGTGAAGGTTGCCATATTTGGAAATATTTAGATTTCCTGCAAATATGGCTTGTCCTCACCAAAACTCATGTTGATGTTTAATTGCCTGTGTGGCAGGTTTAGGAGGTGACACCTAGTGGGAGGTGTTTGGGTCATGGGGACAGATCCCTCACAAATGGATTGGTGCCATCTGGTGGGAATGAGTGAGTTCTTCCTCTCACAGGGGTGAATTAGTTTTCACAACCACAATGACTTATAAAGTGAGGTTGCTTCTTGTGTTTGGCCCTGTATACACACCTACTCACCTTTCTACTTCTCCATGTCTTGACACAGCACATGACCCTTACCAGAAGCCAAGCAGATGCTAGTGCCATGCTCTTGGCCTTTCTGTCCTTCAGAATCATGAGCAACATAAACCTCTTTTCGTCATATATTACCCAACCCAAGTATTCAGTTATAGTAACAGAAAGTACTTTAAGATGTTTCCCTTTTAATCTTTTGGAAAATAACATGTACTTCATCTCATTCTGAAACTTAGAGACAGTTCTTTACAGAATTAGAAAAAGCTATTTTAAAATTCATATGGAATCAGAAAAGAGCCCATATAGCCAAGACAATCCTAAGCAAAAAGAACAAAGCTGGATGCATCATGCTACCCAACTTCAAACTATACTACAAGGCTACAGTAACCAAAACAGCATGATACTGGTACAAAAACAGACACAAAGACCAATAGAACAGAATATGGAACTCAGAAATAAGAACGCACATTTACAATCATCTGATCTTTGACAAACCTGTCAAAACCAAGCAATGGGGAAAGGATTCCCTATTCAATAAATGGTGCTGAGAGAACTGGTTAGCCATATGCAGAAGATTGAAACTGGACCGTTTTCTTACACCATATACCTCAAGATATATTAAATACTTAGATGTAAAACCCAAAACTATAATCCTAGAAGAAAATCTAGCAAATACCATATAGGACATAGGTACAGGCAAAGATTTCATGACAAATGCCAAAAGCAATTGCAATAAAAGCGAAGATTGGCAAAGGTGATCTAATTAAACTAAAGAATGTCAGCACAGCAAAAGTATCATTTGTACCATCAGAGTGAACAGACAGCCTACAGAATGGGACAAAATTTTTGCACTCTATCCATCTGACAAAGGGCTAGTATCCAGTATCTATAAGGTACTGAAACAAATTTACAAGTAAAAAACAATTCCATTAAAAAGTGGGCAAAGGACATGAACAGACACTTCTCAAAGGAAGATATTTATACAGCTACGACAATTACATATATAAAAAAGCTCAATATCAATTGATCGTTAGAGAAATGCAAATCAAAACCACAGTGAGATACCATCTCATGCCAGTCAGAATGGTGATTATTAAAAAGTCAAACAACAGATGCTGGCAAGGTTGCAGAAAATAGAAACACTTTTACACTGTTGGTGGGAATGTAAATTAGTTCACCCATTGTGGAAGACAGTGTGGTGATCCCTCAAAGATCTAGAACCAGAAATACCACTTGACCCAGCAATCCCACTACTGAATATATACCCAAAGGAATATAAATCATTCTGTTATAAAGATACATGCACATGTATGTTCACTGCAGCAAAAATATAATACCAAAGATATGGAATCAACCCAAATGCCCATCAATTATAGACTAAATAAAGAAAATGTTGTACGTATACACCATGTAATACTATGCAGCCATAAAAAGGAATGAAATCATGTCTTTGCAAGGACATGGATGGAGCCAGAAGCCATTATCCTCAGCAAACTAATGCAGGAATAGAAAACCAAACACCACATGTTCTCACTTACAAGTGAGAGCTGAATGATGAGAACACAGGGACACAGGGAGGGGAACAACACATACTGGGGCCTGTCAGGGGAGTGGAAGGAGGAAGAATAGCTAATGCATGCTGGGCTTAATACCTAGGTGATGGGTCGATGGGTACAGCAGACCACCATGGCACATATTTACCTATGCAACAAACCTGTACATCCTGTACCTGTACCCCAGAACTTAAAATTTAAAAAATCAAATAAAAAAAGCTAGATTGAAAATAAATACACATACATACCTTTCTAGTAGTTAAAATTAATAGGCTTTGCCATTCTGGAATTTAAAATATCTGACATTCTAAAATTTGTGAGTATAAACTTGTCAGTATCTTTCTGGAGACAAAAATATGATTAGTTGACATTTTTAAAACTTAAGATAGATAGTTTGGAAGAATAAAAATTATTAAACAAAAAGATGATTCATTGACATGATTTTTAAAACTTAGGTTGCTTGGAAGAATGAAAAAATAATTTTTTAAAAATTTAGGCCAAATTTATTCTGCTAAAGTGTTCAAAGGAAATCAGATCTTAAAGTGAAGATGATTCTCAGCTTCATGGTATATATTTTTTTGCTTCCCTTCTAAAAAGATGTATTGTGGGACCACAGATCTTAGTATAGGAAAAAAAAAGTCCAGAAGTAGCTAGATGACTTGAAGGGATAAAGGCAGTATACATTCCCCTCCAGAATATGAAGACTCCAAAATAGAATACAAATTATTTCATAACATTTTATAAGAATGTTTTACATGAGTGGTAGGGTTTAAGCTAATGTTATTATGATATCCACACACACATTCCAAAGAAAATCATGTTTCACCATTCATGATGAAAATATATTCTATGGAATTTAAGAAAGGGAGGTTATTGAGTCAATATTCTCAGGTTACTTCTGGACAAAGGCTTAGAGATCTAAAGTACCTTGTCCAATCTTTCACATACAGGTGCCAAGCCAGCGCTAACCCTGGCACCCTGGCTTCCTTCTTGGGACTCTTACTAAAATAAATTGTGTTTATCAATAAGATAATTAAGAGACAGTGAACAAATACCTAGAAAAGTTGTATATGGCACATGTGCAGGAAGGACAAAGCTGTGTTTCTACCGAAGATTGTGAATGTACAACAAACCAGAACATAGATGTCATTTACAGTTGTCAGAGCGAGGTGTTATCTAACAGAAACCTGGAAAATGAAGACAGGACTTTCAATCTAGATGGCTGGCAAATCACTTTTAGGAACAGCAAGTGTGGTATTCAGCAAAATTCCTGCAAAAGTATTTTTCTAGATTTTTAAACCAAATAGTAGAAATTTGAGGAACAGTCTTACACAAAAACAGAATAGAGTGTCAGTGATCTATTTATCCAAGAAAGTAGAGCCACTTTTAAACCACTGATGACAAAAAGGAATTTCTATTCTTTTAAAGATCCCCAGAGTGGAACTGCCTTTGAGAATTTGTTCCAATGTTTGACCACACATAAATCGTAGGAATTTTTAAACCCAAAATATCACATGATAAGGTTTAAGCCCATTTGATCTATTAAATCAGGGTACGTTAGAATCATTCATTCCGTTAACCTTATGCTTTACTACCATGCCTACGTTTTCCCTCAGGTCTTTAAGTCAAATACATATGAGTGTTTATTTTCTAAGTGAATCATAAATACATATAGTTTTTGGTTCTGTTGAAACCTTTTCATTCTCTTCTCAGTTCTTTATTTGCAGTCTCTGATAACACTCCGATTGCCATTTTTTCACGCATTCACTCATTGATTCCATGTATATTCAGTGCCTACTGTCTGATAGGCACAATATTTTATGCTGGAGATACAAGAATAAACTCTAATTTCTGGCTTCAGTTTAAAACTCAAATATATGCATGTGTTTTTTTTAACATAGTATAACAGGTCTATAATAAAAAGCAAATCATGCCTGCCCTACTCCTTCCCATCCTCATTCTCACATGCCGACTTCTTAAAACACAAAACTTTCTTTAGCATATATCCAGAAAATTACACAATCCATACCTGAACATTTCAATGGATTCACACAGTGACCAAATTCCGGTAACACATTAAGAAGTACAGTATGATCAGTTCTCCAAAGCTCCCCACTTGTGTTCTTTCCTAGTTGTATCTCCCCTCAGAGGTAAATTCTATCTTGACTTTTGTTTTTTTAATATTATACTTTGTTTTAGGGTACATGTGTACAACGTGCAGGTTTGTTACATATGTATACCTGTGCCATGTTGGTGTGCTGCACCCATTAACTCATCGTTTACATTATGTATATCTCCTAATGCTATCCCTCTCCCCTCACCCCACCCAAAAACAGGCCCCGGTGTGTGATGTTCCCCATCCTGTGTCCAAGTGTTCCCATTGTTCAATTCCCACCTGTGAGTGAGAACATGCGGTGTTTGGTTTTCTGTCCTTGTGATAGTTTGCTAAGAATGATGGTTTCCAGCCTCATCCATGTCCCTACAAAGGACATGAACTCATCCCTTTTTATGGCTGCATAGTACTCCATGGTGTATATGTGCCTCATTTTCTTAATCCAGTCTATGATTGTTGGACATTTGGGTTGTTTCCAAGTCTTTGCTATTGTGAATAGTGCCACAGTAAACATACATGTGCATCTGTCTTTATAGCAGCATGATTTATAATCCTTTGGGTATATACCCAGTAATGGGATGGCTAGGTCAAATGGTATTTCTAGTTCTAGATCCTTGAGGAATCGCCACACTGTCTTCCACAATGGTTGAACTAGTTTACAGTCCCACCAACAGTGTAAAGGTGTTCCTTGACTTCTAATACTATAGATAAGCTTTGCTGCTTTGGAACTTGAAAAAAATTTTTAGCTACTCTGCTATTCATAGACATTTGTGTAATGGTTTCAGCTTTGGGCTGTGTGAATGGTGCTGCTACAGTCAATCTAACAGATTTCATTTTGGTGAACATGTGCACACATTTCTTTTAGGTTTATAAGAGTGCAATTACTGTGTCATAGGTTGTAAATATTAAGAGCTCTAATAGAGACTACTAAACAGATTTCTGAAGTCATCATATCACTTTATATGCCTAGCAGCAATATATAAGAAGAATCAATCACTTTGAAAAGTTTTTACTTCTGGTAGCTCACTTCTGTAAATAGTATCTGTCTATCTTAAAAAGCTTTAAAATAATAAACTTGTTCTGTTCACTTACCCTGCACCCCAGCTTATCTTTCTTCACCTTCCTCAAAAAACTAATGGTTAAATTATGTTTGCTTGGTTATATTTGTAAATTAACAATCTTTTATGTCTTCTTGCTTTGTCAACTTAATAAGCAGTTTTCCTTCTCTCTCTGTTACATGTAAATACAAGTTATTCTCTATATTCGTTTGTTAATTTCCATTGCCTATATTTTTAAATCCCTTTTTTAAATTTTGAAATAATGTTAGATTTACAGAAACACTGCAAAGATAGTACAGTTTTCCCTATTAACATATTATATAACCATGATACCTTTGTCAAAACTAAAAACCAACATTGGTACATTACTGTCAACTGCAGACTTTATTGTATTTCACCAGGTTTTTCTGCTATGTACCCCTTCTGTTCTCTTCCAGGTTCCAATCCAGGATACTACAATTCACTTAGCCACCGTATTTCCTGATTTTCCTCTGGTCTATGACAGTTTCTCAGTCTTTCCTTGTTTTCAATGACCTTAATGGTTTTCAGTCCCCCAGGGTTTCCACCCCCTAATCTACTGCATATAGTCACTTCCCACTGGGTGTGGGCTGGACATGTGAATGTGATGGGATAGCCTCCAGGAGCCACTCTCACGTTATTGGCTACTCTAACCTTAGGTCATTCTGGGCTTCTACTGGGAAGGCTGGCTTTTACTTCCACTTAGGTTCCCCCATGGTATTACTTTTTCATCAACATACTTCCATGTACTTTCAGACTTTGAGAAACGTGTGAAAGACTCTGATCTCCCCACGTACATCCACACTTCTGAGTTTATTCATTTTTGTGTTCCCTTATTGCTTCAGGAAGGAGGAGGAGAGGTAAGCATATGTGCACATTTTAAAACTAGCAACAAAGAGCTCCCTTTCAAATCATAACTTGCCACTGCCAATTCCAGGCTAACTCGTTAGCCTCATGCCTTTGTAGTTCTTTTTCTGTTATACCCATCTATAGCCAATGTTCTTATATGTGTATGTTTTGCAGTGGTAGTAGTTACAGGACCAGGTTTTAAGCCTGGCTCTGGAATTATCTGATATATTGCTTTAGGGGAGTTGCTTAAAATGTGTGCCTCGGCCAGGACATAATTAAGATTATTACTGTTGTCTACTTCACAGAGTAATCTGAGAATGACTTCATGCATTTTCACTGCCATTGCATTTCTAAAACTGTCTTATGATTTTAAAATAAGCTTCTCTGTCATAAAAACCGTAATCAGACACAGAAGAATGCCAGAAGGCAGAGGTAAACTGAGTTCACCTTCCAATGTTCCATCAACACATCTTGAAAATTCTTCATCATTCTCACTGGTGAGTAATTCCTGTCTAACATCCAGAATGCTAGTCTTAGGGGCCAGGAAGGAAGAATATAACTTTCTAAATCCTGCCCCTTGGTATAACTTATTCTCAGTGTTGATTTCATTATGATTTCTTTTTATAATTCTGTTGACTAAATAAGAACTTGATGAATCATTGCATAATTAATTAACCGTGAAACAGCAGGGTGCATTTTCTGGACTTTCTCAAGCAGGCAGGAAACGTTTTTATTCCATTTGTTTGATAGTAGAAAGGTGTCTCAATAGGGAGAGTTTTTCTTGCTATATCTTTTCATAGAAGAACTATATAGGGAGAAATAAATTATATCACAAATACCTCAGTTTTTATTAGTAATCTTTAAAATTTTTACAGACAATTGACCAAAGAAGAGGTATAATCTTTAAATGTTCCTTTATGTGTTTCCAAGGTTTGGATTAACTAAATGAATCATTTCCATCTTGGTCTGGGTTCTGTCTCTGGCAGAGACACTAAAGGATTATTGTGGGAGGGCTTGGTTGTTGTCCTTGCTTTTCATCTCAGAAAATTAGTTGAAGAGCCAAAATACATTGATTCCCTTAATATCCCATGTCAATGTCAGCATATATATGTATATCTAAAACTTTCATATTAAATTTTTTTCATCGTTAATTAAGGAAAAAATAAGTTCTGTAAACCTACTACTGTTTATAAAGTAGTTCTATTTTTAAGCATTTTACAAGGCACAGACCAGGTGTTCTGTTAGTTGGAGTTTTTGTCCTTTTTCCTTTCATGTGTGTTTCCTTCTTGATTATTTTGTGCCATGAGCCCATACCCAATCCATTAAAGAGTCCTGAATTTTTAATCTGTTTTTATGTAGCAGGAAGCGTTGCTTTTATTCTTTTTCATCTTTCTGGTTGGCCCTCTATAAATCTACTAGCACCTTTTTATGGTTTTCTGTAGCAGAATAACCACAGTTGCATGTAAGTTCCAAGCTAAAGATATGCCATATCTTTAAAAGCAGAATAGGATTATATTTTCTGTTTTGTTTCTAGCACTATCTCTGAGAGATTCTGGCATTTTGTTAGCTTTTGTGACCACTGTCCTATGTTGGGTTCAGACATCAGGAAACATGGTGGCGAGCGCCCTGTCCTGGCCTCTGACTGATAATGGGTACTGTAGTTGGATTCCCTTCCCACTAATTATATTACTATGCACACTGACTTGACCTTACCTGAAATGTTTCTGCCTGTCCCTATAGACTTTAGAACACTCCTTCTTACCCTGAAAAGTTTGATATTTCAGGGTTCAGAAATGTTTACTATGGGCATCTGCAAACTGAAATAAATGGTAAATAACACCATTTTTGACAGATTCTGAGGAGGCTTTTCTTTGTGCTGCCTCTCCTAGAGATGTGCCTGTTTTTGTTTTTGTTTTTGTTTTTTCCTTTTAGTTTTTATCCTTGTACAAGTTATTCACAACAAAAATGTCTTCTCATTCTCTACTTTGAGTTTATAAGGGCCATTATGGGCAGAACCGTGTTACTGATTTCTGAAAACAGATTACCACCACTGCCTCCTCACATTGCCTCCCTCCCCTGTTCTCCCAAAATTTGTTTAACTAATATGTAATATCTCTTGTTTTCCTAGAAGTTTACATTTACCAAAACTATTTGAATTCTTCATTGATCAATGAAAAGAAAGGGCTAAAAATTGGTACGATGAGAATGGAAATAGAAAATCAATCTCCTACCCAATACTCAATTTAATTTAAGACGACACTGTTTTGTTTTACAACTTAGTTTCTCCTGACCCCTTCGAAGCTAGGAACCTCAAATTGTCATTTAAATGTTCTCCCAACATTGGGTAAAGTAGTAAGGACTGTTCCATCTTATCAAGAGAATATATGCCCTTATATACCTAAGCAAGTCATTCCAGTGCCCTGGAATATGTCTCCAAAGAGTCAAAACATATCTAATTTAATTTCTAATAGCTGCATTTTAAATCTGCTGCCAGTTAAGTTTTATGTTTAATCATAATCATCTATGTTCTTATCGTAGCTTATGTGAAAGCCTTTTAAGATAAAAAGTTATGAGCACAGATTTCAGAAGAGTACCTTTAGGAGACTACTGGTGATTGATGTTTTAGGATGACCTACGTGGACTATGTTCTTAGGCCAAGAGTCTTAAGCCCTTCGTGTAGTTTATAAATAACATTTATGTTCTGTATGTTGTTTGGTGTTTTATGATATCCAGACAAGATGCTGAAAATACTTGTTTTTTTACAATAAAGCTATTGACATTTTATTTACTTTGAAGAACTTAAACATCACTCAACCTTTTGAAAAGAACCATGGGAACATTTGATTTGGGGGCTTCTTGAGAAAGGGTTATATAAATGAATTGTATTCAATGAATGCTTATTTACTGTCTTCTGTGTACAAAGCACTGTGTTGGCTACAAGGATTACAGAGATAATATTATCCTTGATCTCTAAACTGCATGTAGTCTAGTAGAAGAAATAAGAATAAAGTAGAACATAAGAACTCTACGGAAGTACAAAGTTCCATGAAAACAATGAAAAAGGAGCTATTATTTCCAGTTGTAGGCTCCCCAAAGCTGTAAGAAGCCTGCATTTGCACTAAATTGTTGCCCTTTGTTGGCAGCCATCTCTATGTTGGGGAAGTAGAGAATGGAACATATCACATTTCTCTTGTCTTTTCCCACCAAATCAAACTCTATTCTTTTTTCTGTCTTAAGTTTTCTGCCCTGTACAGTTAGTTCTAAAGAACTAATTTTGTACATCTGGAATTCCTCATTAAACTGGATACAGGATATTGAGGATAAGATGGTTCTTAAACTTTTTGTACTTTGTGGACAAGCCAATAAATTTCTTTGCCAGTCAGCCAAGAGTTCATATTTTTTTCAAAGAATTCTTGAAATAAACATGAGGATAATTAAAATGCATAATTTTAGGAAAAGGGCTTAGACTTTTTTTAAACTTGAGTTCCTAAGTCAAGCTTACATTATTTACTGTGAAGTTAAGTGACAGAAGGGTGATGAACATGGGTGTGTTTCTGTGATGGAGATCACAACGATGATGTCACCTTGCTCATCACTTTAAAAGGCACACCCTATTTGCTAGGTACATAAAACTTTGTTCTGATGTCCACTGATAATTCAGTGTCATCTGCTTCCTTTATCACATACTCACCCTCATTCCTGTCCTATTTTTTTAATCATAATTTAGAGGGGCTAAAGAAGGGGAAATTAAAACCAAAGAAGTGTGAAGACCTGGAGTCGGGGTGAGGGTGTGTCAAACAAGGAGAAGGCCAAATGTCCAGCTGGTTCCACATGAAGATGCCAGGTTTTTTTTTTTTTTAGTTGACAAACAAAACTTGAATATATTTATTGTGTACAACATGACATTTTGAAATATGTATACATACACATTGTAGAATGGCTTAGTTGAGCTAATTAACATATATCAAATCACATATCATTTTTGTGATGAGAACACTTAAAAATTTACTCAGTGATTTTCAAAGTACAATACATTGTTATCAACTGTAGTCACCACTTTGTACAATAGATCTCTTAAACTCATTCCATCTGTTTAACTGAAGTTTCGTATCCTTTGACCAACATCTATCTCTTTAACCTCACACTCCTACCAGTCTCTGGTAACCATCATTTTACTGTTTTTTATCAATTCAACTTTTTTAGATTCCACATAAATGTGAGATCATGTGGTATTTGTCATTCTGTTTCTGGCTAGTTTCACTTAACATAATGTTCTCCAGGTTCATGCATATCATTCCAAATGGCAGCATTTCCTTCTTTTTAAAGGCTGAGTAGTATTCCATTTGTATATATACCACATTTTCTTTATCCACTTAACCATTCATGGACACAGTTTGATTTCATATCTTAGCTATTATGAATAATGGTGAAATGAATATGGGAGTGCAGACATTTCTTTGACATACTGATTTTGTTTCTTTTGGTTATACACCCAGTAATGGGATGCAGAAACATTTGGTAGTTCTATTTTTAATTTTGTGCAGAACCCCCATACTCTTTTTCCATAATGGCTATACTAATTTACATTCCCACCAACAGTGTGCAAGCATTCCCTTTTCTCCATATCCTCACTCTTACTTATCTTTTGTCTATTTGATAAAAACTATTCTAATGGGTGTGAGGTAATATCTAATCGTAGTTTTAGTTTGCATTTTCTTGATTAATGATGTTAAGCATTTTTATATACCTATTGACCATTTGTATGTTGTCTTTCGAAAAATGTCTATTCAGTTCCTTTACCCATTTTTATTATGTTTTTTTTCATCTTTGAACAGCTGTATTGAGGTGTATTTGCTATACAATAATCCTTACATATATAAAGTAAATGATTTGATAGTTTTTACGTACATACACACTTGTAAAACCACCATCACAATCAAGATAATAAACACATCTGCCACTCCCCCAAGGCTCCTGCCCTTTGTAACCTGTCCCTCCAACCATGCTCCCCCATCCTCAGGCCCACTCTGGTCTGCTTTCTGTCACTACTGACTAGTTTGCTTTTTCTAGAATGTTCTGTAAACAGAATCACACAGTGTATATTCTATCTTGTGTTTCTTTCACTCAGTAGAATTGTTTGGAGACTTATCCATGTTGTGAGTATCATTAGTTTGTTCCTTTTTATTCCTGAGTAGCATTCTACTGTACAGATATACCTCCATTTGTTTATCCAGTTATCTGTTTATGGACAGTTGTGTACTTTGCAATTTGGGCTACTGTGAACATTATGCATACGTCACCGTATGGACATATGTCTTCATTCCTCTTGGTCTGTCTGAGTTCCATGCCTAGGGGTCTTTGGAATTGCTAGGCCATGTGATAAGTTCTATTCAACATGTTAGAGAAATTGCTGAGGTGTTTCTCAAGTGACTGCACCATTTTCTATCTCCACCGTCAGCTTGTGAGGGTTCTAATTTCTTCACATCCTCACCAACACTGTTACTGTCTGTTTTATGTTTATTATTTTTTGTGGCCATGCTAGTGGGTGCTGTGATATCTTGCTGTGGTTCTTATCTACATTTCCCTAGTAACAATGCTGAGCATTGTTTGAAGGCCACGTTGCCATGATTACATCTTCTTTGGTGAACTGTCCACTGAAATCTCTTGCCCATCTTTTTTTTATTATACTTTAAGTTTGGTGGTACATGTGCAGAACGTGCACGTTTGTTACATAGGTATACACGTGTCATGGTGGTTTGCTGCACCCATCAACCTGTCACATAGTTTACATATTTCTCCTAATGCTATCCCTCCCCTAGCCCCCAACCCTATGAAAGGCCCTGGTGTGTGATGGTTCCCTCCCTGTGTCCATGTGTTCTTATTGTTCAACTCCCACTAATGAGTGAGAATATGCGGTGTTTGGTTTTCTTTTCTTGTGTTAGTTTGATGAGAATGATGGTTTCCAGCTTCATCCATATCCCTGCAAAGGACGTGAACTCATCCTTTTTTATGGTTGCATTGTATCCCATGGTGTATATGTGCCACATTTTCTTTATCCAGTCTATCATTGATGGGCATTTGGGTTGGTTCCAAGTCTTTGCTATCGTGAACAGTGCTGCAGTAAACATATGTGTGCATGTGTCTTTATAGTAGAATGATTTATAATCCCTTGGGTATATACCCAGTAATGGGATTGCTGGGTCAAATGGTATTTCTGGTTCTAGATCCTTGAGGAATCACCACACTGTCTTCCACAATGGTTGAATTACTTTACACTCCCACCAACAGTGTAAAAGCATTCCAATTTCTCCACATCCTCTCCAGCATCTGTTGTTTCCTGACTTTTTAATGATTGCCATTCTAATTGCATGAGATGGTGTCTCGTTGTGGTTTTGATTTGCATTTTTTTAATGGCCAGTGATGATGATCTTTTTTTCATATGTTTGTTGGCTGCATAAATGTCTTCTTTTGAGAAGTGTCTGTTCATATCCTTTGCCACCTTTTGATGGGGTTGTTTTTTCCTTGTAAATTTGTTTAAATTCTTTGTAGGTTCTGGATATTAGCCGTTTGTCAGATGGACAGGTTGCAAAATTTTTTTCTCCCATTCTGTAGTTTGCCTGTTCACTCTGATGATAGTTTGTTTTGCTGTGTAGACGCTCTTTAGTTTAATTAGATCCCATTTTTCAATTTTGGCTTTTGTTGCCATTGCTTTTGGTGATTTAGTCATGAAGTCTTTGCCCATGCCTATGTACTGAATGGTATTGCCTAGGTTTTCTTCTAGGGTTTTTATGGTTTTAGGTCTTACATTTAAGTCTTTGATCCATTTTGAGTTAATTTTTGTATAAGGTATAAGGAAGGGGTCTAATTTCAGTTTTTGGCTTATGGCTAGCCAGTTTTCTTTCCCAACACCATTTATTAAATAGGGAATCCTTTCCCCATTGCTTGTTTTTTGTCGGGTTTGTCAAAGATCAGATGGTTGTAGATTTGTGGTGTTATTTCTGAGACCTCTGTTCTGTTCCATTGGTCTATATATCTGTTTTGGGACCAGTACCATGCTGTTTTGGTTATGGTAGCCTTGTAGTATAGTTTGAATTCAGGTAGCATGATGCCTCCAGCTTTTTTCTTTTTGCTTAGGATTGTCTTGGCTATGCAGGCTCTTTTTTGGTTCCATACGAAATTTAAAGTGTTTTTTTTCTAATTCTGTGAAGAAAGTCAACCATAGCTTGATGGGGATAGCATTGAATCTATAAATTACTTTGAGCAGTATGGCCATTTTCACAATATTGATTCTTCCTATCCATGAGCATGGAATGCTTTTCCATTTGTTTATGTCCTCTCATTTCCTTGAGCAGTGGTTTGTAGTTCTCCTTGAAGAGGTCCTTCACATCCCTTTTAAGTTGTATTCCTAGATACTTAATTCTCTATATAGCAATTGTGAATGGGAGTTCACTCATGATTTGGCTCTCTGTTTATTATTGGTGTATAGGAATGCTTGTGATTTTTGCACATAATTTTGTATCCTGAGACTTTTCTTATTAGCTTAAGCAGTTTTTGGGATGAGACGATGGAGTTTTCTACATATACAGTCATGTCATCTACAAACAGAGACAATTTGACTTCCTCTCTTCCTGTTTGAATACCCTTTATTTCTTTCTCTTGCCTGATTGCCCTGGCCAGAACTTCCAATTCCATATTGAATTGGAGTGGTAACAGAGGGCATCCTTGTGCTGGTTTTCAAAGTGAATGCTTCCAGGTTTTCTCCTTTCTGTATGATATTGGCTGTGGGTTTGTCATAAATAGCTCTTATTATTTTGAGATATGTTCCATCAATACCTAGTTTGAGAGTTTTTAGCATAAAGGGGTGTTGAATTTTGCTGAAGGCCTATTCTGCATCTATTGAGATCATCATGTCATTTTTGTCATTGGTTCTGTTTGTGTGATGGATTACATTTATTGATTTGTGTATGTTGAACCAGCCTTGCATCCCAGGGATGAAGCCAACTTGATCGTGGTAGACAAGCTTTTTGATGTGCTGCTGGATTCGGTTTGCCAGTATTTTATTGAATACTTTTGCATCAATGTTCATCAGGGATATTGGCCTGAAATTTTATCTTTTTGTTCTGTCTCTGCCAAGTTTTGATATCAGGATGATGTTGGCCTCATAAAATGAGATAAGGAGGAGTCCCTCTTTTTCTATTGTTTGGAAAAATTTCAGAAGAAATGGTACCATCCCCTCTTTGTACCTATGGTAGAATTTGGCTGTGAATCCGTCTGGTCCTCAACTTTCTTTGGTTGGTAGCCTATTAATTGCTGCCTCAATTTCAGAACTTGTAATTGGTCTATTCAGGGATTCGACTTCTTTCTGGTTTAGACTTGGGAAGGTGTATATGTCCAGGAATTTACCATTTCTTCTAGATTTTGTAGTTTATTTGCGTAGAGGTATTTATAGTATTCTCTGACGATAGTTTGTATTTTTGTGAGATCAGTGGTAGTATCCCCTTTATCACTTTTTATTGCATCTATTTGATTCTTCTCTCTTTTCTTCTTTATTAGTCTGGCTAGTGGTCTATCTATTTTGTTGATCTTTTCAAAAAACCAGCTCCTGTATTCATTGATTTTTTTCTTTTGAAGGGTTTTTCATGTCTGTATCTCCTTCAGTTCTTCTCTGATCTTATTTCTTGTCTTCTGCTAGCTTTTGAATTTGTTTGCTTTTGCTTCTCTAGTTCTTTTAATTGTGATGTTAGGGTGTGGATTTTAGATCTTTCCTGCTTTCTCTTTTGGGCATTTAGTGCTATAAAATTCCCTCTAAACACTACTTTAGCTGTGTCCCAAAGGTTCTGGTATGTTGTGTCTTTGTTCTCATTGGTTTCAAAGAACTTACTTATTTCTATCTTAGTTTTGTTATTTACCCAGTAGTCATTCAGGGACAGGTCATTCAGTTTCCATGTAGCTGTGCAGTTTTTAGTGAGTTTCTTAATCCTGAGTTCTAATTTGATTGCACTGTGGTCTGAGGGAGTGTTATGATTTCCATTCTTTTGCGTTTGCTGAGGAGTGTTTTACTTCCAATTATGTGGTCAATTTTAGAATAAATGCGATGTGGTGCTGAGAAGAATGTATATTCTGTTTAATTGAGTTGGAGAGTTCTGTAGATGTCTATTAGGTCTGCTTAGAACAGAGTGGAGTTCAAGTCCTGAATATCCTTGTTAATTTTCTGTCTCATTGATCGCTCCAATGTTGACAGTGAAGTGTTAACTCCTATTATTGTGTGGGAGTCTAAGTCTCTTTGTAGGTCTCTAAGAACTTGCTTTATGAATCTGAGTGCTCCTGTATTGAGTGCATATATATTTAGGATAGTTAGCTCTTCTTGTTGCATTGATCCTTTTACCATTATGTAATGCCCTTCTTTGTCTCTTTTGATCTTTGTTGGTTTGAAGTCTTTTTTTTTTATTTTTGAGGCAGAGTGTCGCTCTGTTGCCCAGGCTGGAGTGCAGTGGCACGATCTAGGCTCACTGCAAGCTATGCCTCCTGGGTTCATGCCATTCTCCTGCCTCAGCTTCCTGAGTAGCTGGGACTACAGGTACCTGCCACCACGCCCAGTTAATTTTTTTGTGTGTATTTTTAGTAGAGACGGGGTTTCACCATGTTAGCCAGGATGGTCTTAATCTCCTGACCTCATGATCTGCCTGCCTCAGCCTCCCAAAGTGCTGGGATTACAGGCGTGAGCCACCACACCCAGCCTAAAGTCTGTTTTATCAGAGACTAGAATTGCAACCCCTGCTTTTCTTTTTCTTTTTTTTTTTGCTTTCCATTTGCTTGGTAAATATTCCTCCATCCCTTTATTTTGAGCCTATGTGTGTCTTTGCACATGACCGGGTCTCCTGAATACAGCACTTCGATGGGTCTTGACTCTTTATCTAATTTGCCAGTCTGTATCTTTTTATTGGGGCATTTAGCTCATTTACATTTAAGGTTAATATTGTCATGTGGGAATTTGATCCTGTCATTATGATGTTAGCTGGTTATTTTGCCTGTTAGTTGATGCAATTTCTTCATAGCGTTGATGGTCTTTACAATTTGGTATGTTTTTGCAGTGGCTGGTACCAGTTGTTCCTTTCCATATTTAGTGCTTCCTTCAGGAGGTCTTATAAGGCAGGCCTGGTAGTGACAAAATCTCTCAGCATTTGCTTGTCTGTGAAGGATCTTATTTCTCTTTTGCTTTTGAAGCTTAGTTTGGCTGGATATGAAATTCTCAGTTGAAAATTCTTTTCTTTAAGAATGTTGAATATTGCCCCCCACTCTTTTCTGGCTTGTAGGGTTTCAGCCAGGAGATCCACTGTTAGTCTAATGGGCTTCCCCTTTTGCATAACCTGTCCTTTCTCTCTGGCTGCCCTTAACATTTTTTTCCTTCATTTCAGCCTTGGTGAATCTGACGATTATGTATCTTGGAGTTACTCTTCTGGAAGAGTATCTTTGTGGCATTCTCTATTTCCTGAATTTGAACGTTGGCCTGTCTTGCTATGTTGTGGAGGTTCTCCTGGATAATATCCTGAAGAGTGTTTTCCAACTTGGTTGCATTCTCCCTATCACCTTCAGGTACACCACTCAAACGTAGGTTTGGTTTTTTCACATAGTCCCATATTTCTTGGAGGCTTTGTTTGTTCCTTTACATCCTTTTTTTCTCTAATCTTGTGTTCACGCTTTATTTCATTAAGTTGATCTTTGATCTCTGATATCCTTTCTTCCGCTTGATCGATTCAGCTATTGATACTTGTGTATGCTTCACAAAGTTCTCGTGCTGTGTTTTTCAGCTCCATCAGGTCATTTGTTTTTTCTAAACTGGTTATTCTAGTTAGCCATTTATCTAACCTTTTTACAAGGTTCTTAGCTTCCTTGTATTGGGTTAGAACATGCTCCTTTATCTCAGAGGTGTTTGTTATTACCCACCTTCTGAAGCCTACTTCTGTCAGTTTCTCAAACTCATTCTCCATCTAGTTTTGTTTTCTTGCTGGTGAGGAGTTGTGATCATTTGGAGGAGAAGAGGCGTTCTGGTTTTTGGAATTTTCAGCCTTTTTGCGCTGGTTTCTCCCCATCTTTGTGGATTTATCTACTTTTGTTCTTTGATGTTGGTGACCTTCGGATGGGGCTTCTGTGTCTGGATGTCCTTTTTGTTGATGTTGATGCTATTCCTTTCTGTTTGTTAGTTTTCCTTCTAACAATCAGGCCCCTCTGCTGCATGTCTGCTGGAGTTTGCTGGAGTGCCACTCCAGACCCTGTTTGCCTGTGTATCTCCAGCAGAGGCTGCAGAACAGCAAAGATTGCTGCCTGTTCCTTCTTCTGGAAGCTTCATCCCAGAGGGGCACCTGCCAGATGCCAGCTGGAGCTCTCCTGTATGAGGTATCTGTTGGCCCCTGCTGGGAGGTGTCTCCTAGTGAGGAGACATGGGGGTCAGGGACCCACTTGAGGAGGCAGTCTGACCCTTAGCAGAGCTCAAACACTGCTGGGAGATCCGCTGCTCTCTTCAGAGCCACCAGGCAGGGACGTTTCAGTCAGCTGAGGCTGAGCCCATAACTGCTCCTTCCCCCAGGTGTTCTGTCCCAGGGAGATGGGGGTTTATCTATAAGCCCCTGACTGGGGCTGCTGCCTTTTTTTCAGAGATGCCCTGCCAAGAGAGGAGACATCTAGAGAGGCAGTCTGGCTAAAGCGGCTTTGTGTGTGGATATTTGTTTTCCCAGCACTATTTGTCAGAGAGACTATTCTGTTCACATTGTATGTTCTTGGTGTCTTTGAAAATTTATTGACTTTAAATGTGTGGATTTCTCTGTTGTCTATTGTATTCTGTTAGTCTATGTATCTGTTTTTATTCCAATGCCTTGATACTTAGTTTACTATACTTGTGAAAAAATGTCACTGGGATATTGTTAGAAATTACATTGGATCTGTAGATCACTTTGGGTAGTATGGATATTTTAACAATATTATTTATTCAAAGCTATGAACATATGTTTTATTTATGTTCTTCTGATTGGATAATTTAATCTATTTACACCAAATTCATAGGAAAACACTGACTACTGTCATTTTGTTAATTATTTTCTGTTTTTTAGATCCTTTATTCCTGTTTTGCCGTCCTCCTTTGTGATTAGAAGATTTTCTCTAATGGTATGATTTGATTCCTTACCTTTTATCTTTTGGGTATCTATCCGTTTTTGCTTTGTGATTACCATAGATTACATAAAACATCTATAGTTGTAATAGGCTACTTTAAGCTGATAACAACTTTGATCACATACAAAAATTCTACACTTTCTTTCTACCCACTTGTGGTTTTTGTTTGATGTCACAATGTACATCTTTTCATATTGTTTATTTCTTAAAAATTATTGTAGCTGTTATTTTTAGCTTTGTCATTTAATCTTCATACTAAAGATTTATACACCACCATCACTATATTAGTGTGTTCTGAATTTGTATATTTTTACTAGTGAGTTTTATACTTTCAGCTGTTTTTGTATGACTAATTAGTATCCTTTCCTTTCAGCTTGAACGACTACCTTTAGAATTTCATGTAGGACAGGTCTGGTGGTGATGAAATCCCTCAGCTATTGCTTTCTGAGAAAGTATCTATCTCTTTCATTTCTGAAGAAATGGAATATATATTTCTTATTATATTGCAAATCACACACTTATACTGGTTTTTACCACTGTCTAGTAAAATAAGAAAAACTAAAGTTTATTTTAAATAAACTTTATTGAGGTAATTGCATTATGTGCATAGTTTTTAAAAATGTTATTTACTCATATGACTATCATTCCAATCAAGACAGAATATTTCCATTACCTCTGGGAAGTTCCTGATTCCCTTTTCAGTCAATCTACCTACCATCCTGCCCCATCATCAAGGAACCACCAATCTTAGTATTGCCAGTTCTAAATCTTCATATAACTGGAATCATAAAACATATGCTGTTTTGTATCTAGCTTCTTTTACCTAGCATGTTTTTGAAATTTGTTCATTTGCATATATCATAGTTTAATGTTTTATTACTGAGTAGTATTTCTTTGAAATTTATCACAGTTTGTTTATTCCTCTGCTCATGGATATCTAGATTATTTCCAGTTTGGATATATTATTAAAGATTTATGACCATTTGTATATGAATTTCAGTGTGATCATGTATTCATGTTGTGTGTGCTCTCTCTCGCACGTATGCTTTCTCTCTCTCTCTCCAACTCTGTTTTCTCCAATACTCTCACCCACAAATTCTATCTTTATCTCCCTGGACTCTTATTTTTGTCTCTGTAACTCAGTAAAACTAACAGACTCTGATAGGGTTGCCCCTTTCTGTGGTGTCTCATAGAAATGACTCCAAGCTGTAAGCTCTGACAGTTATCTGGCTTACTTTGTTTGTCTTTGCTAAGGAATAATATTACTGGTAAGAAGTAACTGAGTTATTGGTGGCAAATTGTTGGGTCTGCAGCAACCTCAATTCTTGCTTCCTCAGAAGAAAGAATTTGACTGAGGGGCATAAGGCAGAAAAAGAGGCTAAGACAAGTTTCAGAGCAGGAGTGGAAGTTTTTTTTTTATTATTATTATACTTTAAGTTTTAGGGTACATGTGCACAATGTGCAGGTTAGTTACATATGTATACATGTGCCATGCTGGTGTGCTGCACCCATTAACTCGTCATTTAGCATTAGGTATATCTCCTAATGCTATCCCTCCCACCTCCCCCCACCCCACAACAGTCCCCAGAGTGTGATGTTCCCCTTCCTGTGTCCATGTGTTCTCATTTTTCAATTCCCATCTATAAGTGAGAACATGCGGTGTTTGGTTTTTTGTCCTTGCGATAGTTTACTAAGAATGATGATTTCCAATTTCATCCATGTCCCTACAAAGGACATGAACTCATCATTTTTTATGGCTGCACAGTATTCCATGGTGTATATGTGCCACATTTTCTTAATCCAGTCTATGATTGTTTGACATTTGGGTTGTTTCCAAGTCTTTTGCTATTGTGAATAGTGCCGCAATAAACATACGTGTGCATGTGTCTTTATAGCAGCATGATTTATAGTCCTTTGGGTATATACCCAGTAATAGGATAGCTGGGTCAAATGGTATTTCTAGTTCTAGATCCTTGAGGAATCGCCACACTGACTTCCACAATGGTTGAACTAGTTTACACTCTCACCAACAGTGTAAAAGTATTCCTATTTCTCCACATTCTCTCCAGCAACTGTTGTTTCCTGACTTTTTAATGATTGCCATTCTAACTGGTGTGAGATGGTATCTCATTGTGGTTTTGATTTGTATTTCTCTGATGGCCAGTGATGATGAGCATTTTTTCATGTGTCTTTTGGCTGCATAAATATCTTCTTTTGAGAAGTGTCTGTTCATATCCTTTGCCCACTTTTTGATGGGGTTGTTTGTTTTTTTCTTGTAAATTTGTTTGAGTTCATTGTAGATTCTGGATTTTAGAATAGGAAAGAAAGTAAAGTGTGCTTGGAAGAGACCCAAGCAGGTGACTTGAAGGACAGGCGTGATGTTTAATCATGATCCTAGGACTTTATAAGCTGGCCCCTTTCCCATGTTTCTTCCCTTAGGCTGGACTGCCTGCATGCACAGTGTCCTCCTTACCCTTGGCAGGTGAGCATGCACAGTGTGTTTAGGAAGTTGTGCACATGTCTATCTGAGGCTTTCTTCCTTTTTCCGGTCATATGCCTCTGGAAGGTCATACTCCGCCATTTTGTCTCTTAATGCACATGCCTGGGAAGTTGCTTCTCTTTGGCATCTGCATTCAATTAACACTTTAGTGCAACAGGTGTGGACCATCAGGAAATGGCCTCTCCCTGAAACCAGCTGCCAATTTATTACTTTTAGGGAGGCAATGTGATAATTGCTGAACCATCACCCAACATTTCTAGTGGATGGGGGAAGAGCCTCCTTCTGCCCTGCTAATGCCTGTCTCACTACCTATAACAGTAATAGTCATTTGCTATTTTATAATATCTAAGATCAATTGTTTTATGTATTTTGTGGGGTTTTCTAGTTATTGAGGAAGGGAAATTACTGTTGCCTTTAATCATCCATAGACAGAAGTAAAATTCTCCTAGTTCATTTTTATAATTTTCATTTTTAAGCTCATATTTCCTATGTGTTTATTCATTCTATTTTTAAAAAATTTTGAGCACATTTTTCTTTCGTTCTTTGAGCATTTTTATAATACTCATCCTAAAGTCTTTGCCAAATTCACCATCTTGGCCATTTTAGGGTTGGTTTCTATGGACTGTTTTTTTTTTTTTTTCATTTTCTTACACGTGTGAGACACCATGCCCAGACTTCTTCTTTAACTATATATAGCAAAATTTTGGTTTTTGTATGTGTAATATTGTGAAATACATATTTGGTCTTCAATCCTCTTTATAAGCATACAATTCCTAAAATCCTTAGGATCTTCAAAGTGATGTCTTTTGTGTGTTAATAATTGAGTGATGGCTGGCTGCTCTGGGCTGGCTTCAGAATGCAGTCTCATCATCACAAAGCCAAGGCATGGTTAGAACATTGAGATTTTCAGCCCCATCCCTGACCTCTAGGCAGAGGAGAGGGAATGAAGGTTAAGTTAATTGCCTTCATCAAGATAGCTGAGCACATGGAGATTTCTGGAGGTGGTGTGCCCAGAAAAGCCATGGAAGCTCTACACTCCTCATTCAATACCTTGCCCTATGCATTTTCATCCATATCCTTTGTAACATTCTTTATGATTAACTGGTAATTGTAAGAGTTCCAGAGTTTCGTGAGCCACTCTAGAAAATTAAGCCCAGAAAGGGTTCTAGGGATCCCATCTTGAAGCTAGTTGGTCAGGAGTTCCAGAGTTCCAGATACCTGGGCTTGTGACTGACATCTAGAAGGGGTGGTCTTGTGGAACTGAGTCCTCAACCAATAAGACCTGATGCTATCTCCAGGTAGACCATTTTTTAATTGAATTGAGAATATCAAGCTGGTGTCTGCTGCAGAGTTGATTGCTTGCTTGGTGTATCGGAAGAAATTCCCACATATTTGGTCACAGAACTCTTCTGTGTTGGTTGGCAATGGTTAATGAGTGAGAAACTAGAAAATGCACTTCGTATGAATTTGTTTATTCCTCAGAATATGTCTCTATTTTTTTCCATGTGTACTGCACATTGTTGATGAAACATTGTAGAAACTCTGGATTGTTGTTTTTTTTCTTTTAGCGTGCATGTAGATAAGTTTATCAATTGACCACATTAGGCTTGTGTAGACTTGACTTTTATGTTTTGTTAGGGAGAATCTCTGGAAAACCCAGGTGTTCTCAAGTTCCTCTTACTAGTGTAGTCAACTGTTAAATTATATCTCCTAATTGTAATTTTTAAAGGCATGATTTTTTTTAAGTTCAGTAGTATATGTACAGGTTTGTTATATAGGCAAACTTGTGTCATGAAGGTACGTTATACAGATTATTTTGTCACCCAGGTATTAAGCCTAGTACCCACTAGTTATTTTTTCTGATCCTTTCCCTCCTTCCAGCCTCCATCCTAGGTAGCCCCCAGGGTCTCTTCTTCCCCTCTATGTGTCCATGTGTTCTCATCATTTAGCTCCCACTTATAAGTGAGAACATGCAGTATTTGATTTTCTGTTCCTGCATTAGTTTGTTAAGGATGTTGGCCTCCAGCTCCATCCACGTACCTGCAAAAGACATAATCTCATTCTTTTCTATGGCCACATAGTATTCCATGGTATATATTTACCACATTTTGTTTATCCATTTTACCACTAATGGGTATTTAGGTTGATTCCATGTCTTTGCTATTGTGAATAGTGCTGCAATAAATATATTTGTGTGTGTGTCTTTATGGCAGAACAAATTGTATCTTTTGGAATATATACCCAGTAATGGAATTGCTGGATCAAATGGTAGTTTTGCATTTAGATCTTTGAGGAATTGCCACACTGTTTAACTGATTTATACCCACACCAACAGTGTATGAGCATGCCTTTTCCTCCACAACCTCACAATTATCTTATTTCTTGACATGTTGATAATACCTATTCTGACTGGTTTTAGATGGTATCTCATTGTGGTTTTGATTTGCATTTCTCTAATGATCAGTGATGTTGAGCTTTTTTGCATATGCTTGTTGGCCATAGGTATGTCTTATTTAGAAAAGTGTCTGTTCATATTCTTTGCCCACTTTTTAATGGGGTTGCTTTTATCTTATAAATGTGTTTAAGTTCCCTATAGATGCTGGGTATTAGACCTTTGTCAGATGCATAGTTTGCAAATATTTTCTCCCATTCTGTAGGTTATCTGCTTACTATGTTGATAGTTTATTTTGCTGTGCAGAAACTCTTAAGTTTATTTCAATCAACTTTGTCAACTTTTGCTTTTGTTGCAATTGCTTTTGGTGTCTTTGCCATGAAATGTTTGCCCATTCCCATGTTCAGGATTGTATGACCTAGGTTGTCTTCCAGAGTTTTCATAGTTTGGGGCTTTACGTGTATGTCTTTAATCTATCTGGAATTAATTTTCATATACAGTGTAAGGAAGAGGTCTAGTTTCAGTCTTCTGCATATGGCTAGCCATTTATCCCAGCACCATTTATTGAATAGGGCATCCTTTTCCCATGGCTTGTTTTGTAGATTTTGTCAAAGAGCAGATGGTTGTAGGTGGGTGGCCTTATTTCTAGGCTCTCTATTTTGTTCCAATGGTCTATATGCCTTCTTCTGTACAAGTATTATGCTGTTTTGGTTACTGTAGCCCTGTAGTATACTTTGAAGTTGGGTAACATGATGCCTCCAGCTTTGTTATTTTTGCTTAGGATTGCCTGTGGTATTAGGGCTCATTTTTGTTTCCACATGAATTTTAAAATAGTTATTTTCTAGTTCTGTGAAGAATGGCACTCGTATTTTAATAGGAATAGCATTGAATGTGTATATTGCTTTGGGAAATATGACTGTTTTAATGATATTGATTCTTCCTATCCATGAACATGGAATAGTTTTCCATTTGTTTGTGTCATCATTGATTTCTTTGACCAGTGTTTTGTAGTTCTCCTTGTAGAGATCATTCACCTCCCTGGTTAGCTGCATTCCTAGATATTTTATTCTTTTTGTGGAAATTGTGAATGGGATTTGCATTCCTGATTTGGCTCTCAGCTTGGCTGTTGTTAGTTTATGAAAACATTCCTCTCCTTCCTCCTACCCTCCACCCTCAGGTAGGCTGCAGTGTCTGTTTTTTCCCTCTATGTGTCCCTGTGTTCTCGTCATTTAGCTCCCACTTATAAGTGATATTCGTGCATTGATTTTGTATCCTGAAACTTTGCTAAAGTTGTTTATCACCTTAAGGAGCTTTTGGGCTAAGACTATGGCATTTTCTAGATATAGAATTATGTCATTTGCAGAGATAGTTTGATGTCCTGTCTTCCTATTTGGATGCCATTCATTTCTTTCTCTTGCAGCAAGGACTGCAAGGTATTTGCACTACTCTGGCTAGGACTTCCAATACTATGTTGAAAAGGAGTGGTGAGAGAGGGCATCCTTGTCTTGTGCCAGTTTTCAAGAGGAATGCTTCCAATTTTTGTCCATTCAGTATGATGTTGGCTGTGGGTTTGTCATAGATGGCTCTTATTTTGAGGTATCTTCCTTCACTACCTAGTTTATTGAGAGCTTTTAACGTGAAGGGCTGTTGAATTTTATTGAAAGCCTTTTCCACATCTATTGAGATGATTGTGTGGCTTTCATCTTTAGTTCTGTTTATGTGATGACTCGTGTATTGATTTACATACATTGAACCAATCTTGCACCTCAGGGATAAAGCCTACTTGATCATGGTAGGTAAGCTTTTTGATATGATGCTGGATTTGATTTGCCAGTATTTTGCTGAGGATTTTTGTGTTGATGATCATCAAGGATATTGGCCTGAAGTTGTTTTTTTTTTTTGTTTTTTGTTTTTTGTTTTTGGTATTTTTGCCAGGTTTTGGTATCAGGATGATGCTGGCCTCATAGAATGAGTAAGGGAGGACTCCCTCTTCAATTTTGGAGGAAGAGTTTCAGTAGGAATGGTACCAGTACATTGTACATCTGGTAGAATTTGGCTGTGAATCCATTGAGCACTGGGTTTTTTTTTTTTGGTTTTTTTTTTTTTTTTTTTTTTTGGTTGTTGGTTGGTAGGATATTTGTTACTGATTCAATTTCAGAGCTTGTTATTGGTCTGTTCAAAGATTCCATTTCTTCCTGGCTCAGTCTTGGGAGAATGTATGTGTCCAGGAATTTATCCCTTTTTTGCTAGATTTTCTAGTTCATGTGCATAGAGGTGTTTATAATATTCTAATGATTATTTGTATTTCTGTGGGGTCAGTGCTAATATCCCCTTTGTTGATTCTAATTGTGTTTACTTGGATCTTCTTTCTCTTATTTATTAATCTAGCTAGCAAACTATTAATTTTTTCAAATAAACAATGCTTGGATTTGTTTTTCTTTTGAATGGGTTTTTGTGTCTCAGTCTCCTTCAGTTCAACTCCAATTTAGGTTATTTCTTGTCTTCTGCTGGCTTTGGAGTTGGTTTGCTCTTGGTTCTCTAGTTCTTTTAGTTGTGATGTTAGGTTGTTAAATTGAGATCTTTCTACCTTTCTGGTGTGAGAATTTAGTGCTATAAATTTCCCTTTTAACATTGCCTTAGCTCTGTCGCAGAGAGTGTGGTATGCTGTATCTTTGTTCTCATTACGTTCAGAGAACTTCTCTTGATTTCTGCCTTAATTTCATTATTTACCTAAATATCATTTAGGAGAATTTTATTCAATTTCCATGCAACTGTATGATTTTGGGCAAATGTTAGTCTTCATTTCTAATGTGATTGTGCTGTGGTCCAAAAAAGTGATTTTTTATGATTTCAGTTTTTTTGCATTTGCTGAAGAGTGTTTTATGCTTGATAAAGTGATTGATTTTTAGAGTAAGTTCCATGTGACAATGCGAAGAATGTATATTCTGTTGCTTTTAGGTGGAGAGTTCTGCAGATGTCTATCAGGTCCATTTGATCCATTGATGAGTTCAGATCCTGAATATCTTTGTTAATTTTCTCCCTTGGTGACCTGCTTAATACTCTCAGTGAGGTGTTGAAGTCTCCCACTATTATTGTGTAGAAGTCTGAGTCTCTTTGAAGGTTTCCAAAAACTTGCTTTATGAATCTGAGTGCTCCTGTGTTGGCTGCATATATATTTAGGATAGTTAGGTCTTCTTGTTGAATTGAACCTTTTACCATTATGTAATGCCCTTCTTTGTCTTTTATCTTTGTTGGTCTGAAGACTGTTTGTCTAAAATTAGGATTGCCATCTTTGCTTTTTTCTGTTTTCTGTTTGCTTGGCAGATTTTTCCCCATTGCTTTATTTTGAGCCTATGTGTGTCACTGCATGTGAGATGGGTCTCTTGAAGACAGCATACCTATGGGTCTTGGTTCTTTATCCACATTGCCACTCTGTGCCTTTTAATTGGGGGCATTTAGCCTGTTTACATTCAAGGTTAATATTGAATGCTAACAGTATCCTATCATCACAGTGTTAGCTGGTTATTAGGCAGACTTGTTTATGTGGCTACTTTATACTGTCACTGGTCTATGTACTTCAGTGTGTTTTTGTAGTGGTTGCTGACAGTCTTCTTTTCCCCCATATTTAGTGCTGCTTTCAGGAGCACTTGTAAGGCAGATCTGGTGGTAATGCATTCACTCAGCATTTGCTTGTCTGAAAAGAGTCTTATTTCCCTTTCACTTATGAAGCTTAGTTTGGCTAGATATGAAATTCTAGGTTGGAACTTAAGAATGTTGAATATTGACTCCCAATCTCTTCTGGCTTGTAGGGTTTCTGCTGAGAGGTCTGCTTTAAATCAGTTGGTTTGATAGGCTTTCTTTTGTGGATGACCTGACGTTTCCTTTCTGTCCAGTGGCCTTTGATTTTATTAATTTATTTATTTTTGAGATGGAGTCTCACTCTATTGCACAGGCCGGGGTGCAATGGCATGATCTTGGGTCACTGCAACTTCTGCCCCTGGGTTCAGGCAATTCTTATGCCTCAGCCTCCTCAGTAGCTGGGATTAGAGGTGCATGCTACTGCACCTGGGTAATTTTTATATTTTTAGTAGAGATGGGATTTCCCCATGTTGGCCAGACTGGTCTTGAACTCCTGGCCTCAAATGATCCACCTGCCTAGGCCTCCCAAAGTGCAGGGATTACAGGCGTGAGCCACTGTACCTGGCTTAATATTTTTTCTTTTATTTTGGCCTTGAAGAATCTGATTATGTGTCTTGGGGATGATCTTCTTATGAAGTATCTTACTTGGGTTCTCTGCATTTCCTGAATTTGAATGTTAGCCTCTCTAGCTAGGCTGGGGACGTTCTCATGGATTATATCCTGAAATAAGTTTCCCAAATTGCTTACACTGTCTTTCAGGGACACCAATGTGTCATAGAATTGGTCTCTTTACATAATTCTGCATTTCTCAGAGGTTTTGTTCATTCGTTTTCATTACTTTTTCTCTATTCTTGTCTGATTTCAGAAAGCCTTCAAGCTCTGAGATTCTTTCCTCAGCTTAGTCTATTCTGCTATTAATACCTGTGATTGCATTATGAAATTCTTGTAGTGTGTTTTTCAGCTCTATCATATTGGTTACCATTTTTTTATACTGGCTATTTTGTCTGTCAGCTCCTGCATTGTTTTATTGTGATTCTTAGCTTCATTGAATTGGGTTTCAATGTACTCTATCTCAATGATCTTCTTTCCTATCCATATTCTGAAATCTATTTCTGTCATTTCAACCATCTGAGCCTGGTTCAGAACCCTTGCTGGAGATGTGATGCAATTTTTTGGAGTAAAGATGGTAGTCTGGCTTTTTGAGTTGTTAGGGTTCTTGTGCTTGTTCTTTTACATCTTTGTAGGCTGATGTTCCTTCAGTCTTAGAAGTTGCTGACCTTTGGATTTTTTTCTTTTATCATATTTGGTGCCCCGTTATCCAATCAAACTTTAAGGTATAAGGCAGATTCAGCCAACTGCCTTCATTTCTGAAAGATTTTAGGAGGTCAAGGCTTGGTTCCCAACATCTGGACTGTGTGCCCTAACTCTGGACTTGTGCCCCAACTTTGTTCTCTGGTTTCTTGAGGTTAGGAATCCACTGGGCTGGGTGGGCCAGGGTGCTCTCAGACTACTGCTTACTACACTCTAATAGCTGGTGTCAGCCAAGCATTATATAGTGTAGTGACAGCAGGATCCATCTTTGTTTGCATGTGCCAGTGGCAGCACATGGAGGTGCATATTTGTTGGCTGTGACAGGGTTCTGGAGGATGTTTGGTTGCCTGCCTCTATGCCGGCATTCATCACAATAAGGGAGGCAGCACAGCTGGGGGTGGGGATCTTCTGCTGGTGACTGTGTGTACAGTTGCACTGGTGGATGATGTTGGCATGGGGATGGGGCACTGGCAGGTGCTAGACTGGTTGTATTCTTTGTGCACTGCAGGCAGAGGTGGTTGCTCAAGGCAGAGGAGGGGCTGCTGTTCTTTTTGTCTAGTTTCACTCCAGCAGCAGTGTTAGCACAAGGGTGGGGCACTAGCAGGGGCAGGGATGCTGGCTTTGTGCCCACCAAGGCTCTGACTGCAATGGTGGTTGGCATGGGCACGGTGTGGGGAGTGGACTGCACTCCTGCTGCAGCAGTGGCAGGGCAGGGTGCACGTACATCCGTGTGCTGGTGGGGCAAGGAAGGCAAAACCAGTCTGGAAACACATTATGGCAAAGCAATGTAGGGGGTTGCTGCAGGCCTGGGGGAAGCTGCAGTGTGGGGAGGGAGCAGGCAGGCTGGTGCCTGGCCAAGGGGGCTGTCCCAGTGGAGCTCTCTGCCAGTCACAGTCTGCCAGTGCAGGAACTATGATATGGGCCCCTATGGCACTCAAGGCTGCCCTGCAAGCAGGCACAGCCAGGCTAGGGCCCTGAGAGAGGCCAGGAGGATAGGGGGTACTCAGTTCAGGCCAGCCCTATCTGATGTGCAAGACTGACCTGCAGAGTTCAGGTCTGACAGGTGTTCTAGGGCTAGCGTCTCCTATGGGAGCAAGTTCAGCCTAGGGGAATGGGCGTCCCTGTCCATGCTCCACTACAGACGCTCCTGCACCAAACCCCCTGGGCTCCACATCAGCTGGTTTGCTGCCCCTACCACTTCTTTAAGCAGCTCTCCCTGTCAACTTGAGTGTTCATGGTGGTCAAGGCCTCTTTCCAGGATTCCAGAGGCCTATGGCAAGAGTGGGTTACTCCTTGCCAGTTAAACTCACGTATTTCCCTGAAGCTTTTGGGGGCCAGGAATGAGTCCTGGTGTGTGGTAGCCCTGTGCAGGACTCCCAGCTTCTGTGTCTTCCCTCTGGACACCTGTTAGGAGTGTGCCAGTCATCTCGGCCCCTGGGTGGCAGCTATTCCACCTGGCTGTGTCTAGTGGGCCATCTTTCCCTCTCCCCTACTGTATCTTCTTTGCAGATATTTCAGGACTTGGCTTCAATCTGTTTCAGGGTAAATTAATGTAGGCCTTAATCTAGGGCTTGGTCCTTACTCCCAAAATTGGCTTTTGGTCGGAGCTGAATGTGTATAGTATTAACGTGTTAAGGAGGTGTGCCTAAGGTCTTTCTACTGCTGAGCCATACTTCTAGAGGTTCCTAGAACTTCTTGACCTCTAGTATCTCTGTTACATTTTCTACCCTGTGGAAGCTACTCTCTGGTCAGCCTTTTGTAGTGTTGCTCTGCATGTGCATAGTACATCCTTGACCAAGAATTCGACCTCTACACAGATGGCTGTGTTTTACGTATTCTGCTTTCTATGCTTCTCGGAACTCTGATGTTTGCCTCTTCAATTCAGCAGAACTACCTCTGAACCAGAAAGCCCAAACTTTGGATTCTAGTTTATTGCATTGCAGTTAGAAAATTTTCTTCAGACAGAGCCAGCATAATGGCAGGGCTTACCTCATGAGTTTCTTTTCTGTCAAAGACTGTAGTCCTGAGCTACCAGTTATCTAAGCACTATCTGTCATCCAGCCATAACGGTTTTATGCCTCCGAACAGTCATCTCACATATGTTTTCCACTTTCATCATTATTTATAGGTGAAAGGCTGGTCTGGTACTAGTTACATAGTCACAGCTAGCAGCAGAATTTCCTCCTGCAGTGAGGTTCGTGTTACTGTGTATGTGTGTTTTTAAGCTAAATTTATTTAACTTAAAGGAATCTGTTTTATTTGGAAATTATATCTTTCCTACTTCTTATATATTATTTATTTCTTTAAATATTAAAGATAGCAGATTATAGTGTTGGCTGTGCTTGTAAGTACATGTATGTTTTAACACTTTTTCTTGGCAGTATAAAACACTAAAGCAAAATGATGTGGACTCTAAACCTTTGCTACTCTGCTAAGTAATAAGTAGTTTTGAGTTAACCAGACCTTGGTCGTACCTAGTAGAACAATAGCCTATACAGGATGGTTATGCCTTAGTTTATTGGGACTTATTTTCCTGGACAGAACCTCCTTTTATTTCTAGAATGCCTTTGAAGTTAGGCTAAGAAATTTATTTTTTTCTGAAATATACAAGAGACTTAGGATTTCTCTAAAGAATCTCCAAGATGGAGCTTAGAGTCCTAAATCAAATTTACTATTACTGTATCATAATAATAAAAGATAGGAAAACTGATTTAGAAGATGAAATCCAGCCATAAGATATTTAGGTTAGATTCTGCTTATTTATAGTCAAAGTAGTATGTATCAGGGATTTAATTTTTAGAAAGGAATTTTCTGGTTAAATCTCAAGGTGAATAGTGATGTAGCACAAACACTACTTTCTTTGTAGTATTCATATAATTATATTGAAGTTAACCACTTGCAATTTTCTTAGCAATATGTTGAATATAATCAGGTATTAAAATATTAAAAAATAGCCAGGAAGGTTACATTTTAGTTCATTATTCATTTCATCAACTCTGCCTCTCTAATATCACTCAAATGCATTCCATCCTCTCTACCTTCACTACCACTATCTCTGTCCAGGCTTTTACAATTGCTTTTTGGTTTACTGTCGTTGGCCTCCTAGTCTCTGCTCTGGACATCTATTTCATTCTCCATATAGCAGCTATATAGAGTAGAACAGCATTTTAAAAATGCAGATCTCATCACTTGGAGTGTGAAATCCTTTCTAAGTAAGAATTATTTCTAGATGAAAGAAACAAAGGAGAGAGGAGGAAGAAATGTCCTTGAAAGGGAACAAAAAAGCATAATATTCTGAACAGTTGGGTGCTGTATTTACTCCTTCTTGAACTCTCAATTCCAAAGATTGCAGATTTCCTTCTAGAAGTGACTTTTTTAGTCATATTTCCACATTTTTCTCTACTTCAAAGCATCTTGCTCCCACCTTATTTACTCAGTGTCTTCCCTACTGACTGTCACCTTTAGATTAACAATTTCCTGTTCAGTTGCATTTATTTTCTTTCTGAGACATTGCCTTTTGGATTGCTTCCTCCTCCCTAACTGTTCAAGCAACTGTCTGAATACATCTTTTCACTACACTCAGCCTGGGTTTCCAAAACTAGGTTTCTTGGAAGTTGAAAAAATACAAAATTTCCTGCATAGTGGCAGGAAAAAAAAATTAACTAGGTAATTGGGTATTTTTCCCCCTTATTCATTATATAAGTATTTATTGTGCACTTAATATGTGTGATTTCTTTTGTGTTGTATATGCAACAACAGACAAAACTGCTATTTCTAGAATACTTAGTCTTTTGGAAGATATAGACAATTACAATAGTGTGAGAAGTTGTATAATAGATTAGGGTGTCATTAAAGTACCTAGTTGAAACACCTATCTCAGTCTACTAGGGGAATTTCTTAGGAGAATAAAGAATGAGTAGGGATTAGCAAGGAAGAAGTTGGGGTGGTGGCTTGGGGGACAGTGTTCAGGAAAAGAAATAGACATTTGCAAACCTAAATGGAAGGAAGCATCATGGTAAATTGGATAGATGAGAGTTGCTAAGAGAGGCAACAGGAAAGGTAAGTGGGGGCTAGTTTGTGAAGGTCTTTGTCAGCCATGTAAGGGAATTGGGAATTTGGATTTTACCCTAATGTAGTGGTTCTTTGACTTTAATGTGCATTCAAACTCACTAGGAATATTTTTACAATGCAGATTAGATTCTAATTCAGGAGGTTTGGAATGAAGCTTAATATTCTGCTTTTTTTTTCTGTTTGCTGTTTTAAAACTTCTAGTTCAGAAAGTTTTACATGTCCTATTTCCTAATTTGTTCATTGGTATATACCAGAGTTTTGTTAGCTCAAATGAAAAATCTTCTTTCCCATCATGACATATGCATGAATCAAGTCTTCCTTGTAGGTGGAACTCAGCAATTTGTCTCCTGTATATCTACTGGGTATTTCTTAAATTTCCTCAGTGTCTAGGCCAAATCTTTGCTTATTTATTAGCTTTCCAGGCACCTTGCTTTTAGACCTCTCACAATTACATTGCAGTGATTTGGGAGAGACTGTCTCAGACTGCAAGCCCTCCTGTTTGGCCATGGTGAGTTCCTTCTGGAGGCTGCCATGAGTGATTTCACAGCAGTCCTTCACCAGTTCATCTCTTAAACCATATAGATACTCTCATATGCACTATTATTCAACTTGCTCTTCTTTCTGGCATGCCTGATGATGTATCAGGGAGGGAGAGAGTTCTTGGGACACTTTAGTTTATCACCCTGCTAATCTCTGGATAAAGACTACCCTAGTGAAGAATCACAGAACTCTGTGCATTAACTTCTTCAAAATGGCATACTCTGTCATCTTCAGCATTCCCTTCCACATCACAGTCTTCTAAATCCTCAGGAAACAACATGTTCAGTGTAGGACTTTTCCACCCATATATTGTCTTTTGAATTGGGGAGATGACAAAAGCTTCCAGCTTCTTGGTTTTCACAGTCTTTTAAATCTTTGTAAAGTTTATGAAATTCTCATCCTTGACTTCCTCAATTTCTTCTTTCATGATCATTTCTTCTTCCTCTATACTGTGTTTCCCACTCTTGATTGCCTTTTGAACTGAGCCCTTTTTACTATTCTGTGTCTGCCCTGTTACAGGGCTGTCTAGCACTGAATCTTCTTCAACCACAGTGATCACTGAGATGCTATTATGAGATGGTCCTTCTCAGAGGCACTCATATCACATTGGATCACTTTTACAACTTTATTGGCCTGAGCCAGCTGGGAAGGCAAGGGACAGATGTTCTCAGGGCAGATAACACCATTTGCCATTATTTCTTTATTATCTATGGCATGCTTTTCATGTGCATCATACTCTTTATCCACATGACACATTTCAACTACATGGGGCTCCTCATCTTCACAGAGTTCCTCATCTTCATCACCCTTTTCAGATTTGCATAAACACAAGGCTCTATTAGATGTGGCTTCTCAGTCTAGCTCATATTACATTCAATCACTTTAGTCCAATAAAGTCAACTTTTTTGGACTGCACCAGCTGGATTGGTGAGGGACAGGGTTTCTCTGGGAGCCTGGCTTTCTCCCATCACTGAGGTGCTTCTGGGCATTGAATGGTAGGCTCAGGTCGCTTCCATGCTGAAGGGGAGTTACCTCTCCTGCTGGAACTGCTTGACATTCATAGACTTGCACACTTTTAACTTCATGCTCTTTTGGGCTTTTTACCAACTGAACCTCATCCCTGGCTTTTTTACTGAGAGGATTTGGGGGGCAGCCTTATATCTATTTTTTTTCTTAACCATGTTCATTTCTATGCCAGCACCTGACTTCAAGATCTCTTTGTCTTCTTCAACTTTAAGACACTGCCTTAAACCATAGTATCTCTTTGCTCATATTTATTTATAATGTTATCTTCATCCTCAGAAGGGTTTTAGAGCATACTCTTGCTTTTACAGTAACTCTGTGAAAGCAAAGGTGTGCTCTGAAATCCTCCTGAGGGTTTGTGCTGTGCCACTTTCCCTTGCAGGTCTTTACCGTAGGCCACATCATACAAATTGATGTTTTCCTTAAAAGTCCCATAATTTTACTGTAGGGGAATCTATTCTTTTATTCACACTTTCTCCTTCTCAGAGGTGCATTGCTTCTGAAAGGTGTGTTTCTATATGAAGGGTTATTAGAAGGGCTCTTACCATGTCATCTCCTCTTATGAGTAACATAAAATAAAGCCTATCTCTTTTGTCAGGAATGTTGTCAGCTTCTGTGTAAATAGCAGTAGTGAGGAAACTGGCCATACCAGCTATGTTATGGCTATTGACTTCTGCAGGGATGTTTTGTTTTTCACATGTGTTTTCAGCCTGCTTAAAATCAGATTGAGTCTTTTTGATTTTCTTTCTTTCTCCAAAGGCATTTTAGTGCTGGAACTGTGCTGTATGATAAGACACTGGGAACATGGTTAGGTGTGGTAGGAAATGGAGATTGTGGCACTAGAAAGGCAGAATACTTTCTGAGTGCAAATAAATATAGAACACAGACTTAAATTTATTAAACCTGCCCCAGTAACATGGAGATGATCATAGATGGGATTCTGGTACCACAGACCCAGGAAAGGATGGGCCATAGCCTGTATTTAATAGGGTCTGGGGTTGCTGCCTACAATATTGTGCACTGCTTTTTGAATAGTAGTTCATTTTCTAGTTCATTCCTGCATGACGAAAACCTACAGCTCCTCCCCCATCCCCTCCACTCCACCCATATTCTGCATTTCTAATAAGCTCCTAGATGAGGCTGACACTGCCTGTCCATGGACCACACTTTGAATAGCAAACTCCTAAGGAAGATAGCAAGGACTTTAAGGATTTCAATTGGAGCAGAAAATATTATAAACATATATCTAGCATTCTAGAAAGAATGTTGTGGTTTTAGAATAGAAGATTAACTGGAGAGGGGCAAGATTGGAAGCAGGAAAAAATTTAGCTGACTATTTTAGTAAACTTGGTTAGATATGACAGAGATTTCAGCTACTAGATTGCACTGGGCATGGAGAAAACTGAACAGATTCAAATATACTTGGAAGTAAAACTTAGAATCTTAGAGAACTTTGGAAGCGAGAGCAAGAACAGAAGAATAGAGACAGATTCTTAGGTATCTGGCTTGGTCAAATTTAATGCTACTCAAGGTGAGACAGCAGATCTGTGGAACGATTTAAAAATAGGCATTATATAATCAGATGTTATTTTCTTCACTCAATTAGAAATACCTATGTATCATCTCTGAATTCAGATACCTGTCATATAATCAGCAGAGAAATGAAAAAAGATACTTTTCCCTTCTTTGTACAAATGGAGAGATTTTTTTTCTTGCATTGTAGTACTTTGGACCAAATAATTAAATTAACTCCCTTGAGTTTGATGTGATGCACACCCAGGGAACTACTCTCATCCAGGACTCCCAGGGCACCGCTCCCACCCAGATAGGGAAGCAGTTTGATGTCCGAGTGAACACAGCCTGGTTTCAAAGTATATTGTACTCTATTGCCACTTTACTTAGAGCAGTTCAGTGGAGTCCTTCAGTCAACTGGAAAAAATAATCAGTTTACCTGCCCTGTGAAACTCTCAGTTTTAGCTTTGCTATTTTATCATGGTTTACATTCTCTCATAGGTAAAATCTAGTTAGACTAAAGGACATCTTTAAAATTGTACAACAGTGGCCAGAGATGTCTAGCCTTATAAAGAGATGATGAGGATTTTTAATGACCATGTGAAGGCATATCTATGAAACAAAAAAATTTTCAGCACTAAGTGGCATAGTCAATTCCAGCCTAACTGCCTCAGACCTGAGCAGCCTGTTCCTGAGGGCCTGCCTATTTCCCACATGGAAGGCTTAGCTCTCCATGTGCTATTAAGTGCTGGTGAGTCTGAGGACAAAGGAGTGGGAAGTAGAATTCACAGAGTTTGTGTATTCTCGTCCTTTATTTTTACTGAGTTGCAGATGGTTTCACTCACCAGAAGGATCTTTTATGTTGCCAGCATTGGCTTTACAAGTTAAAGATGGGATAGAGAATAGGTCAGCAAGACACCTTAATTGCTTCATCTTTTTCCTCAGGTCAGCCTGTTCTGAATCAGACTCCATTCCCTTCTAACATAACTCATTTACGCACCCAACACTCTCCCAAGTAAGGCTAATCTTTTACTGGTTTTTCTTCTTACAACTGTGGGACACTGGATTTCAGCATCTGGAGGCTGTTAACTATTGGAATTATAGCCAGGAATATCTTACAGTTTCTAGTGGTTGTTATCTTTCTGCTCTGACATTGTTCAATTAGACTCAGAGTGGATAAAGGATTATGAGAAAACATGTAGTGTGAAAATGCCTTAATTCTTATGTTCCCAAATCACTGATGTTGGCAATTGTTTTTCCCTTTATTTTAATTTTTTTTAATAACTCTTTCACCATACAGGGATGCTAGATTGAAAGTGCAACATTGCTGAGTCAATAAAACAGTTTTTTTTCCAATTATCTCATCTGTGAAAATTCAGTTATCATAAATGTATTTGTCTTCTATAGATTAATTTTATGGATATTCAAAAAATGTTTTTATTTGGAAAGAGTATGCCCAGAATGGAAAGTTCTTAGACAATATATAGTGATTGGATTCTGCTACAATACATGCATTTTTCTCACAAAGAACTGAATTTTGGAAGAGTTCTTTGATCAAACTCATAGAGCCAACTAAGGGTAGAGCCAAGACAAATTGTTTAAGTCAGAATTTTGTAACTTTCCTTATTATGAGAAAAACTTGGGGTTCTCATTAAAAAGAACTTTTTTTTTTTTCTGACTCCACGTCCACAGTGAGAGAATGTTCAGGAGAGAAAATCAGAAATCTACATTTGAAAAGTATCCCACTAACAGGTAGGTGATTCTTATGTGCACGCAAGTTTCAGGATTAATGGTTGATTTAAAAATCAGTAAAATGCATTCCAAGATATATACATTCTAGAAAGCAGACAAAATTAATTACAATTTCTTGAGAGGAGATATAAATGTTTGGACACTTAATCTGGCAAGATTAATTTGGCTACTTCATAAAGGTGTCTAAGCAGATACAATAAGCACAGTAGGAATGACAATTAGATAATGCAGTGGGTAAGTGTAGTTGTAATAAATTTTATTTCTTGTCTTATTTATTTATATTTGCTATTTTGGAATTTACTATAATGTGTATTGTTGGAAAACTTACCAGCAGGTGGTAGCACTGTTTAACAAATATACCCCAGATCACAAAGCAAGCCATTGTGAATAATTTATTGGCTACTAGAGCAGTAACATTCAAATATGTCAGAATATTGGATTGGGATTCAGAAAGCCTGACTCCTGGTCCCAGCTGTATTACTTACTGGCCCAATCACTTTGGAAAGATAATTTAATCTTAGTGTTTAGATAACATTGTAAGTAAAATTGGGATAATAACTCTCTTGGCTTTTGTTGTTTAGGGTAGAAAAAGAAAATGATTTTGAAATCATGGGAGGGGTAGAATGCTAGGTAAATGCAAGCTATCATCTCTCCTTTTTCCCCCGCTACGTTTCTTGTTATTCAGGCATATATTTTAAAATGTGACCCTATTAGCAGTAAAGGTGGCCATCACAGTGGAACTTAAAAGGACAGCACTCATAAATGTCAAATGACTTCCTGTTGCTCATGTGTTCAACTAATTTTTGACTTTTTTTTCAGTTTTGTTTTTTTCCCATGTATTCTAAGATACCAAAACTTCGCATTTGTGGGGTCTGAGGAAAAGTAGTTCCAGCCTCTGAATGCATTTTCATACGCAAACATTGCTTGTCTAACCTGTGCACATTCGTGAATTAAAGAGGAAAACTCCAAGAGAACCCAAATGGTAACTTCAAGGTGTTTTTACAGAAAAAAATAGCATCTATGTGCAGTAGCACATTTAAAATACAAAGAGCATAGTGAACTATTAGTTTACCTTTACTGAATCTTTGTTGTGTACAGAGAAGTATACAACCACTTAGAAGATTCAAAGATATAGAACCCAGGGGCTCCTAAAAATGAAAAACTTTTCATTCTTTGCTGTATTTTCATATTTCATTCAGTAGATATTTATTGATAATGTTCAATACTCCAGGGACTTTGCTAGGTGCTGGGGATATAGGCTATGTAAGACATGCATAATTCTCAAAGTTGCAATTTTTCAGATCATCTATAAAAGCAAACAGATGTGGTATATAAGGCTAAAAATAAGAACCACGAATATCACTGGGTGACTATTTCAATTAAAGCCAACCTGGAGAAAGTTAACATGTGAGATGTGAATGGAAAGAAGAGAGATTCTAGTGGAGGATATGGTACCCACAGAGTGAGATGTATGATGTGGAGACAGTACAGCTTAATAGTTAAGAGTATGGGCTTTGGAGTCAAAATGATCTGGAATAAAGTAGTAACTCTGCTACTTGTAAATTGCATAATCTTTGGCAAGTTACTCTGATTTTTTTGTTTCTTAGTTTCCTCATCTGTAAAATGGATATGATAGTAGTTTCTATTTTATAGTTATTCTAAGAACTAAATCTGACAATTAGTGCACAGTAAATTCTAAATGTGGAAAAGCAAACAAATTTTCTTGAAACATAAGATATATAGAGAAGTTTTTATAAGGCACTGAATGTTAAACACGGAGGTTTGAATTTATTATAGCAGAAAATGGGAAGTATAGATGTTTACATAGAATAGAGGTGTCAGTGAAAAGATATTTAAAGGTGTTATAGCAGTTGTATAAAGGGTGTTTTAGAACAGACGGTGGATAAGGGTACGAAAAGGAGGGTCATCTTAAGAGTACAGATATGAGGAAATGTGAGCTTATACTTGGGTAAGGGATTTGGAAAGACTTGATGATGAATTGGATAGGAGATCAAGAGGGAGACAGGATTAAAAATTTATTCCAATAATGTGAGCCTGGGGAATTAAAGGGGATGGTTGTATCTTTGGCAAAAATAAGAAGCAGTGTTTTATATGTGTGAAGAAAGCAAATATATTTATTCTCATGAGAAAGAGCCAGTAAAAGACACAAAGCACCAGGCAGAAGAGTCCAAAATCAAGACTGGATATTTCAGTTGAGAATAATCTGCCGAGTTTCAACATGGTCATTGAAACCAGCTGCTATTGCGTGTTTGAAGGTAATAGGGGAAAAATGGGAAAAAAAATCACATAAGTATATTCCAAGAAAGAATATCCTTGGGGCTGACAGAACATTTGAGAGAGTGATAAACTTACAAGCTTAATTCTGTTTTCATGAACTTGGAAGAGCAACTTCCTCTTGCTGTGCAGGGTTTTTCCCACATTCTTAAAGTCCCATCCTCCTTTAACAATGTCCTGTGTTGAAATGAATGAAAATTTCTGATGCTAACACATAACTAATTTCTGGCTGAGGTCACGTATAGTAATGTAAAATACCAGGTACCTCATATTCTATTAAAGTAGGTTTGTCACGTAAAGAGAACAGAACTTCTTTCAGGAATAAGTTGGCCACCCATGAAACATGCGAAAACATGGGACAATAAAATTCCTGTCAGAGTCTCTGGGAAGATTTCCCTGAGATTCCATTCCCACAATTGTGTCAGGAAACTACTTCAATATTGTAATGATATGTCACACTTCTATTAGCATGCTTACCACATTGTGTTGATACTATCTTTTGAGATGGGGCTGTGAAACTGACTAAATGCTAAGGGGCCTAAAGACAATGGAAGTTACTTTTTATTTTTTTTGAAAAATTTGTTCTTTTTATTTTTTATTTATTTATTTATTTTTGAGATGGAGTCTCGCTCTGTTGCCCAGGCTGGAGTGCAGTGGCATGATCTTGGCTCGCTGCCACCTTCGCCTCCTGGGTTCAAGCGATTCTCCTGCCTCAGCCTCCTGAGTACCTGAGATTACAGGCACACGCCACCATGCCTGGCTAATTTTTCATTTTTGGTAGCGACAGGGTTTCACCATGTTGGCCAGGCTGGTCTTGGACTCCTGACTTGAAGTGATCTGCCCGTCTCAGCCTCCCAAAGTGCTGGGACTGCAGGCATGAGCCACCATGCCAGCCAAAGAAGTTATTTTTAAAATAGCATTATTGAGTTCTAATTTACATTCAAATATCACCAATTTTGACAAATATGCAGGCTAGTAACTGCTATCATAATAATGATGTAGAACATTTCTATGACTAAAAAGTCATCTAGTGTGCCCCTTGGCAGTCAATCCCTACTCCCCAACTCTGGCCCCTAGCAATCCTTATTCTATTTTCTGTTCCTGCGGTTACAACTTTTCTAGAGTTTCAGATAAGACACATCTATGTTGAATGTATTAGTAGTTTGTTACTTTTTCCTTTATTGATTAAGCTGTATACTTTATTTGTAATTCATTAGTTTTTGCTAAATTCATTTGCCCAGGATCCAATACAGGATATCACATTATATTTAGTTGCTATGTCTTTTTATATTACTCCAGGCTATGACTGTTTCTCAATTTTTTTTTTATGACATTGACAGGAGGCATACTGGTCAAGTATTTTGGAGAAGGTCCTTCATTTTGTTTTCCTGATGATTTTCATATGGTTACACTGGGGATAAGGATTTTTTTTAGAATACAATCACAGAGATAAGGTACCATTCTCAACCTTGCTTATAAAGGGAAGATCCCTATCAATGTGAATTCCCACTGATGGTGTTTACCTGATTGCCTGGCTAAGAGTGTTTGTCAGTTTTTGCCACTGAAAAGTCACATTTTCCCCCATTTCTACATTGTACTTTAGAAGCAAGTCACTAAGTGTAGCCCATATTTAAGGGTGGGGAATTATATCTCTTTTAAAAAGGAAGTATGAAAGGAAAATAAATCTCAAAACCCCAAAATCAGTAAGCCAAAGGGAAAAGTCAAGCTGGGAACTGTGTCAGGCAAACCTACCTCCCATTTTATTACTAAATAAGATAGCTACAATGATTAAAAAAAAGCTCCCTCACAATTTGCCCATGGGATATTCCTTGTGGAAAAAGGACAGAGAACTCAGTTATCCCTCTGCTCCCCTGAGACAAATGCATCTCTGATTGCTTCCTCTGCCCTTCTGTTTCACTAAGACAGACTAAGGCATAAGTGACTATTTTTCTACCTCTCACATGTGAATTGTGTATTCAGTGAAAGGGTAATCAGAGGATCAAAAGGATGCAACCAATTGTCTTTTATCTACTTATGACCTGGAAGCCCTCTCCCCCACTTCAAGTTGTCCCACATTTCCAGACTGAATAAATGTACATCTTACATATATTGATCAATGCCTCATGTCTCCTTAAAACGTATAAAACCAATGTTAGGGCTTTTTGAGGCTGTGTCACGAGCATATTCTTAACCTTGGCAAAATAAACTTTCTAAACTGATTGAGCTCTGTCTCAGATACTTTTGGGTTCACAGAAGTATAAGTAAATTGAGTTCTTGTGTACAGGAGATTTGTCTCTTCTCTCCTATTTGTTTAATCATTTCTTTGTATCAGAATGTATTCACACATATTTATATTTTGGGTTATCATCCAATACTATGTTATGTATTTAATTGCTCAAATTTTTCCAGCTTTGGCAATTGAGAACTCTTTTTTTTTGATGAGAATGTGTTCAGTCTTTCACCAGTAATCAAGATATGAGTTGTAGATATTTTGTAGATGTGCTTTATCATGTTGTAAAGGCTCTCTTCTATTTCTAATTTGCTGAGATATTTTATTTGGAGTAGATGTTAAGTTTTGTCAGATGCTTTTTGTGCATCAATTGAGATAGTCACGTGGCTTTTCTTTTTTAGTTTGCAAATATTACTGATGCAGGATTTTTTACTCCATAGCTCAGCTAAAACCCAGGTTCTTGTCTCACAACCAGGAAAAACTAGGCACATGGACACATTGAAAGGTGAGGAGAGCAGAATTTATTAAAAAGAAGCTCTCAGCAAAAAAGAGGGGGTCAAAAAAAGGGGGTCCTGCCAACAGGCTCCCACCTCACAGATTTAATACTAGGCCACCACACATGAGCTGAAGAGGACTGGCTCCTCCCCACTGCATAAGATGCAAATTCCTGGTGGCTCCACCTCATTCTCCCAGTATGCAGGTGGGCCCTTAGTCTGAGCCACTCCATGTTGATTTACTTCCCTTACTGCAAATGTGTTAAGGGATGGAATTTTTCCCCATGGGCATGTTTAGGCTAGACCCTGTGCAGGTACCCTTATCTGCCTCCTGCATCTATCATTATGAATTACATTGACTTTTGAATGTTAAATCAGCCTGACATTACTGGGAACTGCACTTGGTTATGATTGTTATCTTTTTTTAAATATTGTTTGACTTTAAAGGCCAAAGTTGAAATTAGGATTTTTGGCATCTATGTTGGTGAGAGAGATTGGTCTGCCATTTTCTTATACTGCTTATCTGATGTTGGTATTGTGGCATCATAGAACAGGTTGGAAAGTATTTGCTTTTTTTACTTATTAAAAAAGATTTTGTGTATGATTGGTATTTATTCTTAACTGTTTAATAAGAGTTTACCCTTGAAGCAACCTAGGTATGGAATTTTCATTGTGGGAAGATTTTAAATTATAAGTTTTCATGTATGTATATGGCTATTCATGTAATCTCTTCATTTTTCTGAGCCTTTCTTGTATATATTTGTATATATTGTATATATCTTGTATATATTGAGTTAGATGAAACTCAAGAACATTTTCAGTTTCACATAACTTTTGTATTCATTTCCATGAAGATTTTTGTAACATTTCTTTATCCTTTTAATATCTGTAGCATCTGTATTGATGCCACATCTCTCCTTTCTGAATATTGGTAAATGTCTTTTTTTTCTTGTTCAGTCTGGCCAAATATTTATCATTTTCATTGAAATGTCAAAGAACTAGCTTTTGGTCTACTTGATTTTACTCTATTTTTTCTTTTGATTTCTATTCTATCAATTTTCTTAACTTCTGATCTTCATTTTGTAACTGCCCAATGGGTTCTCTTTGCCCGATGCCTAGACAGCAGGCAAGCTGTGTGGGAGATCAGATTTATTATTACTCAGATCAGTCTCCCTGGGCATTCAGGGATCCAGCATTTGGGGATTGGAGTTTGTAAAGTTAATTTGGTGGGTAGGGGCTCGGGGAGTGCTTGGTCAGGTTGGAGACAGACTCATAGGGGGTCGAAGTGAGGTTTTCTTGCTGTCTTCTGTTCCTGGGTGGGTTTGCAAACTGGTTGACCCAGATTACCAGTCTGGGTAGTGTCAGTTGATCCACTGAGTGTGGGGTCTGCAAAATACCTCAAGCACTGATCTTAGGTTTTACAATAGTGATATTATCCCAAAGAGCAATTTGGGGAGGTTCAGACTCTTGAAGCCAGAGATGGTATGACCTCTAAACCATAATTTCTAATCTTGTAGCTAATTTGTTAGTTCTGCAAAGGCAGACTGGTCCCCAGGCAAGAAGTGGGTCTTTTCAGGAAGGGGCTATTAGCATTTTGTTTTAGAGTTTAACCAGAAACTGAATTCCTTCCCAAGGTTAGTTCCACCTATGCCCAGGAATGAACAAGGACCGCTTAAAGGTTAGAAGCAAGATGGAGTCAGTTAGGTCTGATCTCTTACACTGCCATAATTTCCTCAGTTACAATTTTTGCAAAGGTGGTTACAACTTTATAATCTTCCTAATTTCAACTTTATAATCTTCCTAATTTGCACTTAAGTGATTTTCTTTAGTGATTTCTGAAGTGATTTTTTAGCTTTCAGCTAAAGTCACTGATTTCAGATCTTCTTCTTTTCTAATATAGGCATTTAGTTCTATAAAATTTTCCTTAAGTAAAGCTTCAGCAGTATGTTACAAATTATGATATGTTGTCTTTTCATTTTCATTAAGAGAAAAATACTTTCTAATCACCTTTTCGATTCCTTCTCTGATCTCTGAATTATTTATAAGTGTAATGTACTATATTGTTTACATACCATATGGCTTACCTACTATAAAATTATCATGTTTTTAAGTATAATTCCATGATTTTTAGCAAGTTTTCATAGGTATGAAACCATCACCACCATTTAGATAACAACATTTCCATCACCACACAAAAAAAAATCCCAGATGTCCATTTGTAGCGGGTCCTGGTTCTCACTCCAAGCAGTTACTAGTGCATCTTGTCTCTATATAGTTGCATTTTCTGGGTTTTTCTTATCAATTAAAAACATATAATGTGTTATTTAGACATATTAATTTTTAAGATTTGTGGATTCCCAAAATATCCTCTGTTGATTTGTAATTATGTGCTTTGTATGACAATGTTAATCCTTTTAAAGTTATTGAGGCATGTTTTATGGCCTACTATATGGTTTATTTTGGATTATGTTCCATATGCAACTGGAAGAATGTGCGTTTTGCTGTGTGATGGGTGGAGTGTTCTAGAGATATCAGTTAGGTCAGTGGGGTTGATACTGTTTTTCAAGTTTCTATATCCCCACTAATTTTCTGCCTAGTTTCTCTTTCTGTTATTAAGAGTGCAATATTGAAATAGCCAATCATTATTGTTGAGTACTTTATATTTTCCTTCAATTCTGTCATATTTTTACTTCATGTATTTTGAGACTATGTTGTTACCTCCATATATGTTTGTATATTTTATATTTTCCTGTTGAATCAATCATTTTATTATTATCAAATTTTCTTCTTTCTCCTAGGAGCAATTTTTTGGTCTGAAAGTGTGTTTCTTTTTTCTGTTATTGGTGTAGCCAGTCCATCTCTCTTTTGGATACTGCCTGCATGGTACAGTTTTCCTATTCTTTTACTTTTAGCCTCCTTGGTTGATATGGTTAGGCTTTGTGTCCATACCCCAATCTCATCTTGAATTGTAATCCCCATGTGTCAAGGCTGGGAACAGGTGGAGGTAATTAAATCATGGAGGGCATTTTATCCCATACTGTTCTAGTAATAGTGAGTTATTGCAAGATCTGATGGTTTTATAAGCATCTGGCATTTCTCCTGCTTGCATTCACTCTGTCCTGCCACCCTATGAAAAAGGTGCCTGCTTCTCCTTTGCTTTCTGCCATGATGTTAAGTTTCCTGAGGCCTCCTCAGCAATGCAGAACTGTAAGTCAATGAAACCCCTTTCCTTTATAAATTACCCAGTCTCAGGTATTTCTCCATAGCAGTGTGAGAAAAGACTAATACAGTGTCATTTAAACTAAAGTTTATCTCTTGTGAATAGAATAGGATTGTATCATGGAGTGTTTTTTGTTGTTGTTGGTTGGTTGGTTAGGTTTTTTTTTAATGTCTATTTTGCCAGTCTCTACCTTTGGATTGGAGTATATGAACCATATTATATATAATGTAAATATTGATATGGTTAGATTTATATCAGCCATTTTGTTATTTGCAGTTTCTCTTTTATTCCTTTCTTTTGCTTTAAGTTTATCTATTTTAGAGTATCACATTAATTCTTTTTGTTTTCATTTTTAAAGTTATCTTCTCCATAGTTTTTTAAGGATTACTATATGTGTCTTATTTTTAAACAATCTGCTTAAGATTTTTTTTTTACTTTTATAATTATTATACTTTAAGTTTTAGGGTACATGTGCACAACGTGCAGGTTTGTTACGTATGTATACATGTGCCATGTTGGTGTGCTGCACCCATTAACTCGTCATTTAGCATTAGGTATATCTCCTAATGCTATCCCTCCCCGCTCCCACCACCCCACAACAGGCCCCAGTGTGTGATGTTCCCCTTCCTGTGTCCATGTGTTCTCATTGTTCAGTTCCCACGTATGAGTGAGAACATGCGACATTTGGTTTTCTTTCCTTGCGATAGTTTGCTGAGAATGATGGTTTTCAGCCTCATCCATGTCCCTACAAAGGACATGAGCTCATCATTTTTTATGGCTGCATAGTATTCCATGGTGTACATGTGCCACATTTTCTTAATCCAGTCTGTCATTGTTGGACACTTAGGTTGGTTCCAAGTCCTTGCTATTGTGAATAGTGCCGCAATAAACATACATGTGCGTGTGTCTTTATGGCAGCATGATTTATAATCCTTTGGGTATATACCCAGTAATGAGATGGCTGGGTCAAATGGTATTTCTAGTTCTAGATCCTTGAGGAATCACCATACTGACTTCCACAATGGTTGAACTAGTTTGCAGTCCCACCAACAGTGTAAAAGTGTTCCTATTTCTCCACATCCTCTCCAGCACCTGTTGTTTCCTGACTTTTTAATGATTGCCATTCTAACTGGTGTGAGATGGTATCTCATTGTGGTTTTGATTTGCATTTCTCTAATGGTCAGTGATGATGAGCATTTTTTCATGTGTTTTTTGGCTGCATAAATGTCTTCTTTTGAGGAGTGTCTGTTCATATCCTTCGCCCACTTTTTGATGGGGTTGTTTTTTTCTTGTAAATTTATTTGAGTTCACTGTAGATTCTGGATATTAGCGCTTTGTCAGATGAGTAGATTGCAAAAATTTTCTCCCATTCTGTAGGTTGCCTGTTCACTCTGATGGTAGTTTCTTTTGCTGTGCAGAAGCTCTTTAGTTTAATTAGATCCCATTTGTCAGTTCTGGCTTTTGTTGCCATTGCTTTTGGCGTCTTAGACATGAAGTCCTTGCCCATGCCTGTGTCCTGAATGGTATTGCCTAGGTTTTCTTCTAGAGTTTTTATGGTTTTAGGTCTAACATTTAAGTCTTTGATCCATCTTGAGTTAATTTTTGTATAAGGTATTATAAGGAAGGGTTCTAGTTTCAGTTTTCCGCATATGGCTAGCCAGTTTTCTTTCCCAACACAATTTATTAAATAGGGAATCCTTTCCCCATTGCTTGTTTCTGTCAGGTTTGTCAAAGATCAGATAGTTGTAGATATGTGGCATTATTTCTGAGACCTCTGTTCTGTTCCATTGATCTATATCTCTGTTTTGGTACCAGTACCATGCTGTTTTGGTTACCGTAGCCTTGTAGTATAGTTTGAAGTCAGGTAGTGTGATGCCTCCAGCTTTGTTCTTTTGGCTTAGGATTGACGTGGCAATGTGGGCTCTTTTTTGGTTCCATATGAACTTTAAAGTAGTTTTTTCCAATTTTGTGAAGAAAGTCATTGGTAGCTTGATGGGGATAGCATTGAATCTATAAATTACCTTGGGCAGTATGGCCATTTTCACGATATTGATTCTTCCTACCCATAAGCATGGAATGTTCTTCCATTTGTTTCTATCCTCTTTTATTTCATTGAGCAGCGTTTGTAGTTCTCCTTGAAGAGGTCCTTCACATCCCTTGTAAGTTGGATTCCTAGGTATTTTATTCTCTTTGAAGCAATTGTGAATGGGAGTTCACTCATGATTTGGCTCTCTGTCTGTTTTTGGTGTATAAGAATGCTTGTGATTTTTGTACATTGATTTTGTATCCTGAGACTTTGCTGAAGTTGCCTATCAGCTTAAGGAGATTTTGGGCTGAGAGGATGGGGTTTTCTAGATATATAATCATGTCATCTGCAAACAGGGACAATTTGACTTCCTCTTTTCCTAATTGAATACCCTTTATTTCTTTCTCCTGCCCAATTGCCCTGGCCAGAACTTCCAACAGTGTGTTGAATAGGAGTGGTCAGAGGCAGCATCCCTGTCTTGTGCTGGTTTTCAAAGCAAATGCTTCCAGTTTTTGCCCATTCAGTATGATATTGGCTGTGGGTTTGTCATAGATAGCTCTTATTATTTTGAGATAAGTCCCATCAATACCTAATTTATTGAGAGTTTTTAGCATGAAGGGTTGTTGAATTTTGTCAAAGGCCTTTTCTGCATCTATTGAGATAATCATGTGGTTTTTCTCTGTAGTTCTGTTTATATGCTGGATTATATTTATTGATTTTCATATGTTGAACCAGCCTTGCATCCCAGGGATGAAGCCCACTTGATCATGGTGGATAAGCTTTTTAATGTGTTGCTGGATTCGGTTTGCCAGTATTTTATTGAGGATTTTTGCATCAATGTTCATCAAGGATATTGGTCTAGAATTCTCTTTTTTTGTTGTGTCTCTGCCTGGCTTTGGTATTATGATGATGCTGGCCTCATAAAATGAGTTAGGGAGGAATCTCTCTTTTTCTATTGAATGGAATAGTTTCAGAAGGAATGGTACCAGCTCGTCCTTGTACCTCTGGTAGAATTTGGCTGTGAATCCATCTGGTCCTGGACTTTTTTGGTTGGTAAGCTATTAATTATTGCCTCAATTTCAGAGCCTGCTATTGGTCTATTCAGAGATTCAACTTCTTCTTGGTTTAGTCTTGGGAGGGTGTATGTGTCGAAGAATTTATCCATTTCTTCTAGATTTTCTAGTTTATTTGCATAGAGGTGTTTATAGTATTCTTTGATGGTAGTTTGTGTTTCTGTGGGATCAGTGGTGATATCCCCTTTGTCATTTTTTATTGCGTCTATTTGCTTCTTCTCTCTTTTCTTCTTTATTAGTCTTGCTAGTGGTCTGTCAATTTTGTTGGTCTTTTCAAAAAACCAGCTCCTGGATTCATTGATTTTTTGAAGGATTTTTTTGAGTCTCTATTTCCTTCAGTTCTGCTCTGATCTTAGTTATTTCTTGCCTTCTGCTAGCTTTTGAATGTGTTTGCTCTTGCTTCTCTATTTCTTTTAATTGTGATGTTAGGGTGTCAATTTTAGATCTTTCCTGCTTTCTCTTGTGGGCATTTAGTGCTATAAATTTCCCGCTACACACTGCTTTGAATGTGTCCCAGAGATTCTGGTATGTTGTCTCTTTGTTCTCATTGGTTTAAAGAACATCTTTATTTCTGCCTTCATTTTGTTATGTACCCAGTAGTCATTCAGGAGCAGGTTGTTCAGTTTCCATGTAGTTGAGCAGTTTTGAGTGAGTTTCTTAATCCTGAGTTCTAGTTTGATTGCATTGTGGTCTGAGAGACAGTTTGTTATAATTTCTGTTCTTTTACATTTGCTGAGGAGTGCTTTACTTCCAACTATGTGGTCAGTTTTGGAATAGGTGTGGTGTGGTGCTGAAAAGAATGTATATTCTGTTGATTTGGGGTGGAGAGTTCTGTAGATGTCTATTAGGTCTGCTTGGTGCAGAGCTGAGTTCAATTCCTGGATATCCTTGTTAACTTTCTGTCTCATGTTGACAGTGGGGTGTTATAGTCTTCCATTATTATTGTGTGGGAGTCTAAGTCTCTTTGTAGGTCACTAAGGACTTGCTTTATGAATCTGGGTGCTCCTGTATTGGGTGCATATATATTTAGGACAGTTAGTTCTTCTTGTTGAATTGATCCCTTTGCCATTATGTAATGGCCTTCTTTGTCTCTTTTGATCTTTGTTGGTTTAAAGTCTGTTTTATCCGAGACTAGGATTGCAACCCCTGCGTTTTTTTGTTTTCCATTTGCTTGATAGATCTTCCTCCATCCCTTTATTTTGAGCCTATGTGTGTCTCTGCATGTGAGATGGGTTTCCTAAATACAGCACACTGATGGGTCTTGACTCTTTATCCAATTTGCCAGTCTGTGTCTTTTAATTGGAGCATTTAGCCCATTTACATTTAAGGTTAGTATTGTTATGTGTGTATTTGATCCTGTCATTATGACATTAGCTGGTTATTTTGCTCGTTAGTTGATGCAGTTTCTTCCTAGCCTTGATGGTCTTTACAATTTGGCATGTTTTTGCAGTGGCTGGTACCAGTTGTTCCTTTCCATATTTAGTGCTTCCTTCAGGAGCTCTTTTAGTGCAGGCCTGGTGGTGACAAAATCTCTCAGCATTTGCTTGTCTGTAAAGTATTTTATTTCTCCTTAACTTATGAAGCTTAGTTTGGCTGGATATGAAATTCTGTGTTGAAAATTCTTTTCTTTAAGAATGTTGAATATTGTCCCCCACTCTCTTCTGGCTTGTAGAGTTTCTGCCAAGAGATCAGCTGTTAGTCTGATGGGCTTCCCTTTGTGGGCAACCCGACCTTTCTCTCTGGCTGCCCTTAACATTTTTTCCTTCATTTGAACTTTGGTGAATCTGACAATTATGTGTCTTGGAGTTGCTCTTCTCGAGGAGTGTCTTTGTGGCGTTCTCTGTATTTCCTGAATTTGAATGTTGGCCAGCCTTGCTAGATTGGGGAAGTTCTCCTGGATAATATCCTGCAGAGTGTTTTCCTACTTGGTTCCATTCTCCCGTCACTTTCAGGTACACCAATCAGACGTAGATTTGGCCTTTTTATACAGTCTTATATTTCTTGGAGGCTTTGTTCGTTTCTTTTTATTCTTTTTTCTCTAAACTTCTCTTCTTGCTTCATTTCATTCACTTCGTCTTCCATCACTGATACCCCTTCTTCCAGTTGATCGCATTGGCTACTGAGGCTTGTACATTCGTCATGTAGTTCTTGTGCTGTGCTTTTCAGCTCCATCAGGTCCTTTAAGGACTTCTCTGTATTGGTTATTCTAGTTATCCATTCGTCTAATTTTTTTTCAAGATTTTTAACTTCTTTGCCATTGGTTCGAACTTCTGAACCAATGGCAAAGTTTGATCTTGGAGTAGTTTGATCTTCTGAAGCCTTCTTCTCTCAACTCGTCAAAGTCATTCTCCGTCCAGCTTTGTTCCACTGCTGGTGAGGAGCTGTGTTCCTTTGGAGGAGGAGAGGCACTCTGATTTTTAGAGTTTCTGGTTTTTCTTCTCTGTTTTTTCCCCATCTTTGTGGTTTTATCTACCTTTGGTCCTTGATGATGGTGATGTATAGATGGGTTTTTGGTGTGGATGTCCTTTCTGTTTGTTAGTTTTCCTTCTAACAGTCAGGACCCTCAGCTGCAGGTCTGTTGGAGTTTGCTGGAGGTCCACTCCAGACCCTGTTTGTGTGGGTATCAGCAGCGGTTGCTGCAGAACAGCTGATATTGGTGAACTGTAAATGCTGCTGCCTGATCGTTCCTCTGAAAGTTTTGTCTCAGAGGAGTACCCGGCCGTGTGAGGTGTCAGTCCGCCCCTACTGGGGAGTGCCTCCCAGTTAGGCTACTCGGGGGTCAGGGACCCACTTAAGGAGGCAGTCTGCCCATTCTCAGATCTCCAGCTGCGTGCTGGGAGAACCACTACTCTCTTCAAAGCTGTCAGACAGGGACATATAAGTCTGCAGAGCTTATTCCTGCCTTTTGTTTGTCTGTGCCCTGCCCCCAGAGGTGGATCCTACAGAGGCAGGCAGGCCTCCTTGAGCTGTGGTGGGCTCCACCCAGTTTGAGATTCCTGGCTGCTTTGTTTACCTACTCAAGCCTTGGCAATGGCGGGTGCCCCTTAAGATTAATGCTAATGAGGGAGGTAGAACAAAATGGCCAGATAGACTCCTCCAGTAATGTTTTTTCTCACAGGAACACCAGTTGAACAACTATTCACACAAGAAAGCTCCTTCACAAAAACCAAAAATCAGATGAGAGATCACAGTACCTGGCTTTATTATCAAGGAAAGAGGCAAAGAAGGGGGTAGAAAAGACAGTCTTCAATTAATGACACCCGACATCATCCCTCCACACCATGCAATCACTGCCACTGTCCCCCGGCAGTGGCTGCATGGTTTGGAGAGAGAATCTGTGTGCCTTGGGGAGGGAGAGTTCAGCAGTTGTGGAACTTTGCATTGGAACTCAGTGCTACCCATCAGAGCAGAAAACAACATGGACCAGAATTCTGCCTGTGCTCATGGAGGAAGCATTTTAGACCAGCCCTAGCTAGAGAAGAATTGCCTAACCCAGTGGTCAGAACTTGATTTCTAGCTAGCCCCACCACCATGGGCTAAAGCACACTGAACTTTGAGAGGCTGAGATTGGAGGACTGCTTGATCCCAGGAGTTTGAGACCAACCCTGGCAACATAGTGAGACCCCATCTATACCAAATATATATATACACACACACACATATATACATATGTGTGTTTATATGTATATTTTAATTAAAAATTTAAAAAAGCAAAGCACTCTGGTCCTAAATAAACTTGAAAGCAGTCTAAACCAGAAAGACTGCAGTGGACTTGTGGTGCACATGACATAGTGAGACACCAGCCAGGGCAGCTAAGGGAGTACTTGTGTCATCCCTCCCCCAACCGCAGGGAGTGCAGCTCATAGCATCAGAAGAGACTCCTCCTTTCTTTTTGAGAAGAGAGTAAAGTGGACTTTGTCTTGTAACTTGGTTATCAGCTCAGCCACAGTAGAATAGGACACCATGCAGAGTTCTGAGGTCTCATTCCAAGCCCTATCTCCCAAATGACATATCTAGACATACCCTGAGCCAGAAGAGAACCTGCTGCCTTAAAAGGAAGAAACTAGTTCTGGAAGGATTCATCACCTGCTAGATAAAGAGCCCTTGGGCCTTGAATAAATGGCAGCCAGAGATTCCCTGCCATAGGCAATGGCTGAGACCCAGTGCTGTACTGGTTTCAGGTGTGACCTGGCATGTTCCCATCTGTGGTGAGCGCAGGGAGAGACTCCTACTTGAGGAAAAGAGAGTGAAGTGCAAAGGAGACTTTGTCTTGTTGCTTGGGTACCAGTTCGGCCACAGTAGGGTAGAGAACCAAGTGGTGCCCTGCAGTCCCTGACTCCATGCCTTAGCTCTGGCATGGTGTTTCTGGACTACCCCGTGACAGTGACAGAGGTAGCCACTACACTCAAGGGAGAGACACAGGCCTGGCAGCATTTATCAAAAGCTGTCTGAAGAGCCCTTGGGCCTTGAGTGAACACCAGTCCTCTCTGTAGGCCTGGGTGGTGGTGGCCACAAGAAGGAGACTTTTATTGCTTGAGGAAGGGAAAAGGAAGAGTGGAAAGGACTTTGTCTTGTAGTTTAGGTGCCAACTCAGCTGTACTAAAATAAAGCATGATACAGATTCCAAAGTTTCCTGACTCCAGTCCCTGACTTATGCACCCCTCCAGGGCTGGGATGGGGATAGGTAACTTATCGCCCTTAATGGGAGGACACAGGCCTGGTTGGATTCCACACCTACTGACTGAAGATCCCTTGGGCCTTTAGTGAACTGCAGCAGTGGCCAGGCAGTGGTTGCCATTGTCCTTGTGTGAGATCCAGAGCTATGCTGGGTTCAGGTCTGATGCAGCATAATAGCAGTGGTGGTGGACACAGACATACTTTTGTCATCTCTCCCCCAGATCCAAGAAGCTCAGCAAGGAGACAGAGAGAGACTCAATTTGCTTGGTAGAAAGTAGAGAACAAGAGTCTCTGCCTGGTAATCCAGGGAATTCTCAAGGATCTTACCCAAGACCACCAAGGTGGTACTTCTATGAGTCTTCAAGAGTGATAGTGTTACTGGGCTTGGGGTGCCCCCTTAATGCAGACACAGCTACAGTAACCAAAAACTTAGATCATAACACTCACTTCCCTATGAATATCCCTAGAAAGCCTTCACAAGAAGAATGGGTACAAATAAGCCCAGACTGCAAAGAGAACAATAATACCTAACTCTTCATTGCCTAGACAAAGATGAACATCCATGAGCTTCAAGATTATCTAGGAAAACATGGCCTTACCAAAAAGAACTAAATAAGAAAGCTGTGACCAGTCTTGGAATGACAGAGATATTTGACCTTTCAGGCAGAGAATTAAAAATAACTGTTTTGATGAAGCTCAGTGAAATTCAAGATAACACAGAGATAGAATTTGGAATCCTATCAATGAATTTAACAAAGAGCTTTACACTAATATTCACAGCAGCTTTTTTATAGTAGCCCCAAATTTGGTCAACCTCAAATGTATATAAACAGATTAATGGAAAATTATAAAATTGAAGTAAGTTTTTAAAATTAGACAACAATTTCGCAGCTGGAAAAATCAATTGACATACTGAAGAATGCATCAGAGTCTGTCATTTGCAGAATTAATCAGGGAGAAGAAAGAATCAGTGAGCTTGAAGATAAGCTATTTGAAAATACACAGTCAGGGGAGTCAGTCAAAAGGGAAAAGAATAAAAGACAATGAAGCACACCTACAGGACCTAGAAAATTGTCGCAAAAGAACAAATTGAAGAGTTACTGGCTTTTAAAGAGGAGACAGAGAGAGAGAGAGAGAGAGAGATTAGATTAGATTAGATTAGATTAGATTAGATTAGATTAGATTGAGGTAGAAAGTTTATTCAAAGGAACTTTGGGAACAGTGAACTTTCCAAACCTAGAGAAAGGTATTAGCATTCAAGTACAAGAAGGTTACAGAACACCAAATATATTTAATCCAAATAAGACTACCTCAAGACATTAAATAATCAAATGCCCAAAAGTCAAGGATTTAAAAAAGGATCCTAAAAGCAGCATGAGAAAGGCAACAAATAACATACAAGGGAGCTCCAATATTCTGGTAGCAGACTTCTCCATGGAAACCTTACAGGCCAAGAGAAAGTGGCATGACATATTTAAAGTGCTGAAGGGAAAAAAAAAAAAGAAACACAACTTTTACCCTAGAATAATATATCCAGTGAAAATATCCTTCAAACATGAAGGAAAAATAAAGACTTTCCTAGACAAAGAAAAGCTAAAGGATTTTATCGACATCAGACCTGTTCCATAAGAAAGCTAAACAGTGTACTTCAATCTGAAACAGAAGAACACTAATGAACAGGAAGAAATCATCTGAGGGTACAAAACTCACTGGTAATAGTAAGTACACAGAAAAACGCAGAATATTATAGCACGTAATTATGATGTATAAGCTACTCATTTCTTGAATAGGAAGACTAAAAGATGAACCAATCTAATAATAAATACAATAACTTTTCAAGACTTAGTATAATAAAGTATAAATAGAAATAACAAAAAGTTAAAAAGCAAGGGTATGGAGTTAAAGGGTAGAGCTTTTACTAGTTTTTTTTATTGTTTATGCTGTCAGTGTCTAGTTGTCATCAGTTGAAAATAATAGGTTATATGCAAGCCTTATGGTAACCTCAAATCAACAAACCTATACAGATACACAAAAAGCAAGAAATTAAAACATACCAACAAAGAAAATCACCTTCATAAAAACAAGAAGGAACAAAGAGAAGAACACAAAACAACCAGAAAACAAATAACAAAATAGCAGGAGGAAGTCCTTACTTATCAATAACATTCGATATAAATAGATTAAACTCTCTAATCAAAAGACATAGAATGGCTGAATGAGAAAAAAAAAAAAGACCTAATAAGTTGCTGCCTGCAAGAAACACACTTCACCTATAAAAACACACATAGACTGAAAATAATGAGATGGAAAAAGATATTACATGCCAATGGAAGCCAAAAAAAGAACAGGAGTAGCCTATCCCAGTGGTCAGAACTTGAGTTCCAGCTAGCCCCACCACAATGGGCTAAATACTTGATACTTATATCAAGAAAAATAGGTTTCAAGACGAAAACTATGAGACAAAGAAGGTCACTATACAATGATAAAAAGGGGTCAATTTAGCAACAGGATATAATTATAAATATGTATGCACCCAACACTGGAGCACCCAGATATATAAAGCAAATATCATTAGATATACATAAAGAAAGCTAAAGAAATATATAGAACCCAGTATAATAATATCTGGAGAGTTCAGCATCCCACTTTTAGCATTGGAAAGATCATCTAGACAGAAAATCAAAGAAACATCAAACTGAATCTACTCTATAGACCAAATAGACCTAATAGATTTTTTACAGCACAATTCATCCAATGGCTGCAGAATACACACTCTTCTCCTCAGCCCATGAATCATTCTCAATGATATATCTTGTGTTACCCCACAAAACGAGTCTTAAATTAAAAAAAAAACTTAAGTGTCCTCTCTGATCACAATGAAATAAAACTAGAAATCAATAACAAGATGAACTTTGGAAACTATGCAAACACATGGAAATTAAGCAATATGCTCCGAAATGACCAGTGTGTTAAAGAAGAAGTTAAGAAGGAGATGGAGATTTCATACAAATGATAGTGAAAATACAACATCCCCAAACCCATGGAATACACTGAAAGCAGTGCTAAGGGGAACGTTTGTAGCAATAAGCGTCTACATAGAAATAGTAGAAAAAAGAAAATTTTTTTGAGTGACACCCCACAAGCACAGAACACCAAAACAAAAATGGAAAAGTGGAATTTTATTAAGTTAAAAAACTTCTGTAAAGCAAAGTAAACAATTGACAAAGTGAAGAGACAACCCACAGGATGGGAGAAAATATTTGCAAACTACCATCTGATAAGGAATTAATAACCAGAATATATAAGGAGAATAAATAACTCAATAGGAAAATATTTAATAGTCTGATTAAAAAATGTGCAAAAGATCTGTCTAGACATTTCTGAAAAGAAGGCATACAAGTGGCAAACAGGTATATGAAAAAGTGCTCAGCATCACTGGTCATCAGAAAAATGCAATCAGAACTACAATGAGATATGATCTCACCCCAATTGAAATGGCTTTTATCCAAAAGACAGGCAATAACAAATGCTGTGAGGTTGTGGTGAAAGGGAACATTTGTACACTGTTGGTGGAAATAAAAATTAGTACAGCTAGTATAGAGAACAGTAAAAATGTTCCACAGAAAACTAAAAATAGAATGGCCACAGGATCCAGCAATTCCCCTGCTAGTTATATACCTTTCTTTTGAAAGGCAGTCAGTATATTGAAGAGATATCTGTACTCCCATGTTTATTGTAGCACTATTCACAATAGCCAAGATTTGGAAGCAACAAAGAGTCCATCAACAGATGAATGGATAAAGAAAATATGGTACATATTCACAATGGAGTATATTTGGCCATAAAAAAGAATGAGATCCTGTCATCTACAACAACATGAATGGAACTGGAGGTCTTTATGTTAAATGAAATAAGCCAGGCACAGAAAGACAGACTTTGTATGTTCTCACTCATTCATGGGAGCTAAAAATGAAAACACTTGAATTCATAAAGATAGACAATAACAAATGCTAGTGAGAATATGAAGAAAAGGGAACCCTTATACACTGCTGGTGGAAATGTAAATTAGTACAACTTCTATGGAGAACAGTTTGAAGGTTCCTCAAGAAACCAAAAACAGAGCTACCATATGATCCAGAAATCCAGAAATATATACTCGTAGGTATATATCCAAAAGAAAGGAAATCATATATCAAAGAGATACCTACACTTTCATGTTTGTTGCCGCACTATTCACAGTAGCCAGGATTTGGAAACAACCTGAGTATCCATCAACCTGAGTATCCATCACCAGATGAATAGGTCAAGAAATTATGCTGCATATACACAATGAAGTATTATTTAGCCATAAAAAGGAATGAGATCCTGTCATTTGCAACAATATGGATGGGATTGGAGGTCATTATGTTAAGTGAAATAAGCCAGACACAGAAAGACAAACATCACACGTTCTCATTTTTTTTTTGTGGGAGCTAAAAATCAAAGCAATTGAACACACAGAGACAGAGAGTAGAAGGATGGTTACTAGAGGCTGGGAATGGTAGTCGGAGGTTGGGGAAAGTAGGGATAGTTAATGGAATGTGAAAACCACCATAGATAATACATAAATAGGCATGATTGTGTTTCAAGAAAATTTAATTTATGGACACTGAAATAAGAATTTTTATATAATCATGTGGCACATTAAAATTTTTTTTTCAACAATTAAATATATAAAATCATTTTTAGCACACATGCTGTACAAAATTGGGCAATGGACTTAATTTGGTCCATGTGCCTTGTTTGCTACCCATTCCCAACATTCCCCGCCTAAAAGTTGAAAGATATATATGATCTGAAGAGAAACCAGAGTGTGCTACCCTTCCCTAGGTAATTGTTATGTGTCACTCCATCACTCTTACTGAAATGCTGCCACCCCAGTAGCAGCCTCCCCTGGTTACCTTTCAATAACAGCACGTTTTCTAATGCCGTTCTCTACTTTTGGTTACTATATAGCACTTAACAGACTATTTTATCCATTTATTGTTGATACCCTTTATACCCTTTATTAAAATGTACACTTCTTGAAAGTTAGAATTCTTGGTTTTGTTTACCACGTTAGCCCCAATGCCTACAAAAGTGTCTGGTGTATTGGACACACTTAATACCCCAGATTACCTGTACAGTGATTAATTCAGAACCTATGGGAAAAATCATACAGCAGTAAAAGACAATTTTCACTGGGCCAGATGTGGTGATAATTTCAGTGTCTCCAGTTCAAGGACACACATGGAAGATACTTTCAGCTCACAGTTGTAAAAACAGTAAGGAAACATCTTTGGGGCAGGCAAAGGTAAGGGTCTGAGAGTAAAAGATGGAGCATTTATTCGATGAGATACCTAGATTATTCAAATCAGGGAATTCAGCTTAAAAATGCAGTTTGGATTAAATTTTGTTTTTCCCCTGATACCTAACTGGTAAAGGTTAATGGGGAGTATTGTATCAGTTATAGATAGGTACTACATTTTTATTACCTCTGAATTGTGCCACCAGTAATTGCTTGGTGTGGTGGTTCCATGAGAAAAAAAAAAAAAAAAAAAAAAACTTCAAGGAGGGTAGAAAGAATATGTTCGTAGTGGTTGCCTTAGGGGAGAAAGACTGGGAGTTTGGCTTTGAGGAGGATTTGTTCATTTGGATTGTTTGCATAGTGATTGAGGAGGATCCAGAATTGTTATATGTGAGAGTATTAAGATGCTAAGCTGACATGAAGATGGGGAGGCAGGCTTTTTTTGTATATGTATGTGCATGGCCAACACACTCTTATTGCTTAGAGAGATGGCATGGGAGTGAATTATCACAGGGGTCTAAAGCTACTTCAGACTACCATTTAGGTTTAGATGTAACCATCTGTATGTTTTATTTTGAAAAGATAAAAGATATAATTTTTAAAAGTGATAAAAATAGAAAATAGATCAAAGTATAGAAATCAGAATCTCTGATAGCCAGGAAAATATACTATTTAATTATCTCTGCCTTTATTTCTATAACCAAGAGTTCATTGTGTCAGTTTCTTTATCTTTATTATCTTAATATTTTAAAAAAGTAATTATATAGAGACAAGGTCTCGCTCTGTTGGTTCAGGCTGGGGTTCTCTGGAGTAGCTGGATTACAGGCATGAGCCACCAGGACCGGCTAGTAAGTGTCAGTTTCTACAGCAACTTCCTCATTTGTTTACAAGTCTAGTAAATAACGTTGTTCTGAGTTTTTATTGCATGTCTATTGTTAGGCAGTACAAGACCTTGTAAACGTGTGCATTCCTGGTCTGTGAAATAGCCTATGTCTGTGAATGGGAGGACAGAACTGTGAGGCCAGAATCTCCCACTTCTTTGAGGGGAACCATTATTTGTTTCCCAGTTCACAACAAATAGAATGGGAGTGAGAAATCAAATGCATCCTGAGACCAATCTGTTAATATAAATGCAGGGAACATCCCTCTGTAGGATGAGAAGGAACAGAGGAACAATTGCAACCTGAGGAGGGGTACACCTATCAAAAAGCACAACAGCAATTCAGTAGCTGTTAAAGGCCACTGAATTGTTAAAGGCCATTTAAAACTGGGATTTGGTCTTCTCCATCTTCCAGTTTATTAAGAGAAGATAGACATCTAGATTTGTACGTAAGATCTGTCCAATTTTAAATGTTAACTGGTGGATAATTTTTTAAGTGTTATGTATGGGCCAAATAAAATACCATTTTGGATCTGGCAAACTAGAATCCAGAAGATTGAGACCTCTGAATAAGATGTTTGATAAAGTTATTTTCTTTCACATGGTTGTAGAACTCATGTGGTATGAAGTTTGTAGTATCTGGGAGTATCTTTCTCATTCTGGTAGTGGACTGTTATTGCCGAGGAAGAACAGAGAAAAGTAGGGTGAGGTGTGGACTTGAGTATATTTGTGTTTCTGGAGTTTTGAGTTGAGATTCTAAATAGGTAGGTAGACATAGGCATAGGTATAGATTATGGATACATATGTTAACTGTGATCATTGTCCTTATAAATGGTAGTCTATTAGCAGAATGGAAAAGATACTTTGATATTATAAACTTTATATTACAATATACCTCTGCAGCTACATAAACATGAAAGACAAAAAGATAAAGATATATTCAGAACTAATGTTAAAAGTGGTAGATAGTTGCCATTAAAATAGTGCAAAACTTCTGAAAACTTGCAATGGGAATAAATCTAATTTACAGCATGGCTTCTATGAGAAAAAATTCCAAACACTAAACTATTTATATTCAAGGGAACATTTAAAATATTGCCCTTTCATAAATTGGAGCCTTTCTGCCTGTGGTCTCCTCTCCCAGAGAACAAGATTTGGCTACAAGAAACATTTTCACCGTTCTTGAAGCTTAGTGTAGTTGTTGAGCCAACTTACTCATAAAGGAAAGAAAAAGAAAACATGAGCTGTAAGGTGGCATATGGAATATTACCTGAGCACCTTACAAATACAAGACTGTAGTGAACTTGAAAAGACTCTGACATTTATATTTCCTCTTCTACTGACCTGTAGATAAGAAACACTTTCTTTCTGGGGATACTTGATCAGGCTTAGGAAGAATGACCCCACACAGCCCTAACCAGGATCCTTGGGCAGCTGACTAAGTTTCACAGGCAATTCATCCACCCTTCCTTTTACTTCTGATGCATGATTTTCCTTCCTACCTGCCAGTTTCTGGAGGCTGAGGAAAGTTTTCAGTTTCAATATGTGTCTGCAGTCCTTAGAAATGTGTCAATCTTGGATAACACATTTCCCTAATTCTAATTTGTACATGGTAGCTCTATTTAATATATGTGGATGTGAAGGTAAATTTCCATTTACTTTGAGTGTTTCTCATTTATCAGTAAGCCTAAATAATAGCCTAAAGTTTTAGCATCATCTTAAAAGCTTTTTTAATGCATTTTTTCTAACATGAAAATGTTAAATAAGCAATCATCTTTTGACAAAAAAAGTGTTTATACCATGCATTTGCTATTGTAGAAATATTAAAAGAATCAAAATAGATTATTCTTGCTCTATTGCAGTTAGCAGGATCAGGCAACATACTAATGGGCTAGTAATTTACAAAGATAAATGTATCACTCATCTCCAGGACTGAACTGTCTTTATGGTTTCTGACTTACCTTGAAACACTGTTTTAGTTTATTATAGATTTTCAGACTCTGCCCTTCCACACTCCTGGCGTTAAGTGGAGGTAAGTCCTATTGTTACCAGCCAGTTTAATCTTACTTCCCTGTATATGATTTCTCTTTCAGCAAGTAAAAAATGTCCAGTTTCAGACTTTCAAATTTTACCCAATCTCCATGTTTACATACGACATTATACTCTTAAAAGCAGTATTACTTTTTAAGCTAATTCAGTTGCCTTTCCCCTTATATCCAATCCAAAGCTGTCTCTCCCATAAGGCCATGTTTACCAATCCTGTATTGGGATATTATTTAAATTTTAGTGTTAAGAAAGATTTTTATCAGTAGCTTTGTGGAGGCTGGGTTCATCAGCCCCATATACATCTCTATTGCTCACCTGACCTATCTGTCCCCTTCATCTCTCTATTTAAAATGATGTCTCCCTCATTTCAAAGAACACTCGCTTCAAAGACATGTTTGATCTCAAGTGAACTCCAAACAACTTCCTCTTGGATCTTTAAATTATAAACCTCATTCATAGAGGACTAAATAAGGAATTTACTTTAACATTTGCCTGAAAATGCAAGCAAAAAAGTGAACCTTAATTCATTCAGGTGTGGTAAGAATCAATTCCCCTCCACCTTCCCTGCCCACTGTCACCCCCAATGTGTTCACACCCTAATCCCTAGAACCTATAAATACATGACCTTATGTAGCAAAGAGAATTTTGCAAATGTGATCTAATGAAAAACATTGAGTTGGCGAGATTATCCTGGATTAACCAGGTAGTGTTAATGAAATCCTGAAGGGGTCTTATAAACAAAAGAATCAGAAGATTCAGTATCAGAGGCAGAGAGAGATTTGAAGATGCTGCTGAGCTTGAAGATGGAGGAAGAAGCCACAAGCCAAGGAATGCAGGTGGTTTTAAGAAATTGAGAAAGATAAGGAAATAAATTTTCCACTAGAGCCTCCAGAAAGGAATGCATACAGACACCTTGATTTTAGCCTATTGAGACCTGTGCCACATTTTTGACATCCATAAATGTAAAGCAATACATTTGTGTTGTTTTAAGCCACTAAATTCAGGGTAATTTGTTATAACTGCAATAGAAAACCAACAAGAGGAGTAAGAACATTTTTGTATTCTTTAGCAGAGTAAGATTATAGTATGAGTATTTTAATTAACTCCAAACATACAGCGTAGAAGCTGTCTGCCACATAAAGTGGTATATGTCTATGCATATATATACTCCTGTATTATATATAATGATGTACATATATATGTGTATGAATGTAAATATATAAACATATATGCCAGAAATTAAAATTTTAGAAAAAAATACCAAAACACTGCTTTATGATGTATTCTGATGATAATTACCTATCTTGATTTCAGCATCCTTTCTAGCCTACAAATAAAACATAAATCATATTTATACTTGTCATTACATAGACTTCTGTCACCTGTGTCTAAAGATGAATACCTCTCAGTCTTGCAGTTATTAGCAGCTGTTACAATTTATCAGCCACTATACAAACACTTGAAGTTTGGGTAAAATTCAAAGAAATAATAATTCATGTATTTTTATAGTTTGAAAATTACTTCTACAATTTATATTCCCTGTAAGATAAACTAATAACATAACAATTCAGAAGCTCAGCAATGGTAAAATAGTATTCAAAAGTTTTTTAATATCAATACATTTATTCTAATCATTGAATTAATACTTAATTAGGATTTATGTAATCTGTTATAAAAGTAGCTTTCTTAGTGCACCCAACATTCCTTTCTGCTTTCCGTCTTTTTTGTTGTTGTTTTTTTTCTATCCTTCTTTCCAAGCCATTTATTAATACAATGTTAATAAATGTTCATTTTGAGTGGGTTGGGTAATAATAGCTCTGAATTCTGGGTAATTATCAAATATTTTATAAAATGTATCACTATATTGGTAAAATAATTATATTTGTAATAGTGTTATCTTGTTGATAGTATAATAATCATGATTATAATGATAAAAAGGCTAAATGGCTTAATGATGATCCAGAGGTACTTTTAGGAATACTTTGTTTTTCTAAAAATGGTACATATTCATTATAATATTTATATAAATTAAATACTAAAAAGGGAACAAAATAAGTTATTTCAAATATTAATGTATTACAAATATTCAGGTAGAAAGATAAATAGAAAAACAATGGAATTATATATGATATCTTTAATAAAATATTAAATTTTATTTTACATACATATAATACATGATAACTAAACAATGGAAATTGAAGTAAATGTTGAAAATATTTGGTAAACATTTCTTTACCAACCACAAAAGCTATTAATTTTTTAAAGCATTTTAAAGTCATGAAAAATTAGAACATGAAATTTGGAGTTATAATTTTTCCAAGTCCGTATTTCAAGTTTTGACTGTGTTAACATACTCATTATTATAGAAGATGAGAAAAAAAATGTTTTATGCTTTGCCCACTTTTTTGTGGCAGATGCTTCTCCCTGCATTCTGGTACTCTTGCCCTCATGTAATTCCCTCCCTTTGAGTATGGGCGTGATCTTTGCTTCTAGTCAAAATAATATGGCAATGAAAACAGGATGTTACTTCTATGATTACATTACATTTCAATGCCTGTCTTGCTAGGACTTAGTTTCTTGCAGACTGTTGGACTGAGAGCTTTGGTTTCTTACTCAGGGGTCTTTAGGACAGCTCACAAAAGAAATTCTTAATTCATCAAAGCTAGCAAGGGAGAGAGTTTTGGTAAGAAAAACAATTTTTTCACTTTTAGGTGTTTTTATTTCTAAGAAAGAAATGAACCTGACTTAAAGGCTCTTTTAATCCTTAAACCTCACCCTATTGCTTAACCTCTGCGGTGGAGATTGGAGAAGTGAAAGGAATCTGGGTAGTGGGGGACTTATGTGGCTTGGCTTCACATAGTACTTGGCAGGTAAGCTACTTACAATCAGGAATCATGTTATGTTCACACTTACTCCTCTTGTAAAGGCCCTTAATCGTTTGAACCAATCTCCTGGTTGCTTGAGAAATTACTTACGGTTTAAAGATATGGTTTAAACCCATATGGTTGAGATAGATTAGATCCAGAGAAGCAGACAGACTTAGGAAAGACTTAAAAAGTCAAGAATACTTGATAGTGAACTGAATGTGGTTGAAAGATGAAAGATATTTCAAGGATGATTTTTAGGAATCTAGTTTTGTACAATTGAATGGGTATAGCATCCTTTAATCTAGAAAAAAAACACATTCCTCTAAAGCATCACATCCTTTAAAATTACTTTTCCTGTGTACTAGTTGTCTTCCCTTACCCTGATTAAAACCTCTATGTCCTTTAGAGTACCCCTAATCAGCATAACCTAGGAGTAAACCACCTACACTAAATTTACAAAATCTATCATGTGAACAACTGATTCATCAGCACTACCTGTTAGAGTAATAAGCATTTTCAAAAGGAAGCTTATTAATTATATCTTAGATGGTACGACAAAGGGAAATAAAACATTTTGGGTATTATAGGGCAGAAATTTGGGGGCATGGGATTTCCCCAGTGTTTCTCTTTTCCTATTGTACATGCTTATCCTGAAAACAATATAGATGTCCCTAGATGTCACAAGGGTAAGCATATTGAGGTGGTATGGTATTTGTCACAATGGACTTTTAGTTTCTCATATTATTTACTCGTAGTAGGAGTTTTAAACTTCTAGCTGTTTATCCTTACAAACAAATGAAGTTTTATAATCAGACTGTAAATGGGGAGCCATACTGTTAAGTATTATATCAATGTTACTCCTTATTAATATCAATTTCAGAATCTCTTTTCACTTTTCCAAAAAGTATTTATGAAATATTTTAACTCAGTATGATTTCTTTTAAATGGTTAAACTCAAAATGGACCTGGGTGATGAAATGGGTGATTAAAACCCTCAGCATCATAAACCATTTATTTTAAACTGGTTTACCTTACAATCAACTAATGCCTGCTCATGTTAGAAAACAGAAAAAAGTAATTTGTGATTGTAGTACATAGGAGCTTAATACTCTGACAGAGGAGGTATGGAGAAGGCAGACAACCATTTTGAGAGAAATATGATACTACTATGTCAGCAAATCTATTCTGGTGAGATAGTCTCTCATGAGCTCCTAATGAAATGTGTATGTCTTAGTCCATTTTTGCTGCTATAACAGAAAACCAAAGACTGGGTAATTTGTAATGTGCGGAAATCTATTGGAGGCTTGGAAGTCCAATATCAAGGTGCCATCATCTCCCAAGAGCTTTCTTACTGTGTCATCACATGGCAGAGAGAGGAGCAAGAGAGACACACACACAGGGGAGTTAAATTTGCCCTTTTATAATGGTATCAATCCCATCCATGAGGGCAGATCCTGCATTGCCTAATCACCTCTAAAAATTTCCATCTCTTAATACTGTTACAATGGCAACTGTATTTCAACTTGAGTTTTAGAGGGAACAAACATTCAAACCAAAGCATTCTGCCTCTGGACCACTCAAAACTGATGTTCTTCTAAAATATAAAATACAGTCATTTCATCCCAATAGCCCCAGAAGTCTTAACTTGTTCTAGCACCAATTTAAAAGTCCAAAGTCAAGAGTCTCTTCTAAATCAGATATGGGTGATACTCAAGTGCGATTCATCCCTCTAGCTGTGAGCCTGTGGAATCAAAATGAGTTATATGCTTCCAAAATACAATGGGTGGGATGGCCATAGGGTAGATATTCCATTCCAAAAGGAAGAAACCTGAGCAAAGAAAGGAATAACAAATCCCAAATAAGTGTAAAACCCAACAGAGCAAACAACCTTATATATTAAGGCTGGAGAATAATCTCGTTTGACTCCATTTCCCAACTTCTAGGCACATTGGGGTGAGGATTGGGCCCAATCCTTCTCCAATAAGTAGCACCTAGATTATTTCTATCCATAATGAGTAATGCCTGGCTTCTACTTCTACCTATACCAATCTCTTTATCAAATGATCACTTGGCTGCAGCCTTGATTTTCCCTCCTAAACATGCCTTTTAATTCTTTCCATGGCCAGGCTGGGTATTTTCCAAATCCTTACATTCTGTTTCCCTCTAAGTTATAAATTCTATCTTTAAATTATTTCTCTTTTTTTTTTTTTTTTTTGCATTTTACTACATGCAGTTAAAAGAAGCCACACAACACCCTGAATGCTTTGTTGCTTGTATATTTCTACTGCCAAATATCCTGGTTCATCGCTCTTAAGTTTTGCCTTCCATAACATCCTAGGGCACGGACACAATTCAGTCAAGTTCTTTGCCACTTTATAACAATGAAGGCCTTTTCTTTAATTTCCAATACCTTATTCCTCATTTCCACCAGGGACCTTATCAGAACGGCTTCTATTGTCCATGTATCTACCAACATTTTAATCATAACCACTGAAGTTATCCTTAAGAAGTTTCACTTTCCTTACATTTCTTCTCGTCTTCTGAGCCCTTACCAAAATCCTCCTTAGCACTCCATTTATGGCAATACAAGCTCTCCCGAGTCTTCTCTAATTTCTTTCAGCCTGGACTTATTACCCAGTTACAAAGCCACTTTCACATTTTTAGGTATTTGTTATAGCAACAGCCTACTTTTGGTACCAATTTCTCTCTTAGTCTATTTGTACTTCAATAATAGAATATCACAGACTGACTAATCTATAATAAACAGAAATTTATTGACTTAGAATTTCAGAGGTTGGAAAGTTCAATATGAAGGTGCTGGCATTTGGCAAGGACCTTCCTGCTGAGTCGTTAAATGGTGAAAGGCAGAGGATGAGAGAGACAAAAGAAAACCGAATTTGCCCTTTTATAATAGTAGAGTCCTCATGGCCTAATCAGCTCTTAAAGGTCTCACATCTCATTACTATTACAATGGCAGTTAAATTTCAACATGAGTTTTGGTGGGGACAAGCATTTAAATCATAGCAGTGTGTGTCTGTGGTGGAAGGTTGCTGAAGGCCAACTGGGGACATGGATAGCCAAAAGTGTTGCACATAAATGATGGAGAATTGTGCAGTAGTTAGAAGCAATGAAATACATATACACAGAGAAATCTGGATGCAGTTTAAAGCATAATACTCGAGGGGGGAAAAAAAAGAACAGAATGAAACCTAAAGCCCAATACCATATATTAAAGTAAATGCACACAAGATAGTAAAGTTTTCACAAGAGCACACAGAAACTAAAAGTCACACCATAAACACAAAGTAAACACTCCTGGGAAGGAGAGGAGGAGAATGAGAGTAGGGAATAGAGGAAAAAGGGAGCCAGTAATTACATAAATAAGAGGGATCATTAAACAGAGCAGTGGACATAATTTCCAATGCACTGAGGTATCTAATTCATTTTCCTTTTCACCTAAGTTTCCTGTCTTATGAAAAATATACATGCTTGTATTATAAATTACACAGATTTGCAAAAAAGAAAATAACTTTTTTTTCGCATTCTACTGATTAGGAATTTCTTTGTTTAGATGTTGCTATATTTCAATGTAATATATTTAATGCATTTTTACAGTTAAGAACAGAATAAATATATAACTTTATAACTTGCTTTTGTCACTTAACAATATAGAATAAGTGGTAACAAAGTATAGTACAGATTTTTCCACTTACGACATTTACTAACTAGCTTTCTTATCTTGGACAAGTTGAGTAACTCTTTCGGTGAGAGTTTCTTTATCTAAGAAAGTGGGGTAATGATTTCCAATGTGAAAATCTGAAGATTAAATGAGATCATGCCTGTAATGTGCCCAATATGCTGCTGGCACAGAAATTGAGCAGCTATTGTTTCTATAAGCATTTCCTCACGCTAGCCTTAAAAATATGTATATTTTAATGTTTCCATTATACCAAATGCTGAATTCTCCTGTTCTTGGATATTTAGGTTGCTTTGACTATTTGTGACTATAAATGATATTTTTAAGAACCTCTAATTGTTTAAGTTTTTATTTTAATAATTATTTCTTTAGGATATTTGCAATTACCAAACATTATTGACATAACTAAGGTTTTTGATAATGGATTGCTTTATATTCTCCAGCTTGAAAATATCAATATCTCCATCTTCTTCTAAAACATAACTTTATCACCATTTTGTTTCAACTTTTCTCTATCATATTTATTTCCTTTTTTCTAAAAGATCTGATTAATGTAAAATAATATTTTATATAACACTTTTCCTCCAATGTGTTTTCTTGCATTCCAGGGGCTCTTGTTTCTGGAACTGCATGTGCTTCATAGGAACTGTATCCTTTTATTTAAAAAACCGTATAACTGGAAACATTTTTCTAAGTTATTTTTAACTTTTAAAACTGGTTTTTAGAACCCAGTTCCTTTAGCCATTTTTTTTTTTTTGGAAAAATCTTGAATGCTACATATTTATAGCAGCATTTTGTATCTAAAATTTTTACAATGCAGAGATGGGCTATAATTTTCTGTTTTAATACCAATTTTTAGCATTTTGATTATGCCTTAAAATTTTTAAATAAAACTGGCCATTTATTCCTAGTTTTCATATATAATATCTAGGGTGGCAAAGCAGTGTTTAAGATAACTTCATAGTCTGTTGGAAGACACTATCTACAATATTTATAGTACAACTCCAATGTTAAAACTTCCAGGAAAAGTTGGTTAGATGTTTTTGATGCATTTCCAGGTAAAACAGACAAGATCAGTAGGTACTCTCATTATAGGGGTTCACTCATCAGAGGGACTGATCAGCCATCAATTATTGAGAATAGAATTTGTGCAGCAAATTATGTGGGCTACAACAGGAGAATGGAAAGGAATAAAAGGCACATATCTTGTCTTCTAAAAATTTTTAATCTTATTGAGGGAGATTAGACAACATACAGGAAATGAGAAAGATTATCAGGTAGCACATAAGTGTCTGGGGAGTAGAAGAGATACAGTGTTCAAGGGATCCTGGCAGTGTGATAACTAGGTAGCAGTTGGCAAAGTCTTTACGGAAGTTACATGGGAGGAAAATTTTTCCCTAAACAAGGGATAAATTATATGTGTGGCATACATATTATATGTGTGGTATACATACCACACATATGAGGAAGCACTCTCCCAAAATTCCAAGCTTGCAAGTCAATCTGTGAATCAGTCTGTTCACAGGCTAATTTACAAATAAAAACCAGAAACATTTTCTCTACCTGGTATTAGATGTGGGTTTTGACTCATTCAGCAATAATTTCTTCCATTTGCAGATGCTATCCAATCAATTGATATTTTAGTGAGGGAAGGTGGGCAAGGGGGAGAGAGGGAAGGTAATAAAGAATTACGAGTGGTAGGAAAAGGCCTACAAACAATGCCAAGAGTAAGCATGCTTTGGAATCAGCAGGGGCATGTGTTCCAGGAAAAGCATTGTTAGGAAATGAGACTAAAACCAGTGAGATAAGGCAGTTAGATAGAAATCAAACTGGGACTCAGAATTCTCAAGAAATTGGCAACCCTAATGACAATGGACAAAATGAGAGTTCCCTTTCTACAAAAAATTAGTAGATGCCAAATTCAGCCATGAAAATCAAATAAAGGGTGCTGCTTCGGTATTTTCATTGATTCTTAAAAAAATGTGAATCTTAACAGCACGTTTCAAGATAACGATTGATGAGAATGGGAATAAGCTTTTGCCATAAATTACCCCAGTTCTGCTGCAGCAAAACATTTTGTGTGGTCAGCTCCTGTGTTTTACTGCAGTTCTGAGACGTTTACACTACTTGCCTTACGTCTTAAGTTATAGAACTTTGGCTGGGAATGGAGAAGGCTAAAGCTCAGATAGTGTAGTCTTTGAGGTTACATAGTTTGCTTGTGGCAATCCCAAAAAAGAAAGTTGTGTTCTAGAACTTTCATTAAGTATACTTTAAATTTTTTTATGTGAAGTTGGTCATTTATCCATAGTCTTCATATGCCAATGGTCCCTTAGTTATAATGGGTCAATTTATGAGTTTTCTACTTTACAATGGGTTATTGAGACATAACTCCATTGTAACTTAAGGAGCTTCTTATGACATATAAGGGAGTAACAGTTTCTACTGAGTGCATGTCTCTTTCTCACTATCATGAAGTTGAAAATTCATAATGGAACCATCTGATTAGTCAGAACCATTTACTATGTTGCCAGAATTAAATGTATTTTCTATGTATGATGGGTTTTTTCAGATGTAACACCATTACAAGTCAAGGAGCATCCGTATATTATTTAGGGTAGCAAAGCTGTGTTTAAGATAACTTTTTAGTCTGGTAAAAGACGTTATCTATAATACATATAATTACAGATGTATAGAGTTAGGGAATAACTCGTTATTTGGTTGACCTTTAGAAAGATGACCGTTCACACAAATTGAAAAATATTATAAATAAAAGAAAAATAAAAACTCAAGATACTTTTAATGTAGGATTTAATTCAATGGATTAGGATTTATTAAGCAATGCTTACATTCTGCTTCTGTTGGTTTAACTATTTGTAATATGAACTTCAGCAAGGCTATCTGTGATGCTTCTCATGAGCTGTGTTAGAGACTGATGACCATTATAAAGGAACAAATAAATATTTTTAGACTTTCTAAGGACTAGATGGCTTCTGTCATAAGTACTCAGTCCTGTTGTTGTAGTCCAAGAGCAGCCACAGACAATAGGTAAATTAGTGAGCGTGAACATGGTCCAATAACACTTTACAAAAACAGATGGTGGGCCAGATTTGCCCAGCAGACTATAGTTTGCCAAACCTTAATCCATTTTAAAGGAACCTTAAACAGAGACCGAAGTGAAAGAAACAAAGAATTGGGTTGTTGGGTAATTCAGAGTTTCAGTCCATGGCCTCTCTTATGCCTCTATATTTTTTAGTGCTAAATAGGTATTAGTGTAATTTAAAAATATGAATTAAATATATTATTTAGGAAAAAATCTCTACAAGCATTAATACTTTCATAAAGATAAAATTCTTTTTCAATTTTATTTAAATCAACAGATGAAAATATAGGTATTTATCATTTAAAACTTGATATTTTGAAGTATAGGTACATTGAATAATAACTAAATCTAGCTAATTAACATATGCATAACTGCATGTATTTATCATTTTTTAGTAAGGACACTTAACACCCACTCACCATTTTTCAAGAATATACTATATTAACTGTGTCGTACAATAGATTTGCTGAACTTAATTTTATCTAACTGAATTTTTTTTTTACCTTTTGACTGGCATCACCCCACCCCCAATCACCTCAGCTCCTGGTAACTACCGTTCTTCTCTCTAGTTCTATGAAATTAACTTTTGTAGATTCTATATATGAATGACACTATGTAGTATTTGTCTTTCTGTGCTTGGGTTATTTTGCTAATGTAATGCCCTTAAGATTCATTTATGTTGTAAATTGTGGACTCTTTTTTTAGGGCTGAATAGTATTTCATTGTGCATATGAACTACATTTTTATTATCCATTAATCCATGGATAGATATAGGTTGATTACATATCTGGACTATTATGAATAATGCTGCCATAAACACGGATGTACAGACATCTCTTCAACATACTGATTTTTTCCCTTTATATATATACCCAGTAGTGAAATTGCAGAATCACATGGTAGTTCCATTTTTAATTTTGTGAGAAACCTCCATAATGTTTTTCATAATGGCTATAGTAACTTGCATTCCCACCAACAGTGTACAAAGGTTCTCTTTTTCTTCACATCCTGGCAAACACTTGTTATCTTTCATCGTTTTAATATCTTTTTAATAATACACATTCTAAGAGGTATAAGGTAATATCTCATTGTGGTTTTAATTTTTGTTTTCCTAATAATTGGTGATGTAGAATATTTTTTCATATACCTATTGACCATTGGTTTACCTTCTTTTGGGAAATGTCTACTCAGATTCTTTGCTCACTTTTTAATTTTATAATTTGTTTTCTTGCCATTTTGTAATTTGTTTTCTTGCCATTGAGTTGTTTTAGTTTCTTGTATATATTGGGTATGAACCCTTTATCATGTGTGTGGTTTACAGTTACTTTTTCCCTTTCCATAGGTTGTCTATTCATTCTATTGATTATTTTCTTTCCTGTGCAGACACTTCTAATTTTGATGTAATCCCATTTTTCTATTTTTGCTTTTGGAGTCCTGTCCCCAAAAAATCATTGCCTGAACCAACATCATGGAGCTTTTCCCCTATATTTTTGTCAAATCATTTGATAGTTTTAGGTTTTACATTAAATATTTGAGTTGATTTTTGTATATTATATGAGAGAAATTTTCAAATTGATTCTTCTGCATATGAATATCCCGTTTTCCAACACCGTTTATTAACAAGACTGTCCTTTCCTCATTGTGTGTTCTTTGCATTTTTGTCAGAAATTGGTTGGCTTTGTCCTGAAGATTCTGGTACGTTGTGTCTTTGTTCTCAATCATTTCAAAGAACTTACTTATTTCTGCCTTAATTTCATTATTTACTCAGTAATCATTCAGGAACAGGTTGTTCAGTTTCCATGTAGTTGTGCGGTTTTTAGTGAGTTTCTTAATCCTGAGTTCTAATTTGGTTGCACTGTGGTCTGAGAGACTGTTTGCTATGATTTCCATTCTTTTGCATTTGCTGAGACGTGTTTTACTTCCAATTATGTGGTCAATTTTAGAATAAGTGCGATGTGGTGCTGAAAAGAATGTATATTCTGTTGATTTGCAGTGGAGAGTTCTGTAGATGTCTACTAGGTCCGTTTGGACCAAAGCGGAGTTCAAGTCCTGAATATCCTTGTTAATTTTCTGTCTTGTTAATCTGTCTAATATTGATGGTGGGGTGTTAAAAAATCCCACTATTATTGCATGAAAGTCTAAATCTCTTTGTAGATCTCTAAGAACTTGCTTTATGAATCTGGGTGCTCCTGTATTGGGTGCATATACATTTAGGATAGCTAGCTCTTCTTGTTGTATTGATCCCTTTACCATTATGTAATGGCCCTTCTTTGTGTTTTTTGACCTTTGTTGGTTTAAAGTCGGTTTATAAGAGACTAGGATTGCAACCCCTGCTTTTTTTTTTTTTTTTTTTTTTTTTGCTTTCCATTTGCTTAGTAAATATTCCTTCATCCCTTTATTTTGAGCCTATGTGTGTCTTTGTATGTGAGATGGGTCTCCTGAATACAGCACACCAATGGGTCTTGACTCTAACCAATTTGCCAGCCTGTGTCTTTTAATTGGAGCATTTAGCCCATTTACATTTAAGGTTAATATTATTTTTTTTCATTAAGTATCTCTTATTTTATTTTATTTTTTATTATACTTTAAATTTTAGGGTACATGTGCACAACGTGCAGGTTTGTTACGTATGTATACATGTGCCATGTTGGTGTGCTGCACCCATTAACTCTTCATTTAACATTAGGTATATCTCCTAATGCTACCCCTCCCCCCTCCCCCCACCCTACCACAGGCCCCAGTGTGTGATGTTCCCCTTCCTGTGTCCATGTGTTCTCATTGTTCAATTCTCACCTATGAGTGAGAACTGCGGTGTTTGGTTTTTTTGTCCTTGTGATAGTTTGCTGAGAATGATGGTTTCCAGCTTCATCCATGTCTCTACAAAGGACATGAACTCATCATTTTTTATGGCTGCATAGTATTCCATGGTGTATATGTGCCACATTTTCTTAATCCAGTCTATGATTGTTTGACATTTGGGTTGGTTCCAAGTCTTTGCTATTGTGAATAGTGCCGCAATAAACATACGTGTGCATGTGTCTTTATAGCAGTATGTTTTATAATCCTTTGGGTATATACCCAGTAATGGGATGGCTGGGTCAAATGGTGGGAATTTGATCCTGTCATTATGGTGCTAGCCAGTTATTTTGCCCATTAGTAGCTGCAGTTTCTTCATAGTGTCGATGGTCTTTACAATTTGGTATGTTTTTGCAGTGGCTAGTATGGGTTTTTCCTTTCCATATTTAGTGCTTCCTTCAGGAGCTCTTATAAGGCAGGCCTGGAGGTGACAAAATCTCTCAGCATTTGCTTGTCTGTAAAGCATTTTACTTCTCCTTAGCTTATAAAGTTTAGTTTAGCTGGATATGAAATTCTGGGTTGAAAAGTCTTTTCTTTAAGAATGTTGAATATTTGCCCCAACTCTCTTCTGGCTTGTAGGGTTTCTGCAGAGAGATCCGCTGTTAGTCTGATGGGCTTCCCTTTGTGGGTAACCCAGTCTTTCTCTCTGGCTACCCTTAACATTTTTTCCTTCACTTCAACCTTGCTGAATGTGATGATTATGTGCTTTGGGGTTGCTCTTCTCAAGGAGTATCTTCGTGGTGTTCTCTGTATTTCCTGAATTTGAATGTTGGCCTGTCTTGCTAGGTTTGGGAAGTTCACCTAAATAATATCCTGAAGAGTGTTTTCCAACTTGGTTCCATTCTCCCTGTCACTTTGAGCTAAAGCAGTATTTAGAGGGAAATTTATAGCACTAAATGCCCACAGGAGAAAGTGGGAAAGATCTAAAATCAACACCTTAGCATCACAATTAAAGGAACTAGAGAAGCAAGAGCAAACAAATTCAAAAGCTAGCAGAAGACAAGAAATAACTAAGATCAGAGCAGAGCTGAAGGAGATAGAGACACAAAAAACCCTTCAAGAAATCAATGATCCAGGGGCTAGTTTTTGATAAGATTAACAAAATAGATAGACCACTGGCTGGACTAATAAAGAAGAAAGTGAAAAATCAAATAGACACAATAAAAAATGATAAAGGGGATATCACTGCTGTGATCCCACAGAAATACAAACTATCATCAGAGAATACTATAAACACCTCTACACAAATAAACTAGAAAATCTAGAAGAAATGGATAAATTCTTGGACATACACACCCTCCGAAGACTAAACCAGGAAGAAGTCAAATCCTTGAATAGACCAATAACAAGTTATGAAATTGAGGCAGTAATTAATAGCCTACCAACCAAAAAAAGTCCAGGACCAGACGGATTCACAGCCGAATTCTACCAGAGGTACAAAGAGGAGCTGGTACCATTCCGTCTGAAACTATTCCCAATGATAAAAAAAAGGACTCCTCCCTAACTCATTTTATGAGGCCAGCATCATCCTGATATCAAAACCTGGTAGAGACACAACAAAAAAAGAAAATTTCAGGCCAATATCCCTGATGAACATTGATGCAAAAATATTCAATAAAATACTGGCAAACCGAATCCAGCAGCATATCAAAGAGGTTATCCATCATGATCAAGTTGGCTTCATCCCTGGGATGCAAGGCTCATTTGGCATATGCAAATCAACAAACAACCCATTACATAAACAGAATGAATGACAAAAACCACATGATGATCTCAATAGATGGAGAAAAGGTCTTCAATAAAATTCAACACCCCTTCATGGTAAAAGATCTCAATAAACGAGGTATTGATGGAACCTACCTCAAAATAATGAGAGCTATTTATGACAAACCCACAGCCAATATCATACTGAATGGGGAAAAGTTGGAAGCCTTCCCTTTGAAAACTGGCACAAGACAAGGATGCCCTCTCTCACCACTCCTATTCAACATAGTATTGGAAGTTCTGGCCAGGGCAATTAGGCAAAAGAAAGAAAGAAAGGGTATTCAAATAGGAAGAGAGGAAGTCAAATTGTCTCTGCAGATGACATGATTGTGTATTTAGAAAACCCCATTGTCTCAGCCCAAAATTTCCTTAAGCTAATAAGTAATTTCAGCAAAGTCTCAGGATACAAAATCAATATGCAAAAATCACAAGCATTCCTATGCACCAATAATAGAGAGCTAAATCATGAGTGAACTCCCAATCACTATTGCTACAAAAAGAATAAAATACCTAGGAATACAACTTACAAAGGTGTGAAGGACCTCTTCAAGGTGAACTACAAACCACTGTTCAAGGAAATAAGAGAGGACACAAACTAACGGAAACACATTCCATGCTCATGGATAGGAAGAATCAATATTGTGAAAATGGCCATACTGCCTAAAGTAATTTATAGATTCAATGCTACCCCTATCAGGCTACCACTGACATTCTTCACAGAATTAGAAAAAAACCACTTTAAATTTCATATGGAACCGAAAAAGAGATCATACAGCCAAGACAACTTTAAGCAAAAAAGGAGAAAGCTGAAGGCATCATGCTACCTGACCTCAAACTATACTACAAAGCAACAGTAACCAAAACAGCATGGTACTGGTACCAAAACAGATATATAGACGAATGGAACAGAACAGAGGCCCCAGAAATAATGCCACACATCTACAACCATCTGATCTTTGACAAACCTGATAAACACAAGCAATGGGAAAAGGATTCCCTATTTAATGAATGGTGTTGGGGAGAACTGGCTAGCCATATGCAGAAAACTGAAACTAGACCCCTTCCTTACACCTTATACAAAAATTAACTCAAGATGGATTAAAGTCTTAAATGTAAGACCTAAAACTATAAAACCCTAGAAGAAAACCTAGGGAATACCATTCAGTACATAGGCATGGACAAAGACATCATGACTAAAACACCAAAAGCAATTGCAACAAAAGCCAAAATTGACTACTGGGATCTAAATAAGCTGAATAGCTTCTGCACAGCAAAAGAAACTATCATCAGAGTGAACAGGGAACCCACAGCTGGGAGAAAATTTTTGCAATCTATCCATCTGACAAAGGTCTAATATCCAGAATCTACAAAGAACTTAAACAAATTTACAAGAAAAATAAAAACAAAGAACTCCATCAAAAAGTGGGAGAAGGATATGAACAGATACTTCTCCAAAGAAGGTATGTATGCAGCCAACAAACATATAAAAAAAAGCTCAGCACTGGTCATTAGAGAAATGCAAATCAAAATCATCTCATGCCAGTTAGAATGGTGATCATTAGAAGTCAGGAAACAACAGATGCTAGAGAGGATATGAAGAAATAAGAGTGCTTTTACACTGTTGGCGGGAGTGTAAATTGGTTCAACTATTGTGGAAGACGGTGTGGCAATTCCTCAAGGATCTAGAATCAGAAATACCATTTGACCCAGTGATCCCATTACTGGTTATATACCCAAAGGATTATAAATCATTCTACTATAAAGACACATGCACGTGTATGTTTATTGTGGCACTGTTCACAATAGCAAAGACTTGGAATCAACCCAAATGCACATCAATGATAGACTAGATAAAGAAAATGTGGCACATACACATCATGGAATACTATGCAGCCATAAAAAGGATGAGTTCATGTCCTTTGCAGTGACATGATGAAGCTGGAAACCATCATTCTCAGTAAACTAACGCAGGAACAGAAAACCAAACACCACGTGTTCTCACTCATAAGTGAAAGTTGAGAACAAATGGACACAGGGAGGGGAACTTCACACAGCAGCTCCTGTCAGTGAGTTGGGAGTGCTAGGGGAGGGATAGCATTAGGAGAAATACCTAATGTAGATGATGGGTTGATCAGTGCAGCAAAGCACCATGGCACACGTATACCTATGTAACTAACCTGCATATTCTGCACATGTATCCCAGAACTTAAAGTATAATTAAAAAAATTATTTGTTCTACATATTGTAAATACTTTTTTTCAAAAAAAATTCGTTGGCTTTAAATGTGTAAATTTATTTCAGGACTCTCTATTCTGTTCCGTTGGTCTATGTGTCTATTTTAATGCCAGTACCATGCTCTTTTGGTTACTATAGCTTTGTCATATTTTTTGAAGTCAGGCAGTATGCTTCCAGATTTGTTCTTTTGCTCAGGACTGCTTAGGTTACTTGAGGTCTTTTGTAGCTCCATACAAATTTTAGGTTTCATTTTTCTATTTCTGTGAATAATGCCCTGATATTTTTAGAGGAACTGAATGGTATCTATTGATTCCTTAAGGTAGTTAGGGTAGTATAGACATTTTTACCATTATTTCTACTAATTCCACGAACACAAGACATCTTTCCATTTATTTGTGTCTTCAATTTTTTTAGCAATGTTTTATATTTTTCAGTGTAGACATCTTTCACTTTCTTGCTTAAATTTATTTCTAAGTTTTTTTGTAGCTATTGTAAATGGGATTATTTCTCAATTTCTTTTTCAGATAATTTGCTGTTAGTGTATAGAAATTCTACTGATTTTTAAAATGTTCATTTTGTATACTGTAACTTTACTGAATTAATTCATTAGTTCAAAAAGATTTTTGGTGGGGTATTTGGGGTTTCCTATATATGAGAATGTTTTCTGCAAATAGGGACAATTTACCTTCTTTTTTTTCCAGTTAGGCTGCCTTTGATTTTTTCCTCTTGCCTAATTGCTCTGGCTAGGACTTCCAGTACTATGTAGAGAATAAGTGGTGAAAGTGGGTGTCCTTGTTTTCTCCCCGATCTTAAAGAAAGATCTTTCAACTTTTCCAAGTTGTGTATGATTTTAGCTGGGGGTTTGTCATGTGGATATTGCCTTTATTGTATTGAGGTACATTGCCAATATAGCTAATTTGTTGGAAGTTTTTTATTGTGAGAAAATATAAATTTTTTTCAAATGCTCTTTTCTGCATTTAATATAAATTTTTTTCTTCATTTTGTTAATGCAGTGCATTACATTTTTTATTTGTATATTTTGAACCATTCTTGTGTCTCTAGGACAAGTCCAATTTGATCATAGTGAATAATCTTTACAAATATGCTGTGGAATTTGGATTGCTAGTATTGTATTGAGGCCTTTTGCATCTATGTTCATCGGGATATTTATCCGTAATTTTCTTTTTTTTTGTAGTATTCTTGATTGTCTTTGGGATCAGCATAATGCTGGCCTCATAAAATGAGTTTGGAAGTATTTGCTCTTCAAATTTTTAGAAGAGTTTGTGAAGAATTGGACTTGTTCTTTAAGTGTTTGGCAGAATTCGGTGGTATTGCTATATTGACCTCTTTGTCACAATATATGACCTCTTTTGTTTATTTTTACAAGTTTTGACTTAATGTCTATTTTATCTCATAAGTGTAGCTACTCCTGCTTTCTTTTGGTTTTGATTTGCATGGAATATCTTTTTCTATCCCTTCCATTTCAGTTTATGTGTGTCCTTACAGCTGAGGTGAGTCTCTTGGCAGCATAGACATGGGTCTTGTTTGTTTGGTTTTTTAATCCATTAGCCATGTTGTCTTTTAATTTGAGAATTTAGTCTAGCTACATTCAAGGTAATTAATCATAGCTAAGTGCTTACTACCATCATTTGATTGTTTTCTAGTTGTTTTGTAGATACTTTGTTTTTTTCTTCTTTTGCTGTCTTCCTTTGTGGCTAAGTAATTTTCTTTAGTGGTATATTTTGACTCCTTGCTTTCTAACTTTTTGTGTTTCTACTGTAAGTTTTTGCTTTTGGTTACCGTGAAGCTTACAAAATCATCTTGTAATTATAATAGAATATTTTAAGCTAAAATCAACTGTGATGACAAAAATTACAACTGCAGACTTTTACTTCACTCTTCCTCAATATTTTACATTTTTTATTTTTAAATTTACTTTTTAAAATATTTATCGCTTAACAAATCTATAATTTATAGTAGTTTTGTCTCATAAACATATGTGTTTCACACATCACCATATCACCATTATAGTATTAAATTACTCTGAATTTGTGTATTTGCTTTTACCAGTTAATAGTTTCAGCTGTTTTGTGTTAATCATTAACATCTTTTTTTAATATTGAATAGCTTTCTTTAGCATTTCTTGTAAAGCAAGTCTGGTAGTGATTAACCCTCTCAGCTTTTTGTGGCTTTTTTTTTTTTTTTTTTTGGCAGAGGTGGGGTCTGGAAAAATCTTTATCACTTTCATTAGTGAAGGATAGTTTTGCTAGGTACAGTATGCTTGGTTGTCATTTTTTCCTTAGCACTTTAACTAGATTATCTCATGCTCTCCTGGCCTTCTTCTGCTGAGAAGTTGTCTGCTAGCCATACAGGAACTTCCTTATATGTTGTTTGCTTCTTTACTCTCACTGCTTTCAGGATCCTTTCTCTGTCTTTGATTTTTGACAGTTTCATTTTAGTATATCTTGAGGTAGTGTTGTTTGAGTTGAATCTTTTTGGTGAGCATTGTCCTTACATTACCTGGATAGTTATCTTTCTCCAGGTTTGGAAAGTTTTCTGCTATTATTTTTTAAAAGTAAGCTTTCTAATCTGTCTTTAAGTTGAGAGATTCATTCGTCTGCTTGATCAATTTTTCTGTTGATGCTGTCTACTGGACTTTTCACTGTATTTTTCAGCTGCAGGCTGTTTGATATTTTATTATTTTAATTTCTGTTAATTTTCTAATTATGGTCATTTATTTCTTTCCTCATGTCATTGAATTCCTCTGTATTTCCATTGAGTTTCTCTATTTTCTTGTTCTCTGATCTTCCTTAAAATAGTTATTTTGAATTCCTTTTTAGGAAGTTTATACGTCTCATTTTTTTTGGGGGGGGCATGTCATTGGCACTTTATCTTTTTGTTTATACTATTTTTCTTTATTCTTTATTGTTGTGGTCATGCATTTACGTCATTGCAGTCTTCGTAGACTGGCTTTATCTGGGAATTCCCTTCACCAGTCAGCCCATCTAGAAATTCTTGGAAGGCTGTCTGGCATAGTCCCAAAGCCCAAGGTTGCTGAGGCCAGCACAACGCTGAGGTAGGATAAAAGCCTAGGGCCACTGGGATGAGCTAGAAGCCTGCGGCTACTGAGGCCTGCTGCTGCTGAGGTATTTCCAGATCCTGGGGCTGCTGAAGTTTGTCCAGTGATGGTATAAACCCGGGATTGACTCCACCTTTCTTACCTGAAGTCTGGGGCTTTGGGGGTCCTGCTTGGTGCTGGGACAGGTCTGTAGGCTCAGTCTTCAGGTGCCAGCCAGGATTCTGGGGCTGTGGTGGCCTGCTCAGTGCTGGGCTTTACACTGAGGCAAGCTTGGTGTTGGTGTCCAAAACAAAGTCCTGTGCTCACATTCCTCTCTTTCCTGCAAGCAGAGAGTATCTGTTCCTGCATTGTGCTGCCTGGGTTTGGAAGAGAGGTGACATGGTTAATTTCAAACTCTTTTCTACCCTCTTCAGTTCAGTGTGTCTTTTCTTATTGTGCTACAAACAGGTCCTGTAATTGTTTGCCTGGTTTCCTTAGCTCTTGTGAAGGTATTTTCATTTATAGACTGTTTTTCAGATCAATGTTTCTGTAGGGGTATGATCACTAGAGAGTCCTATTACACTATCTGGCTCTGCCCTTCTGTTTTTAAATTTTAATATTATCTATTTATAAGCCAGAAAAATATTATATTCTAGATTGTGTATAATATATATAATCTTTGCCAATTTCTGCAAATCCTTACAATACCTTAATTTTCTTATTTTAGTTTGCTAAAATTGTATGACAAGCCTTCACAGCAAATTTGGTATGTATTCTTCTACTCTTAGTGAAATTTTTGGAAAAATATGGAAAAATACACCAGGAAAAGAGGGAAAGGAATCACTGAGATTTCTTAACGCTTTCACTGTTTTTGAGAATTGTAGGTCAAAGTTGTAGACAACGTGGATAGATTGTGTATAACTGGTAAGAGGGGGATACAGAAAGTGAAGAGCTAGCATGTTTTTTCTTATGACAAAGAAGGGGAAAATCATTTTGTAAGTGCACACATCTTAGGCATTATGCTAAAGTTTTTTTTTGATCCTTGAAAGCAAAGAAACATATTCTAATCTCCATATTTGAAATTCATAGACGTTAATATTACAGTTAATAAACAGCTGAGTCAGTATTAAAATATTGCCCACATAATTACAAAGCCCAAACTCCTTCCACTGTAGTACATTGCACAGATTGGATTCACTAGGCAGTGGAATGTTGTACTGAAAAGGAGCATCAGCATCTCTGAGAAGCCTGATGGTTTTCTCTGAAGTATAAAATTGACTCCAGAAGATATATTGATTCCCGCGTTTGTATCAATGGAATGATATTCTTCAGGAATTGCAGAGACTTAACTTAGTGTGGCACTTAACTATCCAATACAAGGTGAGAATAATTAAGATTCCTTGACCCACAGGTATCTGCAGATGGGTAATAAATTCTAGTGTTCCAATCATGAGATAGATAAATGACTAATTTGGGTGTGATTTGGCTTGTGTGACAAATGCGTATTAGAATTTGCCTGCAGAAGTCCAATATCAGCCACTGCAATGGAAAAAATTCATTCTTCATCAAGTTTTCAGGTGATATCCAGGTCACTCTTCCAGAATGGATTGGTGGAAGATCCTTTTGAAAGGATCTTGTAAAGGCCACAAAAGTATATATGATAAACATTTCTCATCCTTTCTCAAAGGAAAGTACAGTCATTTACCAGGTTAACTGTTTACTGAAGTAAGTGGACTATTCAGACTATTCGAGGGTTCTTGTATATGATTTCTGAACTGACACTACTACCAGAAGATCTGAAATCTCATCATAATTCACTGGTTATAGAGGAGGCAATAGAGGTGTTAAATGGAGTTTCAGCATGAGTTAATCTTACAGTGATTCTAGTGAGTACCAGTGTATATAATGGAGAAATGGGGATACATACATACACACATGAATATTCGCACTCATTCACTTAGTAAGTGATAAAAGCCTAATATTTTTCCCTGGACCTGTGAGGTAAGAACCAATAAGAGCCAAGTAATAAGAAGGGCCAAATGGAAAACTTCTCATTTTTTCAATAAAATTAAGTCTAAAGTAATATCACATTTTGCAAGGAATTTCAAGAGATTATCCCAGTCTTCAAAGACATATGGGAGCAGTAGTCCCCAGTGTGCCCCTTTTAATTTACCTATTGACACTTGGGGAAAAAACAGGTGTATTAGGTAGATGATGGTGGATATCTCTAAATTGATTCAAACAGTAGTTCCAATCATAGCTGCTATACTTGACCTAATATATTTACTGAAATAAATCAACAAAGCCTCCGACATTTGGAATGTACTATTTGTTAAATATATTCTTCTTAATTCCCATAAGGAAGATCAATAATAATTTACATTTAAAAGGGAAGAGAAGCAGGATACATTTATTCTCTTGTTTTGGGATATGTTAATTCTCCCTGACTCCTATCATGACGTTTGCAGAGGCCTTTATTACTGATATTCTATGAAATATCATGCTGGTAAACTATACTGATAATATCATGCTAATTGGACCTGGTGAGCAGGAGATGGCAAGTATTATAGTAGCATTCCAGAAAGGCACACACATTCCAGAGGATAAGTAATAAATCCCATGAAGATTCAGGGGCTAGCCATATCAATGAAATCTGCAACATGGTAAATCATCCCTACTACTTACTACTAACAAAAGGGCAGCACATTCCATACCTGGCAATAATGCTCAGTGCCATTTATTGAGTGTATCGGAAGACTGTCAATTTAGAGCAGGTCCCATAGCATGGAGAAGGTGTATGGCAGGTTTATACCGTAGAATATCTGATAGTGCTAGACGTTTTCATGATAGTAAAGGATGCTTTGTGTTATCTATGGCAATCCCCAGTACAGAGATGAGTCACAGACTTCTAGGATTCTACAGCAAGGCCTTTTCTTCTGCAACAGAGAATTGTTAACCATTTCAAAAGTGGCTCTTGATATATTATTGGGCCTTGGTAAAGACCAAGTGTCTGACCATGAAACATCAAATAACTATGTAACTGCAGCTTTTATCGTGACCTGTATTTGATTATACCTATCAAAAAACAGATGAGCATAGCATCAATCCATCAAAAGGTAGAAATGGAGTATTTGGAATCAAGGCTGAGCAGGTTCAAATATATATCAGTAAATTACATAAACATACAGTCCATGACATGTACTTGTGCTATATTGATGCCTCTTTCTCAATTTTATTTCTGGTCTCTTAAGTACAGTGACCTTATAATGAATTATCCAAACTGAGATGCATTTGAGAGTAAAATTTAATGCTATTAATTACTTTGTGATACCTGGCATATGCTGGAATTATCCCTGGCAAGCTGGGTATAAAGTCACCCTACTTCTGGGTTACATCCTATGATCAACTGAAGAGAAGAAAACACTTGAGTCCAGTTCTCACATGAGTCAGAACTGAACACCATTTTGGTGCTAGCCATAAGTAAACTGTCACCATCAGTATTCACTCAGTCCATTTGGCTAAGAGCAATTCCCCTAGGAGAAAGAGCTGTGACCAGTATACTTAGAAGTTCATTTTGCATGTATGAAGTGGCCTGCAGTATGGATATATGTGGACACCTGGCAAGTGACTAATGATGTCAGAGTGTTTAGTCAGAAGCCTTGAAGGAATAAAATCTGAAGATTCAAGACAAGCTTGTCTGAAAAATTGGAGTGCGGATAGTCTTAGGAGAGTGGATACAAGATGTAGATTTTTGAGGTTTATGTCCAACAGATAGTCTACACATGCAGAGAAGTCATCAATAAGTGGAAAGATAGGATGACTTCCTGTCCTGTGAGATAGTCCAGCCTTGCACTTGGCCCTTATAGTGCTGGCGCAATGTGCTGCCCATGGCCTGTGAGGACTGATAGCAAGGACTTCTTCTTGCCAGAGTTGAACTAGCAAATGATACTTGAATGTCCAGCATGCCAGCAACAGAGACCATGCTGACTTCTTAGTATATTACTATCCTTTGAGGACATAATCTAGCCACTTAGTGGCAGATTATCTCTTCCATCTGTAAGGCAGCAATTTTATTCTTATAAAGACATGTATTTTTCTTGTCTGTCCACAGTGCCTCTGCAAGCTTCACCTTTCCAGAACTTAAAGAATGTCATAAACATTTTATGCAACATAGTTAGAGACAACACATTTTATATGCAAGACATGTGATAATTGGCTCATGACTTGAGATCTATTTGTCTTTCCATATACCTCATAACCCAGAAGAATAATGGCAAAATAATCCATTATAGGCTCAGGTTAAAAAAAAAATCAGCTTGAGGACAAAACCCTGAGGGTTAGGACTGATGTATTCCAGGCTGTGGTACACGTACTAAACCAAGTATATTAGGATATAACGTATATTAGGATATACGTTAGTGTTTTCCCAATAACTGGAATATATTACTTTGGGAACCAAAGGAATAGAAGATTACCTTCTCTTAATGCCACCCACAGTGGCCCCTGTGTAGAGATGCTATTTCTGTGCCTGAAACCATAGTCATTTCTATATTTCCAAAAGCTTGTTTCTAACAGAGAACACAGTAAAGGATCTACTGAACTTGCAGGTATGAATACCACACCTAGACACTTTCAAGTCATCATGCCAGTGGACCATCAGACTAAGAAAGGGGTTAGCATACTGGCCAGGATGATTGACTCTGGTTGCCATGATGAGTCATGGATGATGCTACACAATGGGTGCTGGGAAGCATTTGTCTGGAAGCTAAGAGATTCACTGGGGCATCTCTTGGTTCTTCTGTGCCTAGCAATAATGATGAACTGCAACATCTATGGCCTAAGAAGGATACATCATTATCATCTTCCAATATTAGCATATTATTTGCTTAAATTCAATGTTTGTTTATTTTTTGTTCTTCTAGAATGTAAACTACAAAATGGCAGAAATATTTATTTTGTTCATTTATGTATCCTAAGGGACTGGAATATAGCCAGGGGTTCAATAAATGTTTTTGAATATATGAATAAACAATAATATAACTAAAAAATTGAGAGGAGCAGAAAAATTGGAAGATAGCACAAATGTTTGAAATTCCTCATATTTTGCATATGAGAATCATCTCAAATTTTGATAAATCAAACTGTACAATGTAGGCAGATTACTTAAATAGCAAGCAGTAAAATGAATAAAATGGACACTGCTATCAGTGGTTGTCTCTGAGTAGTACAAATGGAGTGAAGAAGACAACTTTTTTATTAATTTTTATTTTTATCAAATAAAGTGAACATAGTTAATAAACCATTCTATAAATTTTATGAAGGCAATCACTTTCAACTCTTATTTTCATTCATATTTAAATCAATTTTTAAAAAAATCATATGTGTACACTGCTATATTTAGATATTATCTGAGACTTCTCTTTGGAGTAAAGGTTAACTTCTTTACCACCTACTTATTCTTCTCAACACAACCTTATTACCATTTATCATTAATTTAGTGTTTTACGTGTTTATGAAAATATTGCTCCTTGCTGATTCAATGAATGTGCTTATACCTGTTTCCTTGCCTTTTATAACTTTTCATTTTTTATGTTGCTTATAATTATTTTCTGTATATTTAGTATTTTCTTTTTAAATACACATACAGCTCAGTCAGTCACCCTGTGGTTATTTACCCAAATGCTCAAATGCAGTTTCAAAATCTCTATCAGTTTTTATTTCTCCTTACTGAGGACCACTCTTGCACACTCATACATCTTCCTGCTCCAAACTAGACCTGTTGCTCTAGCTCTTGGCTTGGGATTCTTTTTGCCTGCTCTTCTCTAGTCTGTTCTTCAAGATGTGGTATATGCTCTAAATCAATTTCCAGTAGTTTAAATATCAAATTTTGGAAACCAAAAAGGAGAGCCTGGATTAGATGTTTTGTTGATCTGTGCTTTCCTTTTTTTTTTTTTTTTCCTTATTCCCTTATTTAAAAACGCTTTTTGGTAAATAAGAAAGAGAGCATGGGAGATATTTTTTCAATCATGCAAGGATTCGAAACTACTATCTTTAGTCTTTCTTCCCTTGTGAGTGATAATTTGTATGTGTGTAGAATTCTCGGCTTCGGACTACATATTGCTTTCCGGTACCAAGCATTTTATTCAGAAGTCAAAAGGCTTTGCAATTCTCATTTCTCTTCATAGATGCCTCCCTTCTTCTTCCCCCTCCCCGCCCTGCCCTGAGAGATTTAGAGATCTTTTTCACTCACGTGGTAAAATCACATAATATCTTTTTTTCTTTCATTCATTATGCCAGGCACTTTTGACCATTTACAGTTTGGAAATTCTTGTCCTTCTGATAAAATTTCTTTGCGTATTTTCTTAAAATTTGAGAGGAAGTCTTTTGCTTTCCATTTTATGTTTTGTTCTTGTAATTTTGCTGCCTTCATGTATTACTTATCTAATTGAGGTATGAATGTAGAAATCTACATTCATGTGGCCATGTGCCTGATGGTATAAAACAAACTAATATGTATAGGAGAGCATAAAGCTCGTGTGCAGGAAGAAGAGAACAGAGATGAGCAGTGAGTCTTATGTGTGACTCCTGGGTTCCAGTGATCCCTTTGATTCCTGAAGCTGTTTTTCTTTTGATTTTGTGGAGACTCCACATTCTGATTGAGCTAGTTTGACTCTTGTTTCTGTCATTACTCTAAATTAAGCCCTTAATGTTAGTGTGCTTTACTGAAATGTGGAGAGGTAGTTACTGATTTTGGCTGTTGTTTTACACTGATATGAGATTTGATTAAAATTCCCTTGATCCTTCCATTTCTAGCTGTGATAGTTAATTTTATGTGTCAATTTAGACCAGAGTATTCCCAGATATCTGGTTAAGCATTATTTCTGGATGTTCCCAGATGGCTGAATCTGTGGACTCAGTAAGTAAATTGCTCTCTCCAGTGTGGGTTGGCATCATTCAATCCTTTGAGGGCCTGAATAACACAGAAGGAAGAAAGAGAAATTTATTCTTTTTTTTCTTCTTCCTGCCTGCCTGCTTGAGCTGAGCTACATTTTTCTTCCCCTTCCCTTTGACTTGGATTTACCCAATTAGCTCCCGTGGTTCTCAGCCCTTTGGACTCGAACTAGAATGACACTACCAGCTTTGGTGAGTCTCCAGCCTGCAGATAGCAGATCATGGGACCTCTCAACCTCCTAATCATGTAGGCCAATTTTCATAATAAATCTATATATATATACACATATATACATATATATGTGTGTGTATACACATATATATGTGTGTGTGTGTGTGTATATATATATAGGAGAGACTGGATTAGATGTTTTGTTGATCTGTGCTTTCCTTTTTTTTTTCCTTATATGTATATATGCTGCTTTTTTTTTCCATATGTATATATGCTGCTCCACAGGCTGCTATTGCCAGTGTTGAATATGAATATTATATTGGCTGTCTTTCTCTGGAGAACCCTAATGCTTGAGCCATGCCATATCAATGACTTGTAAGCTCTTCCTCACCCAATGAGTGAGCAACATCTCTGAGAAGAGAATTGATGATTGTTTCAAAGATTCTTGCTTGGTATTTATTTCATGACTGAGGATTTTGGATCTTAAAAAAGTGTATCGAGGAAATTAAAATCAGTATTCTCAATGTTTTAATGATATGATAACAAGAAGAGAAGTTGGAGATAATTTAATCAAATTCCTGAACAAAGGTTGAAAGGTAGGTTTAATCAGTAGTTTTTCTATTTTTTTTTTTTTTTTTTTCAGGAAAGGAAGGTGAAGGTCTCAAAGATAAAATGTTCATGTAAAGACTTGGGAAAAAATTGTTTATCACATTGTTGTGATAAACATATTAAGTTGGATTTTTACCACACCAAAGTAAAACAAGTATGTAGGAAAAATGCTTAAATCACTCTATATGAACTTTCATGTTAAATTCTGATTTAAAAATTATCTAATCCTTTCATCATTACAGCAGCCAATATGGTTTTAGTAGGTATATAATACAAAAACTTGAACATCAAAATGATATACATTATGAATTGGTTATTTATATTCAAATAATTATTTGGATCCCCCAAAGGATTTGCCAGAAAAAAAATGTTAACATTAGGAATTCTTTTTAGTTTACCGAATTATTTCAACTTTTCAATGTTTATTATATAAAAGGCATAAAACTGCATAGATTGCTGTTGCCATAGTTGAATTTTTATAATCATGCTTAATGCATTTTAATAACTCTTTAAAAATTGTAAAACTCAGAAATTTAGAACAATAAGCAGAAATTTCAAATATCTCCAGATTTGTGCCACTGCTAGTGGACATATCATTTAAAGATTATCTACCACCCAAATACCAGCAAGTTTCTTTGGTTTATGATTGACAAGCACTATAGACCCTTGTGGATCAGGTGCTTTATGGCAGATGATTAGCCTGTTACAAAAACAGAGGTATAGAGAGAGAGAAGAAAAATGATTTCTATCAACATTTTAAATCTTTTTCAGTGTGTTCACTATTGAATTCAAAATAAATATTTCCAATTTCATTTTTCATCTTTAGACTTCAGTGGCACAACATTGATCTTTTTTATGTCACAGTTGTTCTGCAACATCAGTTAAAGAGGGTTTTAGTTCAGGAATGAACTGTACTGACAGAGTTAGTAGGAGTAATGAATGGAGTGAAACATAGCCATCCTGTATGCTTTCCATCTTTGGAGCTTTTGTGAAAAGGAGGGTGACTGGTTTGGGGGCCAAGTGGACACAAGGTGATTTAGCCAATGTGTAAGTGGGAAAAATCCTTAAATCAGAAAAAGAAGTGGATTTTAGCAGAGTGTAGTTGGCATTTTTCAGGAGAAAAAATATTCTATTTTAGGAGCATTGAACCCTGGCCAACTTGGTAAGAACATAAATCCTCTCTTCCTTTCACTAGGTTTTTATAAATTTGATGTTGCATCATTAGGTTCATCCAGGTTTAAAATGTAGAATGGAAAAAAAATGAAGAATCGATATCTTTTTTAGGAATAGAATTATCACCATGAAACAATCATCTTTAATTAATGCTTTGATTCCTTGATGTCTATTTTTTCCATATTAATGCTATGACTCTTTTGGTGAGAACTTGCATGGTAAAACTTAGTTCATTTTACTTTCAACGTTATGTTTTAGATGTGTCTTCTTATAAGTACATTAAAGTTGATTTTCAAAAAGCCAGTCTGCCAATCTTAGACTTATTTTGTATTCTTCATTCTTCATGTTGTAGGTTTCTCGTTCTTTCACTTACTGATTTTTGAATTGATTAACTACTGTTTCTCACTTCATTTTTTCACATTGCTAGTTTGCAAATTATATACTATAGTTCTCTCATATAAGAAGTTCCTCTTCCATATTAAACCATATCAAAATCCAAAGTCAATTTTTAGAATTCTCATGAAGACAATATAAAGACCTTAGAAAATGTTGACTTTATTTATCTCTTCATCAATCTAATAACTCAAAATTGCTATGCATTTTTGTCTTGCAGCTCTAATTAATTTTATCTTAACTAATCACCAATAATTAATGTCTATTTTACATTAACTAGAAAACATTAGTGTCATTTTATTTTATATTGTCAACATTTGCTTAGGTTTTTAAAACTTTTTACTGAACTATAATTTATACACTGATATTTGCATTGCAAATAGTTTTCACTAGCCTGTGTCTTATTGTTTCATTTTCTTATGGTGACTTTTGAAAAGCACTTATTTTGTCTCTCATCATTCATGCTTTCTGTGTCCCAAATAAAAACAATTTTTCTTACTTGAGTTTGTGAAGACTTTCTCCACTGTTTTGTTTTAGTTTTATAACTGTAACTTTTATGTTAAATCTATGATACATTTAATTTTTTGATATGATGTGACATAAGGGTAAAGATTTACTATTTTTGTGCATAATATCCAATTGTTCTAGTGTTGTTTGTTAGGAATATTTTCCCTCATATGTTGAATTATCTTAAAAACATAATGGAAAACCAATGACCAAATATGTGTGGATAAATTTACAAACCCCCATTTTGTTTCATCGATATTTATAATTGTCTTTATGCATTCCTGATAACCATAGCATTATTGTAATTTGGAAATTAAATAATAAAATTTTTACAACGTGGTTCCTTTAAAAATGTGTTTAGGCTATTTTAGATCTTTTTCATTTCCATATAAACTTAAGAACTGGGTTTTTATAAGAGTAAGTCTTATGGAATTTTGGGAGTTTGCTAAATTAACAGATCAAATTGAGGAGAAATTATATCTTAATAATATTGAATCTTACCTCTCCAATTATTTTGATTGTCTTTTATATCTCTGCAATAATTGGTAGATTATATTGTATAGGTCTTGTATGTTGTTTTGTTAAATTTACCCCCATGTATCTCATATTTTTAGATGATATGATAAATGGTATTTTAAAATTTAAATAATTTTGGCTTTATACTTAGGTCCATTTTGTAGATGGTGTGAGGTATGGTTCGGGTTTTTTGTGTGTGTCTATTTCTGGGATTGCTCTTGTGTTCTAGCTAATCTATGTGTTTATGCTTACACCAACTCCACACTGTGATAGTTACTACAGTTTATATTAAGTCTTGAAGTCAAGTAATATTGAGTCTGTCAGTGTTGTTTTCCAGTGTTGGCTTGGATATTCTAGCTCCTCTAACTTTTTATATGGACTTTATGATAAGCTTATCAATATATAAAACAATTCTTTCTCAGGTTTTTAATGGATTGTGTTGAATTTATATATTAATTCAGGAAGAATTGATCTTACAAATAATGAGTATATCTCTCCATTTACTTTGGTTTTCTTTAATTCATTTAATATACTTGTATGTTTTACATTCCTACCTAATTCTTTCATTTATTTTGATGACACTGGGAATGGTACATTTTTTTGTCTAAATTTCACTTTCTATTTTAATTATTTCATAATTAGTATGCAGGCATTTCCCAACTTGCAGTGGTTCAACTTAGAATTTTTTGACTTTACAATGATGTGAAAGTGATACACATTCATTAGAAACTGTTCTTCCAATTTTGGAGTTTGACCTTTTCCCAGCTGTAGGCTAATCTAAGCATTGAGTTCTGAGCACATTTAAAGTAGGCTAAACTATGATGTTCAGAAAGTTAGGTGTGTTAAATGCGTTTTTGACTTAAGATATTTTCAGCTTATGCTGGGTTTATTGAGTTGAGGAACATCTGTGTAATAATTTGTGTATTGAGATACATTGGTTCTGTATCTTGAAAGCTCGCTAAACTCAATTTTTAGTTCTAGTAGTATTTCTGTCCATCCTTGAGATTTTCTCCAGGGACAATCATGTAATCTGTGAAAAGAGATGTTTTATTTATTCTTTAAAAAACTGTGAGCTTTTTATTTTTCTTGCCTCATTGCACTGCCTAGGACAATGCAGAAAAGTAATGAAAGAGAACATTATTGTTTTATTCATGATATCAGGGGAAAAAGTATTCCATCTTTCCTTTTAACTATCATATGAGCTGTAAGGTTTTTGCAGATTTTTTATCAAGTTTCCTTCTGTTATTAATTTGAGGTTTTATAATAAATGGATGTTGAATATTAAAGTTTTCTGTATTTGTTGAAATGAATATGTGGCTTTTCTTTAGTCTCCTCCTATAATAAATTCTATTGACTGCATTTTCAATGTCGAACCAGCCTTATTGTCCTAGGATAAATCACTTTTAATCATGAAGCATTATTTTTAATACTTTGTTAGATTAAATTAGCTAATGTTGTGATGGGAGTTTTTGCATTTATGCTCATGAAGAACATTACATTTTCTTCTTATATCTTTCATTGGTCTTCTTAAAATATTTTGTGTTTCTAATTTCTTTAAGAGTTTATATATAATCAGTATTAGTTTTTCCTTAAGTTTTGTAGAGTCCATCAGTGAAATAATCTGGTTCTTAAAATTTCTTTGGAAGTATTTTAGCTATTAATTTTATTCCTTTGGTTGAAATAGGACTATTCAGATAATCTATTTCTTCATAAGTGATCATTAGTGGGTTGTACCTTTTAAGAGGTTTTCATATTTCATTGAGATGTTAAATTTATGAGCAAAAAATTCTTGATACTATTCATTATCCTCTTAATGTCTTAGGAACTACAAAAAATACTTCTTCTTCGATTCCTGATATTGGTGTTTCATGATTCTTTTTCTCTTTTGATTAATCTGTCAAGAACTTTCTCGGTTTTACTGATCTCTACCAGATTTTCATTGTTTTTTCTCTATTTTCATTGTTTATAATTTCATTAATTTCTGTATATTTTCTTTTTCTAATTGCTCTGAGGTTAACTTGCTCTTTTGCCTGTTCTCAAGGTAAAAACAATTTATTTGAAATATTTTTTCTTTGCAAATACGAGCATTTAATTCCATAAATTAGCTGCATCCTATACGTTTTGATACTTTGTGCTTTCATTTTAACAGAAAATGTTTTCTAATTTCACTTTTGACCTTTGACTTAATTGATTGCTAATGATTTCTAACTTAATTGCGTCATAATTACAGAACACAAATTCTACAACTCCAATACTTTGAAGTATTTTTTTTTTTTTCTGGCATTCTGGTGTGGGGAAACAATTCTCCCTGTATTCTTAGATTCCTGCATATTTCAAGCCATATGAGCAAAAGGCATTTCTGTTCAACAAACATGTCTTAGAAATTAGAGATCATGTCTCCCTAAAGAGAGAGAACCCTGGAGATGTCCCAGGATTAATAAAGATAAGGGTTTTACCTTACCCACCCTAACGACATGTGTACTTGAAAACAATGTGTATTCCCTGTTGTTTGGTAGGTTGCTTTATAAATGTCATTTAGGCCAAATTGGTTGATAGTATTTTGCAGGCTTTCTATAATCCTTAATGACTGGCTACTTTTTTCTTTTTTTTTTTTTTTTTTTTTTTTGTCAATTACTGAGAGAAAAGTGCTGAAATCTCCATTATTGTGGATTTGTTGATTTCTCTTTTTAGTTCTATTAGTTTTTGTTTCATGTATTTTGAAAGTCTCTTGTTAGATGTGTGCATATTTAGGATTTCTATGTCCTCTTGGTGAGTGAACCTTTTATCACTATGTAATGTTCATCTTTATTCCTGGTAATATTCCTTTTTCTGAAGTCTACTTTCTTTTATCTAAATATTGTCAGTTCAGGTGTCTCTTGATTAATGATTGAGCAATATATTGTTACCGTTGTCTTACTTTCACTATACTTCTGTACTGAAATGTTTTTCATTGCATATAGTTGCTTCATTTTAAAATCTAATCTGACAGTCCTTTAATTGATGTTTTTGGACCATTTACATTTAATCTATTTACATGGCTAAAAGTTACCATATTTCTAGATAATTCTGTTTGTTTCTTCATTTCTCCTTTGTTCTTTTTTTCTGCCTGCATTTTATTGCTTCTAGTTTATTTCTACTATTGACTTATTATTTATACTACTTTTTTCATTTTTAAAGTGGGTTCCCTGGGGTTTACAATATACAACTTTAAAAAATAACAGTCTTTTAATATTATTACATTTTATGTGCCATAAAAACTTTACAACAGTATATTTCAAATTCTCCTCCCATCTTTTTTTTTTAATTTTTTTTTTTTTTTTTTTGAGACGTAGTCTTGCTCTGTCACCCAAGCTGGAATGCAGTGGCACAATCTTGGCTTACTGCAACCTCCGCCTCCTGGGTTCAAGTGATTTCTCCTGCCTCAGCCTCCTAAGTAGCTGGGATTACAGGCACCCACCACCACCATGCCTGGCTAATTTTTGTATTTTTAGTAGAGACAAGGTTTCATTATGTTGGCCAGGCTAGTCTTGAACTCCTGACCTCAGGTGATCCGCCCACCTCAGCCTCCCGAAATGCTGGGATTACAGGCGTGAGCCACCGCGCCTGGCCTTACCTCTCACATTTTGTGTTATCTTCATACTGCATCTTACTCTTCCACATTGGTCCACCCATAGTACTGTCCTCTATTTTTACTTTAGACACTCAATTATCATTTAGAGCAATTATAATGTCTTCTTAAACATAAGACATTTTATATTTATTTTCATTTTTACCATTTTAAGAGACTTTCACAATTTGCATAGACAGAAGTTTTTGTCTGGATTGTGTTCATTTTTCTTGAAGAGCTTACTTATATATATAATGTTATGTGCAGTCTGCGGCTAAGGGGTCCTTTTTTATTGTTTCTCTAGAAGTACTGTATCTTTTTTGGATGGCCTACCAGGTTTTCCTTTTATGTCTGAATTTCAGCAGTTTGAATATAATTTGGGGGAAAGAATATTTTTTAACCATAAGGCTGAGTTTTCTGGATCTGTGATTGATAGCCTTTTAAGACAAAATTCTCAGCCTTTTTCTCTTCAAATGTTCCTTCTGTTTTTCTTCCTTTCAGTTTCTGATTACCTGCATATTAGACCATTTGATCATTTCTCACAATTTTTAGATGCTCTTGTTCTGTATTTTCCCACCTTTTTTGTGTGTGTTTCAGTTTGGGTAATTTATATTGATTTATCATTAATTTACTAACTCTACTCAAGTATGTCCACTCTACTGATGGACTGGCGAGGTAATTTTTTATCTCTGTTATAATGTGTTTTGTTTTTAGAATGTCCATTTGATAGTTTTTTTAAAAAAATAATTTCTTTTTCTCTGGTAGCCTTCCTTAACGTAGTCGTGTTAATTGTATACCTTTTTCTCTGGAGCTTTTTAACATATTAATCATAGTTATCTCCACTTTCAGTATTTGGGCCATATCTGAGTCTGCTTCTGTTGATTGCTGTACTTTTTTTTGCTCGTTTGTTTGTTTTTTTGAGACGGAGTCTCGCTCTGTCGCCCAGGCTGGAGTGCAGTGGCGTGATCTCGGCTCACTGCAAGCTCTGCCTCCTGGGTTCACGCCATTCTCCTGCCTCAGCCTCCACAGTAGCTGGGACTACAGGCGCTTGCCACCATGCCCAGCTGATTTTTTTGTATTTTTAGTAGAGACGGGGTTTCACCGTGTTAGCCAGGATGGTCTCGATCTCCTGACCTTGTGATCCGCCGACCTCGGCCTCCCAAAGTGCTGGGATTACAGGCATGAGCCACCGCGTCCAGCCTCTGATTGCTGTACCTTTTGACAGGACTCTTGAGTGTTGGTTATGTTGGGCATAAAGTTTATTTTCCTTAGAATTTTACTTTTGAGCATTCTTTGTGGCCTTGAAAGGAAAGGGCTACTCCAGAGAGAACTTTTGTTTCTTCTTCCTGATGCTCAGGTGTATTACTGGATTAGAGTCATTCTGAACACAATTCTTACCTGAGCTTTCCCCAATCACTGAGAATCATTTCAGTTTGGGCTTTTAATAAGATTTTGTTTCCAAATTATTAATGGTGATAATTTCCTTCAACTTTGTACCCAGATTTGAAGAGTCAATTTTCTCTGCAATTCCTGAGGCAGTGATAGAATTTCCAGGTAACTCCTACAGGAAAGTGCAGTCCTTGGTGTTGAAATTCAGTGGAAGAGAACATACTATTATACTGTCTTTCAAAGTCACTCCAAATGCTTTTGGAGTGACTGCAGGTCGCAGTTCTCTGCTTACATCCCTAGGTCCCTGCTTAAAAAAAAAAAAAAATCTGATAATCTCTTACTCTCATACCAACTAATTGACATATCTCGGAAGGTATTTTCTATATTATATTAAGGAATAATTACTGGTTTTAGTGGAAGAGTTGATTCAAGCAACTAACCCATTATGTTGTCAAGTAGAATTTGTTCTTGTTCTTAAGTTTTCAGGTGATGAGTTTGGCTTCAATATTCACATTAGCGTTCTGCAAAGTTAAGCCTAGAGACTGAGTTTGCCTTGTTAGGAAATCTGCTTGCCATTTTAGGAGTATCTACAGGTGAATAAAATTAGCTTTGGTAATGAACCAACATTCTAAACTGCTAGGCAATTGATTAAAGCAGTTAGTAAGCATCATACATTATCTTAAGTTTTAATTAAAAATTAAACATAAAAGTGAAAATTATAGATCAATGAACCATTCCCTATATACACATCATCCAGATTCAATAACTATCAATTTTATTTTGCCTCTTGTTCTATTCATTTTTTGTTTTTATTTTGTACTTAAATCATTTAAAATTCTAGCTCTCATATAATTTTCTGCCTATGTATTTTCTATACACATCTCTAATACATATGTATATTTTCTTACCTAGCCACAATTATATCACACCTAATAATATTACCATTAATATTTTTATATAACAACCAAGGCATACATTTTCTCAGTTTTCTCAACATGGCTTTTAAATAGTTGGCTTATTTGAATTAAGATCTAGACAAGATATATGCATTTCATTTGATGATTTTTCTTAAGGATCTTTATTCTAGAATGTCCCTCTGTCTACTTCCTCTCACCTTCCCCTTGACATTGACTTGTCCCACATTTCGTGATTCCAATTAATCAAGTCACAATCAGAATTCTGTTGTAAGTGTTCCCATCAGTCTTCCATCTGTTTGACCTGTTGATAATTATTACCTAAATAAATTAGGTTTTAAGGGTTACAAAATAGACACTACCTATCATTCCTTCTATATTTATTAAGTTCATTACCAAACTTCTTCCAATGATACTGAATTAGTATTTTGTTTTGGATAATCATGAACTAAAGAGTTTTTAATATATTCAATGTACGTTCAATTGTATTCATTCATCAGACACTCAAATTTTTCTATTTTTCACAATGGGGCTAATGGGCGCTTGTTCATTTGTGTATCATTTAAAAATATTTGATTAGTCTTTCATATCTTGCTTGCTTTCTAATATTCCCTGTTTCTTGTTTTTTTTTATTTCTACAAGTTTTTATTGACAAAATTCAAAATATAATAATTGAATACAACTTTTTGGTAATACAATTCTGATGAGAAGAACAGAATTCTTTTTTTCTGGGATGACATTTCACTTAATTGGGCTCAAAGTTAATGTGCCCTATCATCAAAATTGACTGCAAAAATTTTCCTTTAATAACCATATCCAGCTTGAGGTCCCAAAAACAACTGGTGATCTGGTTTTGGCCCACAGGCCATATGTAGTTTGCCAACCTTTGTTCTATTGGTTAAATAGATCAATAAGGCCAAATTGGAAAGGGTGTATACTCACATAATATAATAATTTACATGCATAAGAATGTGTATATTAGCACACATATGCATTTTTATATCAAAACCAACTATAATTTGTTTTGTTTCCTCTTTATTCTTCCTTTATTATTTATTATTTTTCATTTTACTTTAAGTTCTAGGGTACATGTGCACAACGTGAAGGTTTATTACGTATGTATACATGTGCCACGTTGGTGTGCTTCACCCATTAGCTTGTAATTTACATTAGGTATATCTCCTAATGCTTTCCCTCCCCCCTTCCCCCACCCCACAACAGGCCCCATTATGTGATGTTCCCCTTCCTGTGTCCAAGTGTTCTCATTGTTCAGTTCCCACCTATGAGTGAGAATATGCGGTGTCTGGTTTTTTTGTCCTTGCGATAGCTTGCTGAGAATGATGGTTTCCAGCTTCATCCATGTCCCTACAAAGGACATGAACTCATGATTTTTTATGGCTGCATAGTATTCCATGGTGTATATGTGCCACATTTTCTTAATCCAACCCATCATTGATGGATATTTGGGTTGGTTCCAAGTATTTGCTATTGTGAATAGTGCTCCAATACACATACCTGTGCACGTGCCTTTATAGCAGCATGACTTATAATCCTTTGGGATATACCCAGTAATGGGATAGCTGGGTCAAATGGTATTTCTAGTTCTAGATCCTGAGGAATCGCCACACTGTCTTCCACAATGGTTGAACTAGTTTTACAGTCCCACCAACAGTGTAAAAGTGTTCCTATTTCTCCACATCCTCTCCAGCACCTGTTGTTTCCTGACTTTTTAATGATCGCCATTCTAACTGGTGTGAGATGATATCTCATTGTGGTTTTGATTTGCATTTGTCTGATGGCCAGTGATGATGAGCATTTTTTCATGTGTCTTTTGGCTGCATAAATGTGTTCTTTTGAGAAGTGTCTGTTCATATCCTTCGCCCACTTTTTGATGGGGCTGTTTTTTTCTTGTAAATTTTTTTGAGTTCTTTGTAGATTCTGGATATTAGTCGTTTGTCAGATGAGTAGATTGCAAAAATTTTCTTCCATTCTGTAGGTTGCCTGTTCACTCTGATGGTAGTTTCTTTTGCTGTGCAGAAGCTCCTTTGTTTAATTAGATCCCATTTGTCAATTTTGGCTTTTGTTGCCATTGCTTTTGGTGTTTTAGACATGAAGTCCTTGCCCATGCCTGTGTCCTGAATGGTATTGCCTAGGTGTTCTTCTAGGGTTTTTATGGTTTTAGGTCTAACATTTAAGTCTTTAATCCATCTTGAATTAATTTTTGTATAAGGTGTAAGGAAGGGATCCAGTTTCAGCTTTCTACATATGGCTAGCCAGTTTTCCCAGCACCACTTATTAAGTAGGGAATCCTTTCCCCATTTCTTGTTTTTGTTAGGTTTGTCAAAGATCAGATGGTTGTAGATGTGTGGTATTATTTCTGAGGGCTCTGTTCTGTTCCATTGGTCTATATATCTGTTTTGGTACCAGTACCATGCTGTTTTGGTTACTGTAGCCTTGTAGTATAGTTTGAAGTCAGTTAGCGTGATGCCTCCAGCTTTGTTCTTTTGGCTTAGGATTGTCTTGGAAATGCGGGCTCTTTTTAGGTTCCATATGAACTTTAAAGTAGTTTTTTTCCAATTCTGTGAAGAAAGTCATTGGTAGCTTGATGGGGATGGCATTGAATCTATAAATTACCTTGAGCAGTATGGCCATTTTCATGATGTTGATTCTTCCTACCCATGAGCATGGAATGTTCTTCCATTTGTTTGTATCCTCTTTTATTTCATTGAGCAGTGGTTTGTAGTTCTCCTCGAAGAGGTCCTTCACATCCCTTGTAAGTTGGATTCCTAGGTATTTTATTCTCTTTGAAGCCATTGTGAATGGGAGTTCACTCATGATTTGGCTCTCTGTTTGTCTGTTATTGGTTTATAAGAATGCTTGTGATTTTTGCACATTGATTTTGTATCCTGAGACTTTGCTGAAGTTGCTTATCAGCTTAAGGAGATTTTGGGCTGAGACGCTGGGGTTTTCTGAGCATACAATCATGTCATCTGCAAACAGGGACAATTTGACTCCCTCTTTTCCTAATTGAATACCCTTTATTTCTTTCTCCTGCCTGATTGCACTGGCCAGAACTTCCAACACTGTGTCGAATAGAAGTGGTGAGAGAGGGCATCGCTGTCTTGTGCCAGTTTTCAAAGGGAATGCTTCCAGCTTTTGCCCATTCAGTATAATATTAGCTGTGGGTTTGTCATAAATAGCTCTTATTATTTTGAGATAAGTCCCATCAATACCTAATTTATTGAGAGTTTTTAGCATGAAGGGCTGTTGAATTTTGTCAAAGGCCTTGTCTGCATCTATTGAGATAATCATGTGGTTTTTGTCTTTGGTTCTGTTTATATGCTGGATTATGTTTATTGATTTGTGTATGTTGAACCAGCCTTGCATCCCAGGGATGAAGCCCACTTGATTATGGTGGATAAGTTTTTTGATGTGCTGCTGGATTCGGTTTGCCAGTATTTTATTGAGGATTTTTGCATTGATGTTCATCAGGGATATTGGTCTAAAATTCTCTTTTTTTTGTTGTGTCTCTGCCAGGCTTTGGTATTAGGATGATGCTGGCCTCATAAAGTGAGTTAGGGAGGATTCCCTCTTTTTCTGTTGATTGGAATAGTTTCAGAAGGAATGGTCCCAGCTCCTCCTTGTACCTCTGGTAGAATTCGACTGTGAATCTGTCTGGTCCTGGACTTTTTTTGGTTGGTAGGTTATTAATTATTGCCTCAATTTCAGAGCCTGTTATTGGTCTATTCAGGGATTCAAGTTCTTCCTGGTTTAGTCTTGGGAGGGTGTATGTGTCCAGGAATTTATCCATTTCTTCTAGATTTTCTAGTTTATTTGCATAGAGGTGTTTATAGTATTCTCTGATGGTAGTTTCTATTTCTGTGCAATCGGTGGTGATATAATTTATCCATATGCATTTACTCTTTACTATGAAAAATGAAGATAATACTAAGCTTACATTTCTTCCCTATGAGGAGGTGTAAATAATACCATTCATTAGGAATATCCCAGTCCCTACAATGCTGATGGCTTCAACTTACCACCCAATAAATGTTCTGCTTCGTTTTGTATTTATATTTGATATGGGATGGTGGTTGATTCCAGTACAGCCAGTTCTGGAAACTTTAAAAAGATTAACAGGGGACTTTTCCAGCACCAGACATTAATGGCTCTTTTTAGAATGAGGGATGCTTAATGCCTGTGTTTCCACCTCTGGGCCAGGTTATCAACTCTGGGGCAATAGAAGTCCCATTTAACCTCCTGTCACAATGTTTGCAAAATTTCCAGGCTTGCTGGTTGAGTTTTTAGTCTTTATTCTACAGATAAGGTAACCCTTGGTGATGCTCACTTTTAGGAAAGTGGTTTAATTCTAGCTACCTTTCCCACTTGACATGAAGCCCAGATTCCTTAAATAGGTAGCATGTCTAATATTCCTGTGAATCATTCTGTATTAGTTCCCTATTACCTTTCTGACTTTGAGGTCCCTCTTTATTTCTGACACCTAGATAATTTTCTTGGTTTCAAGCTTGGCTCGGCCTTATATTTCATTTATGGTGACATGTTATATGTAATGTCTACATGTCTTCATTGGTATGGGATTCTATTCAGTCTTCCATAATGTTAGAAAGTTTTCTGAATGTCTTAATGGGAGATGAAAATTAATGAGTCATTTGAAAGCCTCCAAGTATTTTCTGGTAGAAGAACATGAAAAGTTTGACAAGATTTTTTTTCTCCCTACTAAATGTTTCAAAAATTCATAAACTCCATCAAGAAAAAATTTTATAAATATTTTAGTGAGCAAAAAGTGGGATACTTCCAGTCATAGATGGCAAAGTTAAAGTAATTTTTTTTTATTATTGTACTTTAAGTTCTGGGATACATGTGTAGAATGTGCAGGTTTGTTACATAGGTATACACATGCTATGGTGGTTTGCTGCACCCATCAACCTGTTATCTACATTAGGTATTTCTTCTAATGCTATCCCTCCCCCAGCCCCCCCATCCCCTGACAGGCCCCAGTGTGTGATGACCCCCCCACCCCCGTGTCCATGTGTTCTCATTGTTCAACTCCCACTTATGAGTGAGAACACACTGTGTCTGGTTTTCTGTTTGCTTTTACACTGTTGGTGGGAGTGTAAATTAGTTCAACCATTGTGGAAGACAGTGTGGTGGGGCAATTCCTCAAGGATCTAGAACTAGAAATACCATTTGACCCAGCCATCCCATTACTGGGTATATACCCAAAGGATTATAAATCATTCTACTGTAAAGACACATGCACATGTATGTTTATTGCGGCACTGTCCACAATAGCATGGAACTAACCCAAATGCGCATCAGTGATAGACTGGATAAAGAAAATGTGGCACATATACACCATGGAATGCTATGCAGCCATTAAAAAAGGATGAGTTCATGTCCTTTGCGGGGACATGGATGAAGCTGGAAACCATCATTCTCAGCAAACTAATACAAGAACAGTTAAAGCATTTTTATTCCATTTCATATATCAATTAAGGTGACAAATAAAAAACAAAGCTCCATCCTTAGAGAACTAGTAGACAGCAAAACCCAATCCACCAATTTCAAACAACAGTATCCAAGTAGTGCTAAATTTTTACCAAATGAAGAAACATTGAAAATTGTATATATTTTGATGTATCCTGGGCATAGTTTCCTCTAAGAATTGAAGAACCAATCAAGAGATCCTTACTTAGAACAGGGAAATGTGGGGGGCCTGAGAAAGCCATGGAATTGCTCCATAGTGGGAAGTACCATGCATTGTATGTAATTGTGCATCCTGAAAACTCAGAATATACCCAAATTTGCTGAGTTCACAAAGACTTCCCTTGTACTCCCCATCCCCATACATCTTTATTTAATCTGCCTTGGGACATTTATTAAACTGACCACATATTATGTCATAAAGGAAACTTCAATCAATTCCATTAAATAGAAAATATACCTCGTTCTCTTAAACACAATGCATTAAAATTAGAATCAAATAACAATTGTGGAAAACAAAATAAATCCAAGAAAACAACGAGAAGGAATTAGTCAAGATAAAGCTAGATATAACTGGAAAAAAAAGTAGAATTAATTAAATCAGAATCATGATTATTTGAAAACCCCAATATATTAAAAGTGAAAACAATTCCTAAAACCACTATTGAAGCAAAAGATATATCAGATAGTAAGAAGCAGAGGTGTAAAAATCAGAAACTAGATTGAAAGAATTATAAAAGTATATTTTATTCAAATGTATTCCAATAAATTGGAAAACCTTTATAAAATTATTTTTCCAACAAATGGTAAAATATCAAATGTGACCACCAAAAGATAGAATTTTAGCAGAACAATTACCTGGAAGAACTTGAAAACATTATGGACATGTGACTACAGCAAATGCTTCAGTCGCATTTGATTTCACAGGGGAGTTCTGATGATCTGTTGAAACTATTCACTAAAGAAAAAGAAAACTCTTGCATTTATATAAAACCGGAGCAATGTTGACATTAAAACTTGGCAAAGATAGCATCAAAATTAAACACATAAACATTACAAAAACCACTGCCAATAAGTATAACTTATGGATATAACTGCAAAAATTCCAAAATAAAATAATACAAAATCCAGCTGCACATTAAAAAAATCCAAAATTAAAATATTAACAAATTCAGCTGTGCATTAAAAACACACACCATAACCAAGTCAGGACATTTTCTTGTAAGGATAGTTCAATATTCTATTTCCTTTTGCTAATTCTGCTGTTAATATGATTCTACTAGATTGTTTTAGCATATCTTAATAAGGAAAATATTGATTATATTAAAAGAAAGTGCTGGAAATTTCTACTTCTATTGCCAAAACAAACAAACAAACAAACAAACAAAACCTGTGAATTAGGTAGAGATGCATACTTTCTTAACTGGGTAAAATATACATGTCTGAGCAAATTCCAGTATCATGCTCAATAGTGATCTACTTGAAGTGCTTCCATCAATGTGACTTTTATCTTTAATTTTATGTAATATTGTGGACATATCAGTAAATGATATTCAAAAAATTTTACAAAGAATTTTCACTATTGGAAAGTTGAAGCCAAAATTATTATTTTTTATTTTTAAAAAATGCCATTTTATTCCTAGAAAACACCAAATAGTCCAGTGGAGAAAAATTAGAAATAAAAACAAATTGAGAGTCATTTGCCTGATTATAAAATTAATAGCTTCCTTATGTATTATAACTGGTGAAATAATGTGATGGATAAAATCTCCTTTTCACAAAAGCAATAAAATAGTAAAATACCGAGGTATACATTTAATAACATAATTTATATGACTTGTGCAATAAACGATTTCAACCATAGAATGAGGTTTGTAAATAGAATGAGTTCATTGTTTTTAGGCAACAAATCGGTATTCTAGAGATTGCAACTCTCTAAATTATGTAAGTTCAATATTGTGACAAAAATAGGAAAGTAATTTTTGCAGCAAACGAATTAGATGCTTTTTTGGAGAAATAAGCACTGAAGTATAACGTAGAAAACTTAAAAAGGGGTATTGAAAGTTCATTAGGCTTGAAAAATTTTTAAATGTTTCAAAATATTTCACTAAGACAATTTTCTTGCACTTCATAAAAATATAGATCAGTGTATAAAAAGATACATTATAAAATAAGCTCACACATATGTAGAAATTTAGTATATAATAACTATGGTATTTAACTGGGTGGTTACTTAGAAAAAACCCTGAAACTCTATCTCAGATGTTCTATTGAACACACAACATACACACAGACCCTATCTCCTATTAGATCACAAATTTAAAAGTTAAAAAACAAAACTCTTCATTAAAAACTATGGCATTCTTTCCATAATACGGAGTGAGGAAACTCCAGACAGGAAATCTCTATCTTATAAATTTTAAAAAAAAAAAGATCCATTTGACTACATGAAAATTTAAATGTTCTACATGACACAAATAAAGTCAAGATAAAAAATGTCACTCTACGAAAAATGTTTATTAAATACGACACCTAATGCAAGGGCCAGTTTTCTTATTGAATATTTTGTTAATTGTAATTCACATTTTTTCCACATTTTAATGTCTCTCAAATTGGAATGTCAAGAAGCTTCCTAAAATGTCATCACTGTAAGAAACAGATGACTTGGAAGGCCAGTGGTTGGTGGGAAATCAGACAAGTATAGTAACTTTCCTGCAGCTGGAGTGAAGGGTAGATTAGGCTCAGTGACTTTTAGTTGTTTTAGGGACTGTTTAAAAAAATGCTTTAATATTTGTGCTCTTGATTGCACAGCAGACACTATTATGGGGCAAAACATGGATATAAAAGACTCAGTGTTGCCAAATGATACTGAAGAGTCCGACATTTAATTGAAGAAGTGTGTTTTGTTCTTTTGTATATGTGCAAGAGCGAAACATGACAAAAACATCCATTTACGTATATAAATGGATTTTTTAATATGTTCAAATTAAAAATGTGATAAGAAAGCACTGTTTCTTAATTTAATAGACAGGGATTTTTTTCCCCCTACGTGGTGCATAGTACCATAGGTGATGTCTTAGGTTTGTTGAAATATGTAACATAATGGACTTCTATAAATCCATGAGAGATAATCCAAATTCATATTTAAAGAAATTCAAATGACTCTTAAAGATATGAACAGGGATTGATGTTATTCATAATTTTCAAGATAAAGTCTTTTTTTAAGATGAAATCCTATTTTGGCTATCAGATTTATCAAAACTCAAATACAGTGTGGGTGAGGGTAATTGTAAACAGACATTCTCATACAGTTTTAGTGATGGATTAAACTCACTGACTCTCCTGAAAGGGCAATTAAATAATGATTATCATAATTAAGAACAAAAATAGAGTTTAAATAATAATTCAATATGTGTAAATTTATCCTACAGATATTCATACACATGTACAACTATATCTCTGCAAAGAAGATCACTGCATTATTTTTAATAGTGAAAAACAAAAACAATTTTAGTGTTAATAGCTAATTGAGTAAATTATGAGATATCCAACAAATATGATAATTTCTTATAAACAAGGCAGATGTTTATATGCTAACATAGAAATGTCTTCAGAATATATTTTCAGCAAAAAGAGAACAGGTTCAGAATAGTATCTACGTGTGTATATACAGTAGACATTCATTCACTTGTTGAAGAAGTAAAAGAACTATATATTTCTAAGATTGTGTTTGTATGTATGTATGCACACATATATAAAATTTTAAAGTATATACCAATAGCAGTGTTATCTTTCAATCAAAATTCTAGTTCAAAAAAAGAATAGACGTATGACATTTGCCCATTTAGGTAAGTAGCCTCAGACAGCTTTTGTATGTGCACACAGTGACTGATATCTATCTGATTAACCTGACCTCTAGTTATTTACCTTGAACCTGTTTGACGAGTTTTGGTTTCTTGGTGGGTTTACATCAGGTGAGGAGCAGTCCTGTCCCACCCCCTATGCCCTTGCAATTCTTTTGTTTGGTTCAGCCAAAGTTGACTGTTATGCTCAGTGCTCTTATTGCTTTATAGGTATTTCAGAGATCTCACTGTAGAAAGATGTAGTCCTGTTTGATTTGGGGGTATGGCCTTTTTTTCTCTACATGGGCTGCTTTTTAAATTGTTTTCTTTGAAAATATTATAGGGTCCCACACATAATGCTGAATATTTCTATTCTTTGTTCTAGCTGTGCTCCCAAACATGCTGTTAGAAGTTATGGAAGAAAGCAATATTGTCACTGTGGCAGGAATGTGTCCCTTCTTTCTGGTGATTGTTAGGACAAGCATTATTATTCTTGCTGTTGCCCAAGTTGAATGATTTATGGGTGCAATATTTAATTTTTGGAGCACTTGACATTTTTGACCTCTCACCCATCAACCCTTTGGAATTACATTGCTTGGGAGATTGAAATACTACTTCATTCCTTTGCGGATATTTTCAGTTTTCCCTTGTCACAGGAATACTGCCCTGGTTTTACCCATGAGAGTCATTTGAGAGGTTAGCATATGGTTTTCAGAGGCAGGCACAATCAGGAAAATGCCAAGAACATCTGTGAAAAACAATGTCCCTGTTTAAGTCCTTTGCAAGCATTAAATTTTTACAAAATAATTTATTTCTTTTGTAAATTATATTTCTAGTTGCAATGGTAGTTTTACTAAACATAGACACACACACACACACACACACACACACTAAATTATCTTCTTTAGAAGTAAAGTTGTATAAAAAAATGAAAATTGTTCGTTATCGTCATGAATTGCATTAATATAGGTGGCTTTGTGGGACAATAATAGAAATTGTCCTGCTTTTTACCCAGCTATTTAGCTAAAAGCATTTCAAAACTTCTAGAATATAAAAACATAATAGAAAAACAGAAATAGCATATTTTCTAGAATAGATTACTTCTTCCTTCACAGCACTTATGGTGAATGCAAAGTAGTTAAATGTCAGCAACCTTCTTATATTTGAAGAATGCCATTGGTAAGTGAACCAGATTTATCATTAATACTTAAGAAATCTTGGTTGTCCAGCATATAATAAGTGAGACAAGGCCTTTGGTATCTACATTTGTTATTTTAACTGTCTGTGATTCGACATCTGGACACATATTTATTGTTGTTCTCTATAATATAGTCAGGATTGTATCTGTGACCTTGAGGCTTAATTCAGAAAGAAGATATACCACACTGTAAGATTTCATCACTGTGAGTAGATGCTGGAGTGAAAACATCTGTTATCTTTGTACTAACTGAACTAGAGGTCTGGCTTTGTTATGGGCCTGTTGTGAGATATGCTCCCTGATGTCCAGAAATGGGTGCTGAATTAATCATCTTGTACTCAGCAAAACTCTGGGAATAATATTCAAAGACCAAAATTCAGAGTTTATTTTACCCAAGAGCCTTCTAAAACAAGAAAATGGAACTGATACTAGGCCATCAAGAAAAATATTTCTTTCACATATGTAATTTATAGCTGTCCCTTATGAAAGACATTTTAAGATATTAACTTTGTGTTCTCTTCACCACCTTATGGCCTCTCAGTGGCAGAAAATATCTTCCATATTGGGACACTAAAAAGAAATCACATCTTTCAAGTTTGAGCAGGTAGAATCCTGGAAGTTATTCCTATTCCCAATCCTACTCTTTGAAGGATATACTCCAATTGCTCTAAGAAGTAATATATTCTGATTACTCAAAGATTTTTGACAAAAATATTTATTCATTCAATATATGTTTGTTGTGTCCCTGCTATGTGCCACAAACTCTCCTATGCGTTTGGAATACAGCAATAAACAAGACAAAGAGCCTACTTTCAGGAAGCTTTAATTCTAGAATAATTGTAGTCTTTCATATACTCAGGGACTAGAACTCTTTTCCTAGCTGAGGTTTCTTAGATAAATGATAATATCTATCAATTAAAAATAACTTCTCAAAAAGGCATTATACATTCCTTCTATATTTTACTTCATTATCTCGATATTTATTTTTAGAAGGGCAATATAAATTCTTCTGTATTTTACTCCACTATCTCAATATTTATTTTAGAAATTTTTTAAGTCCAGCCAATTTCATTTATTCTATTCCTAAGAATTGGAGAATTGCTAGTTCATGACCCCTATTAAAAATGATCCTTAAACTGGTAATTTCATAAAAATACATATTGTGATTCAATATATCTGGCATGGGGCCCAAGATTATCCTGCATTTGTAGCCACCTACCAGGTAATGCTGATGCCTTTGGTCTATGGACCACCCTGAATAGCAAGCCTCTGTATGACAATGTAAATTAAACATGCTTTAGTCCTCCCTATGACTCAATTATGCAAGTCTTTAGACTTTATTAATTTTATCCTTCACAGTAAAAATTGTCAAATGTGACTTTCTAAGACAGGTGGGGATTATTATTTATAATGTCCCACCCCACAAAGAAGGGGCTAAAAAAATCTTTAAAGATTTGATCATTAATTGTATCATTCAACACACTTATGGTATAGTGAATAGGAGATATGTAATAGTAACTGAGAGTTGGAAATTTAGAATCAGGAAATTCCTTATTATTTATGTAATAGGAAGAAAGTTACTCTCTCTAAGCCTGTTTATCTGTAAAGTAGGGATGACTAACATCACTTGACACATAGGGTTGTTATGAAGATTATGAGATGATGCTCACATAACTCCTGGCACATATTGTGTACTCAATGCTAGCTCTCTAATTATTACCATGCGCAAGGGCTATAGAAGGATAAAAAAAATGAAGACTTTCATTCTATGCTCACAGAAGATACTATCTGGCATGGAGATAAGATTTACATGTTAGTAACAAATTCAAACTGGAAAGATTGGTAAAGAAGAACAAATAAAGTGCAGTGGGAGAAGAGGAAGTGATTGGTTCGCTTTGGGATCATTACAGTTGCACCCTTCTTGAAAGCTCACTATGCATCTGTCTCTCAGTGTTCTAGTACTTTACATGTATTAACTCATTTAATCCTCACTATAGACCTGTGATAGGTTGAAATTTTAATAGTCATTTAATAGAAGAAGAAACTGTAGTAGAGATAATTTATCCATGACTAGAAAGTAGTTGGGCTAGGTGTCAAATTCAGTCTGACTCCAGAGTCTTCCTCCTAACCACTGTACTGTTCTGGTCTAAAAAGACATAAAACTGGAGGTAATTTCTGAAATGACTCTTAGTAACCAGGCAGATGAAGATTAGGGCAGGGAAAGGAGATGATTAAGAAAGGAATTACAGGTACCAGAAATGGCATGGGCAAAGGCAGAGGGACTGGAAAATGTGGAGCAAGTAGAAAGAGGGGAGTATTTGGATTTACTAGAGCGTATGTTAATAGGAGAATTGAAAGAATGGACCAAATAACTTGTATTTTCTAAGATTTTATGAATATGATTTTATCAGTCATGGAGAGTAGTTTTAGGACTTCTTAGATTCTCACTGATGGTGTTCTTTAGAAAAGACAACCTCACTGAAAAAGACCATAAAACCTCAGCAATTGGCATATCTTTAGGAGAAATGTGTTCCCTAAGGATATGAAAGACCTGCATTGTTCTAAGTTAGATTTGGGTGAAATGTGTGTTGTTTTCCTTTCCAGAACTGAAGAATGGTTTATTCATCCACATACAATTTCATTATCTAATGCTGTTGTAAGAGGAAAAAATATTTGCCAAAAATTCAGCAGCTGTTTTCTTTGCTTCACCATTGGAAGTATTTGTTCTCTCCCTCAGCAGCTAGAGATTTGCTTCCATAGGCTCTGTTCAGTCTGTCTGGTTTATTATCCTGGAAATTCAGAGACTAGAAGAAGCATGGCTGACCAATTGCTTCCCTGCTTTCCCACTCCTGAAACTCTCTCTACCCCTACTCACTCAGAGGGTATACAAACTTGATTCTAAAGGCTTACATATGTGTCCAGCTCCAGAATTTAATATCAACAATATTGGAAGAGCAGTTTATACTTTCTGAGTCTATTGCAATGTAGGAAAAATGCTTTTCAAACATATCAGCCTGTGTTTTACATTTCTTAGAACATTTTTTGTGGTTTTAGTAGCTATTTTGTTTCTGATATTGATTGTCCTTTTCTTTTTCTTTTATAGATGTTGTTATGTCCTAGAAAAATTGATGACAAAAATCCTGGGCTAGTCTAGCTTTATATGGTAAAGTCAAGTCTCTGAGAGTTTATCATTAAAACATTTTGTCTTACAAAACTTGAATCTGGACGTTTTTTTCTTACTGGTATTGTTTCGACATCATGTCTATTTATGTAAGTAGCTTTCTCTGCCAAACATAGAAAAGAGACATATCTTGGAACTCAATTAAGAAGAACACTGAATTGAAGGAGTTTTGTTCACCCCTTCTCCCCATTTTTAGCCATTTCCTACTTTAGGGGAAAAACAGCAAATAAGTGATACAAGCTAAAAATATCCACTGTGTTTTGATATGACCGTGTAGTAAGGTGAATAATGACTCCCAAATATGTTCACATTCTAGTCTCCAGAATCTGTAAATACATTACCTTTTGTGATAAGAAAGACTTTGCAGATGTAATCAAATTGGGGATCTTGAGATAGGAAGATTGGGTCTTTGTAAGAGGGAAACAGGAGAGTTAAAGTGAGAGAGGGAGACGTGATGACAGAAGCGGAGATTGGAGTGATGTGGGGCGACAAACCAAGAAATGAGGGCAGCCTTTAGAAGCTGGAAAAGTCAAGGAAATGTATTCTCCCTCAGAGCCTCTATAAGGAATGCAGCCCTGCTGATACCTTGTGTGAGTGGTGGGAGGTCGGGGCAGGAGTGGGATACAGAACTGCATCTTTCTACAGAATCATCCCTGAAATATCTGTAAAACGAGTAAAAGCTCTAAGCATAGAAGTCGACTTTGGTTGAACTAGACTGAAAAACAAGGCCAATAAAAAGCAACAACAAAATTTTCACCTTCCAAGTAGTGTTACTTCAAAGTATTTGAAAAAAAGTTTGTGTATTTTTGGAAAAAAGCCTTTAAGACTGTTCTATCCTGTGCACGATTTTCTTTGGTTTCTTCTAGTGTTATTTGCAGATTCCTCCTTTTCACGTTTATGTTCTCTAATCGTTCTACTTTATTTTCAGCAGAAGAATATTCTCAAAGTGGTTTTGTTAGTATTGTTGCAGTTGTGAGGCACAAGAGTGACAGTCCCTTCTTCCTTCTGAGAATCAGTTAAATCTCATGTCATAGTGGAAACCCACTGTTAAAGTAGTCTTACAAATTTTCCTTAAAAGCTTACGTGCAGTGCTTAAAAAGGCTAGTCACTTTCAATCTTGGAATTGCTAGGCATCAAATTTCTTGATGAGGTCCATTCAGTCTTCTAATAAGGCAACAGCTGTTTTAGAAGATTTCTTTGTACTTTATCATAAAAATACTGCTTATTATAAAATTATTGCTTAATTAAATTCTTTGCTGACACTAATACAAAATCAGAAAACAACAAAAATGCTATGTCCTTGGTATGAACATACATATGTGTATGTGTGTGTGTGTGTCTGTGTGTGTGTGTGTATATATATATATATGGAACATTTTTGCTGTTTTGCTTAGGATGGTAGAACCTGTTAAGGGTAATTTTATTCAAATACTCAAAGTTCAGTAAAGCTTTACATCTCTCACTCTTAACCAGGCTCTGGTACTAACCTTCCAAAAATGAAAAAAGGCCTTATCTTTTCCATGTTCATGGAGATGGAGACATTCTAATACTGAGTAACCTTGGTGAGAAAGGCTTTGTGTAGTAGAGGATGAAATGAGTTTCAAAGCTCTCCTCTCCTTCAGAAGAGGGCTGTTTTCTTCCACCAATGTGGCTAATAGGTGACTGTTCCGTTGAGTGATTATATGCCAGTGTTCCATTATTGGAAAACTAAGCATGTGGGAGTTATTTATATCCTACTGCTCAAGGTTATTGCCAAGGTCTGATTTTTGATACGTCTACAATTCAAAAAATTGCAGCCTCCAGCATAAATGGGTTAAATAGCCGTCTTAAAAATTCTATCTATAATGCCTATAATCTCAGCACTTTGGGAAACCGAGGTGGCAGATCACAAGGTCAAGAGATCGAGACCATCCTGGCCAACATGGTGAAACCCCGTCTCTACTAAAAATACAAAAATTACCTGGCTGTGGTGGTGTGCACCTGTAATCCTAGCTACTCCGGAGGCTGAGGCAGGAGAATCACTTGAACCTGGGAGTTGGAGATTGTAGTGAGCAGAGATTGTGCCACTGCACTCCAGCCTGGTGACAGAGCAAGACTGTCTCAAAGAAAAATTATATCTATATATTTAGATTTCAAAATGTTATTGGAATTATATTAGATGTGTCTTCCTGTATCATATTTTTAGAAGGTGAGGATCTATTTCCATCATCTGTACATACCTGTCTTTTAAAAGGAATTTGGTTTATACTGATGAAATCTTCAGATAATATTTGACTATATTATTTGCTTTATGTGAGGATAATTTGTATCTTGTAGAATTTTAAATGTAAGTTATTCAGTGTGACATGTAATTATGTTTCATATAGAATTAAATTAAGAATATATATAGAATTAAAGGATTTGATTATTGTCAACAGTGAAGTTTTGAAATTTCAAAACCTCATATAGAAAGTAACTTGATCTCAACTTGATATTTAAAGAAATTGGAAATTAGATAAGCTACAAACTTGTTTTTCATATTGTGACAAAACTATTCTAATAAGGTTAGATGCTGGAAGAGGAGAAAGGAAAATAGACATAAAAATTGGCAGAATTATAGCTGTCATGATACTGGTGTGTTAAATTTTAATATAAGTGGATATTAGTTTCCTATTGCTACTATAACAAATTACCATGAAGTTAGTGGCTTAAAATTACATTCATTTATTATCATGTAATTCTTTAGGTAACAAGTTCAACATGGGTCTCACTGTGCTGAAATGAGGATGTAAGCAAGGCTGTGTTTTTCTTTTGGAGGCTCTAGGAGAGAATCGATCTGCTTGCCTGTTCCAGCTTCTAGAGGCTGCCTACATTCTTGACTTGTGGTCCCTTCCTACATCTTCAAAGCCGGCAACATTGCATTTCTGTGACCCTTACTCCAGTTATACTTCTCGCTGACCATAGCCAAGAGAGGTTCTCAGCTTTTAGAAACTTGTAAGGCAAACTCCTGAATAGATAGTATTTATTTCAATATTTTTTTGAAAGAAACTTCATTTTCAAGAATTAAAGTTCAAATAACTCAGTGTAGCTGATGTTCTAGGAGGCTTCAGAGTTAGCACTCATTCAAAAGAGGATTGACTTCCCAGTCTTGAAGCAAAAAATTTTACCTGTGGTGCTTAAAAATAAGTTTTAATCAATGAGAACACAGGGAGGGGAAAATCTTACACCAGGGCCTGTCAGGGTAGGAGGCAAGGGGACGGAGAGCATTAGGACAAATACCTAATGCATGCGGGGCTTAAAACCTAGATGATGGGTTGATAGGTGCAGCAAACCACAATGATGTGTGTATACCTATGTAACAAATCTGCATGTTCTGCACATGTATCCCAGAACTTAAAACTTACTTTTTAAATTTTACTTTAATAACAGACAACTTAGTTTCCTTTAAGAAAGTTTGCTAGACTCTTCTGGCTTACAACAAATGTAAATAAAACCATACCGCTTCCAGTGTTTACCAGATTTGCAGTTTTTTCAGTGCTATGAACAGTTCTTTGTTTCCTCATTTTTACCTTCAACTTCTGATTTTTCTCCAAAGTCTGTAGAAATCAATTCTTGCAGACTATGAATCAGTCTTTGTTATCAGCTAGATGATGGGAAGATGAGGAGTTCATCACCCTGTAGTGCTACAGGTTTTTTGCTTTACTGCAGGAAGAAGAAAGCAGACGCAGGTCGAGGAAAGCAGGCAAGCAAGCAGATTGGCTTAAAAGCAGGGCGAGTTAGATTTCAGAAATGACAACAGCTCCGTTAATGTAAACAGCAAAATTTAGCTTTCGTTGACAATTTAAAGTTTAATGAAAAACAGTCACGAGGAGAGAAATCTGAAAAGAGGCCAGGACCGAGAATAGGCTTAGACCACTGTGTGAGTAAGAACCTGGAAACAACAATGGACGACACATTCGATGACACATTTAGGCAATTTTCTTAAAAAAACAAGTAAACCAGGAGAGACAGAACACAGCAAAATGTGTGTATATGTTATGGATGGTGCTCTAAAAAGAAAAGAAAGATAAAACTGCTGAAAACTCTCACTTTAAAGATTTGTGTACATTTTTCCTAGCTGCACTGTTTCTTGTATACAGGAAGATTGGGTTGAATGAATAGCACATACAGGCAATATAGATGCCTTATAAGCAATTTAAAATTTTATTTGCTCAGCATATTAACCTTTCATAAACTTCTCATACACTTTAGGCAGGGCTGTAGATCATGTCACCATATTGTAGGGCAACCGACGGTCCCAGTTTGTATAGCACTTACAGGGTTCTCAGAGTACAAGATTTTCTGTTTTGAAACTGGACAGTCCTGAGTAAACCCTCCTGGTTAAAGATGGTTCCTGGGAGGCAGAACTTTCAGTGCTAAAACCAGAAAAGTCCTAAGCAAACTGGGACAAATTGGTTACCATACGATGTCCGTTAGGTTGAAGTACACTCTAGGAGTTTTGCTGAAGCTATTGGGAAAGAGCTGTTTTATAGTAGGGTCAGTAGATTTTTTGCCACCTGGTAAAAAACTGTATCTTTCAAATTAACCAAAAGAGTGGTAAACACTACCACTACCCTCTGTTTTTGTATTGTTTATTTTTAATTTTTATGGGTATATAGTAGGTGTCTATATGAGTTACATGATATTTTGATACAGGCATGAAATATGTAATAATCACATTAGGGTAAATAGGGTATCAATCTGCTCAAACATTCATTCTTTGTATTTAAAACAATCCAATTATACTCTTCTAGTTGTTTTTACATGAACAATTAAATTATTTTTTATTATAGTTACTCTCTTGTGCTAGCAATGACTAGGTCTTACTTATTTTTTTACCATGTTTTTGTACCGCTTAACCATTCCTCCTCTACACTGACACACACCCCAAACCCAACTACTCATCCCAGCCTCTAGTAACCATTATTCAACTCTCTATCTCTGAGTTTAGTTGTTTTCATTTTTAGCTCCCTCGAATGAGTAAGAACATATGATGTTTGTCTTTCTGTACCTGGCTTATTTCACTTAACTTTGTGACCTTCAGTTCCATCCATGTTGTTGAAAATGACAGGATCTCATTCTTTTTTATGGCTGAATAGTACCTCATTGTGGATATGTACTATGTTTTCTTTATCCATTAGTCGGTTGATGGACACTGAAGTTGCTTCCAAATCTTAGCTGTTGTGAATACTGCCACAATAAACATGGGACTGCAGATATCTCTTTGATATACTGATTTCTTTTCTTTTGGGTATATACCTAGGAGTGGGATTGCTGGATCACATAGTAGCTCTGTTTTTAGTTTCCTTAGGAACCTTCAAACTGTTCTCCATAGTGGTGGTACTAACTTACTTCTCACCAATAGTGTATGAGGGTTCCTTTTCTCCATATTCTCATCAGCATTTTTTATTGACTGTTATTTGGATAAAAGCCATTTTAACTGGGATAAGATGCTACCTCATTGTAGTTTTGGTTTGCATTTTTCTAATCAATAATGTTGAGCAATTTTCATATATCTGCTTGCCATTTGTATAGACATACAAATTTGGAGAAATATCTATTCAGGTCTTTTGCCCATATTTAAATTGAATTATTAGATTTTTTTCCTATAGAATTGTTTGAGGTCCTTATATATTCTGGTTATTAATCCCTTATCAGATGAATAGTTTGCAAATGTTTTCTCCCATTCTGTGGGGGTTTCTCTTCACATTGTTCATTGTTTCATTTGCTGTGCAGAAGCTTTTTAGGTTATGATTCTATCTCTCCATTTTTGCTTTGGTTGCCTGTGCCTGTGGGGTATTGCTTGAGAAATATTTGCCACTACAATGTCCTGGAGAGTTTCCTCAAAGTTTTCTTCTGGTAGTTTTATAGTTTGAGGTCTTAGATTTAAATCTTTAATTGATTTTGATCAGATTTTTCTCTATGGTGAGAGATAGTGATCGAGTTTCACTCTGCATATGGATATCTCATTTTCTAGGCACCATTTAATGAAGAGACTGTCTTTTCCCCAGTATATGTTCTTGGCACCTTTGATGAAAATGAGTTCACTGTAGGTGTATGGATTTGTTTCTGGGTTCTCTATTCTGTTCCATTGGTCTATGTATCTGTTCTTCTGTCAGGACCATGCTGTTTCGGTTACTGTAGCTCTGTAGTATAATTTGAAGTCAGGTAATGTAATATCTCTAGTTTTGTTCTTTTTGCTCAGAATAGCTTTGGCTATTCTGTTTGTGTGTGTGTGTGTGTGTGTGTGTGGTTCTATATAAATTTTAGAATTTTTTTGTCTGTTCTTATGAAGAATGTCACTGGTATTTTGATAGGGATTGTATTAAATCTGTAGGTTGTTTTGGGTGGTATGGAAATTCTAACAATACTGAAACTGCCAATCAATGAATATGAAATATATTTTCATTTTTTGTGTGTCCTCCTTAATTTCTTGCATCAGTATTTCATAGTTTTCATTGTAGAAAACTTTCACTTCCTTGGTTACATTAATTTCTACATAATTAACTTTATTTCTGGCTATTGTAAATGGGATTACTTTTTAAATTTCTTTTTCAGTTTGTTTCATGTTGGCATATAAAAACACTACTGATTGTTGTGTATTGATTTTGTATCCTGCAACTTTACCAAATGTGTTTATCAGTTCTAAAAATTTTTTGGTGGATTCTTTAGGGTTTTCCAAATATAAGATTATACTATATTAACAGGATAATTTGACTTCTTCCTTTCCAATTTGCATGCCTTTTATTTCCTTCTCTTGTCTGATTGCTCTAGCTAGGACTTTTAGTACTATGTTGAATAATGGTGGTGACAATGGGTATCCTTGTCATGTCCCAGATCTAGAGGAAAGGTTTTAACTTTTCCCCAATTAGTATGATACTAGCTGTGGTTCTGTCATATATAGCTTTTATTAAATTGAGGTATGCTCCTTCTATAACTAGTTTTTTATGGTTTTTATCATTAAAAGGATGTTGCATTTTTTAAATTTTATTTTAAGTTATTGGATACATGTGCAGGATGTGCAGATTTGTTACACAGGTAAATATGTACCATGGGTTTGCTGCACCTATCACTCCATCACCTAGGTATTGAACCCCTGCATACATTAGTTATTTATCCTCACACTCTCCTTCCCACCACCCCTCTGCCTCCAACAGGCCCCTGTGTACGTTGTTCCCCTCCCTGTGTCCATGTGTTCTCACCGTTCAGCTTCCATTTATAAGGGAGAACAAGCAGTGTTTCGTTTTCAGTTCCTGTGTTAGTTTGCTGAGGACAATGTCTTCCAGCTCTATCCATGTCCCTGCAAAGGACATGATCTTGTTCCTTTTTATGGCTGCATAGCATTCCAATTATATTTAATTGGTTCATATTTAGTTTTCCTACCTATGATAAGAGTAGTTTATACACCATAGTTACAATGTCATATTATTCTGTGTTTTCTGTGTATTTACCATTACTCATGAGTTTTGTACCTTCACATGATTTCTTACTGTTCATTAACATCCTTTTCTTTCTAATTAAAATACTCCCTAAAACATTTCTTGTAGGACAAGTCTAGTGCTGATGAAATTCCTCAGTTTCCATCTGTCTGGGAAAGTCTTTATTTCTCCTTCATGTTCAAAGGATATTTTCATATCCTATTATAGGGTAAAAGTTTTTTTCCTTCAGCACTATTAAATATATCATGCCACTCTCTCCTGGCCTGGAAGGATTCCACTGAAAATCTGCCACTTGACATACTGGAGCTCCATTGTATGTTATGTGTTTCTTTTCTCTTGCTGCTTTTAGGATCCTTTCTTTATCCTTCATATCTGGGAATTTGATTTTTAAATACTTTGAGGTAGTCATCTTTGGGTTTAATCTGCCTGTTTTTCTATAACCTTCTTATACTTGAATATTGATATTTTTATCTGGGTTTGGGAGTTATTTTATTATTCCTTTGAATAAACTGTGTGCCCCTTCTCTTTTCTCCCTCCTCTTTAAGGTCAATAACTCTTAGATTTTCCCTTTTGGGGCTATTTTCTAGATATTGTAGACATGCTTCATTCTTTTTTATTCTTTTTTCTTTTGTCTCCTCTGACTGTGTATTTCCAAATAGTCTGCCTTCAAACTCACTAATTATTCCTTCTGCTTGATCAATTCTAATATTAAGAGACTCTGATGTATTCTTCAGTATGTCAATTGCATTTTTCAGCTCCAGAATTTTTACTTGATTCCTTTTTATTACTTCAATGTTTTTAATAAATTTATCTGATAGAATTCAGAATGTCTTCTCTATGTTATGTTGAGTTTCTTTTGAGTTTTCTTAAAACAGCTATTTTTAATTCTGCATCTGATATGTCACATATCTCTCTTTTTCTTATTTGGCCTTATTTGGTTCATTTGGTGAGGTCATGTTTTCTTGGATAATCTTGATACTGTGGATGGTTTTCTGTGTCTGGGCATTGAAGAGTTGGGTATTTATTGTAGTCTTCACAATCTGGACTTGTCTATACATATCCTTCTAGGTAAGACTTTCCAGATATTTAGGAAATGGGTGTTATGATCTAAGCTGTATCTGCAATAGAGGCCATCCCAAGTCCAGTAATGTTGCGGTTCTTGCAGTCTCATAGAGGTACTACCTTGATGGTCTTGGACAATATCTGGTAGAATTCTCTGAATTATCAGGCAGAGACTCTTGTTTCTTTTCCTTACTTTTCTCCCAAACAAATGGAGTCTCTCTCTCTCTCTGTTCTGAGCCACTTGGGCTAGAGGTGCAGTGACACAAGCACTCTGGTGGCCTGCACCATTAACACTGTACTGGGTCAGATCTCAAGCCAGTACAGCACTGGGTCTCACCCAAGTGCTGCTATAGCCACACCCTGGCTACCACCTATGTTTGCTCAAGGCCTTGGGGCTCTACAGTCAGCAGGTGGAAAAGTCAGCCAGGCCTGTCTTTCCCTTCTGGGTAGTGAGTTCCCCCAAGACCCTAGCAGGTCCAGAGGTGGTGTCTGGGAGGCAGGAACTAGAGTCAAAAACCTTAGAAGTCTACTTGCTGCTCCATTATACTGTGTCTGAACTGGCACTCAAACCACAAGATGTAGTCCTTCCAACTCTTCCCTCTCTTTTGCAAAGGCAGAGTAGGTCACCATGACCACAGGCCCGTAGGAAGTACTGCCAGACTACTGCTAATGTTCTCTTAAGGTACAAGGGCTCTTCAGTCAGCTTGTGATGAATCCTGACTGGTCTTGGACATATCCTTTAGGGCAGTGGGCTCCCTTCTAGTCTGGGACAGGTCCAGAAATGCCATTCAAGAGCCAAGGCCTAAAATCAGGACCCTAGGACACTGCTTGGTGTTTTACTCCCTGTGGCAGAGCTGATACCTAAGGTGCAAGACAAAGTCTTCTTTATTTTTCCCTTCACTTTTCTCAAGCAGAAGGAATCCCTCCCCATAGTCATCACAGCCAGGAATATGTTGAGTCTCATCGGAAGCCAGCAAGTCTGAGTCTCACCCAAGATCTATATTGTACCACCTGGATATTGCTGCTGGTTATTTAGGGCCCAAGGGCTCTTCAATTAGCAGGACCCAAGACTGGGTCCTTTCCTTCAAGGAAGCCTGTTCCCTTCTGGCCCAGGGTGTGTCTATAAATGTTGTTTGGGGGGTAGGGCATGGAAAGGGTGCCTCACAACTCTGACGAGTGCCCTATCCTGCTGTGGCTAAGCTGTTATCCAAGAAGCAATATGATGACCTCTCCACTCTTTCCTCTCCTCTCTTCAAACAAATGGAAGGAGCCTGGGATTAGGGGAGTGATGGAGCCAGTACTCCCCTGGCTATCAGTAGATAATGTGCACCCTCAGTCCACTGGCTCTGAGTCTGGTTCAGCCTCTTGGGACACCCGTAGGCATTGCAATTCTCATGGCCTAGGCTGTCTTTCAAGTTTATTTAGGGACCTAAGAGCACTCCAGCCTGAGGTGGTGAGGCTTGCTGAACTCAAGTTTCAACCACTGAGATGAGCAATTCCCCTTTGGCTAAGTATTTGGTCTAAATATTCCCTCCCTGGGTGGGCATCAGTGGAGTTTGGGCCAGTTTTGCTTTCTGCTACAACAGGGCAGCTCTGAGTTAAATGCGATGTCACACAATTGTGTGAAACACACAGATTCTCCCAGAAACACAGATTCTCTCTCTGCACAGCAGGCTTCTGCCAGTGGATGGGGGAGGGGTGGCATTGGCAATTCAGGATTGTTTTTCCTACCTCTCAATGCCTCTATGAGCAACATGAACTTAAAACCAGGTCTTGTGAGTGTTCACCTGATTTTTGGTTCTTATGAAGGTGTTTTCAGTATAGATAGTTGTTAAATTGGTACCTTTGTTGGGGGGAGGAGGGGCAATTGGTGGAGCCTTCTATTCAACCGTGTTGCTTCACCTCTAATTCCACTTTTGGCATTTTGATATTGGATGTACTCCTGGGTTTAAACATACCTAAATTCCAGATAAATGTACTGGATTTTCCATTTCTGTGAGCCAATACATTCCTTGTTATACTTGTATAGGTTTGATTGTTCCGTCATAGGTAATTTACATTTTATATTTTCTCAGCGCCAAATTATACTTTAAAAAGGCTAAGCCAGTCTTTTTTAAATCACCAAATAAGTGAATATTTTAATCCATATTTGATGTCAGACTTTGGTATTCGCCCGTAGTGTTAAATGGTATATAATTTTTGGTATAGTTGAAATCTTCTTTAGTAATAGGAATGTTACTTTATCAAATGTTTATTTTTTAAGAGAATCTAGTATATGATTAATATTCTAAATTATTGTAGTATTTTTGTGTCGACTGTTAGTCTTTTCCTATTTGATTCATTCAGTTTGATTTTATACATTCCTAAATGGTTCTCTGTCTTTTAACATTGAATATATCTTTAGACATATAGACATTTCTTATATTGGTGTAGTAAAATTTATTAATTTTTACAGCTTATTTTTAAGAGAACCTGCCCTATTCCTAGATCAGCAACATTATTCTATATTTTCTTCAAAAGTTTGTAATTTTCATTTCTTATGTGTAGCTCATTATTGTATCTGAATTAGGTCTGTGAGCTAGACATCAAAATTTAATCCATATAAAAGTTTAACACCATTTATTTCTCCCCCAACTTGTGTAAAATAACATCTCTTCTTTTAAAAGTCCCCATTTATGTTTGGGTCTGTTCTATTCTATGGGATGACTAGTTAATTCCTACATAAATACAACACTATTAAAATTACCACCATTTTATAATAAACATTGATATTAAGTAGTTCTGGCTTCTCTTGCATTTTTTTACTCATGAATTTTTGAAAGAATTTATTGAGTTCATTATAAAATCTTCTTGATATTTTGATCAGAACTGCAATAGTTTTGTACATTTAAGAAAAATAATAACTTTATGATAGTTTTTCTATATCTGAAAAGGATGTACTCTTGCTATTATTTTAGATCTTTTTTAAAAAATGTACTTGAATAAAGCTTTATAATTTTCTTCATTAAGAACTTTTCTAGTATTTTTTATATTAATATTTATTTCTAGGTTATTTTCTACATTTTCTAACTTTTCTGCTATATTTGCTTTAAAATATATTTTAAATATGTTTTCTGGCAGGTTGGAAGAATATTTTTGTATATTAGTGTTTTATCATGTATCTGGCAATACTGACCCTAAAAATTATTTTTTCGTGTGCTCGCTTAAGTATTCTATGTGATCATATCACTTGTCAGTAAAATCTCAGTATTCTTTCTCTTCTATAGACACATATATTTATTGGCAAGAATCATCAATAGTGTTAAATCTAGTGATTAGAGACAGCATTCTATTCATATGCTATTCACTATTGTGTTTCATGACGATAAAGATTAACATGAGATGTCTATATTTAGCTCTTCTTTCATTTCTTCTAAAAATGTTTTATAGTTTTCAGTATACTTCAGCTTGCTTTTTATTAAATTTATTACTGTTTTATTCTTTTTGATGACGTTGTGAATGAAAGTGTCTTAATATCATTTTTAAATTTTTAGAATAAATACAGAATACCACTATGTAGAAATACAATTGATATTTATATATTGATCTTGTTTCCTTTGAACTTACTGAATTTATTTATTAGTTTTGGTTGTGTTTTGGTTTCCATTGGGGTCTTTTTTTATTTTGAATGTTGTGTTTGTGGATTTCTTAGGATATTTTATATACAAGATTATGTCTGAAAATAAGAACGGTTCTATTTTTTCTTTCCAAAATGGACGCCTTTTATTATTATTATTTGCTTAATTGCACTGACAAGAAATTCTAGTATAATGTTGAATAGAAGTAGTGATAGAGGACATCCTTATTTTGTTTTTAATCTTAGAGGAAAAGCCTTTAGTATTTTATCATTCATATGATGTCAGCAGTAGATTTTTAATAAATGCATTTTATTAGGTTGAATAAGTTTCCTTCAATTCCCAATTTGTTGAGATTTTCAAAAAATCATGAATAGGTGTTAGATTACTATCAAACATTTCTTTTTGCATTTATTGAGGTGATCATATGGTTTTATTTCTTCTATTAATATTGACTTTCATATGGATGATTTACCTTTCTATTTTTCCCCTCTAGTTGTGGTGGGCCCTAATTCATATTTCTCCCATAGCTCTTTATGAAAATGCATAAGTATGTGTGCATGTATATGTGTAAATATGTATATACCTATGTGTATATATGAACATGTGTGTATATTTAATTAACTATATTGAAATGATCTGTTTCAATATTCATTTATTTAATTAAGTGTCCATACACCCTTGTGGAAATGGCCTGGGCTTGGGAACAATATAAATTGAGTTGAAATCCTAGGATTTAAAGTGCTAATACTAGCAAAAAGAAGTCACTTGATCTTTCAAATCTGTTTATTCATCTCTATAAAGATGCTAATAATAGAATTCTTAAGTGTTTGTGATGATTACTAAGATTACTTAAGTAATGTACGTCAGAAGCACCTAGCACTGTGTGGAACATGGTAGATGCTCAAAAATGTTAATTCCATCTGTTTCACATTTATTTTCCTGATCTGTACAAGACCTGCCATAGGTGTCCTGGATACATAGACCAGTCCTTTCAGGAAGCTAAGAAAAATGACATGGGAAAGGCACCGAGTATTTCATTGCTCATCCCACGAGGAGATGAACTTAAAACTGTTCTAAACACCATCTATCAAAGGGCTTCAGATTGCTACATTGATTTTTCCTTGTATTAAACTATTAGATGGAGAAAACCATATATTAATGTTTAGTTAAAAAATTTTGTAACCTTTGAGGCAAGGAAATTCAATGATAATCAGATAGGTTTATAGGATAATATCATGGGGTGGGTAGTGATAGAGATTTTTGCTGGCTGGTGAGTTCTGTTAGCTGCACATGTATAGCTGCACTTGTTCTAAAATGGGGTGTGTTGCAAATAAAAGACAATGGCGAACCAGAAAACAGAGGCACATGACAAACTTGTATTCTTCCAGGGTCTACATCTTGCTGAAATTTTGCTAGCATTGACTCCATAACTTGCATTTGCTGTTGTTCAAGTGAGTAGATTAGTGAAAACACTAAGCAGATACATATTCACTATAGTGAATATGCCATTTTTCGAGAATGTCATTTTTAAAGAATTATCTTTTCCTGTTTGTTTCCATTCAATTTTGAGCTACTGTCTATAGTTTTTTTTAATAATCAGTGTTCCTTTTTTATATGTGAATTCTACTTCAGTAGATGCCGTATCTGAGTATAAGGAAACATTTATTTAGAATCCATTTTATGCCTTTTTGATAAGTTTGTTTATATACCACATTTATCAGTTATTTTTATTTATTTTAATATTTATTTACATAGTATTCACATCCATCCTGGAGAACTGTTGCATCTTAGTTTTTGATTTTCTTATTTCTATAAGAATAGCACTGGTTATGTAGAAAATATTAAGTATATAGTAAAAGAGAAATTGCCATGAGATTAGGAGATTAAATTCCCTTTGTTAAATGTACTCACTGTGTTACTGTGTTGATATATAAGCTCCAAAATGGCATGGGATGTTCATGAAAATAGATTTACAAGTGGACATTAAAGTATAAATCACATAAGTCACATAAAAATCTGTCTTATTTTTTGGCTCACTGTTTTTTCACTGCTAACTAAGGGTATAGTCTTCACTTTGCTAAAGAGAATGTTTATAAGCCTCTAACTGATAATAATCACTCTTGAGACCAACACAATGAGAATAAGAGAAATAACTTAGTGGTAATTTGTTGTTTCATCTCTTAAAACTGAAAAATAATTATATATCATTTGAAAAGGAAATATCAGTTATCTCAATTGCCATATAATATAGTCCCCTGAGTGGAAGCAACTAATCACCTGGCAGAGACTGTTTACTTAAAATATACTTATAATGACCCAGTGGGTTACACAGCTATAGTAAATATTTTTCAATCAAAGTCACTGCAGAATTAGAAGCACTACAGTTCTCCTGTTCTGGCTGGCCCTTTCTGGAAGGATATTATTCCTATGACCATCATCAGAAATTGTGTTCACAAAATAAACAACAAAAGTTACAAAGAGTTTATGTTGCTTAGAAAACTAATAGATTTTTTTCTTTAATTTCACTACTGATGCTCTAAAGGCCATCTGTGCCTTGGAAACATAAACAAGCTTAGATTTTGGTGTCCATGAGTCTTTTAACCTTTTAAAATTTTTTTTTATTTCAATAGGATTTTTGGAAAACAGGTAGTGTTTGGTTACATGAATAAGTTATTTAGTAGTGATTTCTGAGATTTTGGTGCACCCATTACCTGAGCAGTGTACACTGTACCCAATGTGTAGTCTTTTATCCCTCATCACCTCCTACACTTTCCCCTGAGTCCCCAAAGTCCAATGTATCACTTATACCTTTCCATCCTCATAGCTTAGCTTAGTGTTTAGTTTTTCATTTCTAAGTTACTTCACTTAGAATAATAGTCTCCAGTTCCATCCAGGTTGCTGCAAATGCCATTATATGTTTCCTTTTTATGGCTGAGTAGTATTCCACAGTATATATACCATATTTTCTTTATTCATTGACTGATGGGCATTTGGGCTGGTTCCATATTTTTGCAATTGCAAATTGTGCTGCTATAAACATGCATGTGCAAGTATCGTTTTTGTATAATGACATCTTTTCCTCTGGGTAGATAATACCTAGAAGTGGGATTGCTGGATCAAACAGTAAATCTACTTTTAGTTCTTTAAGGAATCTCCACACTATCTTCCATAGTGGTTGTACTAGTTAACATTCCCACCAACAGTGTAAACGTGTTCCCTTTTTACCACATCCACACCAACATCTATTTTTTTATTATGGCCATTCTTGCAGGAGTGACTTGGTATTGCATTGTGGTTTTAATTTTCATTTCCCTGATAATTAGTAATGTTAGTCATTTTTCCATATGCTTGTTGGTCATTTGTAGATCTTCTTTTGAGAATTATCTATTCATGTCCTTAGCCCACTTTTTGATGGGATTCTTTGTTTTTTCTTGATGACTTGTTTGAGTTCTGTATAGATTCTGGATATTAGCCCTTTGTCAGATGTATAGATTGTGAAGATTTTCTCCCACCCTGTGGGTTGTCTGTTAACTCTGCTGATTATTTCTTTTGCTGTACAGAAGTTTTTTCATTTAATTAAGTCCTATCTATTTATTTTTGTTTTTGTTGCATTTGCTTTTGGGTTCTTGGTCATGAAATCTTTGCCTAAGCCAATGTCTAGAAGGGGTTTTCCAATGTTACCTCCTAGAATCTTTATGGTTTCAGGTCTTAGATTTAAGTCTTTGGTCCATCTTGAGTTGATTTTTGTATAAGGTGAGAGGTGAGAATTCAGTTTCATTTTTCTACATGTGGGTTGCCAATTATCCCAGCACCATTTGTTGAATAGGCAATTCCCATCAAAATACCACCATCATTCTTTACATAACTAGAAAAAACAATCCTAAAAGTTATATGGAACCCAGAAAGATCCCACATATCCAAAGCAAGACTAAGCAAAAAGGACAAATCTAGAGGCATCACATGAACTGACTTCAAACTATACTATAAGGCCATAGTCACCAAAACAGCATGGTACTGGTATAAAAACTGGCACATAGTCCAATGGAACAGAATAGAAAGCCCACAAATGAAGCCAAATACTTACAGCCAACTGATCTTCAACAAAACAAACCAAAACATTAAGTGGGGAAAGGACACCATATGCATAAGTCTTAAATGTAGCTTGGAATCCAATCTGTGCTCACATGAGGTGTTAAAAGTACAATTGTTGGTAAAAATAAGAGATAAGCTTGTCACAATGGCAAGTGTAGAACTTGCTAATACTATGAGTTTCCATTTCAAACACTTAAAGTGCATTGATCTGTGTTTGCTTCTGCACTAGCAAGTGAAAAATAAATATTTGTGGAATGAAATTGGTGAAGCCAATTTCTCCCCATATTCAACAGTAATCACAAGAATCTTTAACTTCCAGTTATGATCATTTTGAATAAGTAATTTGTTTTCAAAATAGCCTTCCTTCCCAGACAGGGTACTTACCCACACTACAGGAAAGCTTCCTGAGTAAAAGCTTCTGCAGGGTATCTATGAAAAAGCGCATGTGTCCGGTGATGTATTCGAATTCCTCTACAGCAGGTTATTTCTGGTTCTGTTGGATTGAGGGGTCTGAGGAATCAGTGAAGTTGAGGACTGCCACCCAACCAAGTTTACAAATTCCTGAACCACATAGGGGGAAGCACCACCCTTTGTTTTGTCCAGGTGGTATAATGCCCTGTCTCTCCTTCACTTTGAGAAAGGAGTTCTGAGAAGAGGGGTACTATTACAAAGTCACAAAATGATGAACTAGTTCTTTCAGACTAATTAATAATTGTGACATCAATTTGCATGTGCCATGAATAGAATTTTTATTATTTACTATTGGAGCACAGAGGAAAAGTAGTTGTAACCATTACTTGTGATTGGAGGGACAGAAGTGGTGGCCAACAACCTCCAAGCCCCAGGAGGGAACAACAGGTATCAAGAATATGCAATGCAATATCCAGCAAACCACAAAGGGAATGGGAGATATGAGTGGGATTTCTCCTTAGTGATTCTATTATATATGAGGAAAAAAAATATTGCTTGTGCATAGAGAGATGAAAAATGATAGTTCCCTAAGAATTCAGATTCCATTAACATGGAATGTGAACATGGGTCATGCTAATATCCCCAGTTATTTACATTCCAAATCCCAAAGGCTATTTCCACTTTTCATTCTCCTGAATTTCTCCCTAACAGTTAATACTAAGGGCACCCTACCATATAGAATTCTCTCCTTTGGTATCTTCCCATTCATCTTAATGAAAACACCAAAATTTCAGTGTCCTTTGAATGTTGTGATTGACATGCTTCCATACTCAAATTTCCTGGAATTAATCTATAAGTAGAGCTCTTGTCTCCATTTTCCTGTCCACTTACTGCAAAACAAAGTCAACACTATCATAATGTGTCTGTCTCATAAAACAATGAGAGGAAAGGACTCTGACTTTTATGTTTTTAGCTCTTCATATTTTGCTTCCTTTCTGTATTCTTTCATTTCTTCTTGCTGCTTAAATTTTGGTGACTTTCAGAATTCTCCGCTAGGTCCTATTCCAATCCTGCTCCGTATATCTTCTCAGGGTGATCTGCAACATGCCTAAGATTTCCAGTATGGCAATTAATCTCAAATGTAGAACTGTAGCACTGACTTCTCTATTGAAACCCTGACCCATATTCCCCATTTCTTATTGTAAATCTTCATCTTAATATGCATCAGATCTCTCAACCACAGTGCTTCCAAATCTGAACTCATGTTCTCCACCAGGAAAGGCTCTACCCTTATTTCATTACCTGGGTTAATACTGTCACTAGCTTTGTAGGATGCTTTTCAATGGACTGACCTTAGTTATTTGCATCCATTCTATTTTAATTCCCATGTTCATGGTTTAGGAGAATTAGATACTCCAATGACAATAGGAATTGATATAAAGAGAAAAAAATTCTAAAAGTCAAGGCCTATTTATTGACAATTTTGAAAATATAATTGTTTTGATTTCCCCACCTCCTAATGACAATAAGGATCCTCTGCCTCTTTCAGCACCAGCCATCTCCTTTTTCCCCTAATCCCTCCAGATTCTTCCTTCCTATCTTTGGAAAATGTCTTAGATGTGAGGCTAACTAGTACTACAGCAGGCTTAGTCTATGGCAAGGATTTAGACTTCAAAAACTGTTATCCTGCCAGATCCTTTTGATCAGACATACACTGGCTTCTCATCTACCCCAGGCCATGGACCAGTACTGGTTTGTGGCCTATTAGGAACCAGGCCACACAGCAGAAGGTGACAGCAAGTGATACCACCTGAGCTCTGCCTCCTTTCAGATCAGCAGTGGCATTAGATTCTCATAGGACCACAAACCCTATTGTGAAATGCTCATGCCAGGGATCTAGGGTGTGCACTCCTTAAATGAGTCAGGCATTAAATGAGAATTTAATGCCTGACAATCTGAGATGGAACAGTTACATCCTGAAACCATCCTGGCTATGGAAAAACTGTCTTACATGAAACCAGTCCTTGATGCCAGAAAGGTTGGATACTGCTACTTTAAACTATTTCACCAGTTTTTGGAAAGGGTCAGGTTTTATTTCTTACTAACTTATGTGCTCCAAATAAGCTACTAAAGTGATCTACTAATTATGAACTGCTGTATCTTAGAGAGGCAATATTAATAAATTAGAACACATTCCTGTCTGGGTCATGCTGATCAGGAAAATATTTTTTATTCATACTATATTTGGGGTCAGACTATTTTTACTATCTAAACTTTAAATATTATTATGGCCCTCGCTTTCATTTTCATAAGGAGAAAAATTAAAATGTCCCAACTCCTCCCTTTCTGGGGGGTCTGAATGTCCAAGCTTAGATAACTACCAAAATCACTTTTTAAAATGACCACAGATTAGCCTCATTCCTTAGACTAGAATTTTTGTTGTCATTATCAACTCCTCTTTTCCCTTCCTTTCTACATCCTGTTGTTTATGAGACCTGTTGATTCCACAATAAAAAGTCTCTTGTATCTGGTTATTGCAATTTGCTCCACAGCTTGGCATTTGCAGTCTTTCAAAAGACTCACCTTCTGATTCCCATTTTTATACCCTACATTTGTGCTTTACTATACTCCAAACAGGTCTTCACTTTTCACTATTGATTGTGTCCCTGGCTACTAATTTGTAAAAGCCTTCCAGCCTTTTTTTTTTATCTTCAAAAACCTCATCCTGCAAGACCCAGCTTAAATTTGGCAAGAAAAGAAGAAAGACATATCTTTGCTTACAATATGGTAATTTCTCAGTGTAAGTTCCAAAAGAGCAGGAATCATGATTATGTCATTTTTGATACAGTGCTAATGATTCTATATCATCTTTCACATATAAAAAAATAAATGGCACATGTTAGCTGCTAAATAGATCTAACATGAATAATGATGAATAATAAATAATCACAGGTTTTAGTTCCAGTCAAAATGGAGTAAGCAATTTCCAGTCTATGTCTTTAACTGAATGGAACTAAATACCCTAGAGAGTATGTATGGAATAGCCATCTAAAAAGTGAACTGGGAAATACAAAAATACTTGGAGAGTAAACAGCACACTTCCTGCAAAATGGCAAATCTAATAGTTATTGGCCTTAAAGAGGAGATAGAAAAAGAGATACAGGGGTAGAAAGTTTGTTCAAAGGGATATCAGAAAACTTCTCAAACTTAGAGTTATTAGCATGCAAGTACAAGGATGTCACAGAACACCAAGCACATTTAACCCAAGAGTACTACTTCAAGGTGTTTAATAATCAAATTCCCCAAGGTCAAGGATAAAGAAAGGATCCTAAAAACAGCAAGAGAAAAGAAACAGATACTATACAATGAAGCCCCAATATGGCTGGCAGCTGACTTTTCAGTGGAAATCTTACAGGCTAGGAGAGAGTGGCATGACATATTTAAAGTTCTGAGGGAAAAAAAAAAAAAAAAAAAAAAACAACTTTTACCCTAGAGTAGAACATCCAGGGAAAATGTCCTTCAAGCATGAAGGAGAAAGAAAGATGTTCCCAGACAAACAAAAGCTGAGGGATTTCATCAACACCAGACCTGTCCTACAAGAAATGCTTAAGGGAGTTTTTCAATCTGAAAGAAAATGGTGATAATGAGCAAAAGAAATCATCTGAAGGTGCAAAACTCATTGGTAAAAATTAGCACACAGGAAAACACAGAATATTATAACACTGTAATTGTGGTATGTTAACTACTATTATCTTAAGTAGAAAGACTAAATGATGAACCAATTAAAATAATAACCTCAACAACTTTTAAAGACATAGTTCAATAAGACATAAAGCGAAACAACAAAAAAAATTTAAAAGTGGGAGGATGAAGTTAAAGTGTAGATTTGTTGTTTTCTTTTTCATGTTGATTTTTTTGCTTATGCAATCATTGTGAAGTTGTCATCAGTTTAAAGTAATGGGTTATAAGATAGTATTTAAAAGCCTCATTGTTTTTCAAATCAAAAAACATACAACAGATACACAAAAGGTAAACAGCAAGAAGCTAAATCGTACCATCAGAGAAAATAACCTTCATTGAAGGGAAGACAGGGAGGAGGGAAAAAAGAGACGACAACCAAACAATTAGAAAACAAATCACAATGTGGCAGGAGTCAGCTCATACGTATCAATAATAACATTGAATGTCAATCTACTAAACTCTCCAAAAGACATAGAGTAGATGAGTGGATAAAAAAGGAGACACATTGATCTGTTGCCTACAAGAAACACACTTCACCTATATGTTGGGTCAATATATATCCACAATTGATATATCCTCTTGCAGAATTGAACCCTTTATCATTATATCATGACCACCTTTGGTTCTTCTTACAGTTTTTATCTTGAAATCTCCTTAGTCTGATGTAAGTATAGCTGCTCCTGATCTTTCTTTGGTTTCTATTGGCATAAAATATCTTTTTCCATCCTATTATTTTTAGTCTATATGTGCCTTTATAGGTAAAGTGTGTTTCTTTTAGGCAACAGATTAATGTGTTTTCTTGTTTTATCCACTTAACTACTCTATGTCTTATGATTGTGCAGTGTAGTTCATTGACATTCGATGTTATTATTGATATATATGGACTGACTCCTGCCACTTTGTGATTTGTTTTCTGGTTGTTTTGCCTGCCTGCCGACCTTCCTGCCTGCCTGCCTGCCTGCCTGCCTTCCTTCCTTCTTTCCTTCCTCTTTTCCTTCCTTCCTTCCTTATCTTGTTTCCTGATCTTCTTCTTTCCTTCCTTCATATTCCTTTTAGTAAAGGTGATTTTCTCTGGTGCTATGATCTAGTTTCTTGCTTTTTACTTTTTGTATATTTGTTGTATGTTTTTCAATTTGAGGTTACAATGAGGCTTTAAAATGCAGTCTTATAACCCATTACTTTACACTGATGACAACTTCACACTGATGGCATAAACAAAGAAGCAAAAAGAAAACTCAGGAAAACTCTACACTTTAACTTCGTTCCCCTGTTTAGCTTTTTGTATTTTTCTATTTATCTCTTATTGTACTGTCTGTGTCTGGAGAAGTTGTTGTAGTTACTGTTTTTTATTGGTTCATCATTTAGTCTTTCTACTTACCAGTAGTTTATACATCGCTATTATAGTGTTATAATATTTTGTATTTTTCTGTGTGCTCAGTATTACCAATGAGTTTTTTGCCTTCTGATGATTTCTTATTGCTTGTTAATGTCCTTTCCTTTCAGACTGATGGACTTCCTTAAGCATTTCTTGTAATACAGGTCTGGCATTGATAAATTTCTTTAGCTCTGGTTTGTCTCTGAAGGTCTTTATTTCTCCTTCATGTTTGAAGGATATTTTTACTTGACATACTATTCCAGGATAAGTTTTTTTCCTTCAGGACTTTATGCCATTCTACTCTCTCCTGGCCTGGAGGGATTCCACTGAAAAGTTTGCTGTGAGACATATTAGAGCTCCACTGTATGCTATTTTTTAAAAAAATTTCCTTTATCTGCTTTTTGGATCCTTCCTTTATCCTTGGTATCTGGGAGTTTTATTATTAAATACTTTGAGGTAATCATCTTTGGGTTAAATCTGCTTGGTATTCTATAGCCTTCTTGTATTTGAATAGTGATATTTTCCCCCTAGGTTTAGGAAGTGTTAGGTTTTCATCTCTTTGAATAACCTTTCTACCCCTATCTCTTTCTCTACCTCCTCTTTAAGGTCAATAGCTCTTTAAGATTTTCCCTTTGAGGCTATTTTCTAGAACTTTTAGGTATGCTTTATTCTTTTTTTCCTTTGTCTCCTCTGATTGTGTATTTTCAAAAAGCTTGTCTTCAAGATCACTAATTATTTCTTCTGCTGGATCAATTCTGCTATTAAAAGGCTACGATGCATTCTTCAGCATGCCAATTGCATTTTTCAACTCCTGATTTTCTGCTTGATTCTTCTTAATTATTTCAATCTCTTTGTTAAATTTTCTGATGGATTTCTGAATTTCTTCTCCGTTATGTTGAATTTCTTTGAGTTTCCTCAACACAGCTATTTTGAATTCTGTTGGAAAGGTCACGTATCTCTGTTTCTCCCAGATTTGTCCCAGTCTTACTTATTTGGTGAGGTCATGTTTCCCTGGATGGTGCTGTTGCTAGCAGATGTTCTTCAGTGTCTGGGCATTGAAGGGTTGGGTATTTATTGTAGTCTTCAATGTCTGGGCTTATTTGCAGCCATACTTCTTGAGATGGCTTTCCAGATATTTGAAAGGACTTGATGTTGTCATCTAAGCTGTATCTGCTTTAGGGGGCACTCCAAGCCCAGTAACACTGTGGTTCTTACAGACTTGTGAGGTACTGCCTTGATGGTCTGGGACAATATCCAGAAGAATTTTCTGGACTACCAGGCAGAGACTCTTGCTCTCTTCCCTTACTTTCTCCCAAACAGATATTCTCTCTGTGTGTTGAGCTGCCTGGAGCTAGAGATGTCATGACACAAACACTCCTTGTTCACTATTGCTGGCACTGCACTGGGTCATACCTGGAGTCAGCACAGCTCTGTGTCTCACCCAAAGCCCACTGTAACCACTATCTGGCTACCTCCTGTATTACCTCAAGGCACTTGGCCTCTGCAACCAGCAGTTGGTGAAGTGAGCCAGGTTTGTGTCCTTCCCTTCAGGGCAATGAGTTTTGCCAGGTGGGTCCAGAGATGCCATCTGGGAGCTGGGCACTGGAGTCAAATACCTTAGAAATCTACCTGGTGCTTTCTTCTACTGTGGCTAAGCTAGTACTCAAACCACAAAATAAAAGTCCTTCCCACTCTTCCCTCCCCTTTCTGTAGGCAGAAGAATCCCTACCCTTGGCCACCATCACCAGAGACCCACATGTGTACTGCCAGGCTACTACCAATGGTCACTTAAGTCTCAAAATCTCTTCAGTCAGCTTGTGGGAAATGCTACCTTGCCTCAGACTCACTCTTCAGATCAGTGGCCTTCCCTCTGGCCCAGGACAGGTCCAAGAATGCCATCTGAGAGTCAAGTCCTAGAATTAGGGACTCCAAGATCCCGCTGTGTGTTCTATCCTACTGCCGCTTAACTAGTACCTAAGGTGCAATACAAAGTCCCTTTTACTTTTCCCTCTGCTTTTTTCAAGGAGATGGAGTCTCTTACCATAGCCACCACAGCTGGGAATGTGCTGGTCTGAGGCAGGGCCTGGATAGACGGTAGCCAGGGGCCTCTCAAAGGCAGCAGCAGCACGGACAACACCTCTGTCAGCTATGGAGCTATTTTAAGTTCACAGCCTTAATAGTATTGTATCCATTTGTCCAGGGGTACAATGGGGCTGGACAGGAGTGAGAGAACAGTCCCCACTCTGCCCCCAGTGAGGTGCCCAGGAGGGGACGATGTGAGCCTGAAGTTACAGATGGCTCAGTTCTAAGAAAAACCTGAAATCCAAATGCTTATATGGAACTATCTGACATGTAAATCACTCTGCAGCCCCCACATGCATGTGAGGATGGAGAGGATGGGAAGCGTTACAGGCTGGAAGGCTACTTATCAGGTACTATGCTCACTACCTCTGTGATAGAATCATTTGTACACCAATCCTCAGTGATGCACAATTCACCCAGGTAACCTGTGCATGTAAACTCTGAAGCTAAAATAAAAGTAGAGGAAAAAGCTAAATAAGCTAGACTTCATTAAAATTAAAAACTTATGCTCTGCAAATACAATGTCAAGAGAATGAAATGAGAAGCCAAAGACTAAGAGAAAATATTTGCAAATAACAAATCTGATAAAGGAGTCTTACCCAAAATATACGAATACTTAAAACTCAACAGTAAGAAAATAAACAAACTGATTAAAAAATGGACAGAAGACATGAACAGAAACCTTGCCAAAAATGACATAGATTTACACAAATAAGCGTATGAAAAAAATGCTCAAAATCATACATCCCCAGACAATTACACATTAAAAAGAGCAATGAGATACTTCTACACACATATTAAAATGGCCATTAACAGCACCCAACACAATTACAGCATCAGCTACTGGTAAGGATGTAAAAGTGGGAATGCAAAAATGGTACAGCCACTTTGCAAGACAGTTTGGTAGTTTCTTACAAAACTAAACATACTCTTTTCATACAATCCAGCAATGATGCTCCTTGGTTCTTATCCAAAAAAGTTGAAAACATATCCACACAAAAACCTGCAAATGGATGTTTATGATAGCTTTATTTCATAATTGCCAAAACTTAGAAGCATCTGAGGTGTACTTAAGTAGGCAAGTGGATAAAACAGATGTGGTACACTGAGGCAATAGAATATTATTCAGCACTAAAAAGAGATGTGCTGTAAAGGCACAATATGACATGTAGGATACTTATGTACATATTACTAAGTGAAAGACGCTGATAAGAAACAACCACATACTGGATGATTCCAACTACATGAAATTAAAGAAAAGGCAAAACTATGGAGACAGTAAATATATTAGTGGTCACCAGTGGTTAGGGCTGAAGGAGGAATAAACAGACAGACTATACAGGATTTTTAGGGCAGGGAAACTACTCCTTGTTAAACAAACCCACAGCCTCAGGCAGGGACTCGAGCAACCCTTTTCTTGGGAGGAAGAAACCTCTAGATTTCAGGAGTGCCCTCCAGTGGTTGCTCTGCTGTCTAACTAATCCTCTACTGATTTCCCCAAGGCTGACTGGGGCAGCACTTCTTGCAGATCTAAAACCCAGCTGAAAACTGAGGTAGGATCTTCTCACTTATAGGAAAAGTCCTCGATCACTGCATAGACAGGCTAAAACTGATGAGTGCTTTGGGTCAGAAAGTTTGTGGGGTTTGGTGGCTTTTTTTTCTTTTCTTTTTTTTTTTTTTTGGTTTTTCATATCATGCACACCACTTGCCTACTCAACTCCAAAAACAACATTCTGTCACAGCAATTACCAGGGAAAAACATGAGGTGGAAAAATCAGAGTAATGTCTCCCCTTGGGGTGGAGATTATATACCCCATTATATACCCATATAGTATGCTACTATAACGGTGCATATATGTTGTTATTTGTCAAAACCCATGGAATATACACTACCAAGAATGAACCCTAATGTAAACAATGGAATTTTAGTAATAATGATTGTGTCAATACAGGCTCATCAATTATAATAAATGTGCCACTGTGGTTTGGGATGTTGATTGTGAGGGAGGTTGTGCAAGTGCGGTAACAGGAGATATATGGGAATTCTCTGCTCAGTTTTGCTGTGAACCTAAATCTGCTCTAAAAATAAAGTTTATTAATTAAAAATAAACCGTAGCTTATAGATTAGGAAAAAAGCTGTAATTTGATTTAGTATTAAATTGGGGTGTTTCTATGTTTTCATTTTTCTTTGCTTTTCCTTTAGTTTTTAACTCTAATATTGCTTGACCTGGACTCAAAGGCAGCCTGAAGTTGAAAACTGCACACTGGGTATAGAAGGAAAAATCTCCAGGAGAAAGCTTCTATTTCTGGTCTGAGAAGCAAGAAAACCAGCCCCTGAGGGTCAGAGAGAGGTGGTTAAATCCTCTGGTTTTTGTTTGGTTTGGTTTATTCTCTCTCATCTCAAACCTAGAAAATCCTATGGTATTGAGATGATAGGAGTAGCCATGCAGGAAACTAACACAAAGAGGGAGGGGAACATTCCTCTTGGGCCAGAAAAATATATTCTCAAGAACATAGGAGAGAACGTCCTTTGCTCTTTTATTTCCCTATATCCTCATGTTGCTCAGCCCCAGAGGCAAAACTGGTCAAAGAAAATATCTGGCAGAGAGAGGAAACTGAAGCCCTGTCTCTCTAGTCATAGGACTAGGAAAAATGTCCTTGAGAGCTAGATAGTGCCAAAGAGAAAGGAGGGAGCTCAAGAAAGTGATTTTATAGAGTTATGTATGAACTTCTGAGCTAACTCCCAACCTACAAATGCTTGGATCTGACCTAAAACAGCATGCCAAAGGCTTTGAGACCTGCACTACTTGGGTAGGTCACTGTGCAGGTCCCAGAATGGACATTATGTGGCACACATGCAGGACAGACCTGAACAGCACTACAAGGCTTTGGTAAATGAACTGATGTTGGAAGCACAGAGCACAGGAAGGAACTTACAGCCTGGACCTAACCAGGCCGATTGCCTGTTAAAACAACAACAAATTGCCAGGCGCAGTGGCTCACGCCTGTAATCCCAGCACTTTGGGAGGCCAAGGAGGGTGGATTGCGAGGTCAGGAGTTCAAGACCAGCCTAACCAATATGGTGAAACCCCGTCTCTATTAAAAATACAAAAATTAGCCAGACATGGAGGTGCACACCTGTAATACCAGTTACTCAGGAGGCTGAGGCAGGAGAATCGCTTGAACCCAGGAGGTGGAGGTTGCAGTGAACCGAGATCATACCATTGCACTCCAGCCTGGGTGACAGAACGAGACTCCGTCTCAAAAAAAAAAAAAAAAAATCAATATTCTTCATAAGATTTAAACAAGACCGAGGGTCTTATAACAAAATATTCAAAATGCCTAGAATATAATCAGAATTATTGAACATATGAAGGACTAGAAAAACATCAGTAAAAACCAACAGACTCTAAAAACTAGAGCTACCACAGATTTTGGAATCATTAGATGAAGACTTTTAAAGCAACTATTATTACCTTGCTCTATGAAGTAAAGGTGGCCACAACAGAAAAATCATGTTATAATAAAGAACCAAATGAAAATTTCACTACTAAAAATAAAATAGCTGAAATATAAACATTCCCTGGATGAGCTCAGTACAGGAATGGAGAGCACAGAAGAGTAAGTCAACTTGAATACAAGTCAATAGGAATAAGATACTCTGTATGTTATGCCCTACTAAAATGTAACCATAAAATGCAAAAACAAAGGACACATTCTTTTAACAATGTAAAAAAAAATGAAACCTTAACCACATATATCCCAAATGCCAAAGCACTTATATATTTGCTTTAACGTTTATATATTTAAATATAAAATTTATCTTTTTAAAAGTTTTGGTTAAAAATGAAATCAGTACTGAAATTGAAGAATATCAAGACAACAATGAGTCACGGATAAGCTACATATAAAATTTACAAATAGAAATAAATCTGTGTTCAAAGTAAAATTTATTGCTTTGATTCTAAAAGTGAACGATATAATTTACATATAATTAGCACTCAATATAAAAAAGCATAATCACGACATGTACTGAAAAATTAAAAGGAAGTAAATATTTAAAGAAAAAAATTAAAGATGATTGAAAATGGAATTGGTAAATGTAGGATACTTTGAAAAACAAAGCCTATAAATTAGATAATGCATTCTATAGTCTAATTTTAAAAAGAAGTCATAATTTTTTAACATTAGAAATGAAAATAGAAAGTAAAACACAGATATAAAATGAAAAGAAATATTAGCGAATAATAGCTTAAGCACAATGCAAATAAATTTGGATTTTTTAATTTGTGGAAAAAACGTTAAATCTATAGCAATTAGAACAGATGGAAGAAAATTTAAAGATTGCCTTAAATCCCACTGATGAATGTATGTGGGAATTCTTGCTTTTTGGTATTCTATTATCTTAATATGAAGTGGGGAATTAAGGAGGTAAAACTTGAAAGAACATAAAAGTATTGAAAAGATCAGGTCTTGTCTGATCCATTACCCATATTCATATAAATAAATAAATAGCAAAATCAGCACAGTCAACAATTTCAAAGATGGTTTATTTCAAGAATAAAAATTTTAATGTTACTTAAGGTATCTCAATTTATAAAGAGAGATGTAAAACTCCTGTTCATTTTAAGGTTTATTCCAACATAAACAGCAAAATTTAAAAAGAGCCCCAAAATAAAACTGTAATGCCATTGTACTTACAAATTTTAAGAAACTTATAAGCATAATTTAGAAATAAGTTTAAAAAGCAATATGCCATGACAAAAAGAGGCTTATTTTAGAAATGTCAGAATGTTACAATATGAGAAAATGAATTCGTATACTTCACCTATTGAAGACTGAGGGGCAAAAAAATTATATGGTCACCTCAATGAAAGCTGAAGAAGATTTTGATTATTTCCCAATTTAATATAAACTTACTAAAATATAAGTAGATGCTTATGTCTTTGATTTTTAATAACTACATAGCAAAACTGAAAGCCAAAATTATATACAGTCATATACTGCATAATGATGCAGTTAACAACTTACCACATGTATGATGGTGGTCCCATAAGATTATAATACCTGGCTGGACACGGTGGCTCACGCCTGTAATCCTAGCACTTTGGGAGGCTAAGGTGGGCGGATTGCCTGAGCTCAGGAGTTCAAAACCAGCCTGGGCAACATGGTGGAACCCCGTCTCTACTAAAAATACAAAAAAATTAGCCTGGCGTGGTGGTGTGTGCCTGTAGTCCCAACTACTCAGGAGCTGAGGCAGGAGAATGGCTTGAACCTGGGAGCAGAGGTTGCAGTGAGCCAAGATTGCACCACTGCACTCCACACTCCAGCCTGGGAGACAGTGAGACTCTGTCTCCAAAAGAAAAAAAAAAAAAAAGATGATAATACCTTACTTTTACTGTACTTTTTATATGTTTAGAAACACAAATACTTATGACTGTGTAACAATTGCCTACCGTATTCAACACAGTAACATGGTGTACAGGTTTTGTAGCCTAGGAGCAATAAGCTTTACAATATAACCTGAAAACTATAATGTATATATATGCAAACATAATATACATAATGAAACTATGCCAAGGCATATCTTTAAAAAACTGCTAAAAACAAAAAAGCAACAGAAAATCTTAAAAGAAGCCAGAGGAATAAGACACATTAGCTAGAGGAACAAAATAAAGAATGCCAACAAACTTCTTATCAAAATTTATGCAGACAAGATATATTCATTCATGTACCTCATCCAAGGACATTTCTGTCAACAATGGAACACATATACGATGGTGATGCCATAAGATTATAATATCATATTTTTACTGTACTTTTTCTATCTATTAATATATATCTATCATGTATCTGTTTATTGAGACAGGGTCTCACTCTGTCACCCAGGCTGGAGTGCAGTGGCACAATCACAGCTCACTGCAGCTTGGACCTCACCAGGCCTAGGGGATCTTCTTGTCTCAACCTCCCGTGTAGCTGGGACTACAAGTGCCACCACGTCCAACTAATTTTATAATATTTATAGAGACGGGGTTTCGCCATGTTGCCCAGGCTGGTCTCTGACTCCTGGGCACAAGCGATTTGCCCACCTCGGCCTCCCAAAGTGCTGTGATTTCAAGTACGAATCACCATGCCCAGCCTCCTTTTCTATTTAGATATGTTAAATACAAAAATACTTAGGATTGTTTTACATTTGCCTACTGTGTTCAGTACAGTAAGATGTTGTACAGGTTTATAGCATAGGAACAATAAGCTATACCATATAGCTTAGGTGTGTAGGTGACTATACCATATTGGTTTGTGTAGGTGCATTCTATGATGTTCACACAAGGATGAAAGCACCTAACAAAGCATCTCTCAGAATATATCCCTATCACTAAGTGACATGTGATTGTACAATAAATACTGAAAAACAAGAATAATTTCCATTATAACCAGGAATACAAAGATGCCCACTAACACTGCCATCATTTACATTTACTCTGAATGTATAGTTTATGATCATTAAAAAGGCAAGAAAAGACATAAAACTGGAAAGGAACAGCCATTTTCATTATTAGCAGATAATTGCATACTTGGACAACTTAAGGGAATAACTTGAATATTGTTAAAAAATACCGAAACAGTAACAATATTCAGTAAGAGGTCCTATTACAAACTACTATTCAAACCTTAATTTTTTGTACAAGTAGTTTTAAAGATGAAAACATACTATTTACAAGTGAACATAAACATATAAAATGCAAATACACCTAACATGAAGTGTGTAGACTTTATGTAAAGAAAATTATAAAATTCTGGCAGGAGACATGTAGTCTTCAATTAATGGAAAGACATCTACTTTTCTTGGATAGAAAGACTCTCAGTATTTTATAGATGTCTACTCTCCTGAACTTAATCCATAAATTTAATGTGATTCCAACAAAAATACCTGCAGGACTCTGAAAGTAGTCAAGCTAATTCTACAGCCAAACAAACACATAAGAATAATCAAAAATAATCTGTAAATGTATAATGCAGTGAGAAAGTATTATTTGTCATCTATAATGTTGATTATAAAATTTATTTTAAAAGTTTTGCCCTGGCTTCTTAAAAAACAAGCAGATACCAAATGGAACATATTAGAGAATAAAGAAGTACGTATAAATAAAAACAGAAATTTAGTATAAAATGGTAGAATTCCTATGCAATAGTGAAAAAATGTATGTAAACAATACTGCTGTGACAACTGGCTGGCTATTTAAAAAAAAAGCTGGATTCCTACTTGTTAAATTATACAATAGATTACTTTTTAAGTAAATTACATACTTTATTTCTTAAATAAAACTTATAAATTCTGGATTAACCAAAATCATAGTAATCATTGAAACAGTAACTCCAGCAAATATTTTTTCCTCTTTGGCTCTCCAGCATTTCCCCTGATGGAAGGGACAGCTGTTATACTGTAATGGAAACATTCTAAATTTGTGTGTAATTTCCTTGCTCGCCATGCTTCTACAGCACCATCATTCCTGGCCTTATATAAAATTGTTTCTGAGCAATTAATTTATATATATATATGTTTCTGTATATATGTGTGTGTGTGTGTGTGTGTGTGTATATATATATATATATATATATATATATGTATGATATAGCAATTGGTTACTGTTCATAGAATTTACTAAGTTTTCTCTGTAGTCCTGTACTAAAATACAGCTACAACTATAGCTATTTGGACATTTGGAATGGGCATTGAAGACAGTTTTGTACACTTGAAAGCTGATAATGTTTCCAGTTGGGTACGCTCAAGGAATAAAAATACTTTGAGCTTTTAATCAAAACATGGCTACAATATACTGGTCAAGGAACTGGAGTTGAAAGTGAGGAAATAAGAGTGGTATTTCTCACAATTCTATCTACTGATTTCCTTGCAAAAGTCTTGTGACTTGGGATCTGCCAGTTTGGATCTTATTACTCCCCCAAAAGAATGCTTCCACCAGGAGACTCCAATGTGTTTCTATTGAATTAGAAGCTAATACAGCCATTTGCCCATTATAGGATCTTATGACTCTGGGAGAATAGATAAAAAGCAGGTGTGTGTTGTTGAGTGAGGTGATTAAACCAGACAATCAAAAGACATTTGAGTTGTAGATGCAGGGGAAATTGTAAATAAAATCAGGGCATAGCCTGAAGTGCCCCTTACAGTCTCTAGGTCAGGTAAGTTAATGGAGGCTGGGCACGGTGGCTTGCACCTGTAATCCCAGCACTTTAGGAGGCAGAGGTGGGCGGTTCACCTGAGGTCAGGAGTTTGAGACCAGCCTGTCCAACATTGTGAAACCCCATCTCTACTAAAAATACATATATTAGCTGGTTGTGGTGGCGGCCACCTGTAATCTCAGCTACTCAGGAGGCTGAGGCAGGAAGAACTGCTTGAGCCCAGGAGGCAGAGGTTGCAGTGAGCGGAGATTGTGCCACTGCAATCCAGCCTGAGCAACAGAGTGAGACTCTGTCTGAGGACAAAAAAAAAAAAAAATGGTTAATGGAGACTACAGCAACCACAGGTAGGACCAACAAGTGCTCAGACCACTCAGGAATTGATATTTGGATATCTGGCACCAGGTATAGAACCCTAGTCAGCTGAGGTGCTGGCTAAAGCAAAATATCATATAATAAATCATAGAGGAAGTAAACCATAAATATGCAAAAAGCTTTCAGTGTCAGTTGAACATACTTGCATATTCTTCCTTGCTGTATTTATTTTTTCATATAGAGTATGGTGGTGGTGGTGGAGTTTACTGCTGTCTCCATATATTATGAAACAATCACGTGAAAGTATGATAGAACCATAGGAGGAGTGTATATCTCCCAGAGATCTTGGGCTTGGATCTGGAAGCAAAAATTGATGGGATTTCAGATTGATGACTTTTAGAGAGCAGTTGTGTATGTTTTTGTTGTTGTACTAAGGCTGCTTGAATTAGGCAGAAAATGGTATTTTGTTTTTTCTTTGTTTTTGTTTTTGTTTGTAAACAATTAGCACTCTTCTTTTGGGGCATCAAAGGTGAGTGATTATAATGGACATTTATCATTTTAGAGGGTACCAATCATATAATTCTCTATCTTGTGTTTGGGTAATCCTTTGCTTTGTGTCTCTGAGACTACTGCACTGTGTAAAAGCTAAAAATGCCTAATACTCTCTTTGGTAGTTTCTTTTCCATTGATAGCCCATGACTTAAATTCTACTAATCCATTGCCACATCATAGACTTTCAGTCAATAGTTTATGACATAAAGGCAATTGAGCCAGCATGTTTTCATTACAGTCAATATGGTAGTGGTTGTGGCAGTAACGTTCTCTTTTCAACAACAGCAGTGGCACAGCAGCCCAAGTGGTAGTATCCAGTGGCCAGTGATGAGTCAGTATAAGCCGAGGAGCCTCGGCTTAGTGGAGGTAGCAGTGATACTGATAGTGATCCAGTACCATGGCCTGATTTTAGATGCTGCTGACTTTCTTTTCTAGGTCTTCCAGGTTTCCTGGAGATTAGGAGTTACCCAACATCTTTTTAATAAATTATTTTTTTTGCTTAGTGTAACTAGAGTAAATTTCCACTGTTTTATAACTAAATATCCAGCTTTTTATGGATTTTTTTCTATTTGTATTTCACTCTTTCTGCCCTATTTAAGTATTTAGTGAGTCTTCCCACTCAGTGCCTAAGAAAAGGGATATGGATATAGTTTTTTTTTATGCTATACCCAGCCGTCTGAGTAAAGCAAAAATTTTGGCTTTGTTTTTTTAAAAATTTAAGCCTTGAAATGGGATTGATAAAATGTCTGGGACAGAATCAGGGATTGGTGTAGATTTTCTCAAAATGAAAAGAAATTCTTCAGCACTGAGAGAAGTAGAAGTAAGATCAAGAAAAGAGACATGAGAGTGATGCTTATTCAGGCTTTCTTAACATGCCCTTAATAACGCAGCAAGAGAGGAGAGGAAACGTCTGGAGAATGCGTCTAGGTAGATGAAGTCATGGGTGGTTTTAAAACAAAAGATTCTTATGTCCTAAGCGTGGCATTTTGTAAGCTGTAATTTCTGCTGGGCTGTGCTAAGGGGAGGAGAACCTTCTATGGACAAATGAATTGGTGATAACATGGGCTATTTTTTCAAACTTTGGCAGTGTAGGAGTTCCTAGAACCTTTTATAATCCCAGGGAGAAAAAAATGAAACATAAAGACTGGGATTAGGTTTCCCATCAACCAAGTGTGATAGGAATTCATAAGTTGATCCAAGAAAAGGTAAAATTATGATTTTATACTCTTGACTTTGTGAACTGAAATTCATGTACAGCATTAAATAAAAATGCAAAAATATTAAAATTCCAAAATTAAATATGGATTTTTATCATCTTAGATTAAGAACGATGTTCTTTAAAAGATAACTAAGTCAACAATAATAAAATAAACAACCCGATTTAAAAATGGCCAAAAGCCGGGCACAGTGGCTCATGCCTATAATCCCAGCAATTTGAGAGGCCAAGGCGGGTGGATCACTTGAGCCCAGGAGTTCGAGACCGTTCTGGGCAACATGGTGAAACCCTGTCTCTATAAAAAAAAAAATACAAAATTTTTTTGAGCTTAATAGGGCATGCCTGTAGTTTGTTACTTGGTGGGCTGAGGTGCCAGGATTGCTTGAGCACAGGGGGTTGAGGCTGCAGTGAACCGAAATTGTGCCACTCCACTTTAACCTGGGAGCCAGAGTGAGACCCTGTCTCAAATAAATAAAGACAAGACCAAAAGACTTTAACAGACGTCTCACCAAGGAAAATATATAGATGGCAAACAAGGACGTGAAAAGATTCTTCATATCATATCATCAAGGAAATGCAAATTAAAACAACACTGAGATCCTCTACACACCCATTAGCATGGCTAAAATCCAGAACACTGACAATACCCAATGCTTGTAAAGATATAGAGCAACTGGAACTTTCATTTATTGCTGGTGGGAATGCAACATGGTACAGCCACTTTGGAAGAGAGTTTGGCAGTTTCTTAAAAAGCACACTCTTACTATACAATCCAGCTAACCTAACATGCTCTTTGGTATTTACCCAAAAGAGTTGAAAGCTTATGTCTACACAAAAACCTGCATATGGATGTTTATAGCAGCTTTATTTATAATTGCCAAAAACTCGGAGCATACAAGTTGTCCAAAAGTTAGTAAATGGATAAATAAACTTTGGTACATCCCGAAAATGGAACACTATTCAGTGGTTTAAAAAAATGAGCTATCAGGACATGAAAAGACATAGGGAAAACTTAAATGCATATTACTAACTGAAAGAAGCCAATATAAAACAGCAATATACTGCATGATTCCAACTACATGACATTATAGAAAAGGCAAAACTGTGGAGACGGTAAAAAGATTAGGGGTTGATAGGGATTAAGTGTGAGGAAAGGATGAATAGGCTGAGAACATAGGAGTTTTAGGGTAGTGAAACTATTCTGTTTGTCATAAAGGTGGATACATGTGAAAATGCATTTGTTAAAACCCATAGAAAGCACACCACCAAGAGCGAACTATAATGTAAACTATAATTTTGATGTGTCAATGTAGGGTCATCAATTGTAACAAATGTACCCTCTAGTGAGGGATTTAGATAATGGGAGAGACTGTTCATGCGTGGGGAAGGGAGTATATGGGAAATCTCTTTTCCTCTCCATTTTGCATGAACCTAAACTGCTCTAAAAATTGTCTTAAAATATAGCATGCAGAAATATAACAATGATATTATAAAAATATACCAACATTGAAAGTAATGGCAAAAACTGCAATTACTTTTGCACTAACCTAATAGCAATTAAAAGATGCTACATCTGCAGACATCAAATGTTTAAATTTATACATAGCAATGATTTGTTATGTAAAGAATATTTTTACATGTATAGACTGTTTTTGCAGAGCACTCAAAGACCACTCTCTAATGGAAAGATGAGCTAAGACATAAAAAATTCAAATATTTTCTAACATATGAACATATATTCGATATTACTGACAATTATTACAGTGGAAATGAAAACATTCAGATACCATTGTTTCTCATGTTGGAGTAATCGTGGTACTAATAACAATACTAGTAATAGTAAACATTTACCAAGGATTTACCATGTGTCAGACTCTGTTCTAACATTTTATGTTTTTTTAAAATATAGATTTAGCGGGTGCATGTGCAGGTTTGTTACACGGATAGATTATGTACTGGTGGGGATTGGGCCTCTAGTATATCCATTACCCAAATAGTGAACATTGTACTTGATAGGTAGTTTTTCAACCCTTATTTCCCCTTTCACCATTTCCCCTATCCCCTTTTGGAGTCCCTAGTGTCCATTATTTTTGTCCATTTTATTCACCTTTATGCCCATGTGTACCCATTGTTTAGCTTCCACTTATAAGTGAGAACATGTGGTATGTAGCTTTCTGGATTAGTTCACTTAAGATAATGGCCTCCAGCTCCATTATGTTGCTGCAGGGAACATGATTTCACCTCAACGCACATGAACTAGAAAACTTAGAGGAAATGGATAAATTACTGGAAGTATATAATCTCCCAAGATTAAACCAGGAAAAAGTAGAAATCCTGAACAGACCAATAATGAGTAATGAAAATGAATCAGTAATTTAAAAGATCTTCCCACAAAAAGCAGCCCAGGACCAGATGGATTCACAGGTGAATTTTACTAGACATGCAAAGAAGAGCTGATACCAACCTTATTGAAAATATTCCAAAAAATCTCAGAGGAGGGTATTCTTGCCTAAGTCATTCCATGAAACCAGTATCATCCTGATATCAAAATCAGGAAAGGACACAATAAAAAGAAAACTACAGGCCAATATCCCTGATAAACGTAAATGTAAAAATCCTCAACAAAATATTAATACTAGTAAACCAAATCTAACAGCACCTCAGAAAGATAATTCATCACAATCAAGTGGATTTTATTCCAGGGATACAAGGATACATTTGCACATCAACAAATGTGATTTGCCCCATAAACAGAACTAAAAAAAACAATTAGTCATCTCCATGTATGCACAAAAGACATCCAATACATTCTAACATCCCTCATGATTAAAAAAAAAAAAAACCTAAAGAAACTAGGTACATCCAAAGGTATATACCTCAAAATTGTAAGAATGATCTATCTATAACAAACTCACAGCTAGCATGAAACTTAATGGATAAAAGTTGAAATTATTCCCCCTAAATATTGGAACAAGACAAGGATGTCTACTCTCACCATTTCTATTCAACATAGGATTGGAAGTCCTAGCTAGAGAAATCAGGCAAGAGAGAGAAAGAAAACATATCCTGTTCAGACAAGAGGAAGTCAAATTATCTCTGTTCACTGATGACCTGATTGTATAACTAGAAAACCCTAAAGATTCCTCCAAAAGTTTCCTACGCTTAATAAACGACTTCAGTAATGTTTTAGGATATAAAATCAATGTACAAAAATCAGTAGCATTTCTACGCACCAATAACATTCACACTGAGAACCCAACCAAGAACTCAATCCCATTTACAGTAGTAATAAAAAAAAACTGGAAATGCATTTAATCAAAGAGGTTAAAGATCTTTGCAAGGATGAATATAAGACACTGATAAAAAAAAACTGTAAATGACAGAAACAAATGGAAAAACAACCCAGGCTCGTGGATTGGAAGAAACAATATTGTTTAAATGACCATACTGCTGAAAGCAGTTTACAGATTCAACATAATCCCTATCACATTACCAATGTCATCTTTCACAGAATTAGAAAAAACAATCTTAAAGTTCATATGGAACTGAAAAAAAAGTCCAAATTGCCAAAGCAGTCCTAAGCATAAAGAATAAATATGGAGGCATCACATTGCCTGATTTCAAATTATATCACAAAGCCATAGTAACTATGAAACATGGTACTGGTACAAAAAGAGACGCATAGACCAATGGAACAGAATGGAAAATGCAGTAATAAAGTCACACATCTACAACCAACAGACTTTAATTTATTTAATAAATTAAATTATTTATTAGTTAATAAATTAAATTATTAATAATTATATAATAAATAATTGTATATTATAATTTATATGTAATATAAAAATAATTTTTATATTAAATAAATAAATATATTTAATTAATATAAAATAAATAATTTAAATTTAATAAATTAAATTATTTATTAAATACATTAATTAATCCATTTATTTAATTCTCACAAGAACTCTGAGGGGTAGTTATTTATTATTCCTCTGTAGATTTTAAGACTCATGATACAGGAATATTTGTCGGTTTTGTTCAGTTGGATCCTCAGTCCTTAGAACAGAATTTTGCAAAATTTTATGTTCAGTAAATGCATATTGATTGAGCAAATGTTTTACAAATGAGGAAAATGAGGCAAAGAGGCGGTAAGTGTCTTGCTGTGAAACACATAGCTACTAATGGCTGAGTTAATTTTTACACCTAAGCAGTCAACCACCAGAGTTTGAACTCCAAATTATTACCCTAGACAACTTCTCACAGAAAAACAGTTGGTAATATACAACATCGAGAAAGATATGAGTGAAAAGACATCAAAACCATTGTTATAACTTCTTTGCAGAACAGTTTGGCAGTGTATATATGAAAATAAAAATATACACATCCTTTAATTTCACAATTCTGCTCCAGACATACTCATGTATACAAAGATGTACTTAGAACTACATTGATTGATGCAGTGTATGTCATGACAAAAGACTTGAAAGAACCTAGGTGTTCGTAAGTCAGAAACTGGTTGGTTAAATTATGATGCTACTCTGCAATGTAATAGTTAAAAATACCATTATTCTGTAAATATGTGCTGATTTGGAAAGATCATTATTGAGGAAAAAATGCAGAGTCAAAGAAAATTCATGTATTTTGCTCCCATTTGCTTAAATTCATCTAGGATACTTTACCTATATCTTCCCATATCTATTATAAACATATAACACACACACACACACACACACACACACACACACACACACACACACAGTTATACATATGCATGTTTTTAATTTTTATTGAAGACAGATTTGAAGTCTCGTTTTGGAAAGAAGCCTATGTTTGATTGTTTGTTTTAGTAGTCTTAATTTTACCATGTGCAAGCATTACTTTTTTTTTCAAGTTTTAAATAAAAAAATTATTTTTATTATGCTTTAAGTTTTAGGGTACATGTGCACAACGTGCAGTTTTGTTATATATGTACACATGTGCCATGTTGGTGTGCTGCACACATTAACTCATCATTTAGCATTAGGTATATCTCCTAATGCTATCCCTCCCCACTCCCCCTACCCCACAACAGGCCCCGGTGTGTGATGTTGCCCTTTCTGTGTCCATGTGTTCTCATTGTTCAGTTCCCACCTATGAGTGAGAACATGCGGTGTTTGGTTTTTTGTCCTTGCGATAGTTTGCTCAGAATGATGGTTTCCAGCTTCATCCATGTCCCTACAAAGGACATGAACTCATCTTTTTTATGGCTGCATAGTCTTCCAGGGTGTATATGTGCCACATTTTCTTAATCCAGTCTATCATTGTTGGACATTTGGGTTAATTCCAAGTCTTTGCTATTGTGAATAGTGCTGCAATAAACATACATGTGCATGTGTCTTTATAGCAGCATGATTTATAATCCTTTGGGTATATACCCAGTAATGGGAAGGCTGAGTCAAATGGTATTTCTAGTTCTAGATCCTTGAGGAATCGCCACACTGACTTCCACAATGGTTGAACTAGTTTACAGTCCCACCAACAGTGTAAAAGTGTTCCTATTTCTCCACATCCTCTCCAGCACCTGTTGTTTCCTGACTTTTTAATGATTGCCATTCTAACTGGTGTGAGATGGTATCTCATTGTGGTTTTGATTTGCATTTCTCTGATGGCCAGCGATGATGAGCATTTTTTCATGTGTCTGTTGGCTGCATAAATGTGTTCTTTTGAGACGTATCTGTTCATATCCTTCACCCACTTTTTGATGGGGTTTTTTTTTCTTGTAAATTTGTTTCAGTTCATTGTAGATTCTGGATATTAGCCCTTTGTCAGATGAATAGATTGCAAAAATTTTCTCCCATTCTGTAGGTTGCCTGTTCACTCTGATGGTAGTTTCTTTTGCTGTGCAGAAGCTCCTTAGTTTAATTAGATCCCATTTGTCAATTTTGGCTTTTGTTGCCATTGCTTTTGGTGTTTTAGACATGAAGTCCTTGCCCATGCCTATATCCTGAATGGTATTGCCTAGGTTTTCTTCTAGGGTATTTAAGGTTTTAGGTCTAACATTTAAGTCTTTAATCCATCTTGAATTAATTTTTGTATAAGGTGTAAGGAAGGGATCCAGTTTCAGCTTTCTACATATGGCTAGCCAGTTTTCCCAGCACCATTTATTAAATAGGGAATCATTTCCCCATTGCTTGTTTTTGTGAGGTTTGTCAAAGATCAGATAGTTGTAGATATACGGTATCATTTCTGAGGGCTCTGTTCTGTTCCATTGGTCTATATCTCTGTTTTGGTACCATTACCATACTGTTTTGGTTACTGTAGCCTTGTGGTATAGTTTGAAGACAGGTAGCATGATGCCTCCAGCTTTGTTCTTTTGGCATAGGATTGACTTGGCAACGTGGGCTGTTTTTTGGTTCCATATGAACTTTAAAGTAGTTTTTTCCAATTCTGTGAAGAAAGTCATTGGTAGCTTGATGGGGATGGCACTGAATCTATAAATTACCTTGGGCAGTATGGCCATTTTCACGATATTGATTGTTCCTATCCATGAGCATGGAATGTTCTTCAATTTGTTTGTATCCTCTTTTATTTCATTAAGCAGTGGTTTGTAGTTCTCCTTGAAGAGGTCCTTCACATCCCTTGTAAGTTTGATTCCTAGGTATTTTATTCTCTTTGAAGCAATTGTGAATAGGAGTTCACTCATGATTTGGCTCTCTGTTTGTCTGTTATTGGTGTATAAGAATGCTTGTGATTTTTGTACATTTATTTTGTATCCTGAGACTTTGCTGAAGTTGCCTATCAGCTTCAGGAGATTTTGGGCTGAGAGGCTGGGGTTTTCTGAGTATACAATCATGTCATCTGCAAACAGGGACAATTTGAGTTCCTCTTTTCCTAATTGAATGCCCTTTATTTCCTTTTCCTGCCTGATTGCCCTGGCCAGAACTTTCAACACTATGTTGAATAGGAGTGGTGAGAGGGCATCCCTGTCTTGTGCCAGTTTTCAAAGGGAATGCTTCCAGTTTTTGCCCATTCAGTATGATATTGGCTGTGGGTTTGTCATAAATAGCTCTTATTATTTCGAGATACATCCCATCAATACCTAATTTATTGAGAGTTTTTAGCATGAAGGACTGTTGAATTTTGTCAAAGGCCTTTTCTGCATCTATTGAGATAATCGTGGTTTTTGTTGTTGGTTCTGTTTATACGCTGGATTACGTTTATTGATTTGCCTATGTTGAACCAGCCTTGCATCCCAGGAATGAAGCCCACTTGATAATGGTGGATAAGCTTTTTGATGTGCTGATAGATTCGGTTTGCCAGTATTTTATTGAAGATTTTTGCATCGATGTTCATCAGGGATATTGGTCTAAAATTCTCTTTTTTGGTTGTGTCTCTGCCCGGCTTTGGTATCAGGATGATGCTGGCTTCATAAAATGAGTTAGGGAGGATTCCCTCTTTTTCTATTGATTGGAATAGTTTCAGAAGGAATGGTCCCAGCTCCTCCTTGTACCTCTGGTAGAATTCGGCTGTGAATCCATCTGGTCCTGGACTTTTTTTGGTTGGTAAGCATTAATTATTGCCACAATTTCAGAGCCTGTTACTGGTCTATTCGGAGATTCAGCTTCTTCCTGGTTTAGTCTTGGGAGAGTGTATGTGTCCAGGAATTTATCCATTTCTTCTAGATTTTCTAGTTTATTTGCATAGAGGTGTTTTAGTATTCTCTGATGGTAGTTTGTGTTTCTGTGGGATCAGTGGTGATACCCCCTTTATCATTTTTTATTGCATCTATTGGATTCTTCTCTCTTTTCTTCTTTATTAGTCTTGCTAGTGGTCTATCAATTTTGTTGATCTTTTCAAAAACCAGCTCCTGGATTCACTGATTTTTTGAAGGATTTTTTGTGTCTGTATTTCCTTCAGTTCTGCTCTGATCTTAGTTATTTCTTGCCTTCTGCTAGCTTTTGAATGTGTTTGCTCTTGCTTCTCTAGTTCTTTCAATTGTGATGTTACGGTGTCAATTTTTGATCTTTCCTGCTTTCTCTTGTGTCCATTTAGTGTTATAAATTTCCCTCTACACACTGCTTTGAATGTGTCCCAGAGATTCTGGTATGTTGTGTCTTTGTTCTCATTGGTTTCAAAGAACATCTTTATTTCTGCCTTCATTTTGTTATGTGCCCAGTAGTCATTCAGGAGCAGGTTGTTCAGTTTCCATGTAGTTGAGCGGTTTTGAGTGAGTTTCTTAATCCTGAGTTCTAGTTTGATTGAACTGTGGTCTGAGAGACAGTTTGTTATAATTTCTATTCTTTTACATTTGCTGAGGAGTGCTTTACTTTCAACTATGTGGTCAATTTTGGAATAGGTGTGGTGTGTTGCTGAAAAGAATGTATATTCTGTTGATTTGGGGTGGAGAGTTCTGTAGATGTCTGTTAGGTCTGCTTGGTGCAGAGCTGAGTTCAATTCCTGGATATCCTTGTTAACTTTCTGTCTTGTTGATCTGTCTAATGTTCACAGTGGGGTGTTAAAGTCTCCCATTATGATTGTGTGGGAGGCTAAGTCTCTTTGTAGTTCTCTAAGGACTTGCTTTATGAATCTGGGTGCTCCTGTATTGGGTTCATGTATATTTAGGATAGTTAGCTCTTCTTGTTGAATTGATTCCTTTACCATTATGTAATGGCCTTTTTTGTCTCTTTTGATCTTTGTTGGTTTAAAGTCTGTTTTATCAGAGACTAGGATTGCAACCCCTGCCTTTTTTTGTTTTCCATTTGCTTGGTAGATCTTCCTCCATCCCTTTATTTTGAGCTTATGTGTGTGTCTGCACATGAGATGGGTTTCCTGAATACAGCACACTGATGGGTCTTGACTCTTTATCCAATTTACCATTCTTTGTCCTTTAAGTGGAGTATTTAACCCATTTACATGTAAGGTTAATATTGTTATGTGTGAATTTGATCCTGTCATTATGATGTTAGCTGTTTATTTTCCTTGTTAGTTGATGCAGTTTCTTCCTAGCTTCGATGGTCTTTACAATTTGGCATGTTTTTGCAGTGGCTGGTACCAGTTGTTCCTTTCCATGTTTAGTGCTTCCTTCAGGAGCTCTTTTAGGGCAGGCCTGGTGGTGACAAAATCTCTCAGCATTTGCTTGTCTGTAAAGGATTTTATTTCTCCTTCACTTACGAAGCTTAGTTTGGCTGGATATGAAATTCTGGGTTGAAAGTTCTTTTTTTTTAAGAATATTGAATATTGGCCCCCACTCTCTTCTGGCTTGTAGACTTTCTGCCAAGAGATCAGCTGTTAGTCTGATGGGCTTCCCCTTGTGGGTAACCCAACCTTTCTCTCTGGCTGCGCTTAACATTTTTTCCTTCATTACAGCTTTAGTGAATCTGACAATTATGTGTCTTGGAGTTGCTCTTCTCGAGGAGTATCTTTGTGGCGTTCTCTGTATTTCCTGAGTTTGAATGTTGGCCTGCCTTGCTAGATTGGGGAAGTTCTCCTGGATAATATCCTGCAGAGTGTCTTCCAACTTGGTTCCATTCTCCCCGTCACTTTCAGGTACACCAATCAGACGTAGATTTGGTCTTTTCACATAGTCCCACATTTCTTGGAGGCTTTGTTCATTTCTTTTTATTTTTTTTTTCTCTAAACTTCTCTTCTCACTTCATTTCATTCATTTCATCTTCCATCACTGATACCCTTTCTTCCAGTTGATTGCATCAGCTACTGAGGCTTCTGCATTCGTCACATAGTTCTCGTGCCACAGTTTTCAGCTCCATCAGGTCCTTTAAGGACTTATCTGCATTGGTTATTCTAGTTAGCCGTTCATCTAATTTTTTTTTTAAGGTTTTTAACTTCTTTGCCATGGGTTTGAACTTCCTCCTTTAGCTCGGAGTAGTTTGATCGTCTGAAGCCTTCTTCTCTCAACTCATCAAAGTCATTCTCCATCCAGCTTTGTTCTGTTGCTGGTGAGGAGCTGCGTTCCTTTGGAGGAGGAGAGGCACTCTGATTTTTAGAGTTTCCAGTTTTTCTGCTCTGTTTTTTCCCCATCTTTGTGGTTTTATCTACCTTTGGTCTTTGATGATGGTGACTTACAGGTGGGTTTTTGGTGTGGATGTCCTTTCTGTTTGTTAGTTTTTCTTTCAACAGTCAGGACCCTCAGATGCAGGTCTGTTGGAGTTTGCTGGAGGTTCACTCCAGACCCTGTTTGCCTGGATATCAGCAGCGGAGGCTGTAGAACAGCGGATATTGGTGAACAACAAATGTTGCTGCCTGATGGTTCCTCTGGAAGTTTTGTCTCAGAGGAGTACTCGGCCGTGTGAGGTGTCAGACTGCCCCTACTCGGTACCTCCCAGTTAGGCTACTCGGGGGTCAGGGACCCACTTGAAGAGGGAGTCTGTCCGTTCTCAGATCTCCAGCTGTGTGCTGGGAGAACTACTCTCTTCAAAGCTGTCAGACAGGGACATTTAAGTCTGCAGAGTTTTCTGCTGCGTTTTATTTGGCTACGCCCTGCCCCTAGAATTGGAGTCTACAGAGGCAGGCAGGCCTCCTTGAGCTGCGGTGGGCTTCACCCAGTTCGAGCTTCTGGGCTGCTTTATTTACCTACTCAAGCCTAGGCAATGGCAGGCACCCCTCCCCCAGCCTCACTGCTGCCTTGCCGTTTGATCTCAGACTGCTGTGCTAGCAATAAGTGAGGGTCTGTGGGCGTAGGACCCTCCGAGCCAGGTGTGGGATATAATCTGCTGGTGTGCCATTTGCTAAGACTATTGGAAAAGTGCAGTATTAGGGTGGGAGTGACCTGATTTTCCAGGTGCCGTCTGTCACCCCTTTCTTTGACTAGGAAAGGGAATTCCCTGACCCCTTGCACTTCCCAGGTGAGGCGATGCCTCGCCCTGCTTCAGCTCATGCTTGGTGCAGTGCACCCACTGTCCTGCACCCACTGTCTGACACTCCCCAGTGACATGAACCTGGTACCTCAGTTGGAAATGCAGAAATCACCCGTCTTCTGCATCGCTCATGCTGGGAGCTGTTCCTATTCGGCCATCTTGGCTTCACCAAGCATTACTTTTTAAAGCATAAACTAAATATTTGTATTTATCCAAATATATTTATGTAAGTCTAGAAAGCACTTACTCATGGGTACTCCCAATAATGAGAGTAGTAGGAAGGCGGCCAAGTTAGAGGCAGAGATACAGGGAAAGGACACTTTCTCTTTACTGGTGCTCAGTTTTTTGTAAGGGGAGTATGTAATTTAAGTTATATTTTGGAATAATTAAACTTCTAGCTTTTCCTTTTGATCTGGAGATGCACACAGACATATGTAATGAGGACTGTGTAATAAACTAAATTCTAAGAAAATACGATTTTAAAGTAGTTGACATTGGAAATGTTGTTTTAATGATATAGACATGTTTTATACATTTTGAAAGTTTTTATTCCTGTATCCATTAATATAAATATGGAAAATATTAAGCAGTTTGTGAAGACTATGATTATTATTTATGGAAAATCTAACTTGTGTTAGTTATGTTTACATAAAATAGTATGGCACAGGTTATGGTCTACTGTACTGTGATAAATAATATGAAAACTAGAAGAATAATTTAGAAAAGTTGGAAGTTAAAAAAATAAGTATCAACAATGTCCATGTTTACTTGTAGGGCTTAAAAAATTGAGTTTCCTTATATTAAAAAAAAAGTCAGTGTTTAAATTTTACCTAATTCTACCACCTTATGGAACATTATTTCTTATGACATTGTTAAAAAGCAGAAACAAACAAGACGAAATTTAAAAAAAAAAACCCAAGACAAAATGGCATCAACTAATTCCTGCATTTTATTTTTGCAGAAATGGATCTAAATAAATTAATTTTTTATGATGGACTAACAGGTAAAGTGCAGATATGCAAGCAAAAATAAACAAAAACAAAACAATTCCATGTATTTGGGAAACATTGTTAAAATGTTTCCATTTGACATTTATCAATTATTTAAGCATTCATTAATTCACCTATGCATTCCTCCATCCGGTCACCCACACATTCACTGAGGATCCTCAGATGATGAAAACCTCATGAAACTCATTTAGGGAGGAGTAAAGAGAATAGCAGAACATGTACTCTACCTTCATAAAGCCCACATTCAAATTTGGGATATAATTATAATGATAATAGCTATAATAGGGTATAAATTGAGTAATAGGGTAGTTTTGTAATTTCTTAATTATTGTGTCAAAGATAAAATGAAGAAAGAGTGATTATCATGATTAGAATTGTTCAGGAAAGACTCAACTGTTTGCACAAGACTTAGCGATACAACTTACAATTCAACCAACAGTTAAGGTTTTCGACAGGAAAAAAAAAATTCTGTTCTCCAGTACTGGAGACACAAATGTGAGAAAAGCTCTCCCTCATTTCTCAAAATAATTTGAATCTTTGAGTGAAAGAATGCTATAATTTGAAGGTCTCTTTAAGTTTGAACTAGTTGATTCTTTAGGTACACTGAAAGGATATAGCCATTTGAATGGATCAAAATGTTCTAAGCAACACAGAAAAGCTAGAGAAATCAACTGGTGTGGGAATGGGGGCTGGCATGGTAGATGGATATGAGGTGTGCCAGGTCCATTTAGAAATGAGACTGCAGTGCTAAACTAATTCTTTAAAATTTGATCCCTAATACCATAGTGGCCCACTATTGTTCTTGAGCAAAACAGAATTATGAAAGGGATAGTTTGGAAGCATAGAGATAAATAATTTTTCTACAAAGGTTAAATTAGACAAATCAATTAGGAAAGTAGGTTCATATTATTTTTATAATATTACCAAAAAGGAATGATTAAAGGCTAGAACAATGTGATTTTAAACTTGGATAGAAATGTCAAAACTGATTTACAATTTAGGGAAGGAATTGGGATAATCTCTAATTAATGCACAGATGCATTGGGTATATGACAAAGAACTTCCTGGCAACAATCACATATCCTATATAAGGCCTATTCTCCCCAAAAATGCTGACCACAGAATGCTATTTTACTTCTAGGTACTTTTGTCAATTATCTGGGCAAGGCAAGAGGCTGCAAATAAAACTGGATGACAGCAGAGAAGACAAGGGAGTTTCAGGCAATTCTATGGGTGGTGGAGAGATGACACATTAAGTTTACATCTGCCAAACTTTCCAGGCCAAAATCCTGGAAAGAAGTGTGGAACAGAAAAATGTGCCCTTTAATCTTAGCTTTTTCCTTAGGGAACTGGCTGAATTCTTAAACTACACTGGGTAAGAGACTTAGATATTAAGCAGAAAGCCTCTGAAAAGGTTGTCGGCATTTTTTACCCAGTGCTAAGGAGGGAAAAGTTGGAGTTAGGATCAGCCAAGGAAAAGAGGTCCTAGTAAATACCCCCATGCTCTTAGTTGGGAATCCTGAAGAGCAATATCCTAGGAGAAGGTAGACAGAAGTTTATGATAGTAAAATCCAGCCCAAATCAGCTTAATCCCTGATTGGATGAAGGTAATTTTTCTTCTTCTATTAATTACCAAAGCATAGGGGAATCTCTCTGAAGGAAATAAGATTATTCAGAGCCCCTAAATATTTTTAGACACAGGATATATAAGTCAATCAAAAATTACCTGAAGTACACAAAAAGTAGACCAAGAAGAAAAAAATGTAGACAGGAGAATTCAAATAAATTAATCAAGGTCACTTTACAAACGCTGTGATAGGATGAGAAAGCCCCTATCAGACCAATATTTTAACCATTTCTCAAACAACTACTAACTGTGCACAAAATAACTCCACAACTACCTGAAAAAGACTCAATTACTAAAAGACTGTTGATGAAAAGAGTCAACTCTGTAAAATATTTTAAGAGATTCATTCTTAGCCAAATATGAGTGACCGTGGCCTGTGACACAGCCCTCTGGAGGTCCTGAGAACATGTGCCCAAGGTGGTCAGGGTACAGCTTGGTTTTATGTATTTTAGGGAGGCATGAGACATCAATCAAATACATTTAAGCAGATTACTTGAGGTCAGGAGTTCAACACCAGCCTGACCAACATGCTGAAACCTTATCTCTACTAAAAATACAAAAATTAGCCAGGGATGGTGGTACGTGTCTGTAATTCCAGCTACTCTGGATGCCGAGGCAGGATAATTGCTTGAACCTGGGAGATGGATGTTGCAGTGAGCCAAGATTGCACCACTGCACTGCAGCCCAGGCAACAGAGACAGAGACTCCGTTTCAAAAAAGAAAAGAAAAGAAATACACCGGTTTGGTTCAGAAAGACGGGAAAACTCAAAGAGGGGGCTTTGAGTCTATAGGTAAATTGAAACGTTTTCTGGGTGACAATTGGTTGAGTTTACCTGAAGACCTGGGAGCAATAGAAAGTAAATGTTCAGGTTAAGCTAAAAGATGGTGGACACCAAGTTTTATTGAGCAGAGGAAGCACTCAGATAGCAGACTTTGGAAAGAGCAGGTTGTAAAATGTTTCTTATCAGACCTAACAGGGTGCCTGGCTCTTAGTTGATTATCTCCCGGATCTGGAAAAGAAGAAAAGAAAACAAAGAGGAAAGGGGATTCTCCAAAGAATGTGGATTTTTCCCACAGCAGACAGCTTTGCAGGACCATTTCAAGATATGGCAGAGAAACATGTTTTGGGGTTAAATATTCTGATTTTCTTCCATGTTATGCCATAGTCAGATTGGAATGTAAGTCACGATATACAGGATTAAATGAAACCCATCTGATGAGAATTGATTGTAGGGCATGAATCCCCAGACCCCCTAGATAGGAATTTGGGCAAGATAAAAAAAAAAAATCAGAGATTTGTCCTCAAGAGGTCTTAGTAAATACCCCATGCTCTTAGTTGGGAACTCTGAAGAGCAATAGTCTAAGAGCAGGTAGACAGAAGTTTATGATAGTAAAATCCAGCCCAAGTCAGCTTAATCCCTGATTGGATGAAGGTGATCTTCCTCCTTCTATTAATTACCAAAGCATAGGGGAATCTTTCTCTGAAGGAAATAAGATTATTCAGAGCCCCCAAGTATTTTTAGACACATGGTCTGTAAGGTCAATCAAAAATTACCTGAAGTAAACAAAAAGTAGACAAGAAGGAAAAAAATAGGAGAAGTCAAATAGATTAGTCAAGTTAACTTTACAAACACTGTGATAGGATGAGAAAGCTCCTATCAGACCAGTATTTTAACCATTCCTAAAACAACTACTGTGAACAAAATAACTTCACAACTACCTGAAAAATACTCAAGAAAGACTAAAAGATGTGGAAAGAAAGAAACAGCAAGAGTGCATTTTCCATTTTCATAGTTTCTAGCCTGAGGGCAGGCCCCAGTCAGGTGGCATGACTAAAACTTTACTAGAAAATCCACAGAAGAAACAGAGAATAGAGTTCAGGGCCATCAAAAACATTGGGAAACAACGAAGTTAAAAAGGGAAGATAAAAATCTTGCCCAAATCTCCGGCTGATACCTGAACAAAGGTACACAGAGAAGATTCTAAACAGCCTCATTAAGCTTGAAAGAACTGAATTGGAATTTGAGTTGCTGCTCATGAGAAAGAATGGCTGCTTACATCCAACCAAGTTAATTTCTTGCTAAAACAAAATATCAGTCTTTGGAAGAATCTAACAGAAATAAATCTCTTTAAAACATAACCTAGATAAAACCCAAGACAGAATACAGAATTACCCAAGATACAGAGAAATGTAAGAATGTAATCTATTTTTAAGAGAAAAGGGAATCGATGAAGACAGAACTTGAGATGATTCAATCAAAATGTATAAATCAATTTTATTTCTTTATATCAGCAACCAATATAGAATTTTAAAAAGTTATTACTTTAAAATCGTATTTAACAAATTAACAAAATATATGCAAAACCTCTATGTTGAGACAACAGAACATTACTGAAAGGTTAAAAGACTTAAATATAAAAGAGATATATCCTGTTTATGTATTACAAGACTCAGTATTGCAAAGATATCAGTTTTCTCTATACATCTCAGTCTAATCTATACATCTCTCCAAATTGATGTATAGATTAATTGAAATCAAATCAAAATAACGGTAGTTGTTTGTTGCAATTCACAAGCTGATTCTATAATTGATGTCAAATCTAAATAATAAAATAGATTTGGCAACTGAAGAAGGAAAAGGAGGAGGAGGAAGAGGAAAAAAACAATCACAAAGAAGCTCCAGACCCTAATGCTAAGAACTATTACAAAGATGTAATAATTTAAAAATTCTTGCTATTCTCGCAAGAAAAGAGAGATAGTCCCATTGATTCTGTGGGCAAGTCCAGAAACAAATCCAACACTTATACAGTCCCTTAATTTATGATAAAGTGTGCAGTGCAGTGGGGAAACAGTGATGTTTCTGTAAATGGTACTGGATCAATTGGATGTCCATATTAAAAGAAAAACATGGTTTCACATTATACATAAAAATTAACACCAAATGTTATGTAGATCTAAATGTGAAATGTGTAACACTAAACCTTCTGGACAAAAACAAATTATCTCTTGACACTGGGGCTAGGGAGAAATTTTTTTTAATATATATATATTTCTTATGCTTTAAGTTCTAGGGTACATGTGCACAACGTGCAGGTTTGTTACATATGTATACATGTGCCATGTTGCTGTGCTGCACCCAGTAACTCATCATTTACATTAGGTATATCTCCTAATGCTATCCCTCCCCCCTTCCCCCATCCCACAACAGGCCCCAGTGTGTGATGTTTCCCTTCCTGTGTCCAAGTGTTCTCATTGTTCAATTCCCACCTGTGAGTGAGAACATGCAGTGTTTGGTTTTTTGTCCTTGCAATAGTTTGCTCAGAATGATGGTTTCTAGCTTCATCCATCCATGTCCCTACAAAGGATATGAACTCATCATTTTTTCTGGCTGCACAGTATTCCATGGTGTATATGTGCCACATTTTCTTAATCCAGTCTATCATTGTTGGACATTTGGGTTGGTTCCAAGTCTTTGCTATTGTGAATAGTGCCACAATAAACATACGTGTGCATGTGTCTTTATAGCAGCATGATTTACATTCCTTTGGGTATATACCCAGTAATGGGATGGCTGGGTCAAATGGTATTTCTAGTTCTAGATCCTTGAGGAATCGCCACACTGTCTTCCACAATGGTAGAACTAGTTTACTGTCCCACCAACAGTGTAAAAGTGTTCCTGTTTCTCCACATCCTCTCCAGCACCTGTTGTTTCCTGACTTTTTAATGATTGCCATTCTAACTGTTGTGAGATGATACCTCATTGTGGTTTTGATTTGCATTTCTCTGATGGCCAGTGATGATGAGCATTTTTTCATATGTCTTTTGGCTGCATAAATGTCTTCTTTTGAGAAGTGTCTGTTCATATGCTTTGCCCACTTTTTGATGGGGTTCTTTCTTTTTTCCTTGTAAATCTGTTGGAGTTCATTGTAGATTCTGGATATTAGCCCTTTGTCAGATGAGTAGGTTGCAAAAATTTTCTCCCATTTTGTAGGTTGCCTGTTCATTCCGATGGTAGTTTCTTTTGATGTGCAGAAGCTCTTTAGTTTAATTAGATCCCATTTGTCAATTTTGGCTTTTGTTGCCATTGCTTTTGGTGTTTTAGACATGAAGTCCTTGCCCATGCCTATGTCCTGAATGGTAATGCTAGGTTTTCTTCTAGGGTTTTTATGGTTTCAGGTCTAATGTTTAAGTCTTTAATCCATCTTGAATTAATTTTTGTATAAGGTGTAAGGAAGGGATCCAGTTTCAGCTTTCTACATATGGCTAGCCAGTTTTCCCAGCACCATTTATTAAATAGGGAATCTTTTCCCCATTGATTGTTTTTCTCAGGTTTGTCAAAGATCAGACAGTTGTACATATGTGGCGTTATTTCTGAGGGCTCTGTTCTGTTCCATTGTTCTATATCTCTGTTTTGGTACCAGTACCATGCTGTTTTGGTTACTGTAGCCTTGTAGTATAGTTTGAAGTCAGGTAGCATGATGCCTCCAGCTTTGTTCTTTCCCTTAGGATTGACTTGGCGATGCGGGCTCTTTTTTGGTTCCATATGAACTTTAAAGTAGTTTTTTCCAATTCTGTGAAGAAAGTCATTGGTAGCTTGATGAGGATGGCATTGAATCTATAAATTACCTTGGGCAGTGTGGCCATTTTCACGATATTGATTCTTCCTATCCACGAGCATGGAATGTTCTTCCATTTGTTTGTGTCCTCTTTTATTTTGTTGAGCAGTAGTTTGTAGTTCTCCTTGAAGAGGTCCTTCACATCCCTTGTAAGTTGGATTCCTAGGTATTATATTCTCTTTGAAGCAATTGTGAATGGGAGTTCACTCATGATTTGGCTCTCTGTTTGTCTGTTATTGGTGTATAAGAATGCTTGTGATTTTTGCACATTGATTTTTTATCCTGAGACTTTGCTGAAGTTGCTTATCAGCTTAAGGAGATTTTGGGCTGAGACAATGGGGTTTTCTAGATATACAATCATGTCATCTGCAAACAGGGACAATTTGACTTCCTCTTTTCCTAATTGAATACCCTTTATTTCTTTCTCCTGCCTGATTGCCCTGGCCAGAACTTCCAACACTATGTTGAATAGGAGTGGTGAGAGAGGGCATCCCTGTCTTGTGCCAGTTTTCAAAGGGAATGCTTCTAGTTTTTTGCCTATTCGGTATGGTATTGGCTGTGGGTTTGTCATAAATAGCTCTTATTATTTTGAGATACGTTCCATCGATACCTAATTTATTGAGAGTTTTGAGCATGAAGGGCTGTTGAATTTTGTCAAAGGTCTTTTCTGCATCTATTGAGATAATCATGTGGTTTTTGTCTTTGGTTCTGTTTATATGCTGGATTACGTTTATTGATTTGCATATGTTGAACCAGCCTTGCATCCCAGGGATGAAGCCCACTTGATCATGGTGGATAAGCTTTTTAATTATTAAACAGTACAGAAGAATACAAATTCTAAAGGAAAATAGAAACTTGTTGTATCATACTACATTAAGATTAAAGCATTCTGTTGATCAAATTACACATTTGGGAGAGTGAAATGACAAACCCCTTGGTAGAAAAAGATATTTATAGTACATATTGCAACACAGGACTCATATTTAAGACATACAAATATTCAATTCTACAAATCAATGAAAAATTAAAATAAGACAATCCAATAGAGAAATGGGCAAGAACAGGTACTCCTCTTACCAGACCAACTTGTCCACAGCCTTCCAATATTTCCTTCCAGTCCTCAGATCATCCAGCCAAACTTTTCTCCATTGCTCAGGAATCTGTAGATATTCTTATCCAAAGCTTCTCCTCTTTACCCATAAACTAAATAACAAGTAACACTTAAGATCTGCCCACTGGAAAATGCCCCATCATGCATACACCAACACACATTGGCTTTGAGTGCTACCAGTGGGCAGCAGTGCATCTGCAATCCACATTGGACCAGTATCAACATACAGAGTTAACCCATTTTAAAAAAAAAGTACTTAAATTCCGGGATACATGTGCAGAACATGCAGGTGTATTACATAGGTATACGCATGCCATGGTGGTTTGCTGCACCTATTGACCCATCCTCCAAGTTCCCTCCCTTTGCCCTTCACCCCCCAACAGACCCTGGTGTGTGTTATTCCCTTCCCTGTGTCCATGAGTTCTCATTGTCCAACCGCCACTTATGAGTGAGAACATGCAGTATTTGATTTTCTGTTCTGTGTTAGTTTGCTGAGGATGATGGCTTTCAGCTTCATCTATGTCCCTGCAAAGGACATGATCTCATTCTTTTTTATGGCCACATAGTAAGTGTATATGTACCACACTTTTTTTATCTAGTCTATCATTGATGGGCATTTGGGTTGGTTCTGTGTGTTTGCCATTATAAATAGTGCTGCAATAAATATATATATGCATGTGTCTTTATAGTAGAAGGATTTATATCCCTTTGGGTATATACCCAGTAATGGGATTGCTGGGTCAAATGGTATTTTTGGTTCTAGATCCTTGAGGAATTCAAACTTAAATTAGTCCAACAATGGTTCAACAGTGTTCAACAATTAGTTCAACCGTTGTTGAACTAATTTACATTTTCACCAACAGTGTAAAACCATTCCTATTCCTCCACAGCCTCAGCAGTATCTATTGTTTCTTGACTTTTTGATAATCAGCATTCTGGCTGGTGTGAGATAGTATCTCATCGTGGTTTTGATTTCCATTTCTCTAATGAAAAGTGATGTTGACCTTTTTTTCATATGTTGGCAGCATGTATGTCTTTTTTTGATAAATGTCTGTTCATATCTTTAGCTCTTTTTGATTGGGTTGTTTGTTTTCTTCTTGTAAATTTGTTTAAGTTCCTTGTAAATTCTGAATATTAGATCTTTGTCAGAGAGGTAAATTGCAAAACTTTTCTCCCACTCTGTAGGTTGTCTGTTCATTCTCATGATAGTTTCTTTTGCTGTGCAGCAGCTCTTTAGTTTAATTAGATCTTATTTGTCAATTCTGGCTTTTGTTGCAATTGCTTTTAGTGTTTTTGTTTGTTTGTTTTGCTTTGTGGTTTTTTTTTTTTTTTTTTTTTTTTTTTTGAGATGAAGTCTCACTCTGTAGCCCAGGCTGGAGGGCAGTGGCATGATCTTGGCTCACTGCAACCTCTGCCTCCCAGGTTCAAGCAATTCTCCTGCCTCAGCCTCCCAAGTAGCTGGGATTAAAGGTGCATGCCATCACACCTGGCTAATTTTTTGTATTTTTAGAAGAGACGGGGTTTCACCGTGTTAGCCAGGATGGTTTCCATCTCCTGAACTCATGATCTACCTGCCTCACCCTTCCAAAGTGCTGGGATTACAGGTGTGAGCCAGCACGACCGGCTGCTTTTAGTGTTTTTGTCATGGAGCCTTTGTCCATGTCTGTGTCCTGAATGGTATTGCCTAGGTTTTCTTCTAGGATTTTTATAGTTTGGGGTTTTACGTTTAAGTCTTTAATCCATGTTGAGTTAATTTTTGTGTAAGGTGTAAGGAAGGGGTCCAGTTTCAGTTTTCTGCATATGGCTAGCCAGTTTTCCCAGCACCATTTATTGAATAGGAAATCCTTTCCCCATTGCTTGTTTTTGTGAGGGTTGTCAAAGATCAGATGGTTGTAGTTGTGTGGTGTTATTTCTGAGGTCTCTGTTCTGTTCCATTGGTATATATCTCTGTTTTGGTACCAGGACCATGCTGTTTTGGTTACTGTAGCCTTGTAGTATAGTTTGAAGTCAGGTAGCATGATGCCTCCAGCTTTGTTCTTTTTGCTTAGGATTGTCTTGGCTATACGGGGTCATCTTTGATTCTATATGAAATTTAAAGTAGTTTTTTTCTCATTTTGTGAAGAATGTCAATGGTAGTTTGGGAATAGCATTGAATCTATAAATTAGTTTGAGCAGTATGGCCATTTTCACGATATTGATTCTTCCTATCCATGAGCATGGAATGTTTTTCCATTTGTTTGTGTCATCTCTTATTTCCTTGAGTGGCAGTTTGTAGTTCTCCTTGAAGAGGTCCTTCACATCCCTTGTTAGCTGTATTCCTAGGTATTTTATTTTCTTTGTAGCAATTGTGAATGGGAGTTCATTCATGATTTGGCTCTCTGCTTGTCTACTGTTGGTGTGTACAAATGCCTGTGAGTTTTATACATCAGTTTGTATCCTGAGACTTTGCTGAAGTTGCTTATCAGCTTAACGAGTTTTGGGGCTGAGATGATGGGGTTTCCTAAATAAAGAATCATGTCATCTGCAAAAAGAGACAATTTGACTTCTGCTCCCTGTTTGGATAGCTTTTGTTTATTTCTCTTCCCTGATTTCTCTGACCAAAACTTCCAATACTATGTTGAGCAGGAGTAGTAAGAGAGGTCATACTTATCTTATGCTGGTTTTCAAAGGAAATTCTCCCAGCTTTTGCCCATTCAATATGATATTGACTTTGAGTTTGTCATAAATAGCTCGTATTATTTTGAGATATATTCCATCAATACCCAGTTTATTGAGGGTTTTTATCATGAAGGGATGTTGAATTTTATCAAAGGCCTTTTCTGTGTCTATTGAAATAACCATGTGGTTTTTGCGTTTGATTCTGTTTATGTGACGTACCATGTTAATTTATTTGTATATGTAGAACCAGCCTTGCATCCCAGGGATGAAGCTGACTTGATCATGGTGGATAAGATTTTTGATGTGCTGCTGGATTCAGTTTGGCAGTATTTTATTGAGAATTTTCACATAGATGTTTATCAGGATATTGGCCTAAGTTTTTTGTTGTTGTTGTTGTTGTGTTTCTGCCAGGTTTTGGTATCAGGATGACGCTGGCTTCATAAAATGAGTAGGGAGGAGTCCCTCCTTTTCAATTGTTTGGAATAGTTTCAAAGGAATGGTATCAGCTACTCTATGTACCTCTGGTAGAATTTGACTGTGAATCTATCTGGTCCTGGGCTTTTTTGTTGGTAAGCTGTTAATTACTGCCTCAATTTCAGAACTTGTTATTGGTCTATTCCGGGATTCCAATTCTTCCTAGTTTAGTTTTGGGAGGGTATAGTTTCTTTGCGTAGAGGTATTTATAGTACTCTCTGATGGTAGTTAGTATTTCTGTGGGGTCAGTGGTGATATCCCCGTTATCTTTTTTGTGTTCCTATTTGATTCTTCTCTCTTTTCTTCTTTATTACTCTAGATAGCAGTCTATTTTGTTAATTTTTTCAAAACACCAGCTTCTGGATTCATTAATTATTTTTTGGAGGGTTTTTCATGTCTCTGTCTACTTCAGTTCTTCTCTAATCTTAGTTATTTCTTGACTTCTGCTATCTTTTGGATTAGTTTGCTCTTGCTTCTCTAGCTCTTTTTAAATTGTGGTATTAGGGTGTTCATTTGAAATCTTTCTACCTTTCTAATGTGGGCATTTAGTGCTAGAAATTTTCCTCTTAACACTGCTTTATTTGCATCCCAGAGATTCTGGTACATTGTCTCTTTGTTCTTATTGATTTCAAAGAACTTCTTGATTTCTGCCTTAATTTCATTATTTACCCAGGAGTCACTCAGGAGCAGGTTGTGCAATTTTCATGTAATTGTGTGGTTTTGAGTGGGTTTCTTAATCCTGAGTTCTAATTTGATTGCACTGTGGTATGAGAGATTGTTTGTTACGATTTCCATTCTTTTGCATTTGCTGAGGAGTTTTTTACTTCCAATTATGTGGTTGATTTTAGAATAAGTGCCATGTGGCACTGAGAAGAATGTATATTCTGTTGATATGGGGTGGAGAGTTCTGTACATGTCTATTAAGTCCACTTGATCCAGAGCTGAATTGAAGTCCTGAATATCCTTGTTAATTTTCTGTCTTGTTGACCTAATATTGACAGTGGGTGTTAAAGTCTCCCACTATTATTGTGTGGGAGTCTTAGTCTCCTTGCAGGTCTCAAAGAATTTGTTTTATGAATCTGGGTGCTCCTGTACTGGGTGCATATATATTTAGGATAGTTAGCTCTTCTTGTTATATTGATCCCTTTACCTTTATGTAATGCCCTGCTTTGTCTTTTTTGATCTTTGTTGGTTTAAAATCTGTTTTGTCAAAGGCTAGGATTGCAACCTCTGTTTTTGTTGTTGTTGTTGTTTTGTTTATGCTTTCCATTTGCTTGGTAAATATTCCTCTATCCCTTTATTTTGAGCCTACGTGTGTCTTTGCACATGAGATGGGTCTCCTGAATACACACCAATGGGCCTTCACTGTTTATCCAATTTGCAAGTCTGTGTCTTTTAATTAGGGCATTTAGCCCATTTACATTTAAGGTTAGTATTGTTATCTATGAATTTGAGCCTGTCATCATGATGCTATCTGGTTATTTTGCACACTAGTTGATGCAGTTTCTTCATAGTGTTATTGGTCTTTATATTTTGGCATGTTTTTGCAGTGGCTGGTACCACTTTTTCCTTTTCACATTTAGTGCTTTATTAAGGAGCTCTTGCAAGTGATAGAAGTAAATGCTCAGTGCTGCCAAGTGAAAATAACACTTAGTCAAAAGTTTTCTCAGCAAGGCAATTTACTTCTATAGAAGGGTGCATCTCGTGGATGGAGCAATGGTAAGAGCACAAGGAACAAGGTAGGGGAAGGGGGTCTTATTCCTAACACAGCTAGTCCCTACTGCTGTGTCTTTTCCCTATTGGCTAGGGTTGGATGGCACAGTCTAAGCTAATCCCGATTGGCTATTTTGAAGAGAGTGAGGGTAGGAGCCAGAGTGGTGGGGTGAGTAGTTTTGACAGGAGGGACAGTTACACAGCAGGTGACTAAGGATGACTAAGAACAGAGCAGGGAACCAAGGGTGACTAAGGTCAGAGCAGGTGATAGAGGCTAGGAGGGTGTTATTTACTGAAACTAGGGGCAAAGAGAGGTAAAGAATGAGGAAGTCAAACTTTAAAATGGAGAACAAAGAACAGGGAAGCTGAACATACGAACACATTGGTTCTTTGTAGAGGGACTCAGAACTCATTGTACTTAACAATTTTCTCCCTTTTGAATTTTAAAGGAAGTTAACAGGCTAAACTTTGAAGAGAAATTTACTATATCCTATACAAGACAGGCCTAGTGGTGATGAAATCCCTCAGAATTTGCTTGTCTGGAAAGGATTTTATTTCTCCTTTGCTTATGAAGCTTAGCTTGGCTGGAAATAAAATTCTGGGTTGAATTTTTTTTCTTTCAGCATGTTGAATATTTGCCTCCAATCTCTTCTGGCATGTAGGGTTTTTGTTGAGAGGTCTGCTGTTAGTCTGATGGGCTTCCATTTGTAGGTGACCTGGCCTTTCTCTCTGACTGCTCTTAACATATTTTTTTCCATTTCTACCTTGGAGAATCTGATGATTATGTGTTTTGGGGTTGATCTTCTCATGGAGTATCTTAGTGGTGTTCTCTGTATTTCCTGAATTTGCATGTTGGCCTGTCTTACTAGGTTGGGGAAGTTCTCCTGGATAATATCCTGAAGTGTTTTCCAGCTCGTTTCCATTCTCCCCGCCTCCTTCAGGTACTCCAATCAATTGTAGATTCAGTCTTTACGTATTTCCACATTTCTCGGAAGCTTTATTTGTTCCTTTTCATTCTTTTTTCTCTAATCTTGTCTGCATGCCTTATTTCAGCAAGGTGGTCTTCAAACTCTGATATCCTTTCTTCTGCTGGATCAATTCAGCTATTGATACTTGTGTTATATTCACAAACTTCCTGTGCTGTGTTTTTCAGCTCCATCAGGTCATTTATGTTCCTCTCTAAACTGATTATTCCAGTTAGCAGCTCCTCAAACCTTTTATCAAGGTTCTTAGCTTCTTTGAATTGGGTTAGAACATATTCCTTTAGCTCAGTGGAGTTTTTTATTACCCATTTTCTGAAGCCAACTTCTGTCAATTCATCCATCTCATCCTCAATCCAGTTCTGTGCCCTTGCTGGAGAGGCAATGCAATCATTTGGAGGAGAAGAGGCACTCTGGCCTTTTGAGTTTTCAGCATTTTTTTGTTGATTCTTTTTCATCTTCATAAATTTTTCTAGTTTCGATATTTGAGGCTGCTGACCCTTGGACGGAGTTTTTGTGGGAAATTTTTTTATTTGAGAGGGAGTCTTGCTCCGTCGCCCAGGCTGGAGTTTAGTGGTGCAATCTCGGCTCACTGCAAGCTCCGCCTCCTGGGTTCACACCATTCTCCTGCCTCAGCCTCCCGAGTAGCTGGAACTAGAGGCACCTGCCACCACGCCCTGCTAATTTGTTTTGTATTTTTAGTAGAGACGGGGTTTCACCATGTTAGCCAGGATGGTCTCGATCTCCTGACCTCGTGATCTGCCCGCCTTGGCCTCCCAAAGTGCTGGGATTACAGGCGTGAGCCACCGCACCCGGCCTGTGGGAACTTTTTTATTGTTGATGCTGTTGTTGTTGCTTTTCGTTTGTGTGTTTTTCTTTCAATGGTCAAGTCCCTCTTCTGTATGGCTGCTGCAGTTTGCTGGGTGTTCACATCATGCCCTATTCATTTGGTTCACTCCCACGCCTGCTGATGTCACTCAGGGAGGCAGGAGAACAGCAAAGATGGGTGCCTGCTCCTTCTTCTTGGATCTCTGACCTCAAGGGACACCAATCTGATACCAGTAGGATTGCTCCTGTATAGGGTGTCTGACAACCCCTGTTGGAAGGTCTTACCCAGTTGGGTGGCATGGGGAACAGGACCCATTTAACTAAGTACTTTGACGGTCCCTTGGTGGAGGGTGTGTGCTTCGCTTGGGGGAAACCCATTTGTCTGGGCTGCCCGGATTCCTCAAAACTACCAGGAGGAAAGACTAAGTCTGCTGGTCTGCAGAGACTGTGGCCTCCCCTTCCCCAGAGGCTCAGGTCCAGGGAGATCAGGGTTCTGTCCCTGAGTCCCTGGCCAGAGTTGTTGGAGTTCTTGCAGGGAGGCCCCACCCAGTGAGGAAGGATGGATCTGGGTCAGGCCTGAATAGGTGCTCTGGCTGCAGTCTGCCACAGCCAGTGTGTTGCGCTCCAGGGAACACCTTTTGGGACCAAGCCGACCAGCCTGCCTGGCTGCAGCAGGGGAAAAGAACAGCCTGGAGCTATAGAGATGGATGCCGCCCTTCCCCTGCCCAGGGAGTTTAGCGTGTTAGGCAGTTATCAATCCCCATGCTGACTGCTGCCCCGCCCCAAAGGGGCTCAAAGGCTTAGACAGTAGGCAGCCACAGTTGTTGTGCTGGTTGGCCCTCACACCAGGTACTTGGCAGGCTTAAGCAGATTCTAGCTGACAGGCTGTTGAGAATCTGCGTGGCTCCAGGATTGGGACCCTAGGCCCCAGTGGTGTGGGTTCACCAGTGGGATCTTCCAATCCATGTCTCACACAATTCTATGGAAAAAGCATGGTTTCCCCTGCTGGGTAGCAAGCTCACTTACCACCTCCCTTGGCTAGGGGTTGGGGACTCCCCTGCCCCATGTGGCTCTCAGGTGGACTGCCTCACCCCACTGCTTTTTCTTCCTCTCTGTGGGTCACACCAGCCGCCTAATCAGTTCTGATGACAGAACCTGGATACCTTGGTTGCCAGTGCAGGATTCACACGCTATTATGGTTCTTTTCAATGGGAGTCTCTGATCACCACTGCGTCTAATCAGCCATCTTGGCCCCGCCTGAGCTGACCCATTTTTGAAACAGTTTTATGTTTTCTCTTTCTCTGTTCAAGTAGTTATTAGGAACCTCTCAATCCCTATGCCGATGAAATCATGGATAGAAGACAACAGAGTCATAAGTACAACAGAGATAGATGACATGAGGTTGATGGGGTCTGAGATAACTCTGTAACTTACTTCTGTCCTCAGGACCTTCTAAAGTCTGATCCAAATGTTCTAATCCTACATTACAATGTATAACTGCTTTGCCCAGTCAATATTATAACTCTGTAGATGTGACAGCTCACAGCTCATAATTGCTAGCTACGATGCATAGGCATTTGATTTTTCAGTCTCTACTAGGGCCAGGTAGCATGCCAGGGACTGTTTCCTGAAGGAACAGCCATCCAAGTCCTAGTGGTTGATACTGCAAATGTCCTATTGTGGCGTGTCAGAGAATCTATATGGCATTTCCATCAATCCCAGATATTTAGAATTGTGGGAACTGCTGGGTCATATGACCCAAACAGCCTCCCATTGTTCTGGTGCCCTCCAGAAACTGGCAGTGAAAATAGATTTGAGTATTATTCTCAAGGGTATATATTCCCTCCAAAACTTGGAGCAGCCTGCCAAGCTCTGTGCTTCTCTTAGTGATGGCTGATATGAGGTGCTCTTCTCTTTAAAGGGGAGGCCATGACATAGCCAAGACCTTAAGTTATTAAGAATACAAATGTTTCTGCTTTTTCACCCCAAAACCTATATTTTGATTAACCACATGATCAGAGGTCACTGTTTTGGAGTCATCCATTTGGAATATCCTACTACAATTGCTGTTACTCCACAAGACAAAAAAAAAAAAGAGAATTTTTTCAGCTACTAAGGGTATCCATCTTAGACATGTAGAAAATAACCAGGTGAATTATTGGCCCTACTGACTTCACTGTAAGATATATCTGGGTCAAGAATATATTATCTGGCCTCCTTATGTCCCCCCCACATAATTGTGGGGGGCGGGGAGCTATAAAAGCATTTGAGGCCTTTTAATGTCAATGGTAGATTAGCTCCTGTATGTAAAAGCCCTGAAAATATATAGACACTTTCTTTGGTGTTAAATTACTTGGTGAATGGCCATAGACCAATTGTGCACACTTTCTTTAGTATGGTATAGTATATTATATACTCAATCCTTAAACTTTAATCCTCTGTCAATCCATGAACACTGGCTCTGGGAACTTACTCAGGATTAGAAACTGAGAAAATGAGGGATCCTGATTCTTTCCATTGGGGGAGTGATAGTTTATATCAAGCAGCAACCTTCTTGGTTTCTCATCTATTTTGTCTCTATTAGCCATCATCATGGATCCCTATGAGTCAGTGTCCCCTAGTTAGCATTCTGGCCTTGGAGCCGGCTACAGTAATTCCATCAAATTTGAATCTTATATTTAAATACTGCTATATTGCATCTTCTATTCCAGAGTCCTATCATCTCAATTGTCAATAGGAATACCAGTTCCATAATACCATCCCTACTATCAATCTTTTCCAGCAGATGACAGCCATTACTGAGCTTCTCAGTGATGTCATGACCTTTTCACTAGCACATTTCTTTAAGGGCTAGTGAAGGGAGTGCTCTACTTATCCTCATGGTGAATGTAGTAAGCTGATATGTTCTTGAGTCTTATATAATAGATCCATTCTAGAACAATACATCTGTGAGCCTTATGTTTTCTTTGCCAACAATGCCTAGGCAGTTCTAGCACATTTGCCTCTTTAGGACCCTTTTCAGGAGTTGTTACAGGTGCTTTGAATCTGAATCATGGGAGAACATTCCCAGACAGCAAACTCTCCATTATTTAGCTATATTCTGCTCTCTGGTTTAGCACCATCATGTATCATTCCCAGGCATGTTTTCTCAGTTCTTGCTGGAACCTATTTACCTGGCCCTGCAGATCCTTCTGTGAATAATCCCTTTTGGTATGGTCAGTGCTTTCTTAGTTGGGCTATGTTAAGCTTGATCCTCATTACTGGTATGTTAGTCAAGAGGAGAGGGGGATGGATTTTGAGGAGGGCAAGCAAATTCTTGTAAGATATATGCCTCAACTGATGTTTCTTTATGTATTCTAGATGTGGGAGGAGTACAATCCTGCATGCTAAGAGGGTTCAGAGAACTATGGGTGTTCAAGTATTAAAAAAGTTAGTTAGAAGATTTTATTAAATTTTCTCAGGTGCACCCACATAAATATCCCCATTTCCAGGCCTCAGTCACACTGTGAGGGACATGAGGGACGTGACTTTGACATTGGAGATTTGCATGCTGTGGGTTCAGACTTCACTTATAGAACATGCTAAGTTAGGTGTTTATCCTTGATGCATTCAGATGTCATCAGGAAAGCATGAACTTGAACACATGGGATCAAAAGTTCAGCAGAGAATGTGTATGAAAGTTCAATTCAAAGAATAGGTTTTTGACTTGGCTGGTACCCTGAAACGTGTCAATGAAAGTGAGAGAGACTGAAACCATTTCACAATGTAGGTATAGAAACTTCCTTTACTTTAACTACTGTACTGAGGTAAAAGGTACAAAGTAGGAGATGTTTAATATTTCTGTGCTTTTTCTAAGATACAGGCACTTGAGACCTGTGTAGATTCTGCTTTAAGTTCTATCTAAATCATGCCTGCTATTTCTATTCTGTGCATTAACACTAACAAAATGAAAAGCCAGTGGAAAAAGACTTCGAAGTAACTTTCAACTAAGTTTATAATGCTTGAATGATCATAGAACAAAGCTGATTTTAAAATTATGTTTAAAGTGGTCGTTGTAAATGGGGTAAATTTTTTTTCATAATTCCTAAATATGATTGTTTTGACCCATTATTTTTTGGTTGTGACCCACTTTTAGCAGTTTCTAAGCACATCTGGCACCAGCAGGTAACTTTTAAAGTGGTAGAGAGTCTGAATAAGAAGCTGGGTTTTACAAGATCTTCAGTTATGCTTTGCCTCTGAAGATGTGGGATAAAGTAATGGGTAGGTCCTGTAGTCAAGGAGAGAAGTGATTTCTAAGTAAATAGCAGGAAACCTTCTGGTACACAAAGAAGCCATATGGAATAGAAATACCAGAAGTCAACTTCACAGATGAATTTTACGTCATTGATATAGTTCTGCATTTTTTTCTTCCTGCTTTTTATAAGGTTTGCTAAAATATAGGAAGTCCAAAGGGAATCCAAAACTAAAATGTAGAGCTATTTTTTTCACTGTTAAACTATAATTGAATAGTCAGTGTTGACTGGCTGTTTACTTTCAAAGTACATGGGAAATGATAGCCTTGAAGAAAAGAGAGAAGAATCAAATAGACACAATAAAAAATGATAAAGAGGATATCACCACCAATCCCACAGAAATACAAACTACCATCACAGAATACTACAAACACCTCTATGCAAATAAACTAAAAAATCTAGAAGAAATGGATAACTTCCTCGACACACACACCCTCCCAAGACTAAACCAGGAAGAAGTTGAATCTCTGAATACACGAATAACAGGTTCTGAAATTGTGGCAATAATCAATAGCTTACTAACCAAAAAGAGTCCAGGACCAGCTGGATTCACAGCCGAATTCTCCCAGAGGTACAAGGAGGAACTGGTACCATTCCTTCTGAAACTATTCCAATCAATAGAAAAAGAGAGAATCCTCCCTAACTCATTTTATGAGGCCAGCACCATCCTGATACCAAAGCCGGGCAGAGACACAACAAAAAAGAGAATTTTAGACCAATACCCTTGATGAACATTGATGCAAAAATCCTCAATAAAATACTGGCAAACTGAATCCAGCAGCACATCAAAAAGCTTATCCACCATGATCAAGTGGGCTTCATCCCTGGAATGCAAGGCTGGTTCAATATACGCAAATCAATAAATGTAATCCAGCATATAAACAGAACCAAAGACAAAAACCACATGATTATCTCAATAGATGCAGAAAAGGCCTTTGACAAAATTCAACAACCCTTCATGCTAAAAACTCTCAATAAATTAGGTATTGATGGGACGTATCTCAAAATAATAAGAGCTATCTATGACAAACCCACAGCCAATATCATACTGAATGGGCAAAAACTGGAAGCATTCCCTTTGAAAATTGGCAGGGATGCCCTCTCTCACCACTCCTATTCAACATAGTGTTGGAAGTTCTGGCCAGGGCAATGAGGCAGGAGAAGGAAATAAAGGGTATTCAATTAGGAAAAGAGGAAGTCAAATTGTCCCTGTTTGCAGATGACATGATTGTATATCTAGAAAACCCCAGTGTTTTAACCCCAAATCTCCTTAAGCTGATAAACAACTTCAGCAAAGTCTCAGGATAAAAAATCAATGTACAAAAATCACAAGCATTCTTGTACACCAATAACAGACAGAGCCAAATCATGAGTGAACTCCCATTCACAATTGCTTTAAACAGAATAAAATACCTAGGAATCCAACTTACAAGGGATGTGAAGGACTACAAGGAGAACTACAAACTACTGCTCAATGAGATAAAAGAGGATACAAACAAATGGAAGAACATTCCATGCTCATGGGTAGGAAGAATCAATATCGTGAAAATGGCCATACTGCCCAAGGTAATTAATAGATTCAATGGCATCCCCACCAAGCTACCAATGACTTTCTTCACAGATCTGGAAAAAACTACTTTAAAGTTCATATGGAACCAAAAAAGAGCCCGCATCACCAAGTCAATCCTAAGCCGAAAGAACAAAGCTGGTGGCATCACGCTACCTGACTTCAAACTATACTACAAGGCTACAGTAACCAAAACAGCATGGTACTGGTACCAAAACAGAGATATAGATCAATGGAACAGAACAGAGCCCTCAGAAATAATGCCGCATATCTACAACTATCTGATCTTTGACAAACCTGAGAAAAACAAGCAATGGGGAAATGATTCCCTATTTAATAAATGGTGCTGGGAAAACTGGCTAGCCATATGTAGAAAGCTGAAATTGGATCCCTTCCTTACACCTTATACAAAAATTAATTCAAGATGGATTAAAGACTTAAACATTAGACCTGAAACCATAAAAACCCCCAGAAGAAATCCTAGGCATTACCATTCAGAACATAGGCATGGGCAAGGACTTCATGTCTAAAACACCAAAAGCAATGGCAACAAAAGCCAAAATTGACAAATGGGATCTAATTAAACTAAAGAGCTTCTGCACAGCAAAAGAAACTACCATCAGAGTGAACAGGCAACCTACAAAATGGGAGAAAATTTTCACAACCTACTCATCTGACAAAGGGCTAATATCCAGAATCTACAATGAACTCAAACAAATTTACAAGAAAAAAACAAACAACCCCATCAAAAGTGGGCAAAGGATATGAACAGACACTTCTCAAAAGAAGACATTTATGCAGCCAAAAAACACATGAAAAAATGCTCACCATTGCTGGCCATCAGAGAAATGCAAATCAAAACCACAGTGAGATACCATCTCACACCAGATAGAATGGCAATCATTAAAAAGTCAGAAAACAACAGGTGCTGGAGAGGATGTGGAGAAATAGGAACACTTTTACACTGTTGGTGGGACTGTAAACTAGTTCAACCATTGTGGAAGTCAGTGTGGCGATTCCTCAGGGATCGAGAACTAGAAATACCATCTGACCCAGCCATCCCATTACTGGGTATATACCCAAAGGACTATAAATCATGCTGCTATAAAGACACATGCACACGTATGTTTATTGTGGCACTATTCACAATAGCAAAGACTTGGAACCAACCCAAATGTCCAACAATGATAGACTGGATTAAGAAAATGTGGCACATATACACCATGGAATACTATGCAGCCATAAAAAATGATGAGTTCATGTCCTTTGTAGGGACATGGATGAAATTGGAAATCATCATTCTCAGTAAACTATCGCAAGAACAAAAAACCAAACACCGCATATTCTCACTCATAGGTGGGAATTGAACAATGAGAACACATGGACACAGGAAGGGGAACTTCACACTCTGGGGACTGTTGTGGGGTGGGGGGAGGGGGGAGGGATAGCAATAGGAGATATACCTAATGCTAAATGATGAGTTAATGGGTGCAGCACACCAGCATGGCACATGTATACATATGTAACTAACCTGCACGTTGTGCACATGTACCCTAAAACTTAAAGTATAATAATAATAATAATAATAAAAGAAATGATAGCTTTGATAGTTTCTCAGTAGCTAGGTATTATAGTTCATTTTGAGTAAAAACTAAATGTGCTCAAAATTTGAGTTTTTATTTTCTAATTAAGAGTTTATGTCTTTAGATCATAAAATTATTGTTCCATAAAATATAAATGTTGAAGGATTATACAGCTGACATATCTACAGAAATTCATCACTTTTTTGTATATAGTCTACTACAAGAATGGTTAGTTTTAACAGAAAGACTTTATTTTTTATTTTATTTTATTTTTTGAAATGGAGTCTCTCTCTCTGTTGCCCAGTCTGGAGTGCAGTGATGCGATCTCGGCTCACTGCAACCTCTATCTCTCAGGTTCAAGCAATTCTCCGGCCTCAGCCTCCCAAGTAGCTGAGATTACAGGCATGGGCCACCATGCATGGCTAATTTTTGTATTTTTAGTAGAGACGGGGTTTGCTATGTTGCCCAGGCTGATCTCAAACTCCTGACCTCAGGTGAGCTGCCTGCCTCGGCCTCCCAAAGTACTGGGCTTACAGGCGTGAGCCACCGTGCCTGGCCAAAAAGACTAGTTTAAAACTATAGAGAGAGTATAAAACCATTCATACATATAGTTTACATATATATTATTTTTTTAAATATATGTAATTATGTATTACATTACACACATATAGTAATATATAAATCTAAGAGGAGAAAATCTTTTTAGGTAGGAGAGAATAAAAATCCAAGTTCTAGGCTAAAGGAAAACTATCCTGCTGGCTTAGAAAGACTTGTGTAGAACACCCTGGCACATATTTGATATACTTGAGACAAAGAAAAGGTGTAATTTGAAAATTCTTAGCATTTGTGATATACCTGAAGTGAGTCCATTAAAAGTGGACCATTCTATGGCTTAAAGAAGTAGAAATGAGTGATCTTGTATCAGTAATACTCTATGCCAGTAGTTGTCAAGTGTTTTGGTTTCAGGACCTCTTTATACTCTTAAAAATTAATAAAGACCCCTAAAAATCTTACTTTAGAAAATCTTGGAAGACATAAGAATACACAACACAAATTCCAGTGGCTATCAGAACAATGATGGCAATGGATGCTATTTAGCCTCTGGAAAATTCAACTGTATGCTTATAAAATGATGACAGTAGAAAAGGCAAATAATGTTTGTTAATATTTTAAAATAATTTTGATCTGGTGATCTCCAAGCGTTCCCAAAGCACACTGAAAAATACTGCTCTATGCATCGTCTGGAAAGAAATGTTCGAATGAACGGAAATAAACTTTACTCAACCTATATAATATCTTCGTTGTAAAAATAACATTTAATTTACAGAAATACGTTTTATTTATTTGTTTTTTGTTATACTTTAAGTTCTGGGGTACATGTGCAGAACATGCAGGTTTGTTACACAGGTATACATGTGCCATGGTGGTTTGCTGCACCCATCAACAGGTCATCTACATTAGGTATTTCTCCTAATGCTATCCCTACCCTAGCCCACCACCCCCCGACAGGCCCCAGTATGTGCTGTTCCCCTCCCTGTGTCCATGTATGTGTTTTCATCATTCAACTCCCACTTATGAGTGAGAACATGCGGTGTTTGGCTTTCTGTTCTTGTGTTAGTTTGCTGAGAATGATGGTTTCCAGCTTCATCCATGTCCCTGCGGAAGACATGAACTCATCCTTTTTTATGGCTTCATAGTATTCCATGGTGTATATGTGCCACATTTTCTTTATCCAGCCTATCATTGATGGGCATTTCAGTTGTTTTCCTAGTCTTTGCTATTGTGAACAGTGCCACAATAAAGACTTCATGACTAAAACACAGAAAGCAATGGCAACAAAAGCCAAAATTGACAAATGTGATCTAATTAAACTAAAAAGCTTCTGCACAGCAAAAGAAACTATCATCAGAGTGAACAGGCAACCTACAGAATGAGAGAATATTTTTGCAATCTATCCATCTGACAAAGAACTAGTATCCAGAATCTACAAAGAACTTAAACAAATTTACAAGAAAAAAAACAACACCATCAAAACATGGGCAAAGGATATGAACAGACACTTCTTAAAAGAAGACATTTATGCATCCAACAAACATGAAAGAAAGCTCATCATCACTGGTCATTAGAGAAATTAAAATCAAAACATTTTATTTTTTACATTCATATTATGAGAATTGTGTGTGTGTATAACTACAGTTAAAACATATATATATATACACACACACACACATTTTATAGGTATATATACATATGTATACATATGTATATACTCTGGCTGTTACCAGGAGACCAAGAAAGCATGTCTTTACCTCACAAAGGTGGAGAAACTTAGAGCAGACCATAGTTTGGCTCTCAAAATCTACACTAGACTGATGTTTCCTGAGTCTAGTACCAAGTACTTACTATACTCGCCTGCTGAAGCACCTTGACGTACTACTATTCTCTACTCAGGAATTCAATTTGGGGGAATGAATGAGCTACAGGGCTTAAGGAGTAGGTCTGATCCCTCTGAAGGGAAGGAACTAGGACCTCCTGAAGAGTGGTGGAGATTTGTACCAAAGAATTAAGGACACGACCACCTCTGAAAGAATGTAGATTAGATCTCCACATAGAAAAATAAACTCTAAAAACAGGGAGTTTCCCATGAGACGTTCTCTTGTGGAAGGCAAAGTTTTAATTTTTTTTCTTAGATTCCCAAGAGAGTCACAGTTAGCATAACTTTGAAGGTAACCTCTTCCTCCTCCATACGTCTTAAGTTGTAATGCTTTCTAGATATTTTCAAACATTCAGTAAAGTGGAGGTTTCTATATGTAGAATGAAGTTCAGGGTTGAAAGAAATGGTACCATCTTCATATTTCCATTCTGGAGAGGTCAGCATTGGCACACACTGGGTCAGCGAGAGCCAGGGTTGAAATTCCATGTGAACTCTGTGGGTGAAGTAAGAAGTAACCAACCACAGAGAAGGGAGTAGGAGGGTCAGCAGAGATCTGTCATGGGGATAACTGATGAGTTCTTGTGAGACAAACCCTCTTACTTTTTCAAATACACTGGAGAAAGATGACACATGACCCAAAGGAGACCACTTTGGTGCTTAAACTTCTTTTCACTGTCCAGGTGTGGTGGCTCGTGCCTGTAATCCCAGCACTTTGGGAGGCCAAGGCAGGTGGACCACAAGGTCAGGAGTTCAAGACTAGCTTGGCCAATATGGTGAAACCCCGTCTTTACTAAAATAACAAAAATTAGCCAGGCATGGTGGTGTGCGCCTGTAGTCCCAGCTACTTGAAAGGCTGAGGCAGGAGAATTGCTTCAACCCAGGAGGCGGAGGTTCCAGTGAGCCAAGATCATGCCACTGTACTCCAGCCTGGGCAACAGAGCAAGACTCGATCTAAAAAAAAAAGAAAAAAGAGAAAAGAAATAAATAAAAAAATAAAACCTTCCCTTCACTTGAATTTTCGTTAAAACACAACTTTCTTAGACATATTTTTGCAAATCATTGTCATGTTTTACCTTTTAATTTACTGTAGATCTACAACTCACAATCTTTTTCTTAGCATTAGGAGAATCCAGCATACTGGTTTTGAAAGAAATTCTTCTGTATCTAATTTTGAATTGATTGTCCTTTTTCACCTGTCCCATTGAAATGCTTTCCTTCCTCAATTATAGATTTATAGATTAAATGAAACATTTGTTCAGTAGCTGTGGTGACAGAGATATAACAGGGCTACTAATCAAACTATCTCATACATTTTTCTGTAACCTGTGAGCTATTCCCCTTTATTCTTTTCTAGAACCTGTCTTCAATCTTTGGTTAAAGGCAATGTGATAGAAATAATATCTTATGGTAAATAATTATAGAAATTATATATATCTTATTGTGGTTTTGATTTGCATTTTCCTAATGATTCATGATACTGAGCATTTTTCAATATACCTATTGGCCATTTGTATGCCTCCTTTTCAGAAATATCTGTTTATGTGTCCTTTGCCTACTTTTTAATAGGATTGTTTTACTTTTCTATTTTTTAGTTCATTGTTTATTCTGGGCATTAGTTCCTTGACAGATGAATAGTTTACAAATATTTTCTCCCATTAAATAGGTTGTCTCTTCATAATTTTGTCTCATTTGCTGTGCAGAAGCTTTTTAGTTTAATATAGTCCCATTTGTCTATTTTTGTTGCCTGTGCTTTTGAGGTCTTAGCCATAAAATATTTGCCTTGACCAATGTCCTAGAGGGTTTTCACTATGTTTTCATCTAGTAGTTTATAGTTTTAGGTCATAAGCTTAGATCTTTAATCTTAGTGGATTTTTATATATGGTAAGAGATAGGTTACTAGTCTCATTCTTCTGTATATGAATATCCAGTTTCCCACCACCATTTATTGAAAAGAGTGTAATTTATTGAATGTGTGTTCTTGGCACATTTGTCAAAAATCAGTTAGTTGTAATTATGTGAATTTATTTCTGAGTTCTTTATTCTGTTACAATTGTCTGTATATCTGTTTTTATACCAATACTTTGCTGTTTTGTTACTATATCCTTGTAATATATTTTGAATATCAGATAGTGTGTGGACTCCAGCTTTGTTCTTTTTGATCAGAATTTCTTTGGCTATTTGGGCTCTTTTTTGGTGCCATGTGAATTTTGGCTTTATGTTTTACTATTTCTGTGAAGAATGCCATTGGTATTTTGAAGTGGTATGTATGGAATCTGTAGATTGTTTTGGGCAATATGGTCATTTTAACAATATTCTTTCAATCCATGCACATGGGACGTCTTTCTAATTTTTGGTGTCTTCTTCAATTTTTTTTTTTTTTTTTTGAGACACAGTCTTACTCTGTCACCCAAGCTGAAGTGCAGTGGCATAATCTTGGCTTACTGCAACCTTTGCATCCCCGGTTCAGGTGATTCTCCTGCCTCAGCCTCACAAGTAGATGGGACTACAGGTGTGCACCACCATGCCTGGCTAATTTTTGTATTTTTAGTAGAGATGGGGTTTTTGTAGTTTTCCTTGCAGAGGTCTTTAATATCCCTGGTTAAATTTATTCCTAGGTATTTCATATTTTTTGTACCTATTGTAAATAGTATTTCCTTCTTGATTTATTTCAGCTAGTTCATTACTGGTGTTTAGAAACATCACTGATTTTTGTATGTTGATTTTGTATTCTGCAACTTGACTAAATTTTTAAGTCAGATCTAAGATTTATGTTTTTTTGGAGGAGTGCTTACGTTCTCCCTCCCCTCCCCTCTCCTCTCCTTTCCTTTCCTTCAGACAGAGTCTCACTCTGTCACCCAGGCTGGAGTACAGTGGCGCAATTCTGGCTCACTGCAAGCTCTGCCTCCCGGGTTTACGTGATTCTCCTGCCTCAGTCTCCCGAGTAGCTGGGACTACAGGTGCCCACCACCACGCCCGGCTAATTTTTTGTATTTTTATTAGAAATGGGTTTTCACCATGTTAGCCAGGATGGTCTCGATCTCCTGACCTCATGATCTGCCCACCTCAGCCTCCCAAAGTGCTGGGATTACAGGCATGAGCCACCGCACCTGGCCAGTTTTTCTAAATATAAGATCAACTCATCTGCAAAGAGGGACAATTTGACTTCCTTTATTTCTATCTGGATGTCTTTTTCTTGCCTGATTTCTCTGGCTAGTACTTCAAGTACTACTATGTTGAATAGGGCTGGCAAAAATAGTCATCTTCATCTTTTTTCCAGTTCTTAGAGAAAAGGAGCTTTGATCTTTTCCTCATTCACTATGTCAGTTGTGGGTCTGTTTTATATGGCCCTTTATCATGTTGAGGTATGATCCATATATGCCTAGTTTGTTGAGAGTTTTTATCATGAAGAGACATTGAGTTTTATCAAATGCTTTTCTGCATCTATTGAGATATTTGGTTTTCTTCTTCATTCTATTGATGTGATGAATTGTGTTTACTGATTTGCAGATATTGATCTATCAATCATTTTATCCCTGGGATGAATCCCACTTGATAAGAAAGTATTATCTTTTTTATATGCTGTTGGATTCAGTATAATAGTATTTTGATAAGAAATTTTTTCATCTATGTTCATCAGGGATATCGACCTGTAGGTTGCTTTTGTTGTGTCCTTGTCTTGTTTTAGAATCAGGGTAATTCTGACCTCATGAAATGAGTTAGGGAGAATTTTCTCTTCTTCAGTTTTTTGGGAATAGTTTCAGAATAATTAGTAGTAGTCCTTCTTAAGTTTGATGGAATTCAGCAGTGAAGGCATCAGAATCTAGGCTTTTCTTTCTTGGGAGACTTTTGATTATGATTCAATTTCATTAATCATTATTGGTCTTTTCAGATTTTTTATTTCTTTCTGGTTCACTTTGGTAGAGAGGAATCTTTGCTATTTCTTTCTACCTATTAATTTTGGGTTAGGTTTGTTCTTGCTTTTTGAGTTCCCTGAGATGCATCCTTAAGATCATTTATTTGAAATCTTTCTACTTTGTTGATGTAGGTTCTATTGCTATAAATGTCCCTCTTGGGAATGCTTTTGCTGCTGATAAAGATGTACCTGAGACTGGCAAGAAAATGAGGCTTAATGGACTTACAGTTCCACATGGCTGGGAGGCCTCACAATCATGGTGGAAAACAAGGAGGGGCAGGTCACATCTTACATGGATAGAGGCAGGCAAAGAGAGAGAGCTTGTGCAGGAGAACTCCTCTTTATAAAACCATCAGATCTTATGAGACTTATTCACTATCATGAGAACAGCACAAGAAAGAGCTGCCCCATGATCTCCGTGATTCAATTACCTCACTGAGTCCCTCTCACAGCACATGGGAATTCAAGGTGAGATTTGGGTGGGGACAGAGCCAAACCATATTATTCTGCTCCGGCTTCTCTCAAATCCCATGTCCTCATATTTCAAAACCAATAATGCCTCCCCAACAGTCCCTCAAAGTCTTAACTCATTTCAGCATCAACTCAAAAGTCCACGGTCCAAAGTCTCATCTGAGAAAAGGCAAGGCGCTTCCACCTATGAGCCTATAAAATCAAAAGGAAGTTAGTTACTTCCTAGAAACAATGGAGGTACAGGCATTTGGTAAATTCAGCCATTCCAAATGGGAGAAATTGGCCAAAAGAAGAGGGCTACAGGCCCCATACATGTCCAAAATCCAGTGGGGCAGTCAAATCTGAAAGCTCCAAAATGATATCCTTTGACTCCAGGCCTCACATTCAGATCACACCAATGCAAGAGATGGGTTCCCACGGTCTTGGGAAGCTCTGCCCCTGTGGCTTTGCAGGGTACAGCCTCACTCCTGGCTGCTTTCATGGGCTGGAGTTGAGTGTCTGTGGCTTTTCCAGGTGCATGGTGCAAGCTGTCAGTGGATCTACCATTCTGGTCTGGAGTACGGTACCTCTCTTTTCACAGCTACACTAGGCAGTGCCCCAGTAGGGACTGTGTGTGGGGGCTTCAATCTCACATTTCCATTCCACACTGCCCTAGCAGAGGTTCTCCATGAAGGCCCCACCCTGGCAGCAAACTTCTGCCTGGACATCCAGGCATTTCCATACATTCTCTGAAATCTAGGCAGAGGTTCCCAAACCCCAATTCTTGAGTTCTGTGCACTTGCAGGCTCAACACCACATGGAAGCTGCCATGGCTTGGAGCTTGCACCCTCTGAAGCCATGGCCCAATCTCTACCTTTGCCCCTTTCAGCCATGGCTGGAGCTGCTGGGACACAGGGCACCAAGTCCCTAGACTGCACACAGCACAGAGACCCTGGGCCTGGCCCATGAAACAATTTTTTCTCCTAAGCCTCCGGCCTGTGATGTTGGGGGTGCCTGCTGTGAAGACCTCTGACATGCCCTGGAGACATTTTCCCCATTGTCTTGGTGATTAACATTTGGCTCCTCATTACTTATATAAATTTCTGCAGCCAGCTTGAATTTCTCCTCAGAAAATGGGATTTTCTTTTCTATCACATTGTCAGGCAGCAAATTTTCTGAACTTTAACATTCTGCTTCTCTTATAAAACTGAATGGCTTTAACAGCACTCAAGTCACCTTTTGAATGCTTTGCTGCTTAGAAATTTCTTCTTCCAGATACCCTAAATCATCTCTCTCCAGTTCAAAGTTGCACAAATCTTTAGGGCAGGGCAAAATACTGCCAGTCTCTTTGCTAAAACATAGCAATAGTCACCTTTACTTCAGTTCCCAGCAAGTTCCTCATCTCCATCTGAGACCACCTCAGCCTGGATTTCATTGTCCTTATTATCAGCATTTTGCTCAAAGCCATTTAACAAGTTTCTAGGAAGTTCCAAACTTTCCCACATTTTCCTGTCTTATTCTGAGCCCTCCAAATTGTTCCAACCTCTGCCTGTTACCCAGTTCCAATGTCACTTCCACATTTTTGGGTATCTTTTCAGCAGCGTCCCACTCTACTGGTACCAATTTACTATATTAGTCTGTTTACATGCTGCTGATAAAGATGTACCCAGGACTGGGAAGAAAGTGAGATTTAATGGACTTACAGTTCCACGTGGCTGGGGAGGCCCAACAATCATGGTAGAAGGCAAGGAAGAACAAGTCAGGCCTTACATGGATGGAGGCAGGCAAAGAGAGTGAACTTGTAGGGAGGAACTCCTCTTTATAAAACCATCAGATCTCGTGATACTTATTCACTATCACGAGAACAGCATGAGAAAGACCCACCCCCATGATCTCCATGATTCAATTACCTCCCACTGGCTCCCTCCCATGACACATGGGAATTCAAGATGAGATTTGGGTGGGAACACAGTCAAACCATATTACTGGGCATAGGGTTCTTGGCAGATTTGAGGCTTTTCCAAGCCTGAGGTGGGGATGGAGACATGAGGTGGACTAGTCCTCTGGCCCCATAGTGGCAGCGGCAGGCCAAGCCTGTTTGTCTTTGGGCCCCCAGGTGGGCACTACTGTTAGCAGCTTGAGGTGAGCCAATTCTTAGGCCTCCAGGTGGCTTTCTCAGATGCCAACAGTGGCAGTAGTGGTCCAGGCAGGGGCTTGGTTTTTGGATTCCCGGGCAACATGCACGGCATGGGATATGGCAGTAGAAGTGGCAGGAAAATCCTCAGGTTCCTAAGCAGCATCTACTGGTGGTGATGATGGCTGCAAAATATAAGGCAGGTTATCTATCTGGGTGCCAGTGGTGGCAGCAACAGTAGGAGGCTAGGTTAGCCAGCCCTGGATGTGGCAGGGAAATCCTCAGTATCCCAGATGGTGTGCTTTGCCACCAGCGGCAGGTGTTCTTGGCCTGTTGTTAGGCCTCCTGTTGGTGTGCATGCATGCCCAGAATGATATACAGGACAGGGTAAAGCCCAAGTCCCAGAGTGTCATGCTTAGGCACTGGAGGGTGGTGCCAGGCCAGGTAAGCCTGTTCTTAGATTCCCTACTGGTGTACATGGCTACAGGCTGTGGTTGGTGGGGCAATCCCTAAGACCCTGGGCAGCATACTCAGGTAGCAGCAGCAGTGGGCAGGGAGGGACTGTCTTTGCGACACACACAAATGTTCTGTAGCCCTGCTGCTGGGGACGTGGGTGTTGCTTTTATTGGCAGTGGACCCAGGCAGGCAGCTTTCAGGCTCTGGGGAGTATGCACTTTGGCTCCCTTTGTCCTGAGGACAGCCTCCCTGAGGCACTGCACAGACCATTCCCTAGGGTATAGGACACAGTGAGGGTTATGGCGCTGGGGAATCCTGCTACACTGCTGGGTCCAGCTGTCATCATGCCACTATAGCCTTCTGGATGGACATGGAAGGATGTTAGTGGAGGTTTCCAGGGATGTGCAGATGCAGGGACCATTGGGCCCCAGAGCTGAATGATGTCTGGGCTCTCAAAATGGCAACATACTGCAGCTGTTTAGGTCTCAGGAGGTGTGTGGGACTCAGTGTGAATTCCCTATTTGAAGCAACACCATTGTATAGACTAGAGGAAGCTTGCTATACTACTTATCTCAGGGCCTGTATTTGGGTATAGGGCCTCTTCTGTGGCTAGGATCACAAAAGTCCATGGTGGGAATGTAGACTGCTGGTATCTCTGCTTCCCCCATACTGGGGAGCCTTGCTGGCTGCCAGCCAATCCTAGCCAAGTTGGTTGCACTGCTTCCCTTTCCATTCATGCCTCAGGTGTTTTCTGTCATTTCTTTGTTGAATTCCAGTGTTTTCTCTCAGGCTATTTTAAGTGTGATTATTGACTTGCTATTTTGGTTGCTCTTTGTGGAAGAGGCAAGTACTGGATACCTCTAGTCAGACATCTTGAAGACCCCCTTAATTATATTTATATGATGAGAATTAATTTAATAGAAGGATATTTATCTTCTCTCATATATATGTTAAATATAGTATATATAAAATAGTATCTCTACTTAAAGGATAGTTAATATTTGATAAGTAGCACTAGCTGTCAGGAAATCATATATACTATATCCAGTGCAGCCATTCAGGTCTTCAAACTCTCCAAAGATGTAATTACAAATCCAGCTGGCATTTGGAACAGGTACTATACTCACATTGCCAGATGCACTTGGCTATATCTATTAATCTTTTATGCAGGGTGTTAAAATTTTTTTTCTAAAAGCAAAGTATTTTTTACATGTAACTAGAGTATAATTCATTTATTTTGATATTTCAGAGGGCATGAAATTAACAATTCTCCTGTATAGAGAGTCCCAATTTTAACCAAAAACACTCTTTCATATTACGTTAGGACTTTTTTCACAACCTCACTTTGCATTCTTTTATTTATATTATGATATAGCACAGGGATGAATGACAATTCTTTTTTCCTTTCTTTCTAGTGTTAAATATCAGTAGTTAATCATAAAACAATGGGCTCTTAATGTTGTCAAATACTTTAATAAATAGAGATTATTCAAGACTTCAAATCCTTTTTGAATTGAGGCATGGCATAAATGAAGACTAATCAAGAATACATAGGTGGAAGTGTCATGAAATATAGTGAAACCATTATGTGATACTATTATATTCATCACCCATTATTAAAATTCTTTATTGATTCACAGTACTCAGTGAGCACATTCAGTACTTCTCCTATTCTAACCATACCATGCACAAAGCTTTTGCTGCAGAGATTTTAATTAAATGATGAAGAAACCAAGCTAAAGGTAGATATTTCCCCTAGAAGGGACAACATTATTATTAATAAAGTCATAGATATGTCAACAATGAAAACCTGTTACTGTTCATGGAATACTCTGAAGCAGTTTGAATAACTTTTTTCCTGAAAAAACTAAAATATCATGGTATGTTTAAAGTTCCTTCACTGTTCTTTGAGAGAAAAGTAAGTGGAAAGCATAAAGGAAAAGAGAAATATTAGTAGAGTAACTAGAAATCATATTAATACCTATGTGTTAATGCTTTATCAAGATAGTATTCTGTAATTTGTGACAAATTCTGGATTTTTCATTTGTTTAGCTTTACAAAAATCTTTGTGTTATTTGTCCAGAGAAGAAAGTGTTTCCCCATAATCTTCCATCCTATTGTGTAATATTTGTTTTGGGGAAGTTACATATAGATAATCTTTCTCATATTATTTCTACAAGCATTGCATGGACCTACTAGTTGCTAAGACCCACACTACCTGTCTTTCCTAGTCTTCACATGGAAGAATGATTGTATTAATCATCTCAATTCTTTACCCTTCCCTATATGCATCCTTTGCCATATGACTTCCTAACTCCTCTCAATAAAGAGGTGTGCAGTCTAGTTCCCTATCCCTTAAATCTTGGTTTGACCTTTATCTTGGTTTGGCCAATAAAATAAGATAGAAATGAACAGTGTATCAGTTCCCAGCCTAGCCTCAAGTGGCATTGCATGTCTTCTTCTGACTCTCTCACATTCTGCTATTATAATGAGAACATGCCTGAGTTAGCTCCCTGGTGAATGAAATATGTGGAGCAAAACCAAGTAATTTTAGTTACCCTCAAAGAGGCTAACCTAGATCAGCTAACAATACCCTGACCTACATTTACATGAGAGATCCTATCTTTCTGTGGATTACAAATGTTATTTGATTTTGTTACATAAATGTCACTTATATGTATCAAGGTTTTGGAATTTTATATTTACATTGTAGTCAATTTTTATTAATGTCCAACATACATTTAAATGAGAATATATTCTCTATTGGGTACAGGCCTATCTGTCAGATAAATCTTAAGAACGTTATTTAAATCTTCTTTATTCTTGCTCAATTGAGGTCTATTTGATTTGTCTATTTCTTAGATTTATATATTTTTGTAATATAATTATTATTTTTCTAGTAGTCCCTGTCAGTTTTAGCTGTATATATTATTTCAAATCTATAATGTTAAGTGCATGAAGTTTCATGATTCCTATTTTTTGGAGAATAAATAATAGCATCCTTATAATAGTTTTCATTTTGTAGTCTGTTTTTATGGTATTTATGTCACTTTACTTTGTAAAGTGTATGCTAGAGACTTATGTGACTTATCATTTCAGCCAATCTTGTTTTGTAAAAACAAAAATGCTGAATAATTTAAAGCATTTGAAAAATAGACACTTTGTCTTATTTTACAACATAAATTTGGTACTTTCGAAAACATTAATAAAAGACAATTGTTTTGAGATTGAGAAATAAACAGAAAAATAAAAGAAAATATAAAATGAATTGCTATAAAGTAGCAGAAGTTGTAAGTTATTTTAAAGATAGTATTAACAGTCATATAGTAATAATTAAAATGATAGGTGGAAAAGAAACATTTTTGGGGGGAATATATGAAATGCAAAAATTGGCACAAGAAAACTCAGATAGATAGACCAAATCCTCTTGAAAACCTTGGCTTGGTAATGGAAAGCATTTCCAAGATAGCATCAGCCAAACATGGTTCTGCAGATGAGTTTTAGCAACTGTCGCATGCATAGATAATGCTTTAAAAAAGGTGTTTCTGGATACAGGATATCAAAATACTGTTGTGATACTGTTGTATATTTGAAACTTAAATTCAATGAATTACAAGAGATAAATTCACAATCCATTTCATATGTAAGCATAGTTAAAAACTTCTCTACAAAATACAGTTGTATTTTGTAACGTGAGGATATTACAAAATCATAAATTGTATCAGTGTAACTCATGATACCAACACAGTAGTTACTGCTTTCTTTTTACCTATGGTCTGTCATTTCTATAATTTTAAAATCTAGAAGGTTTATTAAAGCAACTAGGAATTATGTCACTTAACCAGGAATTGCATTCATCAATTTTTCTAATGTTAGATACCTTTGTATTTAATGTTTTCCCTACATTTCCTGGAAAAAAATATCAATTTGGCCAAGATGATTTTTTTAATATTATGCAAAATTCAGTGCGTTAATATTTTATGTGAGCTATTTCCATCTGTGTTTTTAAAATTAGATGGGATAATAATTTTATACTCCCTTATTACCTCATTTGTTTTGGGTATCAAAGTTATAGTAGTAGTAGCCTCATTGATTTTCTGTTCCTTAATTGCCTGCTCTATAGAAGAACTTACTTATATTGTTTTGGGATTAATTTTTTGAATGGATATAAGAACTCACCACTAAAATTATATGGGTCCAGATTTTCATTTGGAGGAGAGAGAAACTCACTCCTATGGATTTTTTATTGATTTCCTAAATAGATATAGGATATTCTTTTTTGCTATATCTTTTTGAGCCTGTTGAAATAAATTGCATTATTCTAAAATGTAACAAGCTTTCAAATTTATTGCTAAAGCATTTGCTTTTAACACTAATTACTTATGTTTATTTTATTTTACTTTAAAAATATGTCTTTAGTATATTTTTTATATCTAATGTTGATTTTTTTCTTTTTTCTTATTCATGCCACAGATTTGTTACATATATTAGTCTTTTCTAAGATGATGTTAAAAAATGGCCAAGTGTGAGCCACCGCACCATGTTAGCCAGGCTGGTCTCAAACTCCTGACCTCAAGTGATCTGCCCACCTCAGCATCCCGAAGTGCTGGGATTACAGGCATTAGCCACTGCACTTGGCCTCAATTTGTTCTTATTTTTCAAAACTGTTCTGATCGCTTGAGGTCAGGAGTTAGAGATCAGCCTGGCCAACATGATGAAACCCTGTATCTACTAGAAATACAAAAATTATCTGGGTGCGGTGGCGTGTGCCTGTAATCCCAGCTACTCAGTGGCTGAGACAGGAGGATCACTTGAGCCTGGATGTGGTGGTTTTAGTGAGCCAAGATTGTGCCAGTGCACTCCAGCCTGGGTGACTGACAGAGTAAGATTCTGTCTCCAAAAAAAAAAAAAAAAAAAAGTTTAAAAAAGACTAAATAAACAGCATACTAATAGACATCATTTAATCAAAAAAGGTCACTGGTTTATCTTCTTTGACCCACATATTATTTAGAACTATATTATTTTTAAATTTCTCAAAAAATGGAATATTTTTTTTAACAATTTTTAATATTGATATCTAACTTAATTGTGGTCAGATTTTAACACTTAAAATTTGCAGGTATAGTATGTGGTCAATACTTTACTTAACAAATGTTCCATTTGTGCTTTACAAAATATGTTCTCATTTATTAGGTGTAGTGTTCCATTTATAGCCATTAGATGAAGTTTGTGTGTGTACACATATTCTATGAATTACTGAGGTATTTTATTAAAATTTTTATGACGCATTTGTCTGTTTCCTTGCATTTTAGTCAATTTTTGCTATCTATTTTTGAGGCTAACATTTTGAATTGTTTTCATTATTTATTCACCTTTTTAAATCTGTCAATATGGATTTTGTCTTAGTTTTTATATTAATATAGTTATGCCAGTCTTTATTTTGTTAATATTTGCTTGTTATCTTTTTTTTCATTATGCTTTTAAGTTCTAGGGTACATGTGCACAATGTGCAAGTTTGTTACATATGTATACATGTGCCATGTTGGTTTGCTGCACCCATCAACTCATCACTTATATTAGGTATTTCTCCTAATGCTACCCCTCCCCCAGTCCCCTACCCACCAACGGGCCCTGGTGTGTGATGTTCCCTGCCCTGTGTCCACATGCTCTCACTGTTCAACTCCCATGCAGTGTTTGGTTTTCTGTCCTTGTGATAGTTTGCCAAGAATGATGGTTTCCAGCTTCATCCATGTCCCTGCAAAGGACATGAATGCATCCTTTTTTATGACTGCATAGTTTGTTATCTCTTTTTCTATTCTTTAACATTCATCCTTTCTGTGTTTTTATGATTTTGTCTGTTGTAAGCAGCATATAGCTAGATCCAAAGATTATCAGATTAGGGGAAAATGTTTAGTGGTTGATGGGCATGCTAGCATATATTGATGGAATGTCAATCTTACTATTTCAAATAATATTACATAGAATTCAAAATAGAAAAGTTTTATGTATTTCATTTTCTAAATGAAAATACAAATTTTTATAACGTATAACTTTTTAAATAAAAAGAATGAATAAAATGGTGTTTATAACAGAACTCAAGCTAGTTCAGTTTTGAGGTACTGGGAAAAATAGCAAAAGTTATAAATTTTCCCTTTTTTGGATATTTCATATGAATATTCAAACATTTTATAGCATTTATTGGATTATAAAACCTCTTTACTGCCCCCACCCCCACCCTGAGACATCTGTTCCATTTCTCTGCTCTGATTGCAGTATAAATCCTTGGATAAGTAACCATGACAGTTGTTTCCAGTTCTCTTTTCATATTTTCTCTTACTTCCTTTTCAAAATCACCATGCCACCAAAATTGCTCTAAGATCATGATGGTTAGTTCTTCATACTGACTTAGCAGGGTTTAACATAATTGATCATTTTATTTTCCTTAAAGCACTTTTCACTAAGCTTCTGGGACACTACAATAATTTCCATTCTACTTACTGCTACTTCTCAGTTTCATGTGTTAATTCTTTCTCATCTTCCTCAATTAGAAGCATCAGAGGATCCTAAGACTTATTAGAATCCTTTAGTCATAAACACACAGCCCTTTGGTGAGCTTATCCATTTCACAAGCTCATGTTCTGAAATTTAAAACTCTATCCTAAATTATTTGGGTCATTCTTTCAAAACACTCCCCATTTAGATGTCAAACAAGCATCTTAAACTTAATATGTTCAAAAACTGAACTCCTGGCCTTTCCCTGCACCATTACTACCTTTGATAAACATATTCTACCAGTAGTTTTTCCTAGGAAGGAAACAGGATTCTTTTAGTTGATCAGACAAAAATTTTAAGACATTGTTGGAAGAGACAGCAAATTATCCCTCATTATCAAAACTTTTATTTAGTTATAGACTTTTCTTTACCCACATTTTGACTGCCTACATGTATTTCCAGCTTGAGAGTAAATTGCAAAACTCTTGTCACTTCATGTAGCCATATGGCTAGGTTTTCTCCATTGAGAGAGGAATGAAAGTGAAGCATGCAATTTGAGCTTTGTGTTCTTAAAATTGATGTTGTTTAATCTTCATATGTTCTTTGGCCTTTCTACAAGTTAAAAATTTGTTTCAGTTCTTGTGAGCTACCTAATAAATCAGATATATTTGGTATGGCAATGCTTCCACCCCCGAAAGCTGTTTCCTGGGTTACCTCATTGAACAATGCTCACCAACACACCCTGGATTATTTGCTTTGTCTGATAGTGACAAAAGTTTAACTGTCTTCCAATTAATGCATCACACTGGACACATCTCTTTCCAGTCCTTTTTTTTTTTTTTTTTGGCTTTGCCTATAAAATATATCTACAATAGTCATTCTAAGCCAGTGTTGATTTTTCCTCTGGGAAGACATTTGGCAATGTTTGGAGATATTTTTAATTGCAACAAATGAGGGTGAAAGCAGTTGCTACTTTCATCTAATTAGTATGGACCAGGAATGCTACTAAATACCCTATAGGGAGTTGGGGCAGAGAAAGAAGGCTCCACCAATTGTCTCTCACACAAAGACACCAATTTAACAACTGTCTACACAAAAAAAGCACCTTCATAAGAACCACAAAAATCAGGTTAGTATTCACAGTACCTGGTTTTAACTTTATATTCCTGAAAGAGGCACTTAGGTAGGAAAGAAATCTTAAATCACTGACACCATCCGTCTCCCATCCCCTGGCAGGGGCAGCATGGTGCAGAGAGTGTTTCCTTGCAATGGGGAGAGGGAGAGCACCACAAATGCGAGGCACTGAATCCAGGACTGCCCTGTTAAAGCAGAAAGAAAACCCAGACCAAACTCAGGGGGTGCCTTGCCACTGAGGGAGCATTCAAACAACCCCTAGCCAGAGGCAAATCACAGATCTTAGTGGTCAGAACTTAACTTCCCACAAAAGCCTCATCATAGCAGGTGAAAGTACTCTGGAGCCCTAAGTAAACTTGAAAGGCAAGGTAGACCACAAGGATAGCAACTGCAAGGCAAGTCCTAATGCTGAACTGAACTTAGGGCCAGCGCACCATGTGAAGGGGGCATGCAACCTACTGAGAAACAAGGTGGGGTGGCTAAGGGTGTGCTGGCATCACCCCTCCCATAATCCAAGGCTACACACCTCATGGCTCTAAAACAGACCCCTTCCTTCTGCTTGAGGTGAGGAGAGGGAAGGATGGGGAGGACTTGGTCTTGCATCTTGGATACCAGCAGGATAGGGTATCAGAGTGGTGAGGCCTCCTTTCTGGGCTTTAGTTCCTGGAAGACATTTCTAGACACACCCTGGGCCAGAAGGGAACTTACTTTCTTGAAGGGAAGGAGGCAGTTCTGACAGGATTTATCACCTGCTAACTGAAGAGCATTTGGACCTTGAAGAACCAGCAGCAATAAGCAAGTACTATGTTGAGGGCCTTGGGTGAGACAGACTTGCTGACTTCAGGTGAAATTCAGCACATTCCCAGCTTTGATGTCTATGGTGAGAGAGAGTCCTTCTGCTTGAGAAAAGCACAGGGAAAGGTAAAAGGGATTTTATCTTGCACCATAGGTACCAGCTCAGTCACAGAGGGGTAGAGCACCAAGCAAACTCTTGGGGTCCCTGATTCCAGGTCTTGCCTCTTGGGTGACATTTCTGAACCTGCCCTGGGCCAGAAGGGAACCCGCTGCCCTGAAGGGTGAGTCCCACGCCAGGCAGCATTCACCACAAGCTGAGTGAAGAGTTCTTAGGCCTTAAGGAAACACTGCTGGTAGTCTGGCAGTATTTCCCATGGGCCTTTGCTGGTGGTGGCCATGGAGCAAGGCTCCTCTGCATTTGGAAAGGGGAGGGAACAGTGGGAGAGACTGAATCTTGTGGTTTGAGTGCCAGTTCAGCTGCAGTACAACAGAATACCAGTAAGACTTCTAAGGTTTTTGAATCTAGTCCCTGGCTCCCTGATAGCACCTCTGGTCCTACCTGGGGTCTGGGGAAACTTGCTCCCCCAAAGAGAAAGAAAAAGGCTGGGCTAGCTTTGCCACTTGCTGATAGTAGAGCCCTAGGGCCTTGAACAAACATAGGCAGTAGCCAAGGAGCAGTTACTACAGGCACTGGGTGAGATCAAGTGTTGTATTGGCTTCAGGTCTGACTCAGCACAGTCCTAGTGATGGTGGCCTTAGGGGAGCTTTGTGTGACTCTACCTCTGGCTCCATGTGGCTCAGAACAGAGAGACGGAATCTGTTTGGGAGAAAGTAAGGGAAGGGAACAAGAGTTGCTGCCCAATAATCCAGAGAATTCTCCCAGATATTGTCCAAGACCTAAAGCAGTTCAGGCTTAGATCACAACACTCAATTTCTTCTGAGTATCTGGAAAGTCTTCCCATGAAGAATGGGTACAAACAGACCCAGACTATGAAAACTACAATAAATACCTAACTCTTCAATGCCCAGACACAAACATCTGCAAGTATCAAGACAATCCAAGAAAACATTACCTCACCAAATGAACTAAATAAGGACCAAGGACCAATACTGGAGAAACAGACATATGCTCTTTCCGATAGAAAAGTCAAAATAGCTGTTCTGAAGAGACTCAAAGGAATTCAAGATAACACAGAGAATAAATTCAAAATTCTATCACATGAATTAAGCAAAGAGATTGAAATAAATAAAAAGCGAAATTCTGGAGCTGCAAAAAACAGTTTGTATACTGAAGAATGCATCAGAGTCTCTTGATCAAGCAGAAGAATTAGTGAGGTTGAAGATAGATAGGCTATTTGATAATACAAAGAGGAGAAAAAAAAATAAAAAGCAATGAAGCACAGCTACAGAAGCTAGAAAATAGCCTCAAAAGGGCAAATGTAAGAGGTATTGGCCTTAAAGAGAAAGCAGAGAAAGAGATAGAGATCAAAAGTTTATTTAAAGAAATAATAACAGAGAATTTTTAAAATTCAACATTCAAATGCAAGAAGGTTATAGATCTACCAAGCAGACTTAACCCAAAAAGCCTACCTCAAGGCATTTATTAATCAAATTCTCAAAGATCAAGGACAAAGATTGTAAATGCAGCAATATAAAAGAAACAAATAATATACAATGGCGCTCCAATATGTCTGTCAGCGGACTTTTCAGTGAAATCCTTCCAGGTCAGGGAGAGTGGCATGACATATTTAAAGTACTGAAGGAAAAATCTTTTATCCTAGAGTAGTATAGACGTGAAAATATCTTCAAACACGAAGAAGAAATAAAGACTTTCCCAGGCAAACAAAAGCTGAGGGATTTCATCAACACCAGGCATGTCCTACAACAAATGTTAAATGGAGTACCTCAACAGAAAGGAAAGATTGTTAATGAGCAATAAGAAATCATCTGAGGGTACAAAACTCACTAGCAATAGTAAGTACACAGAAAAACAGAATGTTGTAATACTGTAACTTTGGTGTGTAAACTACTATCTAAAGTAGAAAGGCTAAATAATGAATCCATCAAAAATAACTACAACAAATTTTGAAGACAGTATAGTAAGATATAAACAAAAAAGTTAAAAAGCAGAGGGAGGAAATTAAGGGGTAGAAGAGTCTGTATCAGTTTTCTTTGTATAATAAACAGTGTTAAATTGTCATCAGCTTAAAATAATGGGTTGTTACATAGTATTTGAAAGCCTCATAGTACTCTCAAGCCAAGAAAAGAGAAAAATACAATTGATACGCAAAAAATAAAAACAAGAAATTAAATCATCACCAGAACAAATCACCCTCACTAAATGGAAGATGGGAAGAAGGAAGGAAGACCACAAAACATTCAGAAAAAAAAAATAGCAAAATGGCAGAAGTCCTTATCAACAATAACATTTATTATAAATGGACTAAACTCTTCAAACAAAAGACATAGATTGGCTAAAGAAAAATATCATGTATTTTGTGAAAACATGGATGAAGCTGGAAGGTATTATCCTTAGCAAACTAACACAGGAACAGGAAACCAAATACTATATGTTCTCACATTAAGTGGAAGCTAAATGATGAGAACTCATGAACAGAAAGAAGGGAACAACAAACAGCAGGGTGTACTTCAGGATGGAGGGTAGGAGGAGAGAGAGGAGCAGAAAAAGTAACTATTGGGTATCAGGCTTAATACCAGGGTGATAAAGTAATCAGTACGACAATCCCCCACGACACGAATTCACCTATATAACAAAACTTTACATGTGCTCCCAAACTGAAAATAAATGTTTAAATAAACAAAATCCAATCATCTGTTGCCTAAAAGAAACACACTTCACCTATAAAGACACACAGACTGAAAATAACGGGAAGGAAAAAGATATTCCATGCTAATGGAAACTAAAAAAGAGCAGGAGTAGCTATATTTATGTCAGACAAAATAGATTTCAAGACAAAAATTCTAAGGAGAAACAAGGTCACTATATAATGATAAAGGGCTCAATTCAGGAAGAGAATATAACAATTTTAAATATATATGCACCCAACACTGGAGCACCAAGATATATAAAGCAAATATTATCAGAGCTAAAGAGTGAGATAGACCTGAATATGATAACAGTTGGAGACTTCAACACCTCACTTCCAGCATTAAACAGATCTTCCATATAGAAAATAAAGAGACATCAACCTTAATCTGCACTATAAACCAAATGAACCTAATAGATTTTTTACAAAATGTTTCATCCGAGAGCTGCATAATACACATTCTTTTCCTCAGCACATGGATCTTTCTCAAGGATAGACCATAAATTAAGTCACAAAATAAGTAATAAAACATTCAAAAACTTGAAGTAATATCAAGCATCTTCTTTGACTACAATGGTATAAACTAGGAATCAATAAAAAGAAATTTTAGAAACTATGCGAATACATGGAAATCAAACAATATGATCCTGAATGAGCAGTAGGTCAATGAAGAAATTCAGAAGGAAACTGAAATTTTTCTAGAGACAAATGATAATTAAAACAACATATCAAAACCTACAGGATACTGCAAAAGCAGTACTATGAGGGAAGTCTGTCACTATTAAGTGCCTACATCAAAAAGGAAGAAAAGCTTCAAATGACGCATTTTAAAAAACTAGAAAAGGAAGAGCAAACAAAAACCAAATAATCAGAAGACATTTAAAGATTATACCTGAAATTAATAAAATTGAAATGAAACAATAAAAAAAGATAAACAAAAGTTAGTTTTTGAAAGTTGAATAAAATTGACAAATCTTTAACTAGACTAATTATGCAAAAAAAGAGATGAGACAAATAACATCAGAGATGAAAAAGGAAATGTTATGACTGACATCGCAGCAATTCAAAGGACCATTAGTGGCTACTATAAGAAACTATATGCCAATAAGTTGGAAAATCTAGAAGAAATGAACAATTTCCTAGACACATAAAACCTACCAGGAATGAACCATGAAGAAATGCAAAACCCGAACAGACCAATAAAAAGTAATGAGAACAAAGCCACAATAAAAAGTCCCCCAGTAAAGAAAAGCCTGGGATCTGATGGCTTCTCTGCTGAATTCTACCAAACATTTAAGGAACAACTAATACCGATCCCACTCAATCCATTCTGAAAAACAGAGGATGAGGGAATACTTCCCAACTCATTCTATAGGTTAGTATTACCCTTATTTCAAAATCAGACAAAGATGCATAAAAAAAAACTACTGGTCAATAACTCTGATGAATATTGATGTAAAAATCTTCAGCAAAATACTAGTGAACTGTATTCAACACATTAGAGACATCATTTAGTATGACCAAGTGGGATTTATTAGAGATGCAAGGATGGTTAAATATATGCAAATCAATCAATGTGATATATCCTATCAACAGAATGAAGGACAAAAACCATAAAGTCATTTCATCTGATGCTGGAAAAGCATTTGATAACATTCAACATCCCTTCATGTTAAAACCCTCAAAAACTGGTTATAGAAGAAATATACCTCAACATAAAGCCTTATACAACAGACTCACAGCTAATATACTGAATGGAGAATAACTGAAAGCCTTTCCTGTACAATCTAGAACGTGACAAGGATGTCCACTTTCACCACTATTATTCAGCATAGTACTGGAAATAGTTGCTAGAGCAATGACGTGCGAGAAAGAAATAAAGGGCATCCAAATTGGAAAGGAAGAAGTCAAATTATCCTTATTTGAAGATGATATGATCTTATATTTGGAAAAACCTAGACTCCACACAAACACACAAAGACTATTAGAACTGATAAGCAAATTGAACAAAGTTGCAAGGTACAAAATCAACACACAAAAATCAGTAGCATTTCTATATGACAACAGTGAACAATCTGAAAATAAGATAAAAAGTAACCCCATTTACAATAACCACAAATAAAATTAAATACCTAGGAATTAATTTGACCAAAGAAGTAAATGATTTCTATAATGAAAACTGTAAACCACTTATGAAAGAAATTGGAGAGGACGCCAAAAAGTGGAAAGACATTCCATGTTTATGGATTGGAAGAATCAATATTGTTAAAATGTCCATACTACCCCAAAACAACCTACAGATTTAATGCAATCTCTATCAAAATACCAAACAAAGTCTTTATAGAAATAGAAAAGAGCGTTCTAAAATTTCCATGGAACCACAAAAGACCCAGAATAGCCACAGCTATTGTGAACAAAAAGAACAGAACTGGAGGAATCACATGACCTGGCTTCAAATTATACTATAGAGCCATAGTCACCAAAACAGCATGATCCTTGCACAAAAACAGGCATATAAACCAATGGAACAGAATAGAGAACCCAGAAATGAATCCACATACCTACAGTGAACTCATTTTCAACAAAAATGCTAAGAACATAAAGGAAAAAGATAATCTCTTCAATATATGTTGCTGGGAAAAATGGATATCCATATGTAGAAGAATGATACTAAACTGCTATCTCTCGCCATATACAAAAATCAAATAAAAGTAATTAAATCAAAGACTTCAATCAATGAAACTACTACAAGAAATCATTAGAGAAACTTGCCAGGTCATTGTAGTGGGCAAAGACTTTTTGAGCAATACCCCACAGGCACAGGCAACCAATACAAAGATGGATAAATGGGATCACATCAAGTTAAAAAGCTTCCTCACAGCAAAGGAAATCATGAACAAAGGAATGAGATAACCTAAAGAATGGGAGAAAGTATATGCAAACTACTCACCTGACAGGGAATTAATAACCAGAATATATAAGGAGCTCAAACAACCCTCTAGGAAAAAAATCTAATAATCTGATTTTAAAATGGGCAAAAGATTTGAATAGACATTTCTCAAAAGAAGATAAAAAATGACAAACAGGCATGAAAAGCTGCTCAACATCACTGATCATCAGAGAAATGCAAATCAAAACTACAATGAGATATCATGTCACCCCAGTAAAAATGGATTTTATCCAAAAGATTGGCAATGACAAATGCTGAGTAGGATATGAAGAAAAGGTAACCCTCACACACAGTTCGTGGGAATGTAAATTAGTACATCCACTATGGAGAACAATTTGGAGGTTCCTCAAAAAACTAATAACAGGGCTACCATATGATCCAGCACTCCCACTGCTGGATCAATACACCCAAAAGAAAGGACATTAGTGTATCAAAAAGGTATCTGTACTCCCATATTTATTGCAGCACTATTCACAATAGCCAAAATTTGGAAGTAACCTAAGTGTTTATCAACATATGAATGGATTTTAAAAACATGGTACATACATACAATGGAGTACTATTCTGCCATAAAAAAGAATAATGGTCATTTGCAACAACATAGATGGAACTGCAGGTCAATATCCTAAGTGAAATAAGCCAGACACAGAACAACAAACATCCCATTTTCTCACTTATTTGTGGGATCTAAAAATGAAAACAATAGAACTCATGGAGATAGAGAGTAGAAGGATGGTTACCAGAGGCTGGGAAGGGTAATGGGAGTGGAGGAGAGGGGTATGAATGGTTAATGCGTACAAAAGAAAAATAGAAAAAAGGAATAAGACTTAGTATTTGCTAGCATGAGAGGGTCACTGTAGTCAGTAATTTAATTGTATATTTAAAAATAAAGAGTATACTTGGACTTTTTGTATCACAAAGGATAAATGCTTGAAGGAACGGATACACATTTTCCATGATATGATTATTATGCTTTGCATGCCTATATCAAAACATGTTATATACCCCATAAATATATACAACTAATATGTACCTCAATAATTTAAAAGTAAATTATAACTTACAAAGATGAAAAAAATCCTACAATTCACAAGGAAGTTTCCACAACAAAAATAAGGATTCACCCCAAAATTTCAGTAGTGCCAAAGTCAGGAAACCCTGCTTTTGTATCTGATAATTTCTCATCACCTCCTTTATCACCACCTGCTGTCATCTTCTCTTACTTGGATTGTTGCTATATCATCCTATCTAGATTCCCTATTTCTATTTTTGCCTCCCTATAATCTGTTATTTGCCTAGCAGCCAGAGTGGTCCCCTAAAAAATATCATCTCAGTTATCTATTAAAATCTTCCAATAGTCTCTCATCTCATTCACAACGAAAGACATATGGAGAACTTCTTTTGCATATGTTAACATTCTTAGAAAAGTCTACAGAACTGTGTATCACTTGAGCCCTATTTTATCTCCCACCTCTTTTATGCCATTCCAATTATATTAGCCTTCTTGTTCTTTCTGAAACAAGCCAAACATATTCTTGCCTCAGGATTTTACTCCTAATATTCTTTCTGTCTGGACCTCTCTTCCAAAGAAATGTGCATGACTGGCTTACCTTTTTCAGGTCAGTGAAAACTTTGACTATGCCATTTAAAATTGCATCTTACTCCTTTCACACAGTACTTCTTATCCTCAACTTGTTTTGTTTCTTCCATAGCACCTATCACCACTTAGCACACTGCATGTTCTGCCCTTTTTGTTGTTTATTTTCTGTCCTCACAACTAAAGTTTAATCCCCATGAGGACAATGTTTTTTTTTTTTTTTGATTGCCAATATATTCTCAAGGCCTAGAATTTACCAGGTATGCAGCAGGAACTCAGTAAATAAATACCTGCTGAATGAGTGAACTAATGAGCAATATTATCTTTGCTCTTACTGTCATACATTAAACAATGTAGTACCTGTTCAAAAATGTTTACCTGATCTATCCCTGCCCCTAGTTGTAGGCTATTTGCATCCTATTGCTTGAATCTTACTTCTAAGGGCTTTGGTTTTGGTTCAGTAACAGTTTTTCGAATATGTTTTAGATGTTAAGTGTTTTAGGATAGACTTTCCTTCCAATTTTATTATGGGCTCAGATTGGTTTTATGATGTGGCTCCTCAGCTCCCTGAGGCAGTTCGATCTAAGGTTTCTCTTGCTTAACTTGCCATAATCTCTCTCTCCCCCAGGACCACCCATTCCCTGCTGTTGTGTTTTTATGCTCTCGTGCCATGGCCACCATAAACATCATCAGTTTTATGCATTTACTGCTTAGGCACTTCAGTAGACAAGTGGAGGTTATTTAAGAAGATGTGCTCCTAAACATTTAAGCATTTATATTTTTTCTTTCCATTTGTCTTCCCATGTAGGCCCCCCAGTGTGCCCCAGTTTTATGTGAAAAGAAAGGATGTTACAAGATTGCTTTGGTGCTGTACAAACGTATTTTACCTAAATATGGATCTAAAGGCACCATTAGAATGATTGGACAATTTATGTTAATTTCTGTTTTTTACCTGAAAGTTCTGCATATGCCCATGGAAATCAATTTACCTAAATGCCTCCATGACAACCTAAGATTTCCTATGTTATAAAAATGCTAACTGTAGAAAGTTTCTATTTGACTGTCCTGCATTCTGTCCAGAAAGAGTAACCTAAGAGTGAAGTCCTCTATTTCTCTAACATACCAAGTCTCTTATCCTGTAACCATTTAAGGTAACACAAGTGTATCTTTTATAAATACACCTTCAAACAAATTATCAGGAGAATACATTAGAAATAGAAATATTAGGGGCTTTTTCAAGCTCAGGCCATACCATCAATAAAATCCAATTAAATTTATTCAAATACCACATTTACTCAAATATCTTATGTTTGATGCATATTCTTGGTGTAAGATTTAATTTAAAAAGGTAAATTAAAATCTATAATTTGAGAAATATTTGGCGTAAATTACACAAGGGCAATATTATGTAGTAGCTGTTATAGTTGAGTTATATGCATTTGGATTTTATGAAGTAATTTTATAGTTTTGATGTAAGCAGAAAGTAAAGCATTTTCTTTAACACAATTAAAAGGACTCTGATCTGCTGTTCATAACTACTAGCTTTTTATTATTTGAAATATGAGAAACATAATACTCTCCCGTTGTTTAATGAAAAGAGCCATTCTTGTTGAGTTTCTTTGTTTTGAAGTGAAATTCAAAATCTGAGGTCTTATGGATATAAAATGGAAATCAGTATCAAAAGTATTTTTCATAATTATGATTAACCTAGAAGATCATATTTGTTTTGTTTCCATATTTCTTGTCTGTTGGAGGAGCAAGGTTAACTAGGAAAAGGAAAAATAACCGAGTTTGGCAAAGGAAATGAATATGTTCTAAAGAAATTGTATAAGTTTTTTTATGTAATCACATTCCAGAGGTTTATTTAAAAAGGTATGTGTTGAATAAAACTCTAAATTATTTAGGTTTTTATTTTTGCCCTCCAAACCTTTAATATCTTGTCCTTTTTCTCTAGTGGGTAGCCAGATAGCTACTGCAATATGTTCTAAAGATTCATAACAGTTGAATATATTGTTAACAATAAGGCCAATTCTTTCAATTTTGCAATAACTGTTTCACACTTCTAAATCCATCATGCACCAAAACTTATAGTCAATCTTGTAACAAACCATTGCTTTCTAAAGATTAGGAAAAACTCTTGGTTGCTATTTTTTCTTATAAAATTTCCCTAGTAGATTCTCATTTTGGGGTGGGTTGCTTTTAGTCATTAAGTAATAAAAAAGAAAATCTCTGGCTTTTCCACTAAAGTGCTCCATGACCTAAGGAAATGCCCCAGTCTTATTTGTAATTTGTGAGTGTAGGATTTCATAAATTATTGTCAACTGACAAGAAAAAGGAGAGTTGGAACAACAAAAACATTTTTAGAAACACTACTTCATCCCAAAGTGAGCAACCTTCAAAATCTAGGTAGGGCTATGGAAGTGTTGTAAATCTTTGCATGATTTGTTGTTAAAATAATACAAATACTATTTTTGAAATATAGTAATGTTATTTTTTATTTTTTGTTCTTGAATGTGATCTTTCTCTTAGTCAGAGACATCTGTTACTTTAAGAGCATTTGTGTTTTTGTTGTAATAAAATAAACACAGTCCAGGCTAAAATTTTGATTTCCCAAATGATCTTTGAATCATAGCTAGAAATTATTCTTGAAAACCAATCTTTGCTGAGGAAAAAAGGGAGTTTCTAAACTCAAATATATTTATAGTTTAGAATCCCCTCAAGGAATATAAGTATAGGATTTGACAATAAATCAGAGCATAGTATAAACAGGATGTTTCATATGGGAAGTTCGTGTTAGAGAATAATATAAGAAAGGATCTAGAAAAAATTAGAGGGGCAGATGACAAACACTATGAAAGAAAACCTGGAGAAGTTAAGGAAGACATTAAGAACAGCCAACTGATGCTACATTTCACTACCATGTCCAGCATGGCATGGAAGAATAATGACAGATGGCAGTGCCTATAAGCATGGGCATGAGATAGAGCCCTGATCCTCACAGCCTACACATAGTGTGCCAGGCCTGGGAATTCCCACATGTTTAGTGTTGGGACATAACAGTGCTAAAAAAAATCAATGAGGCAATTGACATTTGGATCCATAAGGAGGCCATCAGTGGATACAAATTTTAGGGATTATAATCTTCATCATCAGTACTGGTAGGACAGTCCAAAAGACCAGCTGGATGAGGCATATATTGGTAGATCTCAGCTCAGGATTCACGCATACCATGTAGTCCTGGAGATCACCAAGGGACCAGCACAGAGGACTGGAGGTCACCAAGAATGCATAGCATATGTACCAGAATTCCTTCCCCAACCATCCTGCTACAATAAGCTTCCTAAAACTCAATCTTAAGTGTAAGGAGACAATAGGTAAGCTTTTTGAAAGGAGGGAGAGTCAACCCATAAGGAGTTAAAATTTAAAGAAACAATTTAAATAAAAGTCTATCTTGTTAGATTAAAAGGTAAAGTAGTGAGTCGTTAATGGTAGATATTTAATTAGAAATAGACAGTAGGCCGGGCGTGGTGGTTCACGCCTGTAATCCCAGCACTTTGGGAGGCTGAGGCGGGCAGATCATGAGGTCAGGAAATTGAGACCATCCTGGCTAACACTGTGAAACCCCGTCTCTACTAAAAACACACAAAAAAATTAGCCAGGCATGGTGGGACGCCTGTAGTACCTGTAGTCCTAGCTACTTGGGAGGCTGAGGCAAGAGAATTGCTTGAACCCAGGAGGCAGAAATTGCAGTGAGCCGAGACCGCGCCAGTGCACTCCAGTCTGGGCGACAGAGCAGGACTCCCTCTCAAAAAAAAGAAAAAAGAGAAATAGGCAGTATTTTACTTTACCTTTTAATATAACAAGATAGACTTTTATTTAATTTGTTTCTTTAAGTTTTAACTCCTTATCTGGGTTGATTCTCCCTCCTCTCAAAAAGCTTACCTATTGTTTACCATTTGTGAAAATGTGCCATGGACTATCCCTGTTAACTTTATATTAAAAGATGACCTATAAATTATGTCTATATCACTAACTTATTTATAAATGACCACACCCAAGTTCTCCAAGGTCAACAAACCTCAGAAGATGAGCTTTAGAGACATGGAGTTCCCTTGCCATAATGAAAGCTGACCTGGGAGCATTTTTGAAGGCCAGCCTGGCCTGCCAATGGAGAATACAAACAGCCACAAACATTCATAGGGATAGCTTTTGGCATCTTCTACTCAAGTGTTTCCTCTGCTGCTGCTGCCTCTGTTCTTATTTATAGCCAGTGTTTTCCATTACTTAGGAAGACAAATTTGGTATTATAAGTAATCAAAACAGTTGATTGGCTACTTGGTACTCAATAGTTCAATATTATATCTAATTTGTTTTATCAAGGTAGAATATTATTAAAAGGCATTTAGTATGGTTTTTAAACCCTGTTTTCCTAGCATGAGACAATCAAAATAATATTTTTAAAAAATCCAAACATGTAAGTAATCACAGATAAAGTAGCCATATAGATAACTCATGCAAACATACGCTTGTACAGATACATCTATCCATCAATAATTAGTCTTTAACTCATACATATGTTTACACAAGTAGTTAAAATGGTCACATATTTAACTCACATAAACACATGGATTTGCATACAAAGATACATGAATAATTACAGATTACATGGGCATCACTACTGCATAATTCTAAATTGTCAATTCTTTTTGGATCAAAACGTACATAGTGAGCATGCAGAATGAGTTCCTAGTAATGCTTTTAGGTATACAGGACTTTGTTAAATAAATGATTCCGCCTTCATAACAAAATTCCCTGTACTTTATGCTTGAATCCTCTAGAAGTTGATCCAAGACAGAGAAGAAGATACATGGAGCTTATTTGGGAGGTGCACTGATAAAAGATTGCAGACATGAAAAAAGGGAAGAGAAGAAACTCTTTTCAAGGTATGTTATTAAATAGGTTACCATTTGGGCAACTGGGGCTCAGTCCATCTAGGAACACTTAGAGATAAAGTACAATACTCTTTGTTCCAGCTGAGGGAGCTGGGGTAGTCGCCCCTCACTCCCATCAGTCATAGGTTGGAGGCTGTTCCTGAAATGGGGAGGAGAGGAAGCATTAATTCCTTAGGACTTGTGACCTGCCTCTTACATGGGCCGACTAGCTTTTGTTGGCCAGGGAAAATCCTCCAGCAAGAATTATCAGGCAAAACAATTTAAAAAAATGTAAATGTACATGTGTCAGGAAGTGGTATTTTAATTTAGACTGGTAAAGACAGTGAAGGAAGTGTGTGCCAGGCCGGAGGAACAGCATGGCCTAAGGACAATTGAGGAAAGTTTTGAGTGCTTTAAAGTAACTAAGAAAACCAGCATGCTGGATTGCGGCAAGCTCCTGGGAGCATATTATAAAATGAATATGGAAATGTTGTTAAGGGACAGATTATGTGAGGCTTTGCTGACCATGTTAAAGATGTGGGTCATATCCAACACGCAACAGGGAGTTACTGAAGAGTTTCCAGCAGAGAAGATCATTAAATTTTAAGATTGCCCTTGCTATGTGGATAATGGATTGGAGGGAGGCAAGAGTACATAGAAGGGGAAAAATGGCAAAAGAGGCTATTGCACAGTCTGGGATGTAAGTGACAGTGATTTGAATTAGAGTGGAGACTGGGAAAAGTAGATGATTTTGAAATACATTTTGGAAGTGGGATAGAATTTTGTGAGGGCAATGGTAAAGACAGCACAATTTTCAGATTCTGTGAGTGGGACAATAGGTATACCTGGATAAAAAAGACAGAAAAAAAGGTTTGGGGAATAGGTAAAGGTCTAGGGGTCAGATTCGGAAAACAAACCTGAAATGCCTGTGAGACGTATAACAGAAAATGCGAAGAAAGTAGTAAGGCACATGAATGCACTGGGTTGAGACTGAAATTCTAGAAGTTAGGAAGCATTTTTCTGTAAATCATCAGGGGTGTCAGAAATGACCATTCATTCTCTGATATAGTGAATTCAACAACAGAAAAGGAGTCAAAAAGTTTTAAACAGGAAACCAAAAGTAAAGAAATATTTCCTGTTTATGTCTAAGTTCCTTATTTATTAGGTAGAAAGCTCAAGGTGTTGGAATTTTCCCCAAAATTTAGTCTCTCAAATTGTGTTTTAGAGCAATGATCATAATCATATATTCTTCACAAGCTTTCATTTAGCACAGTCTAACCGAGAAATATCGTGTATTGCTTCACAGTACATGGTATAACAGCAAAAGATGTTGGGTTTGAATTTTTCTGTAATTGAGTAGAGTCTCATTCAGGAATTATTCTGCTGTAATATATAAAAGCATCTTTATAGCTCCTTTCTTTCACGTATTAGGCTGATTTAGGGAAACCCTGGGGCTATCAAAGTAGGCAAGAGAAATTATAGTCTAGGATGATAAATGCTTCAATCTGGGGAAGAGTAAATATTACAAGAGTTGACACCTAGACCCACAAACCAGAAAAAAATAATCTCAGGTCAGAGACTTAGAGAATGAGGGATAAGTATGAATGCAGAGCTTAAAACTGGGCCAGGGAAGCAATTTAGAGTTAACTTATAAACAGTGCTGACCTGTTAGAAACTGCTTTGCATGTATTTGTCTTTTGTATGATGGAGGAAGACCTGCTGGCTTCCAGGAGCAGCAGCTGACCTGTAACTGTCAGAGAAGGGGAAGTAACTCTTTGTAAAACTGGAAGGTGGAAGACATCACAGAAATCAGTATTTTTTATCTCTTCTCAAGGCTTGTGGGTTTTGGCTCCCGTCTATCTGTTACGTGGTAATTCTAATCTTTGAAAGTCCATTTTCTTTCCTAAGAAAGGTTCCTATGATCTGAAGCCAAGGAGGACTGGAAAGAATTCAAGGTTATTAGCACATTTATCATATAACACATAGAGCTGAAGGACAGATTACAGACTGATTTAAGTCTTACGGTGATGGGAAGGCGTGGGGCAGAGAGAGGAGAAATTGAGAAAGAAAAGATATTTCAAGAGGCTGTTTTCTGCTAAGGAAACAAAAAAGTCTTTTACTTATATAAAGCAATCATAAAATACTCATTCTCAAGTAAATTAAGTGACATCCAACTTTAACTATTTATATCTTTCCAGTATCTATTCAATCCTAATGAATTCTGAGTCAATTCTCAGAAAATTGTTTCTCTGAATCAGCCTGTGAGCAGATTTAAAGGAGGTAATTACAGCAGAGCTGAGCAGAAACAGAATTGAGGGGCTGGAAATTGAGGCAGTCATCCTTAAGATACATATTTAGATACCTGGCTAGATAAATATATTACATCAAGCTTGTCCAACCCACAGCCCACAAGGCCCCATTGTGAAATGACTAAATACAGCTAATTAACATATGACTTACTTCATAAAGTTATTTTTTTCTGGTGAGAACAACTAACATCTCTTTTAGCATTTTCACAAATAAGATATATTGATATTAACTATAGTCACTTATTCCTCCAAACAGAAATTTTGTATCCTTTCACCATTACTTCCCCAACCACAACAGCCCCCGATAACCACCGATATACTCTCTACTTCTTTAAGACCAACTTTTGTAGATTCCACATATGAGTGACATCATGCAGTATTTGTCTTTCTGTGCCTGGCTTATTTCACTTAACATGATATTCTCCAAGTTCATCCATTTTGCTGCAAATGGCAGAATTTCCTTCTCTTTATGACTAGTAGTATTTCATTACGTATATAGACGACATTTTCTTTATCCATTCATCCATTGATGAACACTTAGTTTGATTCCATATCTTGGCTACTGTAAATAATGCTGCAGTGAATAGGGAAGTGTGGACATCTCTTCAACGTAATGATTTCATTGCCTTTGGATATATATCCAGTAGTGGGATTTCTGGATTATAAAATACTTGTATTAATTTTTTTGGGAACCTTTATATTATTTTCCATATTGGCCACATGAATTTACGTTCCCATCAACAGCTTGTGCAAGGGTCCACCAACACTTATCTTTCATCTTTTTTATAATTGCCATTTTAGCAGATAAGAGGTGATATCTCATCGTGGTTTTAATTTGGATTTCCCTGGTGACTCGTGATATTGATCATGTTTTCATGTATCTGTTGGTCATTTGTATATATGTCTCTTTTTGGGAATGGCTCTTCAGGTCCTTTGCTCACTTTTGATTGGGTTATCTGTTTTCTTCCTACTGATATGAGTTCCTTATATATTTTGGATATTAATCTCTTATCCAAAGAATACTTTTCAAATGTTTTTCCTCAATCTGTGAGTTGTATGTTCCTTGTATATTCTGGATATTAACTTCTTTTCTAGTGTATAATTGGCAAACATTTTTTTCCTCCAATTTGTGAGTTGTATCTTTCCTTTGAAGTGCAGAAGCATTTTGGTTTGTTGCAGTCCTATTTGTCTATTTTTGCTTTTGAGGTCCTATCTAAAAAAAAAAAAAAATCACTGCCCAGACCAATATTGTGGAGCTTTTCCTGTGTTTTCTTTAGTAGTTTTACAGTTTCGGGTCCAGTTTCATTCTTCTGCATGCAGGTATCCAGTTTTCCAACCAACATTTATTAACTGTCCTTTCCCCACTGTGTGTCTTGGCACTTTCACTGAGACTCAGGTGGCTGTAAATATATCGATTTATCTCTGAACAATAAGTGACTCTGTTGTTCCATATGTGTATCATGCCAATTTGGCTACTATAACTTTGTAGTAGATTATCTCTAGGTTTATTCTTTTTGTTCAAGGTCATTTTGTCTATATGGGGTCTTTTGTATTTCAAAATTTTAAGATTGCTGTTTTGTTTCTCTGGAAAAATATTTTTGGTATTTTGATAGTGATTACCTGAATTTGTTTATTGCTTTGGGTGGCATGAATATTTTTGTGATATTTATTCACCCAATGCATGAACATGGGATATCTTTCTTTTCATTTGTGTCATCTTCAATTTTTTTAATCAATGTTTTATAGTTTTCAGTGTAGAGATCTTTTATCTTCTTGGTTAAATTTACTTCTAAGTATTTTTTGTAGCTCTTACAAGTAGGATTGTTTCCTTTTTTCAGATAGTTAGTATTGTTGTATAGAAATGTTACCTACTTTTGTATGTTGATTTTGTATCCTGAAACTTCACTGAAATTGTTATTCTAACAGGTTTTTCTGGTAAAATCTTTAGGTTTTTCTATATATAATATCACGTTGTTGCAAACAGACAATTTTACCTCATCCAATTCTATTTGAGTGCTTTTATTTCTTTCTCTTGTCTAATTGCTGTGGCTCAGACTTCTAAGACTATGTTGAATAGAAGTGGCAAGACCGAACATCTGTGACTTGTTTTGAATCTTAGAGGAAAAGCTTTTAACTTTTTCACAGTAAGTATGGTAGTTGTGGGTTTGTCACATGTGGTCTTTATTGTGTTGAGGTACATTCCGTCTATATCTAATTTGTTGAGTTTTTCCTTATCATGAAAGTATATTCTATTTTGTCCAAGTCTTTTTTTGCCTCTGTTGAAAGGATTGTTTATTTTTTGTCCTTCATTTTGTTGATGTGATGTATCACATTTATAGATATGGATATGTTGAACTGTTCTTGCATTTCTAGGATGAATCTCACTTGATCATAATGAATGATCTTTTTAATGTGCTGTTGAATTCAGTTTGTTCATATTTTGTTGAGGATGTCTGCATCTATGTTTATCAGTTATCTTTTTTCACAGTGTCCTTGTCTGACTTTGGTACCAGTATAATGCTAGCCTCATAAAATCAGTTTTGAATTATTTCCTCCTTTTCAATTTTTTGAAACAATTTGAACAGCACTGGTATTAGCTCTTCTTTAAATGTTTAATAGAATTTAGCAGTGAAACCATCAGTTCCCATTCTTTTCTTTGTTGGGAGACATGTTATTATTGATTCAATACCCTTACTCATTATTAGTCTGTTCAGATTTTCTATTTCTTCGCAATTTAATCTTGGTAGGTTGCATATCTCTAGGAATTTTCCCATTTCTTCTAGGTTATTCAGTTTGTTGATATATAATTGTTCATAATGGTCTCTTGTGATTTTTTCCCCTGTTGTATCAGTTTTAATGTCTCCTTTTGGATTTTTGGAATTTGAGTCTTCTTTTTCTTTTGGTCTAGCTAAACGTTTATCTTTGCAAAAAACTGTTAGTTTTATTGATTTATTATATTAACTTTCTAGTGTTTATTTTTTTCTTTTCTCACCTTTATTATTTCCTTCTTCCTATGAACTTTGTGCTTAGTTTGCTCTTGTTTTCCATTTCTTCTCTTATTGTCTTTTGTGGTTAAGTAATTTTCTCTAGTGCTATTCTTTGATTCATTACTTTTTTTTTCTGTGTATCTACTAATAGATTTTTCACTTTGTGGTTACTATGAAGCTTACAAAAATTTTTTACAGTTATAGCAGGTTATTTTAATCTGATAAAAATTTTAATACCAAAGAAGAGACTTTATACTTTTACTTCGCTCCTCTCTGAACATTTTGAATTTTCAGTGTCTCGATTTCCATATTTTTACATTGAATATCTCAAGAAATTATTGTAGCTATTAGTTTTGTCTTTTAATATTTATACTAAAGATATAAATGATTTACACACCACCCTTACAGTACAAGAGTATTATAATTTGATAGTGTACTTACCAGTGAGTGTTATACTTTGAATCTTTTTCTTTCAGCTTGAAGAACTCCATTTAGCATTTAGCAAGACAGGTCTTGTGGTGATTAAATTCCTTTGCTTTTTGCTTGGGAAAATCTTTACCTCTTCTTTGTTTCTGAAGAACAGCTTTGCTGGGTATGATATTCTTGGTTGCAAGTTTACTTTCTTCAACATTTTAACTACTAGATATCACCCTATTTTCTCATAGCCTTTTCTGCTGAGCAATCTGTTGCTAGTCATATTAGTACCTCCTTGTATGTTATTTTCTCCTAATTTTAACTATTTGATTATAATATATATCGATATGGTCCCATTTGAATTGGATCTGATTAGACCTTAGATCTTCCTTTACATGGATATTTATATGCTTCTCCAGGTTTGGAAAGTTTCTACTATTTCCTCAAATAAGCTTTTTACCCCTTTAACACCTGTGACTTGAAAATTTGCTCTTTTGATACTGTCCCATAAATCCTGTAAGCTTTCTTCATTCATTTTTTTCTCCTCTGATTATTTTCAAATAACCTATTCCTTAGTTCAGATTCTTTTCTTGATCAATTTGGTTGTTAATGCTCCCACTGAGTTTTTTATTTCATTCTTTATATTCTTTAGCCCCAGAATTTGTTTGATATTTAAAATTATTTCCATTTCCTTGTTAATTTTCTTATTTTGTTCACCTATTGCCTTCCTTATTTCCTTGTTTCTCTGAATTTTCTTGAAATTTGCCAAGTCCTTAAAACAGTTATATAATTAGAATACTGAAATAATTAGAATATTCAAATAGACACATGCATTGTATGCTTATTGTGCATACATCTTCGCCAACAATTTTATTGCCAGGTACTTTCACATTGTAGACAGTGATTGTGGGTATATATGGTATTATAGTATGGTAATTTGCATTACCTTTGTTTTCATTTTCATTTCCCTGATGACTGATGATATTGAACATTTTTCCACATACTTATTTTCTATTTATTTTTTTTGATTTTGTCCATTTTTAACTTTTTTCTTACTAATGAGTTATTAGTTTTAGGTTTTTTGCATATAGAGTACTCTATCAGATTAAACTCTTCACTTTTAAACAGAATCTTTTGAGGAGCAAAATATTTTAATTGTTATGATATTGAGTTTATCAATAGTTTTCTTTTAGTGATTATGCTTTTTTATACTAAGAAATCTTTGCCTAACCCAAAGTCATGGAATTTCCCCTTTTTAGCTCAATTATTTATAATATTCTTATTAAAAGGGCTATTACTACCCAGTTGGGGTTAAAGTTTGCATATATTCTCAGGTACGTATTTTTAAATTTATTTTTTTCCATCATATGTATGGATGAATACTTTTTTTCCAGCAATATTTGTTGAAAGACTTTAATTTCCCTATGGAACTGCCTTGGAAATTTTGTCAAAAATCAATTTACCTTATGCATGCAGGTCTATTTCTGGATTTTATTATTTTCTACTAACCTATGATTATTATGCCAATATCACTGTTTTGATTAAAATAGCTTTATAGCAACATTAGAAACCAAGTATTATAAGTTCTTGTTTCTAGGACTTATAGACTAGTGTTTTAACTACAAAACATTGTTTTTCTTTTTCAAAGTTTGATTTTTAGGTATTTGGTATTTTGGTTATTAGGTCGCGTGTATTTCCATAGGCATTTTATAATCAGCATATCGATTTCTACAAAAAGCAATTAGGATTTTTGGATATATTGATCAACTTGGGTAGAATTGACATCTTAACAATATTGAGTCTTCCAAATTATAAAGAAAGTCTTGTTTTTCCCATTTAGGTTTTCTTTAATATGAAAAACTTTTTTGTATCAAGAGTGCAGAACTTGCAAATATTTTGATTAACATGCTATTGTAAATGGTATTATTCCTTTCAATTGTTCATAGTTAGTATATAGACATATAATTGATTTTTTAAATATTTATCTTGTATCCTATAATTATGTTGAGGTCACTTACGTTCCAGTAGATTCTGATGTGTTTTATTAGTAAATAATATTAGCAATGTGCTAACAATTTTGAAAATAGGCAATAGGTATATGGAAGTTCATTATATTATTATATACATATTTAGTTTTTCCACTAAAAGCTTTACAAAGAGCAAAAGGACATAAATAAGGTAAAGGATATCTAGTAGAGATGGAAGATATTAATTGGATTGTAGTTAGCAGAAAAAGTGTTAAGTAATAAAACCCAACAATAGGTTGAATTTTATTACAAGGAAGGGAATGGCTTTTGCATTGAGAAGGATGTAACAGATAAAAATCAATTAAAATACAGAGAAAAACATGAGGAAACATTGGCTAGTAAAATGATGAGGGGGTCAAACTTAACATGTGAAAAAAAATAGGCTTTCATGAAAAATAGAATAAAGAGCACCAAGAAAGTAAAAACATGTCAACAAACATTTGATCAACTTGATTTTTAAAACATATATGTCTGAATATAATGTAAATAATACCATAAATTATTAATAAACATGATAAACTTAATACTTTCCTATATACCCACAACTTTGCCCAAAATATCTGTAATACTCACAAATTCCCTGCAAAGGCTGATGGGAGACTCCTTTTTACAGACAGGAAACTTCTCCAAAGTTCATCTGATAAAGTATAAATAAGTCATTTAGAAACAGGTACATTTTATTTATTTTCAAAAATCACTTGCAGAAATTTAGCTAATGAACTAGTAAGCAAGAAAAGTTTCCTTTTCTTAATAAAAGCAAAAATACATTATTTAGTGAAAATAGACCAAAAAGTTTCATTAACCTAAAGATTAAAAACATATTTATTTAGTTTGATAGTTTATCAAAAGCAGAAGCAGGATTGTAGGATTAGCATAATGATTTCCTCATCTGCTGTTTCATAGTTATAAAGATTTTGCTTACAAAGGAAGAAGTCAGATTGTCCTTGTTTGCAGATGATATGATGTTATATATGGAAAAACCTGAAGACTCTACAAAAAAAAAAAAAAACCTATTAGAACTGATAAAGTCCAGTAAAGTTGCAGGTTACAAAATCAACACACATAACTCAGTAGCATTTCTATATGCCAAAAGTGAACAATCTAAAAAAGAAATCCCATTTACAATAGCCACAATTAAAATTAAATACCTAGGAATTAACCAAAGAAGTGAAAGATCTCTAAAGAAAACTATAAAACACTGGTGACAAAAAATTTAAAAGGATAATATTCTGTGTTCATGGATTGGAAGTATCAATATTGTTAAAAATCCATACTAGGCTGGGTGCAGTGGCTCACGCCTGTAATCCCAGCACTTTGGGAGGCCGAGGCTGGCAGATCCTGAGGTCAGGAGATCAAGACCACGGTGAAACCCCGTCTCTACTAAAAATACAAAAAAAAATTAGCTGGGTGCAATGGCAGGCACCTGTAGTTCCAGCTACTCAGGAGGCTGAGGCAGGAGAATTGCATGAACCTGGGAGGCGGAGCTTGCAGTGAGCCAAGATTGCACCACTGCACTCCAGCCTGGGCAAGAGAGCAAGACTCCGTCTCAAAAAAAAAAAAAAGTCCATACTACCCAAAGCTATCTATAGATTCAATGCAATCCCTACCAAAATGCCAATAACATTCTTCACAAAAATAGAAATAACTACCTTAAAATTTATATGGAACTGCAAAAGACCCAGAATAGCTACAACTACCCTAAGCAAAAGAAACAAAACTGGAGGAATCACATTACATGACTTCAAATTATACTCCAGAGCTGTAGTCACCCAAACAGCATGGTATTGGCATAAAAAAAAAATGACACATTGACCAAGAGAACAGAATAGAGTACACAAATACAAATCCATACACCTACAGTGAATTCATTTTTGACAAAGGTGCCAGGAATATACACTGGAGAAAAGACAAATAATGTTGGAAAAACTGGATATCCATATGCAGAAGTATAAAACTAGACCCCTATCTCTTGCCATATACAAAAATCAAATTAATATGAATTACATAATTAAAGACCTCAAACTATGAAACTACTACAAGAAAACTTAGAGGAATCTCCCTAGGACATTGTAGTGGGCAAAGACTTCTTGAGCAATACTCCAAAGGCACAGGCATCCACAGCAAAAATGGACAAATGGGATCACATCAACCTGAAAAGCTTCTTCGCAGCAAAGGAAACCATCAACAAAGTGACAAAACAACCCACAGTATGGGAGAAAATATTTGCAAACTACCCATCTGACAAGGAATTAATAACCAGAATTAATAACCAGAATAGATAAGGAGCTCAAACAAATCTATAGGGAAAAAATCTAATAATCCAATTTAAAAATAGGCAAACAATTTGAATAGACATTTCTTAAAAGAAGACAAACACTGAACCCATAGAGAATAGAAGAGTGGTTACCACAGGCTGGGAAGGATGGTGGGGGAGAGGTGGGGATGGTTAATGGGTACAAAAAAATAGATAGAATGAATGAGTAAGGTCTAGTATTTGATAGCACAATAGCAATAGGTGACAATACTCAATAATATAATTGTACATTTTTAAATAACTAAAGGTATAATTGGATTGTTTGCAATGCAAAGGATAAATATTTGAGGGGATGGGTACCCCATTTACCAGTGGTAATTATGCATTATATGCCTGCATCAAAACATGCATGTACCTACAAATTTTTTAAAAAAACAAACTTTACTTACAAACAAATTAACACATGCTCCACCATTATTCTAGTACAACATTCTACTTTATTTTTGCTTCACAATTGCCTAAGTCCATCAGCTGCAAGGTACCTATTTTGTCATTTTCTGTTTCAAGTTTTTGGTTTGTCTTTCAAATTTCTTTTTTTTTTTTTTGGATTTTTATAGAATGCAGCATGTATTAATACATCGTCTAATTCTAATCCTACTTTTTTGATTGCTTGAAACTAAATGTACAATGATGCTTACACCATGCAGAGACATTAAATCATATAACTTCTAAGGATACACTGTTATAATAAATTATGAGTCTGGAAATGAATTCTTCCTATATGCAATTATAATTTACAAAAAGAAAAAATTTAGTTTATTCTATAAATTATTAATTAAAACATAAGTATGCTTAAAAATTTAGTACTAATTCTAACCTATTTTAGATTAATCCTGTTTACTTTTACAAAGTTTTAAAAATATCAGAATCGTAATTTGCAATTTTAAGATAATAAAAATAAATTAAGTATATTAATTCACTATAGCATTAAAATGCAATAATCTTAATTTCCTCAACATGTCATGAGTAAGATTTCATCCTTTACATTATACTTGCAATGCATTTTGTTTTCTGTTGTATCTGAAATTAATGAACTGAGTCATTCTGAGATTTGGCTAAAACTAGATGAATTTATTGTTTTAACCAGAAATCTTAATACTAGATTTAGGATAAATTAAATCTTGTTTTTGCTGTCTTTGATATTATTTATACATCCTCTTCTTGGGTAGCTGTTAGATACAGTAGATATTAAATAGCTATACAAAAAAATGGCATACAAGATATAGATAATTTTGTCACTGGTACTATGCCAACTAAAATTTATGGCCATGTAAAAATGTCTAAGAAATGAAACAGTTCACAGCATAACAGAATAAAAGAAAGTCTAGGAAGGGAAAAGAAATAGAAAAGAAAACAGTTATAAATTAAAGTCTGAAATATTTCAGAAAATTTAGAGAAAGATATGCTAGCAAGTCAAAATAAATTCAAGGAAGATAAATAGAGCATTTTCAAAATTCAACAATACAATAAAATCTTGACTTGCTGATTTATATTCTTAAAATAAATTTAAGTAAGATCTTTCAAAACTGTGTGTTACTTTTGTTCTCCTGATCCTGTAGACCTGTGTCAAAGTCACCCTGACCTGAGAGAGTTGAATTATTTTTATGTACGAGATATATTTTGACAATATTATACTTATTTTTAGTACTTTTTCCTCCTCTTTATCTGTGAATATTTCTCCTCTTCTTTTATTGTCTCTCCACTTAAATCCCTGTAGTTTCTTTTCTGAAACATACACAAAAAGGCAAACACTCTAGTTTATTCATTGACTATTTTTTTTAAAAAAGTACGTGTATCTCACCCATTCAGGTTTTTATACTTTTACTACATACATACCTATCATTAACACCACATGGTATTGCTTTGTATGCTTTCTACATTTTCTTTCTAAATTAAAATATATCACACTGTTTATTTCTTTTGTAATCTTTTTTTACTGTTTTGCTTTTTACATTTATCTATGTCAAGACATGTAGATTTCATTTATTTTAACTAGTGTTGCATATTAATGCAAGTAATACGTAGTCAAATATGGCAAGTTTATGATGTCCAATCTAACATCTTATATGGCTATATGACAATGTTTATATAAGATAGTTTTCTAGATTATATTTCTAGGTGTAAAACTGCTATGTTAGAAGTTATATGCACTTTCAACATAAGTAGATAAGCACATTGTTCTTGAAGTTTACATATTCATTACGCTTTCATAGTATCCAAACCTTTCTGCTTCTTCATCTCAAGCACTTTTATAGAAGAGAAGTATACCTTTTTTTTTTTTTTTTTAAGACAGAGTCTCACTCTGTCACCCTGGCTGGAGTGCAGTGGCGCCATCTTGGCTCACTAAAACTTCTTCCTCCTGGGTTCAAGCGATTCTCCTGTCTCAGCCTCCCAAGTAGCTGGGATTACAAGCATCCGCCACCACACCCGGTTAATTTTTGTATTTTTAGTAGAGACTGGGTTTCACGGTGTTGGCCAAGCTGGTCTCGAACTCCTGACCTCAGGTAACCCACCCACCTCGGCCTCCCAAAGTGCTGGGATTACAGGCGTGAGCCACTGCGCCCAGCCAAGTTACCTTTTTTCAAAAAAACTTATTTAAATTTATTTTTCATAATTAAGTACAGTGGGTCTTTTATTTCAATATTAAATTCTACTCTGAAATGTGCTGTATTAAGATTTTGTTTCCTATTAGATAAACCTTGATTACAATGTGAGATATAACTTTTATTTATTTGCATATTCTTATTATTTTAGTGAATGTTTCACTAGGACAGACCATATCAATTTAATTCCACATTGCAACCTTACATCAATATATGTCATATAGAAAGTACTCAATAAATATTGGTTGGGTCAGTAACATAAATTTGTATTTAGCTAACAGCGAGTTATTGAACAACTAAACTTTTAGGCATCCATGATGCAGAATGCATATCACGTTAATTCCTGTCTGTTCTATGACTCCATCACCCATGGAGAAAAGTAACAATTTTTAATATATCCACTACAGTGTCCTTCTGTCCCAATTTTCTCTCAGCAACAATGGCTTTGGACGATCATACTCATGAAACACATTAGTTTTCACATAGTGCCAAATTTACCCAGTTTTAAGAATGACTGTGGAACAAGCAACAATGTAGCAACAACATAGCTGAGGATATCATGACTCTGGGCATGTGTGATGCCTGCCATATTTAGGGCATGTGTCATTAGAATACATGAGGCCAAGTGGACGTGGACAGTCTCTGCTAAAGAAAGCCATCAATTCTGAGGTTGCCTCAGGATGTTACCTTGCTAGACACATGCCATTCTCTGGTGAACATAATGACTACCCAGTTTCCAATTGCAGCTGAACCTTATACACACTGATTCTCCATTACATGACAATCTCAAGAATGAGGTGTAGGTACTTATTAAGGGACATTATCCTCAAACAGATTCTGATTTATCTCCAATTAATTTGGGGTATTCTTCTATTAATTCTATGAGTTAGTGTTACTAAGACAATATAGCCAAAGGTCAACTCAAGTATCCCTGAAGCTAGAGGAAAGACCATGAAATCATCTGTTGATCTCTAACTTGCAGTTTCTTGCCAGTCCTTGTCAATATCTTTGTTACTTTTCCTCCATCTTTTTAATTCTTAGCACAGAAACTTCTACAATGTTGTGACATGCAAGAAAACATACTAAAACAACTACCAGGGTCTCTATCATCCAAGGAACAGTTGGGAAAAAAACACACATTAACTGCGATTATACAGTTTCACAAATTTCTGGATATTCAAATTTATTGAATATTTCTCTATAAATTAGACTATACCTTTACCCAAGGTAGCCTCAATTAGTCATAGCTTTTTAAAGGTTTGGACAGACATATTCACCTGCATATGCAACTTTCCTAAAGCTAACTTTCCTCCTTAATTCACTCCCTGGGATTTAAAACACCAATTTCCGAAACCCCAGTTTCCTGTCAGTATGTTAGGGCCAGTGTTGAGTAAAATACCATCAGTGTTTGCTTCTGAGTACTTATCGTACAGGTATAATTCAAGAATATTGTGGAGGACTTCCTGTTTGGTGGACAGGTGGATACAGAGAATCACAGCATACTCTAGCAGACACCAATGAGCAGAAACTTCTGTGGAAACCAGAACCAGAGTAGGATAACCTGAATCATAATTGACAAATTGCTGGAGGCTCAGTGTGGACAAGTCTATGAGTTAAAAACTCAAAGAAGCCCTTCTACCTTTGTGATTGATTACCTCTTGGAGCTTTGCTGTAATGCACAGTGAATATGAGAGAGAAAAAAATACCCTCAGGAGAAACTGTGTCACCAAAGGCTAACTTATTGGCATTTTACCACAGCCGAAGTATCCTTGGGGAAGGGAATACCCAACTCCAGTTCTCTCTAGCCTTCCTTGTGTGAGAAGAGGAATTACCAACTCCCGCCACCTCCAGCCACCTTGGAACGTAAGGTGGGGGTGGGGAGGCACTGCTAAGCACTTGTGATAGTCACAGACACAGGTTCACTAAAAGACTGAGACTAATCAGGATGACAGAACACTTCCCCTGCCTCCACATCTTACCACCATAGATCACTAAAGGTTCATTTACTGGAGTTCCTTCAACCCAGTACAAGTCTAGCTTTCAACAAAAAATTACAAGACCTACTAAAAGGCAAAAAATACAGCATCAAAACTAGAGTTAGATACAGCAGGAATGTTAGAATTATCAGACTGAATTTAAAACAACTACAAGTGCAAGGATTGTAATGGGAAAAGACAACATGCAAGAACAGATGAGTAGAGAAATAGAAATTCTAACAAAAAATCAAGTATATTTGGTATTCCCAGAAGTATGAAGTGCCTCAGGACACTGTCAGTAAGCATATACTATTTCTTATTGTCATTCCGTTTGTATGTGTACCATAGGCTTCCACAATTGCCACCTTGAATGTTCCTGGGGCAAATCACCAGTGATATGTGACTGCCGTATAATGACAATATTTACCATTTTTCATATCTAATTAATTGAGCTACTGTTTGTGTAGTATTCCATATACATTCACACCTTAAAGTTTTTTAAGGATACAAAGCAGGTGATAATGATATATGCTTCCCTTCATACTCATACTCAGCTAGTTACCTTAACAGGCCACATCCTGGTTTACAGCAATCCAGTACATCAGTTGCTAACTGCCAGGAACAGTAAGTCCAGTTCAGTGTAAAAGTAAGAAAACCAAAATCAAAACAAAAAAACACAGTCCAAATGGTAATTACAAACCACTGTTACTCAGGCAAGTCTTCAGCTAAGAGTATCATCATCATCAAGGGATGCTGGTTGATATCTTCCCCAAACCACCCACAGCAACTTCTTGGGTAAGTCTTAGGGTTCAGCTTCATTCAAATACCCTTCTCAGCAGAAAAAAAAATCCAGATATTTCTTTCAGCAGTGGCCATCACTTGACACTACATCTGAAAAAACAGCTAAGAAAATTAGATGTTCTTTTTTTTCATACATCATTACCTGTTTAAGTATCACTTCTCTTCTGCCAAAATTTTCCTTTTTCTTTCTTTTACTCATTACCTGTGTTAGTCCAGGCTCAGCCATGCTGGGTGGAATCTCTACACAACCACCCACAGGACAGATAAAGCCTTCTCAGAATTTTTTTTTTCATCCTGGCACAGATTAAAAAACAATGGAACAATTCCAATAACTAGAAGTGTGTCCAATATCTACAGTTCATCTTAGTTTAAACGCATATGGTGAAGACTATATCCAGTCTGTCATTTCCTTAAAGTTTCGAGGAAGTGAATTAGCACAGCAATGCCTCTCTTGTTGTGACATGCATGGGCAGTCTCAGACACAGTACACCTGGATCTGACAAGAAAAAAGAATTTGCAAGGTGTGAAAGGTAGAGTTTGTGGCTGTATCATCTCCTACCCCTCATTCCATTTTACACAGGAGAAACCTTAAAGTTCCTCTCTCTTCACTTTTGGTCATTCAGGTGAAATATACATTCATCCAATCAAGCCAGCCTTCCCTTCACACAACCCCCACTTATCATTAACCTCACTTTTAATTGCCGAATCTAGTTCTCAAGTAAACTGTTACTTTGAGCATGAAAAGAGACATAAGTTCATATTATGTTATGCTTCTTAGTAAAATACGTATTATTTAATGAAGTATAGCCTGGCCACATTTATAAACATTCCGCTACAAAATTTTTATGGTATCTCAGCTATTGCGTCCTTTACAGGATAAAGGGAGTCCAAAAGCAAATATATGCCCATTCTAGTCAGAACATATTTGAAGCCATTTATAGCTACTGGCAAGGATCCTACGTAGCCTGCCAGCTACAGTCAACTATTGTCTTGAAGAAATCTTACACATATTTATTTCCTGTTTGTATTCTGTACATCTTTTACCACATTAGCAGCTTCATAATATGATAAATATGTAATTACTCTTTGCAGTGTTTCATAGCTTGAGCACTTCGCAGTCTACTTGAGATATAGAAGTAGCTACCTTTTTTTTTTTTTTTTTTTTTTTTGAGACGGAGTCTCGCTCTTGTTGCCCAGGCTGGACTGTAGTGACACAATCTCAGCTCACTGCAACCTCCACCTTCCCAGGTTCAAGCGATACTCCTGCCTCAGCCTCCCGAATAGCTGGGACTACAGGCACACACCATCATGCCCGGCTAATTTTTGTATTTTTAGTAGAGACGAGGTTTCACCATGTTGGCCAGGCTGGTCTCAAACTCCTGACCTCATGGTCCATCTGCCTTGGCCTCCCAAAGTTCCGGGATTACAGGCATGAGCCACTGCGCCTGGCCAGATATAGCTACTTCTAAGATCCAAACGAAGCTGTCAGCTTTTGCATTCTAGTCCCCTTCTGAGCCAGTAGCTGATTTTTTCTGTTTAGTAGGTACACGGCACCCCTTTAATTTTTTCTTGGAATTCCTACAGGATTTCCAAAACTACATTCCCTACACAGATTTATTCTTAATTATATGATCATCTAGGGCTCATTTGCCTGAACACATGGCAAAGCAAAGCAATGGCCACCACCCATGAGTTCATAAAATGTAAAACATTTTTTCTGAGGAAGAGCCCAGTGCTCTTTGCACTTTCAGATATGTTGATCTCAATGCTGCCCATTCTATAGCTTTACTCTTGGTGGGGGGGCGGGGTGGGGGGAACCTTGCCTAAGGTCTTTATCAAACACAGGAAAGATATTGGCATATTTCCAAAATAAACTGCATTCCTGAATTTAGGAACACACCAGGAAGCTTGCTTTACTTTAGCAAGAGACAAATTTTAGGGTTCAGGAGCCAACAGTTCTAGAGATTGTATCATTAGTTCCCAAAAGAGGGCTGGAAACTGCTCATGGATACAATGATCTCTCTAACAATGCCCTGACCACTACTCCCAACCCCCAACACACACACACAGCCCAATTTGAGAACATATTCCTATGTGTACCATTTTATCAGTAGACTCTGATGAGTGGCTCTAGCTTTATGGGAGTATCTGACATTATCCATAGCATACTAGTTATTTCAGTTTTCAGAAGTATTTTTCTTCAGTGATGGGAGATCTCTCCACCAGATCCCAGAAATAAGCCATCAATTATCCTCAAAGGGATGTATCTAGCTGTGGTGTTGGGTACCTTGCAAGTCTTCTATTACAGCGTCACTTTTGTGGAACATCATTAGACTTTCCATTGGCATCAGTCTCTGAGTTTACAAAGCAGGTACCTGCAAACTACTGAGATAAAAGTTAAGATTGTTTGCATCAGTGATGGAAGAACATATTGAGTTTAGTCAGTAGGGGGAGCCATATTTTCAACTTATCCTTGAAATGGGTGGGAAAATATTTAAGAAATTTATAACAGTATGAAAATATGGACTTTAAGCAAAAACATTTGCAAGACACTTTAATGCAATTTAGTCATTCCCAACTTTCTACATGTTAGACCTTGTAAAAAAACAACAGATATATGCTTCCATGCAATATGAAGCATCCTTTATACCAAAAAAAAAAAAATGCTGTCATGATCTATTCAAAGAGGAGAGATACAAAAATCTCCAAGGCATTGTATCCATATCTCAGCACCTCTAATTTAGTTACATTCTCCACCTGAATGCTCTGTAATTCAAACACCAAATTGTAATGTTGTTCATCACCACTTTACTATATAAGAGGAAAGAATGAAGAAAAAAGTAATTAGTAATATTTATAGATGTGTATGTATAATACTTAGTCTGTATGGGATTTTAGCCCAGAGCTTATTAATTAGGAAAAAACCCATAGCTTTCTTTTCCTTTCCACTTTTCCTTTTGAGGCAAAAAGAATTTCACCAGTCCTGGCCATCTCCCTTCTAATGTCAAATCCACCAGAAGTTTAAAATGACCTACGTGTTTCTTCCTCTCCCAGTAGGGAAAAGATAGGCACTTTATTTCCTATAAATAAAGTAGTTTTATCCTTTTTAAAATATTTTTTCTATTTCTACATCATTTGGATATTCAAGTGACTTTATCATTAAATCATAGTTATTTTGAGTGTCACCAGCAACAGGCTTAGACTTCTAAAGTCATAGGAAAAATATTTGAAAGCATGTGAATTGTGTATAATTGATTGTCCTGTGAAAGAGATTTATGGATTATAAAACTTTGTGTTTTTTTTTTTAATTCTTCTTAATGATCTTTCAAAGATTCTCTTTTTAAAAGGACTACTGGTGATGCTGATAGCTACAGCAGGCTAGGAAGGAGACTATTTCAAAATATTTGTGTTCTGACCACAGATTTTGGAGGAACTCCACACTTTCTTTTTAAAACTCTAGGAATGCCTGTATGGGAATAAAAGAAAATATGGTCATCTGGGAAAAATCAGTGTTGGCCCAACCCAGAAAAGGGATAACTGAAACTAGGTCACTTGACTAATAGCTTGAGGGGCACCCTGTACTATTTTCTCCTCTTTTAGAGTAAGAAGGAATGAGGAATCACAACTAAAACTCTGCTTAATAAATAAAACAAATGGAATTTACCTCACTAGCTCTTAAAGCCACCTAATCTTTATCATGTGGGAAAAACAAACACTAATATTGTTGCCATCGTTTTCCTATTTTAAGTGCATGGAGTATAATGAAGTATAACTGGAAGCAGTGTTACTCTGTTAAATTAGTTGGACCCCTACAATCTTCCAGAAACTATATACAAGTTTTTTTTAGAAATTGTATACAATTTCTTTAGGTAGACTAAACTACATCATTAGCGAGTCAATCGAATAAATTTTTTTTAAATTCCAAAATCTAATATGAAAACATACTAATCCCAAGAATAACTGTTATACTAACATTATTTGAATATTTCACTTTAATTTGTAATTCTATATGGTAAGAACATACAGTCTGTGCACGAGCGGATTGGCTTTTTAAAAGGAAAAAATTTGATGAAAACCATCTTTCTATTTCTACTTAGTGTGCTTTTAGGAAAGCAGTTTGACAAGATAATTCTAGAAAACACAGTGGAAATCAGTACAAAGTTAAAATCCAAAATAGTTTAGCTAAAAATAATACATTTACCAGCTTGAGAGTCCTTCTAGAAGAGATGAATTAAGATTTAGGACTAGATATTTCTCAACTCAGGCAGAGCTTTATATTTAAGAAAAAAATTCTTCCAAGTCAGACCATGCTATGTTGAAAACAATCTCTTCCTTTTTTTCCTTAAAATTCAACTGTAGTCCATTTTGGAGAATATAATTCATATGTTGGCAAAAAGTTAGAAAGCCTCTGAAGAGATGATTCCTAGGTGTACTTAAACTGGCCAACTTATTTCAAAACACCTGTGGCTGCTGTTTTATCTGAGGACATTTTTTTTCAGTAAAAATCATGCATACTTTACTATGTGATTAATATACCTCTTAATTTAATGAAAATCATGTGTTGAGTAGGCAAAAACTATAATGCATACCAAACTTATGCAAATTTTTAATATCTCATACTGCATCATTAATACATTGAATAATTATAAATCATTTTTTTGCATGGCCAATGTAAGCTTTAAATATGAGCATAGGCTATGTTTTCTAGTAATTTTATAAAGACCTAATTATGGAGAGGAAATTTAGACATATTTAATTTTTTAAATGTTAGGCAATATTTCAGGTTTATCAGTAATTTATTCACAGGAAGATTTTAAAAATAATTTTGAAACACTTCTTGGACATGATGTATTACAAAATGTGCTGGGGTTATGAATGTAAAGTGTATGGGGCTCTGTTTCTATCCCTAAGGGGTCAAATAAAATTTTAAGGAGAAGTATACTTAAAGAAAGGCATTCATCATGTATCAGAAACATCCCAAACCTGCCCTCCTTCATTCCATACCATGCATATTATATTTTCTATTTACATTTCTTGGAATATCTTTTTTTCTCATCAAATTTCCTGGTGACTTAAACTTTAAGACTTAGAATACAGAGGTGTGTTTTTAAACTGTAGGTGTGTTGTTTCTGTGGATTTTTATGTATGTATTTAAATATGTGTCTGTAAGAGTGAGAAAGGTATATGGATAAGCAAAAAGCTTAAGTTTTTAAAACACCATGTTCTCCAGACAACTAAAATTACAAAAAAAGTCATATTCATCAGTATTATGATTAACTCTAGTAAAAACGTAGAGCTAAAGGAGAAGCACAGTATTATCTCTTTCATATCGTACATATGTACTTTATCTTATATATGGCAATGCACATACACAAAACTATGACCCTGTAAATGTCTTCACATATACTGCACCTTTCTTAACCAACCACTGGAATTAACTAAATATTTTCTATTGTAACTATAGACAATCAAAGGGTTTTTCTAAAAATCAGTACAAAAAAAATCAGATAATCAAAAGTCACCTTGTAAATGATATTAAACTTGGTTGTATGTATACAACCTTAAGTATAAATGCATAATGCATACCTGTAATATATAGTACATATTGTTCTTAACTTCAGTCATCCTTCTCTGCTGTTGAACATTAGAATTTATTCCTTCAATTTAACTGTATGTTTGTACCCATTAAACAAACTCTCTTCATTCCTTCCCCCAAAACACATGCCCTTCCCAGCCTCCAGTAACTACCATTTTATACTTTATTCCATGAGATCAACTTTTCTTTAGCTTCCGCATATGAGTTAGAACATACCATTTTTATTCAACGTAGTGATGGAAGTCTTAACCAGCTCAATTAAGCAAGAGAAATAAAGGATATCAAAACTGAAAAGAAGTTCAAATTGTCCCTGGTTCCAGACATGATCATCTATTTAGAAAAACCTAGACCCCACCAAAAAACTGTTAGAACGAATATATTAATTGAGTGAGGTTCTAGGATACAAAATCAACATACAAAAATTAATAGCACTTCTATACAACAGCAAACATTCTGAGAAGGAAATCAAGAAAGCAACCCCATTTACAATAGCTATATAAAAAAAATACCTAAGAATAAATTTAACCAAAGAAGTGAAAAATCTTTACAATGAAACCTATAAAATTCTGATAAAAGAAATTGAAGAGCACACACAAAAAATGTAGATATTCCATGTTCACGGATTGGAAGAATATTGTTAAAATATCAATACTATCTAAAGTGGCCTATAGGGCCTATAGATATAATGAAATCAATGATTGCATTCTTCACAGAAATGGGAAAATAATCCTAAAATTTGTATGGAACCATGAGGGATCCTGAATCATCAAAGAAATTCTTAGCAAAAAGAACAAAGCTGGAGGATCAAACAAACTGACTTCAAAGTATACTACAAAGCTACAACAACCAAAACAGCATGGTACTAGCATAAAAATACATAGACCAATGGAACAAAATCAAAAACACAGAAAAAGTCCACACTTTTACAGCCAACTCATTTTCTACAAAGGCACCAATAACTTGTACTGGGGAAAGGACGGTCTCTTTAATAAATGGTGATGGGAAAGTGTTTATTCTTATGTAGAAGAATGACACTTGATTCCTATCTTTGCACAAAAATCAAATCAAAATGGATTAAAGACTTAAATGTAAGACCTGAGACTATGAAACTACTGGAAGCAAATATTGGGGAAGTGCTTCAGGACATTGGTTTGGGTAAAAATTTTTTTGGGTAAGACCTCAAAAGCACAAGTAACTAAAACAAAAATGGATAAATGGAATTACATCAAACTAAAAAACTTCTGCCCAGCAAAGAGAACAATCAACAGAGTGAAGAAACACAGCACCAGAGAAAATATTTGTAAACTATCCATCTGACAAGAAGTTAATAATCAGAATATATGAGGGACTCAAACAACTCAACAGCAACAAAAACCAAATAATCTAATTTTTAAAAGGGCAAAATATCTGAATAGACAGTTCTGAAAGATAGATATGCAAATGGCTGACAGGTATATGAAAAAATGCCTAACACCACTAATATTTGGGAAAATGCAAATCAAAACCACAGCGAGAAATCATCTCAATTACAATGGTTATTAAAAAGGCAAAAAATAGATATGGATATGGAGAAAGGCTTTTTATACACTGTTGGTAGGAATATAAGTTAGTACCGTTAGAAACTTGGAGAGAAAATCCAGGTATCTTGTCCCAACAGAATGTTTCACAATAATGTAAACTCTTTGAACTGTGATAGCAGCCTCAGAGCCACATAGCCATCTATAGATAAAAGGTAAAGTCTAACTGGCCAAAGTAGCTTAAGCACAACACTTGGCCAAAAAGTGGCTTATGCTGACTGAAGAACCACCTCTATATAGACTTAAAATAGAAAAAGAAAAAAAAATAACATCTGAGCAGGGACATCAAAGGCGGCACACTGCAGGGAAAATGGACTTCACACAATTCGTTTAGCCAAAGTCTCTAAACAAACAATTGACCAAGCAAACAACAACAACAACAACATGAACGCAACTGGGGGAATCAGTGTTAAAAGTGGCACCATGAATCCAAGATGCTCAATTTTCAGAAGAAATTTATACTTTTAAAAATATGTTTCAAAAACTAAAGGAAACCACGTGTAAACAATTTGAGAAAGGTTTTAAAACAATGCCTCATCAAATAAAGAGTATCAATAAAGAGAAAGAAATTATTTTTTAAAAATTGGGGCTGGGCGTGGTAGCTTACATCTGTAATCCCAGCACTTTGGGAGGCGAGGCGAGCGGGTCACCTGAGGTTGGGAGTTCCAGACCAGCCTAACCCAACATGGAGAAGCCCCGTCTCTACTAAAAATACGTAGTTAGCCGGGCGTGGTGGCCCATGCCTGTAATCCCAGCACTGGGGGGTGCTGAGGCAGGAGAATCGCTTAAACCCAGGAGGCGGAGGTTGCGGTGAGTGAGATCATGTCATTGCACTCCAGCCTTGGCAACAAGAGTGAAACTCCATCTCAAAAAAAATAAAAGAAATGTTTTCGAAGTAAAATCTCTGAACTAAAAACTTTATTAGAGAGACCAGAGAGGCTGGGCACGGTGGCTCACGCCTGTAATCCCAGCACTTTGGGAGGCCAAGGCGGGTGGATCACCTGAGGTCAGGAATTTGACACCAGCCCGGCCAACATGGTGAAACCTCATCTCTACTAAAAAGTAAAAAAAAAACTAGCCAGGCGTGGTGGTGGGTGCCTTAATCCCAGCTACTTGGGAGGCTGAGGCAGGAGAATCGCTTAAACCTGGAAGGTGGAGGTTGCGGTGAGCCAAGATGCCAAGATTGTGCCACTGCACTCCAGCCTGGGCGACAGAGTTAGACTCTGTCTATCTGAAAAAAAAAAAAAAAAAGAAGAGAGAGAGAGAGAGAGAGAGAGACTTGAGGGTAAACGTAAGCTCTAAATGAAAGAATCAGTGACTTGAAGATACATCAGTAGAAAGTATGCAAATCTGATGAACATTAAGAAAGAAGAATGAGGAGCATCAGTGAAATATGAGATACCGTTAAGTGTGCCAACAAACACACAGAGTGCCAGGGAGGAGAGAGGGAAAGGGGCAGGAAAGTACTGGAAGAAATAATGGCTTAAAACTTGTTAAATTTGATGAAGAACTCCAATCTACATATTTAAGAAGCTCAGTGAACTCCAAGTGGGAAAAAAATTCAAAAAGATCCACATCTAGACACATAACAATTAAAATGTTTGAAAGCCAAAGATAAAGAGAAAATCTTGAAATCAGCTTAAGAAAAATGTGTCATCATTGTAAAGAGAACCCTACGTTGGGATTTGAGGGAGGATTGTTATCACTGCTAAAGGGTTTGTGGTTTCTTTGAGGGTGATGAAATTGTTCTAAATATAGATTGTGATGGTGCTTACACAACTTTGTGAATAAAAATTGTTGAATTGTACACTTTAAATGGGTGGATTTGTGTCATGTCAATTATCTCTTTAAACATCTAAATTTTTTAAAAAGTTTGAATTGGAACAAAAACTATGAAGGCCAAACATTCATTTAATATTTAGCTGAAGATGGAGCAAATATAGAGACTAGTTAAGGAACAATATTTGAGCATATATTAGCTGAGACATTTTATACCCATTCTCAGATTCATGGATCCCACTGTATCTCAAGAAAGATAGATACATTGTAGTGAGGCTATGGAACAGCAACAACAAAAGCAATAACATTACATTTTATTGAAAAGCAAAAAGAGGGAAAAGACAGATCAGGTTCTGAGGAATGACAAATAAATTGTTGAATTCCTTGTAATAATAATAACCCTAGTAAAAATCTGCACATTTAGAAAGTCAAAAAGGATACATTAAAACAATGTATGAGTCAAATAGAATTTATCACAGAAATTTAAAAATTACATACAACTGAATAACAAAAAAGTACATATCCAATTTATGAGATGAAAATTACTTTTGGTTATTGGGAAAAAAAATTTAAGCCAAAAATGATTCATAGAAAAGCAGAAATGCTAAAAAATTAATAAGCTTAGTTTCCCCAACAGGCCCTGAAGTGCCCTGAATTGGTTTCGGGTGTGTCACAGACACTAATGGTTTTAATATTCTCATATTCATAAAAGCATAGACGTATCTCTTACAAGTGTGAACTAAAGTGTTAACTCAGAAGATTTGGGGTGTTCAAACCCTCATATTCCAAAGGACGGGCTGACCCTTGACTGGCTTCTAGGAGATAAGCTGTGTAAGGGATAAGGAGTATCCCACCTGGTAAGAGTGTCTTTGTATTCCTGGGGCTCTGGGCCACACTGTGTCAGTTTTACCTCTGGGTGTTGGCTATAGATTGGGTAGCTAAAGTCAGTCTCATGGGCTCTCCATGCCTATGTAACTGACCCTCAATAAAAGCCCTGAACACCAACGTTTAGGTGAGCTCCTCTGGGTGGCCATGCTCTTTATATGATGTCACACATCATTGCTGAGATAATTAAGTGTTGTCTGGATGACTCCACTGGGAGAAGATAACTGCAAGGTTATTTCTGGTCTCTCCCCGCCTCTGCCCTATGTGCATTTTGCCTTTACCCATTTTAATCTGTATTATTTTATGGTAATAAACAATAACCATATGTCCTTTAAGAGAAGCATTGAGCTTGAGATTGGGCTTAAGGACCCTGACACAACTGTTCAAAAATTTGCACCTGAAGTTGTACTTGAATGTTATTTATATAAAGCACCATCTTTAAACTTTCTATTTTTTTATTCTTAAATGTTTATGCTTCTACCTGATACCAGAAAACATTTCTATGTGAAAATGTAATGATATTTACTTATTTGTGATGTTTTCTGTTAACAATTAGGCAGAATCTTCTTCTAGATAGAATTAAAAGATGGGTTTTTCCTTAAAATATTTTTAATCATAAATGAACATTTCATTAAATCAATTTGTGAAAAAAGAATGACAATCCATTTATAAAAAATCAGTTTTTCAATACATTGTAATTGTGAATATGTTTATTGGATTTTTTAGTATTTTAGTTATTGAATACCATGAGTTAGAATAGGAAAATATCTCAATTCAATAACCAGAACTTTCAAACTAAAAGAAAAAGAGCAAATCAAATCAAAGCAAGCAGAAAGAAAATAAATTAAGATAAAAATAGAAAAAAGTTATTAAAATGCATATCAATGAAAAAGAAAAAAGAAAAAAATCAATGAAGCCAAAAGTTGGTTATTTGGGGGAGAAAACTAGTATGGCAAACCTTAGTAAGATTGACCAAAAAAAATGGAGAAGATACCGATTATTGAAGTTAAGAATGAAAGCAAACAATTCACTTCTGATCCTACAGAAATACAGTAATGTACAACTTCATGTCAATAGACATTTAGAAGACAAATTCCTAGAAAGACAAAAATGACTTTAAAATTGCTCAAGAAACAGAGAATCTAAATAGGTGAAAAATGAGTAAAGAAACAATAATTATAAATCTTCCCACAAAGAAAAGCCAAGGTTCAAATGGCTTCACTGGTCAGTATCTTCAGAAGATTAATGTGCATTTTGGACAGAGAGAAAACACTTATACATGTAAAAGAAGGCCCTGTGTGAGACAGGATTTGGAGAGAAAATAAACATGATTATAATTATCTCAACAATGATAGTGACAGGTGGAATGAGCAGAAATCACATTCAAGAGGAATTCCGGAAGCAGAACCCTCAGAATTTGATGAGGATTATTGATAGGGTGGGATCTATGATACTACCCAGGTTCCTTGCTACAATGAATGAAACAGGAAATACTTTCAAATGGTGTAGAAAAGGTGGGCTTCTGGGGAGGATGGGCACTTCATTTTGTATAAATTGAGTAATACAGTGTTTCTGGTGTATCCAAGGACAAAGGTCAAACAGCCTGGTGCAGATACCAGCCTTAATCTCCATATCCATGTCAGCGTGATCATTCATATTTTCAGACAAATGCACTCTGCAGTTCATAACAGAAAACATAGCAGCTTCAGCCAAATAACATTCATTGTGAAGACATTCAGAGGCAGTCTCAGGTTTGATATATTTGTGTAATGGGGTAAATAGGGAACCACATATTTTATAGCTTTCTCATCTGCCAATCTCTGTATTGCAGCAATGTGCTCTCTCATGGTCACAGCATGGACACTGCACCTTTAAGAATTATATCCTTACATAACATCTCAATTAAGAAGGAGCAGAGCAGGATTTAGGGTTGTGCTCTTTGCTTCAATCTGGCCTTTTATTTCTTTTCCAGGAGCTCTTTTCCAGGAGACTCCCCTTTATATTTTACTGGTGAGGAATGTGTCTACAGCAACTACTGCCAATGATACCAAAATAATTGGCTTGGACTCTGAGGCTAGGCACATTGGTACTCAAACAAAAGCAGGGTTCTGTTGGGAAGGTAAAAAAGGGAATGGTTCCTGTGTAGACAAAAAGAGTATTTGACAATTAATCAATGCAATTTTATTCAGATCAATAAGTATACAAGTCTCCTGGGTTCCAGTGGTCAGGATATGAAAATGTCACAAGCCATAGTCCCTGGGCCTAAGAGCTCACAGTACTTTGATGCATTTAGATAAGCAAACAGAAGTGTGATCAAATCTGTTTTAAAAGTGGTAGTGTAGTAGTGTATGGGAGTGAAGAGAAAGAGACCCCACACTCACAAGAAGGAAAACAAACTACCATTTACTGACCTACTGTATGCCAGCTTAATCCACGTACATTGAATAAATTTGTTGACTGAAAAAGTAATTATAACACAGAGATGATATCTGGCCAGCGGAGATAACTAATAGATCCAGGTTTAGAACTCATGACTCTAAACCCAAGCCCAGTAAATCTTTCATTAGATATCAGTTCACATGATTAAAAAAAAACTCATAAAGTCTTGTCTTGTTGCCTAACTATATGCCTGTTTCCCCTGTTTAAAACAGTGTGGACATTCTATTTTATATGTAAACATTTATAATATAATTATTCTGGGATCAGATCTAATTGGAACTCATCTAACTGGATTTTGGTCACATCCAGTAAACCCACCAATCAAATGTAACACTATTGTTCTTAATTTTCCACTAGGATAATTAAGGAGGCTCTGCTTTTTCAGAGATGGGGCTTTATTTATACAGAGGAAGAAAAAAAATCACAGCCATAACAAAAAATGATTTTGAAGTTTTCTGCAATTTTCAAAAATTGAAGGAAATGTTAATTGGAGAAGCTGTTTTGTAATGCCAATTACATCAACACCGTGTGTTTATTCTTAGTGTATAATATTCACCAGACTTCCTAAGTCCCATGGAAAAGTTCTGAAGCAGGAAGAAAAGGTCCAATCTTAATTAGAAGCGGGTTGATCAGAGGAATTTCTTTAAGGGGGATTAACTATCCATACAGAAACAAAGGGCCAGATTCTTACTCCTTCTTAGCTTCAAAAGGAGCTCCAAGCAAATAAGACAAGTGGAATAAAGAGAAGGGAAATGGCATCTGGCTCCATTTCTCATCCTTCTGAAGGTTCGGAAAGGATGTGTGACTGCCTCAGGCAAGATAATTAGAGTGCCTGAGTTACAAACATGAGGAAATAACATTGGATATTATACTTTCAGTATATCTAAGAAGCTTAAATTGAAATGTTTCTTTGGGGGCAAAAAAAACCCCTTAAAAACAGCAAACATTTTTAATGTGTTTTCCATCATTGAAAAAATATTTTTTCCTTGTTTTGTTCTGGAATTCATTGAAAATGTTTGATGCTACAGTATATTATATTGTCCTGCTATGTGTTAGCCTATGCCAATGGAAGTATACAAATTTTAAAATAGAAGGGTATTAATTTTAATCATTTTATGTTTGAGATTTTTAGATAGGTGTTTTATACTATTATAAAATTCATTGCTATGTCAATATTGCATGTTTAAAATATGTTTTCAGTTGAAAAATGTAAATAATTTTATAACAGGAAGGCTACATAGTAAGTAAGCAAAACCAATAGTTTTGGAAGGACTGATTTCATGTGCTATCATGTTGAATTCATTTATCAGGATGTCCTTTCTGCAGAAGAAATAATACATAATGACTTTTGAATTAAAACATGGATAACTTTGAATACTACTGTGATTATTTATATCTCTATTACATAAAGAAAAATCTAACATTTCAAATAAATTAGCAATTTAGGGCAAAGGGAAAATGTTCTATTAGTTTTTCACATTTTCGCAAGATCTCAGATCTTTCTTTGAAGAAAGATGACACAAATTTTAGATTTCTTACAGGTGTTAGGAAATATGTGTTTCAAATTAGCTTTCACTGAAGAATTTTTCACCTTGAAAAAATTCCTATATTGAATGTCATAAATAATAATTATAAATACCCATACTACATACTATTTTCAGGTCACTGTGTGAATTCAGAATAGTACATTTACTTTTGTAAGAACATTGGCTTCAGATTAAACCCTTGCTAAATTTACTCCCTGCTGAAAGAAAAAAAAGCATCATCTTAAAATTATAAAAGATTATATACTTTAAAAACAGAATATAATTTTCCAGTTTAATTTGACAGATGGCTTTCATTCTTAAAAAAAAAAATACAAGTGGTAACTGCCTTTGTTAATAACTGCCTTTGTGAATAAAAGGTAACACTACAAGTAGGTATTGCATAAATATTAAAAATTCTCCGTCTTATTCTCCACTACTCCCCATGGTCTTATTTTATTTTACATCCTTCCAGATCTACCAATAGAATCATGCTACATGCAATACTTAGAAACTTTCTATCTATGGTCACCTAACAAATATTGTAAACTTTTCATAGCTACGACATTTATTGTATTGGCTACAAAGTATAAAATGGTATAGAGATATTATGATTTATTCAACTAGTTCTATTTCCAGGACTATTTCCTTCTTTTGCAGAAGCACTGCAAATTACCTATATGAATATTTGTCTTAGGCTATTTGTATGGTAAATTCTTAGAAATAAAATTCCTTGGCCAGTTTGGGGACATTCCAAATTTTTTATATTCCGTTTTGCCCCTCAAAAAGTTGTCCTATTTCATCAACAATATATAAAAAGGACAGCCGAGCATGGTGGCTCATGCCTGTAATCCTAGCACTTTGGGAGGCCGAGGAGGGCGGATTGCCTGAGCTCAGGGGTTCGAGACCAGCCTGGGCAACACAGTGAAACCCCGTCTCTACTAAAAATTCAAAAAAAAAAAAAAATTAGTCGGGAGTGGCCACGTGCGCCTGTAGTCCTAGCTACTCGGGAGGCTGAGGCAGGAGAATGGCTCGAACCCGGGAGTTGAAGGTTGCAGTGAGCCAAGATCGTGCCACTGCACTCCACACTCCAGCCTGGGTGACAGAGTGAGACTCCATCTCCAAAAGAAAAAAAAAAAGGACTACTTTCTCACACCCTGTCAAAGGCTATTTCACTACCTATCTTATGTTTTGCCAGACCACTAATAAAAGGCATTTTACTGTGGGCTCGCTTTAAATGTCCTAAGAATATGTTTGAATATCATTTCATAAGTTGGTGGCCTTTACTTTTCTCATTCTGTGAAGAACTTCTCATGAACAACGTCTATGCCAATATTCCTCTTGGGTCCTTGGCACCTGCTAGGCTAAAACAGCAACAGCAGCAGCAACAACAAAAAGCCCCTTGATTATTATCTATGTAACAAAATATTTTTGCCAGTTTGCTGTTTGTCCTTTCTAATTTATTTCTAGTAGGTTTCTCTAAGTTTATGAATAATAAAATTTTAATTCTTATGGGATAAAATGCACCTATGAGTATAGCTTCTAGGTTTCTGTGATACTTATGGAAAAGTATGTACTATGCTTCAAGAAGACCTCTTTTTGAAAAAAATTGTTCTATAGTTCATAGTGTTTGTGAACATTAAGAAAGGTAATATCAATAGTATGGAATACTGGAAAATTAACATTGACAAATTTTCAAAGTTAGCTGAGCTTTCAGGATTCAGCTTTCTTCAATTAGCCCAGTAATATTCTCAAAAAGGGAGTGTCATAGATTAAAATTCCTGTAAGATTTCTAGTGAGTTTCCTATTGTTTAATTTGCCTTCATATTGCCTTAATAATTTCCTGTAGGAAAAGCCAGTGATTATATTCCTACATGTTAAAAAACTATCGTAAGTTTTATTAACATATATAGTTTCTGCCTTTTTCTTTTCCTTTTCATGAGATCAGTCAATTTAATAAATCTTTATTGAGTGCTTACCATGTGGCAGGTACTGTGATAAACAATGAACAAAGATGTAATACTTAGCAAAAGACAGAATATCTGCTTTCCTGGACCCTGAAGCTATTGGTCCTTATGCATTAATATGGAAGTTTTTTAGTTTATTTTAAAATACAATCTTTTCTTTGACATTTCTCCCTTGGAAAACTTGTCCATATTTTCAAGTAGATAACTGAATTATTACTTCAAAAGTCAGGTCAAATTAATAACATTGATAACCTTTTACCACTTATTGGTATATTCAGGTACCCATACTTTACAAACATACATTATCATAATTAATATTGCCCATAACCTAATGAAGTTGGAACTAGATTCCTATTTTATAGATGTTAAACTTAGAAGGACTAAATTTGTTACCCAAGGATATAAAACTAAGCCAAGACGAGATGAATTAAGTCTAAGCCAATACAATTAAATCCTGCATGTTGTCAACAATAGTCAACAATTCTTTTGGAATTGTATAATCTTAGTGCAGATTTTCAAAAATTGGTTTGGAATTAATTTACATCTCAACTTTGTTTAGGTGAGCATCCTTGGGCAAATTACTTAATCCTTCTATGCTGAACTTCTTAAGATAGGAATAAGAGTTTCAACTTCACAGGCTAGTTGGCAAGATCATACCATGCTATAAATTTACCTGACCTTGTATATGATGAATAATCTAAAGACTCAACAAAAGTTTTGCCTATTTTAAGTTTTTGTGATAGTTGGTAAAACAAAGCAGTGTCTAAGTATATGTGAATATTTCTGGGAAGGGTTGCGTATTACTTCTAAAATGCAAGTGTTTGTTTTGTTGTATGACAGTTTATATGAGAGTTTGAAAGGTTGTTTCATAATACATTTCCAATATCAATAATGGATTGATATTGGAAATTTTTACCAGTTTTGATGAAGTTCTCTGTATTGGATGGTTATGATAGTGGTTTACTTTCCTTTGGGAAAACACGAGAACAAAATATTCTCTTTCCATTTTAAGTAAACCTTTTTTTCCAGTTACATAATTTTAAAGCTTGACAATTTCAAATATGTACTTTTCAATGCTTCGCTTACTCTTTGGTCAATTTCTTCGCTTTCCAAAACTCAGTTCTTTTCTGTAAAATAAGTATAACACTATATGACCTGCCATAAAACTTAATATCTATTTAAATATTTGCAAAACAATGCATTATTCTTGCATTCTCAATAAATGGATGTGCCTATTTCTTAACAAGGAAAAGTTATATACACTGAATGTAAAAATGAAAAAATGATGGCACAAAAATGTGATCATCATTAACTGTCTCTCCCAGCTAAAGGATTAATGAACTAGGTTTCATTGTTTAAAATCTTTGAACTTGTACAGCAAAATTTTCTAAAACAGTACTTTTCAAACTTTTCCTCTGAAAATAAGTAGTTCAGCAAGAGGAATACCAATGGATATTCCTAACAGTAGAATGAACACATTGAAATTATCAAGTTACACACTTTCCTTCTGATCACTTTGCACTGATATTTCTCTCTGCATTGGGGATGGAAATTAAAGTCTTTAATTCAGCAACTATCTACTCAGATAAAAAGTGAAGTTAAAAATGAAGTAAGTCAAGTTACAAGCAAATAAATGTTTGACTGGATAAATATTGCTCAATTGGCATGTTAAAGTTATACAATTCTAGTTCAGAGTATACAGTGCTCAACTCCAATAGAAACATTACTGCATCTGGAAAACTATGAATATATTTAAATCTTATGCATATCCACAATATTTCTGTCTTTGGGACCTCTGGTCACATACTGAACTGTGTTATTAAAATTTACATCCTATGAAATCTGTTCTTATCTCTGGGTTCCAAAGGAGTCCTAACATTTCAGGCCTTTGTTAGCCTGAATTACTTCTTGTTTCCTTGAGATCTCCAGGTCTGTTTTCTGGAAATCTTACCCTACACCTTGATCTAAGGCACTCAGTCATATTAGTTTCCGAAATTGCCAATTATCCAATTTTGAGGCCTGGTTCTCCGATTAGTGAGAGATAGTAATGCTCTTCAACTCTCCTTCACAGGAGAATTGGTTAGTTTTCCTTGACCAATATCATTTACTAGAGTTGACCATTATGAATTAGGTCTAACCAAGCACCAGAGCCTGACCCTCAGCCCTTCCTACTTCAAAACCTAGCCTATGGTAGCTGTTTAGAATGTCGGTTATTTTCACCTCTGGGATACTTGTATCTATTACTTTGGAAGGGTTTAATCTCTTGTTATCAGTCTTGATCACTTATCATTTAGATATTCTATGAAAAAGAAAAAATTTTCTAAGACTGCATAATTGTCAATATTTTATAGTACTACTTTATGAATAAACTATAGCTGTTTTGACTTCTGTAATTGCTCTAGATTTGCTCTTCAGCCATTACTTCCTTGAAAATAAAGACCCAGAGGATTTATGTTCCCAGTTGAGGCTGTTGCAGACACTTCCTGTTCACAGAATCTCAGGATAAATCATCCTCTTTGGGGTAGATTTTCATTGTTTGTATCACTTAGTTTCCTTTCTTCTCCTTAAGATGGTGCTTAAGTGTATAGGTATTATGATTTGTGCTGTCCCCTGAATCATTACGAGTTTCTGTGGCAGTTTTCTCTCTGCCTTATCACTGAACGTGCAAATGACACCTGCCACTGCTGTGTGGTGTGGTAAGCTCAAGACTCATTCACTTGTCTTGGCTGGCTTCCAGTAATTCTTCCTGCACACCTGGCCCTCTCTTTGATCTTTCTTTTACTACAGACACTCCTAAGCCTTATCAGTACCTTCCATGGACAACTCAAGTAGAATTCTCTCATCAATCATCCCTCACCCTGGCAGCCTCAAGGCAGAACCACTGGCCTAGTCGATAGCTGTTTTTCACATCCCCACTGAGAGGACATCAGAACTTTTGAGAATTAGTAGAAAGCTCCTCCCTCAGCCACTTGCAGCCCACTCTTCTGCTAGTACACGCTGTATACAGACTTTTAAAAATGGATTTAAATTTTCCATTCTGTTTTTAGGACAGTGAAAAATGAGACTGACTGCTCTGAGATTCTCTTAAATTTATTGGACTTTTCCAACCATTACCCATGCCCACACTGGGTAATAAAAGTACATCTGACTATTTGCTCCCTATATCACTCTCTCTGAATATTGTCTTCCCTTTTGTCCTTAGAAATACTTCCATCTGTCTCCTGTGTAGGCGAGAGTTTTCTATTCAATGTACTGACTTTTCCTTGCCTGTGGCTTGAGTTAAATCCAGTGTTTTCAAAGTAGTATCCTAATTACATCAATCTTTTCTGCTAATATAAATAATTCACAGAAATTTTAAAATATAAAAAATAAAAAAATCTGAAATCTCCCCAAGGCATAATTACAATCAATATTGTATTTCATGTAGTTCTCAATCTTTCTCTATGAAAATATTCTCATTTGACTGTATTCTATACAAACACCTTTATACAGATCAGGTCATAGTACCCATGTTTTTGCAAATTATTCCTTGCAACCCACAATCAGTCTTAGAGATCTTGTGGTTAATATAAGTGATATTCCTTTTAAAATGTGTACTATATTCCATTGCGTGAAAAGGCCATAAATCATTTTACTAAGCATGTCTTAGTGTTATAAATATGTATTTTATATAAAAGTATAAGTTGTATATTAGAATCTGTCTACTTTTAACCAATTTTCCTTTCCTTAGTCTCTTAACTTGACCGTATTGAATTATTTGAAACTATTTCACACTCTACAAAAAATATTATATTACAAATAAAGAAAATAAAAACTATGGAACCACTAAACATTTCCTAGCCTGGAGTTTACCTTAAGAGTCTAGGATTATGGAAATAAGTAGAATATAATTGTAGATTGATATTCTGAATGTCTCATCCATTTTTTCATATCCAGGACATTGAAAACTTTAAAGGACGTTCATTCTTTAAGATCTAAGAGGGTATCTAGTAAAAACAACTTCTCAAATAAAGACATCTATGTCCTGATATTCCTCCTAAAACAAATAAAAACAAACAAGTGCAAGAAATTGTAGAATATATAGTGATTAACAGCAGAGTCTCTGGAGGCAAACTGCCGGAATTCAAATTCTTAATGCATCCTTTACTAGCTGTGTGATATGGGCCAATTTCCTTAATCTCTTTGAGATTGATTATGTCATTACATCAGAGGGTAAAGGTTCAGAACAGTGCCTGGCACTAAGTAACCATTCAACATATGCTAGTTATTGTTTCTGATGAACCTAGAAAGCAGGTACGACTAATCAAGGAGAGGATACAAGTGCAGTGAAAAATGAGGTTGGTGGTAATATAAATTCAAAGGCAGATGCAGATCATTAACATCTTGCAAAGCCCTTCAACATATATTCCATAATCTGAGGGTCCAATGAACCCTCACTTCAAATGGTAGTTGAGGGAAGCCTTCCTGACTCGTATTTGGCATATGAGAGAAGAAGATGAGATGAAGATGAGATAAAGATGACTGAGGCAGTGCGCAGGTTGACTGTGTGTCAAAGAGTCTGAGGAAAGCACAGCAAGCAGCTCTATAGTTTCTGGTTTTGACCACAGGAAGAGAAGTTACTGCCAAATCACCACACCAAACTTGGTCATCTTCCCTGGGGCCCAGTGTTTTCCTGCCAGCCTGGAACGGACTGAGCCACAGTCCGTTGGGTAAATGTTCAGTAGAAAAGTGATAGCTCAAGTTTCCATCTGTAGTTTCCTATCTGCTGACCCAGCTCATTCCCCTGCCTAACTTGTTTCTCACACCATCTTTTAAGAAACAACTGGCAAGAAAAAAGGCCTCCTTGTATTAACCAGAAAGAAATTAGCATGGGGTCTATACAAAGATAAGAAAGGAAAAACACAGTGCTAGACTCCTTAAACCGACGGATGTTGTGTGGATCAAAGGAAACTTTTTTTACTTTAAGACCTAATGTATTAAAGAAATGAAGTTATTCAACAGTTAATATTACTTCAAACAAAATCAACTTTCTTCTAAATACTTATTCCTTGCATGAGTGATACATCAATGTCTTTTATTAATATCTGAAGTAATTCAACCACATATTTTGAAAATAAAGGCTACCCCAGTTAACAAGGTAAAGTAATAGCTGAAAGGCGATTCAGATATACGTTTGAAAGAAAGGGAGTTACAGTATTAGGTCAGGAGAACAAAAGAGGCTATGCCTTTAAATAAATAAAACATGAAGGCTATCCTTTTGTGATTGAGTTTTCTGCATTTAGAATGTAGAGCATGGCATACAATTATTTTAATTATGAAAAAACTTATATTTCTCATTATTTGCCCTTTGCCAATAAAACAAAATGCATACATCAATGCTTATGTATGGATGAGCTCATGTTGTTATTCATTAGCCTATACTTATAAATGATGCCTAAAGAAAGTAGGTATGATGAAAAGAAAAAATAGCTATAAAAATTTGTATTATATAAAAGAAAATTGTTTTTAAAAGACAGAAAATTTCAGCACATTAAATGTTGATGTCTGAGAACAGGACTAGAACCAATTAAAAAAACTTATTTCAAATATGATGTAAGAAACCTCCCTAAAATAAAGGTATATTTAAATATGCAGACTAAATGATGTTGAGTGCCTCAGGAAAAAGCAATTAAAAAATAACTTTGGGACAAAAAAACAAAAAATACTTACGGGAAAAATAATTAAGCTGAAGTTAAAGTTTTCCACATTCAATATTCCATATGTTTGTTATACTGGTCCCTCTGGTTTTGAGAAAAATTTAAAAATTTTACAATAAGGAGTTGAAAATATATGGATATTATAGATCAAAGTATATTTTCAGTGTGAAAACACATTTTAAATTTTAAGCCAAGTTCTCATTTATTATAGACAACAGTCTTACATTTTAAAAATATACTAGAACAACCCCATAATATAGCATTCAATACTATTAAAAATCCTCATGAGAATAAATTGTGGCCTGCCTAAAGTTAAATAAACACAGTATGAGCATTGATAATAAGCACTGAGTCCATTTAAATATAGAACTAATGCTAAGAAATAATGAATATTATATTTAAAGAAGAAAACAAAAACCTTCATAAACATTGACATCATAGAAAATATAAAACAACTGACAAAAATCAGGAAGTAAGGAGAAACAATATGAGTGTTGTATTCCAATTTACTCAATATTCTAGTGAAGCAGATTGGTTTATGTTCTACAGATAAGCTGCAGAAGAACCACAGAATAGAAAACAATACACCAAAACCCAACAAGAACACAAGCCATCTATCAAAATGTATTTTAGCATTAGACAGCATTTCCTCAAATATGATGCAAAACTAATAGCAAGCATATCTATCATATAAATAAACAAACAAAGAGACAATAAGTGTACTCTTTAATGCAGAAAGAGAAAGTTACTAGATTGGAAGCTTCGATCACACAGCAACCCTGCTATTTTCTATAAACAAGAAATTCATCTGGAACAAAATGTTTAAGGACTGTAGAAAGTTAAATGATGAACAAATCTAGACAGATGAGTGTAAAAGCAGAAGTTAGAAATATCAGAAATATTTAATTCATGGAAAAATATTAGAAAAATGATAAAGAACCCTTTATAATGAAAAATAATATAATTTGCTTTGTATTATGTCATGAATATTTGTTTACAAAATGACAAAACATAACTTGTCATAAAGCTATGAAGAGTAGGAGACACATAAGAGTAGAGATTTTATTTTCCCTTTATCAGGATACGACAAATAATAAAAGGATGTAGTCAATAAATAGAAAATTTAAGAGACTGTATATAATATACCATATGCTATGTGTTTCTATATGTTTTACATGTCTTAATACATTTCAACATTAGTTTTTCAAGTGCTCATGAAACACAGATAATAAAATAGGATCATCATAAACCACATTTCTTGATCAATAGATAACAAAAGTAGAAGACCCAAATGAAAAGTACTATGTTCAAATTTATTTTTAGAAACTATAGTTCTATTCAAAGTAATATTGTGGATTTCTTATAAAATATATTTGCAAAACTTGATGTAACATTGAAAGGAGAATATAATAACACTTCGTGGAATGTAAGCCATCTTGTGATGAAATAAGTATTTTTCATTAAGCAGCAAAACGTGTTCTGTCAGGGGATCATTAGATGTATGCAAGACCCTAAAATTATGTCAGCAGAAACTTCATGTGTTTTGCAGAAGCCTCTACAGCCTTGAAGAAAGATGGGTTAGCTCATATCGAGAGACTAATTAGCTGTAAGGCTGACTGGCTGGTTTACTCAGAGAGAAAAGTTTATGCAGTTAAGCAAACTTACTGTAGGGAGTTGACATGAGTTTGCAAAATGCAGTCTCATGTTATGACCATAAATAGGTAAAGTGATTTCAGAGAAGGCAGAAATTCAATGTCTTACAAAAGCTGATGAGAACTGGAATTCTGCAGAGTTGTCTTTTAGTTACCTACCTAGGGAACTTTTCCATGACTTATAGTCAATTAGAGGTAAGAGACTTACCTCCACAAGACATGTCATGACACAAGTAAGGTGAGAAACAGGTTTTTTTTTCTTGACACGTTATGTTCCTTTTTGGGGAGAAGGTAGCTTTTAGAGCTTGCGTTATCTTCAGAGTTTTGCAATAAATAATCCACATATTGGATGAGAATACCATTACTGGAGAACGTGAGGTCCTTGAGATCCTGATTAAAAACTTATGAAAAATAAGACAGAGCCTCATTCAATATCTGAGGTATGACAGTCTGCATATATTTGATTCTCTCAAGGTAAACAAGTATGAACTGTTCAAATGTAAATATATGCCAAAGAAAGCAGAACCTCAATCCAAAACTATAAAATAGGTTTCAGGTGGAGTTGAAAAGAGAATAGTATTTAGATTTAGTACCAATGGAGAGCAGAGTATATCCTATTGACAGCCCTATGACTGTGAATGAATTTCTGATGGCATCTTAAAAGACAGGTTAGAGAGTATTAGAAAACCTACTTCAAAGTATAGGTCTCTTTTCTGTTAGTCTTTCCAGAAAGGTCTTATTTCTGTTATTCTGATTTCAAGTGGTGGTGTGCAGCTTTTGGTAAATGTTTAGATGAATCACTCTGAACGTGATGGGTTTAGCTTCAATAATCCTGCCAGTATGAATAGAATTCTTGACCCATGGGAATCTGGTATCTTGCAGAGATCTAAAGTTTATAAGGTTGATTTAAACATAAAGTAAACCTGTGTCCAAATTAACTGTAACTGGATTATAAGTAGGAGACTGAGAAAGACTTTCTGGGGCTCTCTTAAGCTGGCAATTCCATTTATGTATGAAACCTATTATGATTAAGTTGCTTGGCATGGTATCATAGAGGAGGAAAACTGTTGTTGTTTTTTTTTAAGTAAAAGGACAGGAAATGCAGTCATCCCTCTGTATGCTGGGGGGATTGGTTCCAGGAACTCCTGCAGATGGCAAAATCTGCAGATTCTCAAGTCCCTGATATGAAATAGTGTAGCATTTGCATATAATCTATGCACATCCTCTGATATATTTTGACTCATCTCTAGATTACTTGAAATACCTAATACAATCTGAATGCTATGTAAGTCATTTGTTATACTTTATTGTTTAGGGAATGACAAGTCTGTACATGTTCACTACAGATGCCATTTTTTTCTGAATATTTTCAATCAGCAATTGGTTGAATCTGTGAATGCAGAACTTAACAGATACAGAGGGCCAACTGTATTTAACTAACAATTAACACATGTTTTAGTATTTTAAAAACCAATAGTCCTGGCACGGTGGCTCATGCCTGTAATCCCAGCACTTTGGGAGACTGAGGCAGGTGGATAACTTGAGGTCAGGAGTTCAAGACCATCCTGGCCAACATGGTGAAACTCATCTCTACTAAAAACACAAAAATTAGCCAGGTGTGGTGGTGTGTGCCTGTAGTACTCGGGAAGCTGAGGCAAGAGAATCACTTGAACCCAGGAGGCGGAGGTTGTAGTGAGCCAAGATCGCACCACTGAACTCCAGCCTGGGCAACAGAGTGAGACTCCACCTCAAGAAAAATAATAATAAATTAAAAAATAAAAACCAATAATTTCCAGCTGAATGCCCCTGGATATATTAACTTTATGTATCTTTAAAAAACACAGACTCATAAATTTAAAAAATACAATATTATAAATGTAATGAAATTTATATCCCATAAAATAAATGATTAAGTTTCCGTTGAAGTTATTGTCTTAAAGAAGACTAATCATGTCCTTCTCTAATTTATCTTCCAACTTTTGCATTGCGTACAGAATAGTTTCCAAACCACATAGCTTGTATTACATGGCCATTTACAATATGGATCCCAACTACATCTTTCGTCACTCTACTGCAGCTATTCTACACTCTTATCACAGTGCAAAGTTAATTATTCACCCGCCAAGCTCTTCTTTGGTGAATATTTATCCTATTTATAAGGTAAGCTAAGAAAGCAAACTCTGCAACTATACTTATTGGCAACTATACACATTAATAGCTTTTGTAGTTTTATAATTTTATATCTGTTTAAATATGTCTTATGTGTATTTCCTCCTTTCATTAATTAAAACATATGTTCAAAAATCTATAATCATATAATTTACTTCAAGATATGCACTTAGGTACCCTTGGATCATTTATTCTTAAAACTAAATATTTCAGTCGTATATCATTTATCAGCCTTTTTAGCCCTTCAAAAAGGGCTAAAATCATTATTATGGTTTCCACTGTGCTCCTTCCAAGTTCCCTTCAGCAGAAAATGGTGATGTATTGTATAAAGATGTTTATAACATTTGTCAAGCCTTCATTATAAAAAGTAGTCTAACAAAGCAATGATGTCGTCTACCTTCCTGTTTATGCATGAATATGTATTATGTTTGCATTTTAACAGTGGCAGCCCATGACTGATTTGTGGCCACTGATGAGTCATTTTCTTGACTAATTACATTAGGTCTGTTTATGATATGAACAATAAAACTATGATGGATAGCTGAATTCTACAATTTAAGTGCAGATGTTAAGAGTTTGCTTTCAGCCTATTGAAAGAAGTAACCAGATAGTAATTTCACTATGCTGTCTTTTTACACTATTGCCTTCTAAATGTTCAGATGCACTGAAAAATGTTGCTTTTTTTGTATGACCAGTTTAGTTAAATTTCAATCAATCAAATGAAAATTTGAGTATAAAAGGCTCTCTTTCCAGAGACTTCCATATTACAAAATGAAAATATAACTTAAGTCATAATGTTGTCCTTGTTATTTTCTGTTTGAGTAGCTCTTCCCACCTCTGCCACCAATAGTCAGTGTCTGTACCATCAACATACATATTCTAAATGATTATTGACACTGGAGGAGTCACATGGCTCAAGGAGGTCCAACCTGCTCTCTTATGTAACCCCAGGCCAGTCAATATAGAGAGCTCAGTTTTCTCTTAATTAATGAGCCTCAGCTTTCATGATGATGTTGTTGCTCTTTAGTTCCTATGAATTTAGGTGCCTTGACTTTGTCTTGAGTTTCATTTTCTGAGAGAAAATGATTCAGGTTCCTTATTATCACTGGTGAGAATCACGCAGTTGGAAGATCTACATTGAGAAACCAACTATCCCATGAATGTATTTGATGCTGTTATTATACAAGTTGCTTACAATTCTACGGTAAACTTTTTCTTATCAATATAATAAGTATAAATTACCTCTTTGTATAGCAGAAGTGTTATGTGTTTTGAAAAATAATATACATAGGCCAGGTGAGGTGGCTCACGCCTGTAATCCCAGCACTTTGGGAGGCCAAGGCAGGCAGATCACGAGGTCAGGAGATTGAGACCATCCTGGCTAATATGGTGAAACCCCATCTCTACTAAAAATACAGAAAATTAGCCAGGCATGGTAGCATGCACCTGTAATCCTAGCTACTCCAGAGGCTGAGGTAGGAGAATCGCTTGAACCCAGGAGGCAGAGGTTGCAGTGAGCCGAGGTCGCACCACTGCACTCCAGCCTGGGCAACAGAGCGAGACTCCATCTCAAAAAATATACATAACTTGTTTGTTTTTAGTTTAAAATTTTATGTAAATGTAAAATGGTGCTGGGATTTCACTCCCTCTTCAATAAGTGTCCTCTGCTGGTTACTCTTTTCCAGAAACCAATTTCAGAAATCTTCAAGGAAGTCTGAAGCCAGGCACGGTGGCTCACACCTGTAATCCCAGCACTTTGGGAGGCTGAGGCTGGTGGATCACCTGAGGTCAGGAGTTCGAGACCAACCTGACCAAAATGGTGAAACCCTGTCTCTACTAAAAATAGAAAACTTAGCCAGGTGTGGTGGCATGCACCTGTAGTCCCAGCTACTTGGGAGGCTGAGACAGAAGAAATGCTTGAACCTCGGAGGAGGAGGTTGCAGTGAGTGAGATTGCGCCACTTCACTCCAGCCTAGGTGACAGGGCGAGACTGTCTCAAAAAAAAAAAAAAAATTTCAATAATTCTGGAAGAATAGTAGATTGCAAAAAAATGACTGTTGTTAACAACCAAATAGCCAGGCTCATTTGAACAGCTTGGACACCTTTACATATCAGAAACTTACATAAAATCATATTAAAATAAAAGAAAACATGCCAATGCTGTGTCTTTATAAGACATTTCAATTTTAAGATGTTTGCTATTTTAATGTTTTCATAATTTATCATTAACCTCAACATTTAAGTGGATGGAGTTTTATGTGAAGTCATGGCCATCAAGCATCTATTACAGATGGTGCCATCTAAAGAATATTAGTGCTCACCCTCCCTAACTCCTGACTAGGTGATGTAAAATTAGACTCTACTCTCACTCAATCCCAGTTTGTTCCCTTCAGTCCCCATGACCTAGAGATGCCTACTTAATATCTATTCTCTGCTTCCCGAAACTTTTCAGGATCTCTATATTGTTGGATGCAGCAATGTGCTCATCTAAAAAATTGCATTTCTCTAGCTGCCCTTGCTTATGAATGTGGCCACTGATATGTTAGAAGAAGCTGTTGTGCGAGCTTTGGGGAAAACTCCTTAAGAAATCTGGAACTGGTAGGGGATCTTTCACTTTTCACCATGTTCTTATCCGGACTTCAGTAATGATAGTGGAAATCCAATAACCATCTTGTGAGCATGAGGTAAATTTGAGGATGGAAGCCACACATTACAGATGATAGAGCAAAAAGATGTTAGCAACCTGGGTCCTGATAACTTTATGGAGCCACCATAGCAATTCATGTTATGTGAGAAAAAGAGATGTTCTGAAATCAAGTTTAAGCCACTATTATTTTTGAAGTATCTACAACAAGAGCTCAATACAATTCCTAGCATTTATTACCCTTCCTAAAATAGGCATATAAAATTGTATCTTTCTTTCCCATAATCAGAAAATAGCAATAACATACATATATACACATGCATATAAAAATGTGTATTTAAAAATATTTGGTAGAAAAGGTACCATAATTACCAAAATACAGATATTATTTATATCATTTTGTTTCTATTTTCTTGTACTTTTCAAGTAGACCTTTTTTTTTTTTTTTTGAGACTAAGTTTCGCAATTGTTGCCCAGGCTGGAGTGCAATGGCGTGATCTCAGCTCACTGCAACCTCTGCCTCCCCTGTTCAAGTGAGTCTCCTGCCTCAGTCTCCCTAGTAGTTGTAATTACAGGCATGCACCACCACACCTGGCTAATTTTGTATTTTTCTTGTACTTTTCAATATAATAAACATGAATCTCTTGTAAAAAGAAAAAAAATCATTGAAGGAACATATTGAATGAAAATGGTATACCTGGCACTTTGGATTTATAATTCTTACACTGTAATAACCTCATTATCTTATTTTATCTTCTATACCAGTATATGTATATATCTGCTAGTTACATGCAAACAAATGAGTCTGTGATAACAATATTGAGAAGTTGGGCAATCTATATATTTTTACTATGACTATTACTTAACATCTACAGATCTGATAATATTTGTTATAAAATACTTTTCTTTCAAACCTTGAAATGGATTCATCTAAGTGCCAAGAAAAAAATAAGTATCTAAAAATGTCTTCTCTGGAGATTTATGCTGGGAAGTGTCAGAACAATGGGCAAAGTACAACTGAGAGGGCTCAGTGAGGCTCAGTCACTGCCAGGCCCCAAGTGTTCCAGAAGATTAGCACTGTCGTAAGCGTAATTATGATAGATGATGATTAGGTGCTATCTTTGGTTGTTTTTTCTGGCTTTCTTTGACATGCTTGTCTTAATTAAATCCAAACTAGAATGAAAAATAAGAAAATCTGCCATTTAACCTACTGTATAAAAAGCCAAAATTACACATCAGCTCATATTTATTCATCTTTAACAAGAAAAGCAATGCCATTGGAGATTAATCAAGTGTTGTTGTTTTTATTTAACTCTTATATCTTTTAGATTTATGTTTACTAGAAGCCATGGATGTGAAAGTATGTAAAATTATAAGACTCTGGGAAGACAGACTGAGAATAGAGGTATGGATTGGGGGAGGGCGACACTTGCTAACACATATTATGCATATAAAAAATATGTGGTAGAAAAGATACCATAATGGTCAAAATACAGATATCATGTTCTTGTTTCTATGTTCTTGTGCTTTTCAATATAATAAACATGAATCTCTTTTGTAATAAGAAGATAAAATTGTTGAAGGAACATACCTGGCACTTTGGATTTATAATTCTTACACTGTAATAACTGCATTATCTTATTTTATCCTCAGTTAATAAAACCCAGAATACTAGTCATCATCATCATAGTCCTTTATATACATTGTGCTACTTTTAAAACTGTCTATACATTTTTTAATATTCCTGGCTTCAATAGGAACACTTAATTTCTCTAGCCTGGAGTATGTGTTAGACCTAGTGACTTCTAACAAATAGAATATGTCTGAAATATGTGTCCCTTCTGAGTTTTGATTATTTCTGTCTGTTTCTCTCTCATCATTCACCACAGGAGAAATAATCTGCCATGTTGTTAGCTCCCCTGTGAGGAGACCCATGTGATGAGGAACTGAGGCCTGACAACAGTCAGAAGAGTGGGCTTGGAAGTGGATCCTTAAGCTCCAAACCTTGAGATGATCCCATTTCTGGCCAACATCTTGACAGAAATCTGATGCAAGACCCTGAGCCAGAACCACCCAGTTTAGCTGTACCCTGATCCTTGACCCTGAGGAATTGTGAGATAAATGTTTTCTCTCTCAAGCTTCTAAACTTTGGGGTAATTTATTATGCAACAATGAATAACTTATATATATATATATATATATGTCATATATTATATATGTATATAAAATGTATGATGGATAACATATATATGTGCCGCTATATATATATGTTACCCCCCATTGTTGTATAATAAGTATACACATATACACCCACACACACAATTATTATCTAAAACCAAATGTGGAATTCTGGGGTAAAACGAAAGAAAGCTTAAAATTTCCCCAATCTCTACTACCTCCAAAATCTACAAATTTACCCCAAATGAGTAAATACTAAAAGCTATGCCAAACAAAGCAGCTATTGAGTGAAGGAGGAGGTTCATCATCAGTCCATAGTGTACTGCAAGAAGAGGAGACTAAAGAATTCAGAAATCAACCATGACCTTTACTCTGAGATTTCTGTCTTCCTCAAATCAGCAGGTAGGAATACAGGGATAAAGTGAATGGACACAATTCTGAGAAAAACTCTAACTCTCACCATTCAGTTATGAGCCATAAGTGCCTCTCCAAACTCGGAGGGATGAAAAGAATTTGTAAAGACCTATGGCTTACGCTCATATATTTGAGTATATATTGTCTATCATGGTTTTTGTTTTCTATTCATCTTGCTAATCTATATTTTTTCATACATTCCTTGGCTTTTAAATTATTATTTTCATTTTCCTCCCTCTATTTTGAAAATTAAGATATATTTTATTCATAAAGTGACTACATTAATAATTTCTACAAGCATTGTTTAAGTATATATTAGGAATATCTCTATCCTCTTCCAGAGTTTAGACCAATGATTCTCAAATTTAATATCCATACAAAACGCTGAAAGAATTTGTTAGACTTCTGACTCTGATTTAGTAGGTCTGGGGTAGACCTGAGAGACTGAATTCTAGTTACCTCACAGGCGAATCTGACTCTCCTGCTCCGTGGAATAGAGTTTAAGAAACAAGGCTTTAGAGCCCCATAATTCCTTTCATCCTTCATTCTAACTAAAATTTCCAATTTACTATTGTTTATTTGATTTCTGACTTTCATCTCTTTAACCAGTCTAGCCATTACTCTTATTACTTTATAAGTCAAGTTTGATTTGTAGCTTTTCTCTATCTCCATTCTTCACTCTTTGTGCCTCGTACAGTTCTTTGGGGGTCATTTTTCTTTCTGCTTTATATTATGATCTGCTAGTAATAAACTTCAATTTAAGTATATCAGAAAATACCTTTATTTTGCTTTTCTTCTTGTTTAACTGTTGTATGCATTTTTTAAAAATAAGAGTATTTTCCAGGAGGCTGACAGAGCAGCCTCCAGCTTAAGCCCAGGAGTTCAAAGCTTCAGTGAGACAATTGTGCCGCCTACTCCAGCCTGGGTGACAGAAGACCCCCGTCTCCTAAAAATATATATATATTTTCCTATATAGCCAAAATATTTTCATCTCACTTAAAATAATTTTTAATATATTATCATCCCTTATTCAAGTTTTTCTAATAGTCTCAAAATGTCCAAAACAAGAGACAGAAACACCACCATGAATTTAATTTACTGCTTCTTTATCTTAAGGACTATTGTATAGTCAAGTTTTTCCTCATGCAAGTAAAAAAAAAAATAGATTTCTGTGTTATGACATTGGTGCTACACAAATATCCAGTTTCTGTCAAACTTTTCATCTTACGGTTTCAACACCAATTGATAATTGTTACTACAATCTGTAGTCATCAGGATTTGTAAAAATTGATTATTCCTCCTACTTATGTTATAGAATTATCTAGCTTTCTCTTATTAAACAAAGCTACTTAGTACCCTAAAATATAGTTGCTATTTAAATGAAGAATAAATTCTTTATTCCTTCTCTTAAATTACCAAATTTCAAAGGAAAGTTGATTTAATAGTTTTGTTTAATAGAGATGATTCTTTTTTCATTGACTATCGTCATGAACCCAACCATTTTCATAAGCTATATTGTAATGATTTACTATCATTACTCTTTGTTGAAGCCCAAATGGTTACAATTACCAGAAAGAGTCTCTTTAAGTTGGCACCTATCCTAGCCCAAAGTGAATGTCCTCATGCCCACCCTCAAGCAATAGATTAAATACAAACCAGCAATATCTAGCCCTCAAAGTGAAGCTCTTAGGGAAAGATAAGATGTTTCAAACAAGCTGCTAGTAAGTTTAAAAATATCTTCAAAATGTGTAATGAAGAGAATAGTACAAGGTTCCGAATAGTATTATCCATGTCCTCTGATTTCTGTTAAAGAGATTTTTACTCATTCATTTATTCACATAATGAAGATGCATTAAATTCTTGCTAAATTCAGGGAAGATACCCTGCCACTTGCTAAGAAGACAACTTAGCTCAAAGCATATATACATTTTCCTCCTCTATGCTGCTGTGGTGAAGGATTCCTAATCAAATAACTTCATTAACAAATGTAAGCTTATCACTTTAATAGGTTTTTTAAAGAAACGAATGACAGGTTTTGAGAATGTGATCCTCTATCTGGGAATAGATAACATTGGGGGAGGAGTGGGTTAATGTTATAGGCAAAAATAATCCAGGTAATGGAAGATGAAGATATTTCAAATAAATAAATTTCAGCAAAGGTCCATGCTATTGAAAAAAGCCATGTGAAATGGTACTGAAAATATACATTGAATTTAGGAAAGCATAGGCCATTGGTGAGCAATGTGAAAGCTCGTGAATGTTATTTTGGTATGGGATAAAGCCATTTATTTATATATAAATCAAAATCTGTGGAACTACACACTATAACTTTTCAATAAACTTATAATAAAAGTTTACAGTAGAGAATCATGTTCAGAGTTGGGGAAGAGAAAAAGTAAATTATTATTTTCCATAGTGTTGTGGTTATTTTCATGCAATGTAATATTTTAAATTCAAAGAAGGAATTTTCCTAAAACTTCTTTAGAATTCTTAAATTTAGTTGTTTTAAGAGTATTATGTGTAAGAAAAAGCATTTGTATAATCTAAGTTTTATAATTTCATGATGCTATCCATGTGTACAGAAAGATATATGATCACTGTGCTGGTAAACTAAGATTCCTTGAATAAATATTAATATTTTTAAAGACTCCTTTAAACCAGTAATAGGAACTCTGAACTCCTGAGTCCTGGGGTTTTGATTTTGTCACAGAATTTTCTTTCTTAAAAGGCAGTATGGCAAGTATGAGAATGTTACACTTTCATTGCATCCAGTCTTTTTTTATCCTATTGTGAAGAAGTGTCCTGTAATTCCAGATGAAGCTCAGTTTTTATATCAGCCATTTTTTAAGAAAGAGAACTATACTCTGGATCCTCGAGTGAAAGTGTTAGGCTTAAGTAATTTAGTCTTTTTTTTCTCCTAAATGTGCTTGCTTCATTAGGTTTCAGAAGAAACTACCTTAATGAAGAAACAGAAGGGAAAGACGTGAAAACCTCCAGAGTTCTTCAGAAAGGCTTCCTTTGCATAGAATCGTTCATCAATTTCAACAGTAACAGAAAGTAACGGAAACGTGATCTGAATGAGTAGCTGAAAATTGAGTAGTAACTTAACACTCCATTGAAGTTTTTCATCAGATATGGGGCACAGCTTGACCCTCGTATTATAAATATTTAAATGCTTTGGATATTTTGCCAAAGTTTAAGCATTTCTTCCCAAAGGAACAGTGGTGATATAATGTGAGTCATGCTAAAGTACTTAACCATCAGTGGGCAGATTTTGTGGCATGAATTTTTGTAATGATTTTAAGTAAGACCCGGTATATTCACAAATATCCAAAACTTTATTTAGAACTGTATGGGAAGCTATTCTATCTAAAAGCTCATTCTTATTAAAAGTATTTTTTCAGGAAATAAAATGATGTTAAACCTGGAAGTCTCCAGCAAAGAGACTGATTTTTTTTTAGATGCTCCCAACTCAGTAAATTTTGCTTTCCTATTTTCTTATTTTTGTACGTATGCCACTGATGTCTAGCTTATACACTTCTGTTATATTTACAGCTGTTTACAACCATTGAACCAAAAGTTCTATACCTGTTGAATGTCTAAAAGTAGAGAAAATTAATTGAAAAGCAATAGGTTAAGAATCAACCTGTGGTCCCAAGAAAAAGAAGTAAAATCCTATAAAATTCTTAAAGCATTTCCTCTATAAATATTTGAAAGTTATTTAATCTTTTGGTCTTTATAGTGCCTGGATTGACATTCTGCATTAACTATGGAATCATTTTTATAAGGAATATTTTGTGATTTGTATAAGAAAAAGTATTTCTCAATGGCATAGGAAGAGCTTTGCTAACTCTTAGAAGAAAGAGGGAAGAGAAGAGGGAAGGAAACAAGTAAAACGAACTGGTGGTACATCGTGTATTAAGAGATAATACAAGGATATCATACTATAATGTTTTCAGACAAAAATTATGGACAGGCTAATTCGTGAAATAAGATGAAGACCTAAAAGGTAGCAATGATCCTATACACTATACTCTGTAACAGTTGTTTTCAAACTGCTTTTTAAACATAAAAACAATTTTAAATCCACTATTTTAGCACATTCTGGTCTTATATAGTAATTACATGGCTATATTTTTCCAGTGTGACATATTTAAAATACATATCATTAAATTTCTGGTTAATCTTAAACATGGAAATAAAGTACGAAATTTCTAGTTGTTGAAGTATGTTTAAAATAAAATATATTAAAATATCATTATTTCAGTCAATAATTTAAAGTAAATGGGGGTATATTTGTGTACGTACATATATGCATATATGTGTGAATGCACAGAAATACAAACATGTCTATATAAGGATCTATACTGCTCTAAATTTTTAAAACACAGAAGAAAAAAAAACTAAGATGTATTTTTATGACTTTTTAGTCAACTATAGGGAATTCTTCAATTGTCCAGAACTCCTTCCTCTTTTTAAGGCCAAAGGATCATTACCTTCTTTTATCCACATTAAAAAAGAAAATCAACTTAATCTCTAAATGAATATTAAATTGATTTCCTCTTAAAGCTGACATCTGTTTAACATAAGCTAATTCCAGAGGGCTAAAAGAATTATAAGCCAAAAATGAAACCCTAAGTCTCCCCAGGTGGCTGAACAGACTCGCTCTGTGCCAAGGGAACCTCAGAGAAACCTGAAAAACTGAATTCCTACCCATGACTAGAAGGGACATCAGACATGCCTCATTATATCCCATTCCTTTGGAGTTAGTACAAAATTGACCAACATTAACATTAAAACAGAGGTCGGCTGGGCGCAGTGGCTCATGCCCGTAATCCCAGCATTTTGAGAGGCCGAGGCTGGCGGATCACGAGGTCAGGAGATCCTGGATAACACGGTGAAACCCCGTCTTAACTAAAAACTCAAAAAATTAGCCGGGCGTGGTGGCAGGTGCCTGTAGTCCCAGCTACTCGGAGGGCTGAGGCAGGAGAATGGCGTGAACCCGGGAGGCGGAGCTTGCATGAGCCGAGATCACGCCACTGCACTCTAGCCTGGGTGTCAGAGCGAGACTCCATCTCAAAAAAACAACAACAAAAAAACCGTACGACTGACCGAACAAACTCGAGCTTGATGCTGGTATAGCTTCATGTGACAAATAGCATACTCTGAATAAATTTGAAATATTTTACCCCAAAATATTTCTTTGACATATTTTGAAATGGCCCTGGGAGAAATTTTTATCTGTACAGAATTACCATTCATGTAGCCAGACCTGTCATGGATCTAGGAGAGATTAAGAGTGTGATACCGGCGGGGGAAAGGGGCTTATCTCAGCACTTTGGGAGACTGAGGTGGGGGAATCACCAGGTCAGGAGTTCGAGACCAGCCTGACCAACATGGTGAAACCCTGTCTTTACAAAAAATACAAAAAATTAGCTAAGTGTGGTGGCAGGTACCTGTAATCCCAGCTACTTGGGAGGCTGAGGCAGGAGATTGCTTGAACCTGAGAGGTGGAGATTGCAGTGAGCCAAGATCGCGCCACTGCACTCCAGCCCAGGCGACAGTGCAAGACTCAGTCTCAAAAATAAATAAATAAAAAATAAGAGTGTGATACCTTTTAAGGTGTGAAAATAGACATTTGCCATCTATTATCTCTAAAGGCTCTCTCTTCTCTCTAAAGCCTACAACCTAGAGGCTTCATCTACATAACAAAGATCTTAGCTTCCACAACCCCCCTTATCTTAGCTCAGGCATTTCTTTCTATGACTTCAAGTCTTTAGACAAAGCTTAACTGTCAACCAATTGCCGATGAGAAAATCTTTGAATCCACGTATAACCTGTAGGCCCCCACTTTGAGATGTCCTGCTTTTCTGGGCTAAACCAATGCGTATCTTACATGTATTGATTTATATCTTTGCCTATCACTCCTATCTCCCTAAAATGTATAGAATCAAACTGTAATCCAACTGCCTCAGGCACACTTTCTCAGGACCTCTTGAGATCACTCATATTGGCTCAGAATAAGCCTCTTTAAATATTTTAGAGTTTGTCAACAAAATTAAAAGAGCAAAGAACTGTATGTGTGGTAAGAAATCTCTTCCCTGTTTTTCTATATTTTTGAATTGACTTCTCCAAGTATGTTGCAGAGTACCTGTCCCATATGTAAAGCCACGATGGTTAGCAGTAGCTCTAACGTACTGCTATGACCCAGGGTCATCCAAGTGTCTCAATTTTTATTTTCTTAGCTTTTTAAAATTGTTACCTACTGCATTCCAGAGTGTTCTTAGAGTTAACTCACAGAAATAAGCATTTAAAAATTTCCCATGCATTATCATGGCTCAAGATATTATCATAAATCTTTTTGCCTTATTATTATTGTATTGTCTTACATATCCTTACTTCCCTATTTACTCCTGGAGTTTGAGTAAACTCCAGGTTCCAAAGTTGTTATTATCCCTCTACTGTCACAAAATCAGAGTGTCCAATTCTAGTTGCTGTAACTTCACCTATTTTCCAGATATCACCACAAACAGATCTTTTGTCCAGAAGGAACAGGTATAGAGAAACAGAGGCACTTCTATAAAATAGATAACCGTATTATCCCATTTTGTCACAAATCAGCCACATGTAGCCACTTGGTGTGCAGCAGTCTCAACTAAGTTGTCATTGTACTTATCATCTAGAAGCATGTCAGTCCAACATGAGAAGCCAGGTAACCAAACCAGAATTAAATTTAAATTCCTTAGGTACTCTTTTGGCCAGACTACCATCTGGAGATTGTACCAACCAACTGGGTCTGGGGTTGCTGTTAGGGGAAAGAGAAAATCATCATATCCAGAAATAGATCAGAATCTTGAACATCCCAAATAAATTAATAAAACCCTCATTTCTTCCTGATTTTTTTTTTAGCCAGGAAGTGGCCAGAGGAGATTATCCCTTTTTGTAAACAGCCACATTAAGTAAACAAACTGCTTTATGAAACTATGAGGATCAGTAGAAAGTGAGAGAGGTAGAGTCAGAAATCTTTTTGAGTTGATATTTAAAACCTGTTCCAATGTTCAAGAATCCCAGATACCAGTAGGTGGTAGAGGAGAATGGGGAATCCACTGAATGATTTGACGGCCAGGCCATTGTTGAGCTGCCTTTGCAGTAAAACACGCATTATTAAAGCAAAAGGTCAAGAAAGCCAAAAATATGACACAAGATTAGCTTCAAGAACCTCAATGCTGTGTCTGCAGTTAGCTGATTAGACAGGAACAGGAACAGCAATGTTGTTGCCTAAAACTGGGGTCAACACTGGTGAGACAACGCAGCAAACCTCTATCCAGCAAGGTTCTGAAGATTCACCTGGTTTCTGCCCACAGTGGTTGTGAATTTACCTCCTTTATCACTGCAAAGAGGAGAAGGTAAATTCACAACCACTATGGGCAAAAAACAGTGCCTCTCTGTGAGAGTTGTCTGTTAATTCTTATCAAGGTGAATCAGAAGAGATGACAACATTCGTTTGTTTATCTCTTCTTCATAGTGTCATGGTACCTTTGACATTATTCAGTGTCTTAAACCAGAGAATGTCTAATGTTGGAATTTTAAGTAGGGCAGAAAATCTACATATTTGCTCTACCAAGTGTATTAGTCTGTTCTCACACTGCTATAAAGAACTGCTTGAGACTGGGTAATTTATAAAGAAAAGAGGTTTGACTCACAGTTCCACATGGCTAGGGAGGCCTCAGGAAGTTTGCAATCATGGCAGAAGGGGAAGCAGGCACGTCTTACATGCCAGCAGGTAAGAGAACATGTGAACCAAGCAAAGGGGGAAGAGCCCCTTACAAAACCGTCATACCTTGTCATACCTTGTGAGAACTTACTATCATGAGAAGGGCATGGGGGAAACTGACGCCGACCTCCCCCACCCCACCCATGATCCAAACACCTCCCACCACGTCCCTCCCTCAACACCTGGGGATTACAATTAGAGATGAGATTTGGGTAGGGGCACAAAGCCAAACTGTATCACCACAGTACTGTCAAATAATGACAAGTTTGCAACCGTTTCTATGTGGGGCCAATTATGATAGAAAATGTTACTGCCTTTGCTGCTTTATCTGATAAGTATAAGCAATAGTATCACCATTTGTCATAATAATACACAGACTGAACATTTGTAAGATACTTCACATTTTACAAAGCAACTTTCATGTTACGATTTTATCCACCTTCTTAAACACCCCAAAGGAAGGTAATATTTCTTCTAACAAATGAAAATATGTGGCTTATTCATTATTCAACCTCAAAGCAGCAAAACCAACATAGAAACTGGGGTCTTTGATACAGAAATCTGGTGTTTGTGCAGAGCTGTCATTAAAGCTTTCCTCCTAGAAGGAAAGTATGACTAAGGTCTTTTGTTTTGTATATGTTGAGATCTTGCCATGCAGCTTGTAAATGTTCACAAAAAGCATGGGGAGTTTTGATACTTAATTACAAGATTGGGTCAACTAATATAAAGCCCTGGATTCTCAAGTTCTCATTAGATACTTTTGATGTTGGAGGTTATTGTGTGTGCCAGTGGATGCAGAAGGTTGATTTGGCCCAGCCTGTCATTCCCCCCTCAAGCCCCCCAATTACCTGGATGATGTATTGGTAGAATAGGCAATGCTACTGAAGAATTCTTTCATCTGAGAGTGAAGATGAAAACAAACCAACACATTCTCCCTGCATTGTTCACTAGCTTTTTGTTTTATCCTCCTAAGGTTTGATGTTTGATAATGAATAAATTAGGATAAAATGTGAATGCACCCTCTGTAAGGACCCAGCGGGAAACATTGGCTGTTGAGCCAGATCTCAATCAGCAAATGAAAGGGGTTCATTTTGGCATCAAGACCAGGCCTGTGAAGTCTGCATATTTAGAAGAAATTCAAGATGAAAAAGGAAATATGTGTGCATGATGTTTATGTGTATGCAAGAGAGATAGACTTAGAAAAGTTTCAATTTTATGGAAACATCACAAACGAGATAAGCAACTTAATTTCCTTATTATATAATTTATATATAAAAAATTCATCATTTCACTATTGTTGATTAAAGTGGCATATTTTACTAGCGCACATAATGTTTTACCATTTGGAGGCTGAACATCTTTTGAAACTCATACACATCTGTAAAATACCTACATCGTTGGCATAAACTGTTGCTCATCTTCATGGAGACAACTTGAGCCTGATTTAAAAAAATTGTATGGAAACTGGTTTTATATGGAATAACATGAACAGTCATGAAATTGGTGTTAATACTTCTTCTTCTTTAGTATGATATTTAGATCTGCTTCTCTCTTCCTGGTCTATATGCATTCCTTCTTTCAAAGGTTGTGATATATTGTTATTCTAAGGACAGTGCCCTAAGGAATTTAATTACATTAATTTAAAGCCAGGATCTGAGGCTAACAGCACTCATACCTCAGATAGTATGTGGTCTGATGCTGTTACCTTTCTCCTCATACCTGCCCTCCACAAAGAGCTGTCACATGACTTTGGCACCTCCCAATTCTTCCCCCTGTCACTCAGCTTTTAGACAGAAGCTGGCTTTTTTCTGTAGTCCTTTCTTCACCTAGCGCATGCCTGAAGCCTGGAAGCTTTGCTGCAGGCTTAAATTCTTAAGTATGTAAGAGGTTATAGCCATTCGAGGAAAAATACCAAATAGGCAAATATGTTTTTCTGGCATGTTCTCCCTCTTCCCATATTATTTCAGACTCTAGGACCTGCTACGAAATGAGCCTTGAGGAAAGGATGTGCTGCTGGTGGGCAGACACTCATTTTTTATATATACACTCATTTTTTGTATGTATGCATTACCTGTTACTTCTTCTGGGCTCATTTAAACAGTGAACTCTCTTTTAATTGTATCACTTCAAACTGAATTTCTAAATGAAAAAAATCTGAGAGTCTAGCTAGCATGTTAGATGGATATTTTGGGTGGCAAAGACACTTTCCCAAATAACCTATCACAGATGATGTCTCATGCAACACTTGTATGTAATATGCAATGAAGACATTGTTCCTTTGGAAAGTAACTCAAGATCTTGTACCCTGAGGCTGCTACTGTAGTTTTGTTTCAGGCCTTGAATACACAGCCTTAAGTCTTGTCCTCATTTATTTTATGTGATAAGTGACCTGGCTCGAAGCAGGATCAACTCATTTTTAAATAGAGGCAAAAAGGAACATATAGAGAAATATACGTGGCAGGTTCATTACATTATATGGACATCACAACAATAACATTTTTTTCTTTCAATCTGTAATTAGATAAATTTTCTCTTTTGAAAACATGAAAAAGGAAGATGTAGATAAGGCAGCTAACTTTTGAAATAGCCTGGTCAAATGACATTTTAAAAAGAAATTAAGGTTTTTCTATTCCTTTGAGAAAATTTTTATACTTAAGAATTTTAATAATTAGGATTTCTTAAAGGGACAGGAAATGTAACACAAGATATAATGCTATGTATTATACATTCAGTGAGATTAAAAATACACTGAATTAAAAGTACTTTTCTTTTGTGTTATATCTGACTGTGATTGACATTCAATATATTTACTTAAATTTTTCCCTTGACCTCTTTTCTTCTCATTTCCTTTTTCTTTATGACTATAAAGCTGAGATTTTTATCTGTTAATTAGTAGCTTAAACTTCTGATGTTAGAGTTGCCTGGGGCAAGCAAACATAAATGGTTAAGTATTACATTCCTACCATATAATTAACTGACTTTCCATATGTGAAAAAAGAAATGGGAGAAAGGGAGGGAAGGGAGAGAAAGAATGGAAAGGTGTTACAGGAAAAGTATCCATCAAAGGAAAATGTATTATATTACTAAATAAGTTGTATTTCTTTATAATATCACTAGGTGGCATATAACTGACTCGAACAAAAAAACTAGAGGAGAGCCAGGAAAGTTGATTTAAAAAAGAAAACAAAAAAGCTATATCTGGGAGTTGTCTGTATTTGTTTATTTGCCTATACATTTGGCAGCTCACAACTCAGATACGTCAGATTTGTATCGGGGATCAAGTGATATAATACATGTAAAAGTGCCGTTAGTGCCTGGTGTATAATTAGCACTAAATATATGTTAATTTTGTGTTACTAGTTGTCGTAGAAAGCATTTTTTGTTGCTTATATTGCCATTCAAATGTATAATCTTATTAATAAGAGTGGGTAAGAATTTCATTAACTAGGAATATGTTTCCAAGTGGTTTATAGATTTAAAATAAAAAATATGAAATGACAAAGTCATAAGCATTTTGAAATATTTTCTAATTATTTTAAATTTAGGTAAATATTAATGTCTTGTGAAAAATTAGATCCATTCAAATTCAAGAAAGGGTTCATAAATGTGCCTACCAAGACTCATCACCATGTACTGAATTCAAGTTTCTAAAATCTAGAAGTATAAACATATGTATCTGTATTACACTCATAGCCACAGGCATTTTTGTAACTAGCTTCTGTTCCTTTAAGAAATGATGGATTAGCTGGGGCACAGTGGTATATGCCTGTAGTTCCAGCTACTCAGGAGGCTGAGGCAGGAGGATCACTTGAGCCGAGGAGTTTGAGACCAGCCTGGGCAACATAGCAATACACCGTCTCTAAAATAATAATAAAATAAAATAACTGATGGATTACCAAAATTCACTCCTAAATATAAAAGAGTTTGATTACTTGTTACACACAAATTTCGCTTCCTTCTTACTTCTATGAAAAATATGTCTCAATACAATAAGAGAGAACCTGCAAGAAAACGGTAGATTTAATAAAGCAGTTTATATATGTTAGATTAGAAAAGAGAAAAATGGGAAGTTGCAGCAACACCTTAGGGAACTGATGATATTGATATAACCCAAGAAGAATAAAGATAACTAGTCAATTGATGTGCATACCATACATTTTCATTTTTCAACATGTAAAAATAATGACAGAATTAGCTTGAAACCAGGATTAAAATGTTCATGTACATTTTTCCCTCTAATGGTTCACTTAGATAGGCAACAATTTGAACACACATTTTGATGATGCCTCAAGTAGAAATTTGTATCACTTCCTCTAACAATCCAAAAATATGGACAAATAATTATAGAAAGGAAAAAACCCTAATCTTCCAGTCTTGGAAAAAGAAAAAGACTTGTTGACTACTTACTTTGTGGAAAACATATTTACATTTTAACAATTAAACAGTAAGAGAAGTATCATTATTATACATTATCTATGAGAAAAATAAAGTACACGTAAGTGAAAACATGCCCAAAGTCACTCATCTAATGTATAGAAAGATATGGATTAATGTTAACAGACATTTGTATTAGGCTGACCCTCACGAACACTTCCAATTAACAGATTTTATGGATGGTGAATTAAAAATACAATGAATTTTCATTAAAAAGTACATCTATATTTGATCACAGTTTTGCAAATAAAGACAGAAATTTGATTTTTTAATGTGCTAATACCTTGCATTGGAATTAAGGGTGTGTTTTATAAGACAACAAATTTAAAATTGATTAAGGATCAGAAATTCAAAGTGGGGCAATCACAAGTGATATTTAAATGATATAATAATTCAAATTGTTGGAAGCCCCTCTACTCCTAGTAAAGTAGATTAGGTAATTTGGACCAAAACTTTCATGAGGATAACTGGAAAACCTGGGGGAAAAAATAATGTGTTCTGAAAACACTGGAGAGTGGAAAAGATAGTTAACATTTGCTAAACCAGAATCTGAGGAAGAAACGATAGAGATCTACTGAGGTAAGCCTGAGACTTGGGGTTGTTTCCCCCCAAAAGTATTTGCCATTACTGAACAGCAAAGCCAAGAAACTCAGAGATGAAGTGTGCATTTTTACAGTCTGGCATAGACAGGAAGCTAATAATTGGAGTATAGGGACCTTCAAAAGGAGAGGAATTATAGAATCACTTTCACTTAAGTTTGGGACTCCAAAGAGCCCCACTCCAGGGTAAGAGTGATTTCTATATAGAAAGATTCTTCTGGAGAATAGAGTTCATGTTCAACTAATCTCAATCCCTCAGATTGGATTGAGGCAACCCCAGATTTCTACTGCCCCCGCATAGCTAGCAGAAGCACAATAAAAAGACTTGGGAACAAGATAACATGTTCATTCTCAAATGATTTCTCCAAACAAATTTCAAACAAAATTTTTAAACTACCCAAAATCATAACCAGATGCACAAGGAGTTAAGGCAGCATGACTGAAAGCCAGCAGCAAGAATAAAACATAGAAACAGATCTACAAGGACTCCAAATATCAGCCACAAATTTTGGAATAATTATACTACTTGTGTGAAGTAATAATAACCAGGATTGAAATTTCCAGAAGAAAATTACAAACTATAAAAACAAATGGAAATTCTAGCAGTGAAAAATAAAACAGTTGTAATGGAGGTCTCAATGGATTTTAAAAGCAGGTGAGAATTTGTTCAGTGAAAGAACTAAGGGGAGATATCATACAAAAAGACAAAAATAAAATAAACAAGAAATGGTAAAAGATATGAAGGGATGAATAAGAATGTTTAACATAATGGTATTTGTAATCCTAAAGTACAGAAGAGAAATGGAACAGAAATACATTTGAATAGATGAAAGACATAAAATCATTTTCCAAAAGACTGTGATAACAAGCCAGATAAATACAAAAAAATCCACAATTATATCAGTAACTGCTGAAAGCTAAAAACAAAGACAAAACTGTAAAGCAATTGGAAGGTTTAAAAAAAACCCTAGGGTTCATATTTTAATATGTTACAGTTAATTTAAAACCTGAGTACTATATCTACAATACAAAACAAGACAGCTCACTGATATTTTCAAAGTGCTGAAGAAAACAACTGCCAACCAGAATTTGATGTACAGCAAATATGCCTTTAAAAATTAAGGTGAAAAAAATATTTTTAGGTGAACAAATTCTGAAAGAATTATCACTAGTAGAATCTACTATTGTTAAGAAAAATACCTCTTCAGAAGGAATACATAAGATCTCATGAAAAATTAGAGATTCATGATGGTAGGAAGAGACAGAAAAATGCTAAAAATGAGTAAATCTAAATAAAGTTGAATGGTATGAAATGATAATTATTGTGGTTTATATTTTGTATGTGTGCTTATATAATTTAGTAATATATTGTTATATATAATAAAAATTTTTAGTTTATTTATAATTACTAAGAGAAAAAAAGCACATAAATTGGAAGTTGGAGTTGTCACTCCAATCTGGGTGACAGAGCGAGACTCTGTCTCAAAAAGGAAAAAAAAAGAAAAATGATAGTCAAATGCAATGCATGATTTTGAAATGGTTCTTTTTGTAATAAAGGGCATTATTAGGGATGACTGAAAAAACTTGGAGCCTGAGGATTATAAAGCAATTATGTGTCAATGTTGATTTTTCTGATTTTGATGATTGTAATGTGATTATACAGAAGAATGTTTTTGTTCGTAGAAATACACAAGAACGTATTCAGGGGTGAGGGGGCATTATGTCTGTAATTCTTTTTTTTTTATTTTTTTTTATTTTTCCCTTTGTCAGGGCTGAAGGGCGGTGGCACAAACATGGCTCACTGCAGCCTTAACTCCCGGACTCAAGCCATCCTCCTACCTCAGCCCCCTAAGTAGCTGGGACTACAGGCACGCACCACCACACTTGGCTAATTTTTGTATTATTTTATTGTTACTGTTGTAGAAACAGGGTTTCACCATGTTGCTTAGGCTGGTCTGGAACTGGTCTGGAACTTCTCAACTCAAGAGATCGGCCTGCTGCAGCCTCCCAAAGTGTTGGGATTACAGGCGTGAGCCACCACACCTGGGTGTAACTAATTCTTAAATGGATCAGGAAAAAATGTTCTCTTTACTGACCTTGTAACTTTTCTGTATTTGAAATGTTTCAAAAGAAAAGAAAAAAGGCAGATAGAGTACCTTCAAAATAAGTGGTGAATTTAGGGGACATTTTTGCACACATATAAACACACATGAATGTTTATAAAGAAAATATTGTAAACACCTCCTTCAATAACATAATTTATAGACAAATATTAGGAAAAATATACATGTGGACCACTTCCTCTATGACAGATTAACTTGGAGGAGACCAATTTTCCAGTTGAGAACAACTAGAAAATCTAGAAGGATTTTTAAAATATGTTTGAAGGATTTGGAGAAGTCTCAGGCAGGACTTGAGCAACCAGATTATACATTTTTTCTCTGAAGGCATTTGCAAATATTATCAACAAAGAGGCTGAGAAGCAGAATAGAAAGTGGCTGCATAGGGACAGGAAAGCCTGACAGAGTTTTTAGTTGTGTGGAAGAACAACTGCAAAATAGACATTTTATTCAAATACATAAAACAGTTAAGAATATATTTTCCATGTAGTGAAGTCTCAACCATTTCTAAAGGATGGAAAACACAGAGAACAGGTTCTCTGATGTCTAATAATTCTGTGAATTATTTCAAAAGTATACAGAAGCTATGGGTGAACAATTAAAATCCATCCAGTTTCCTCTGACTATATCCCAATTTCTCATAGTCACCAGAGTCACAATTATAAGGAATTTAGAGGTCGTGAAAGGAAAAGCCTCTTTGGAATTTGATATACACATTCAGAGATCAAGATACACACTTCTAAATAAACTATGGGGCAATAAAGAAGTCACAATAAAAATGAAAAATGTCTTGAAGTGATTAATAAGGAAAATATTACATGCCAACACAAGTGAGAGACAGCAATAACCATGCTGAGAAATGCCTAACTTTAAATGTATAAGAATAGCATTAGGAGATATACCTAATGCTAAATGACGAGTTAATGGGTGCAGCACACCAACATGGCACATGTATACATATGTAACAAACCTGCACATTGTGCACATGTACCCTAAAACTTAAAGTATAATAAAAATGTATAAGAATAAATGCAAAAATAAATGATCTAAAGTGCACTCAAAAAGCATGAAAAAAAGAGCCAATTAAATGTTAAGATAGAAGAAAGGAAATTAGATAAAGATAAATATTTTAAGCCAACCAACTACACAGCCAAAATTGTCTTTTAGAAAGGCTAGTGAACTAAATCCCTACTGAGAGTGATAGAGGCATAGATAACCTGAGTCAGGAATAAAAATAGTGATATAACCAGAGAACCCGCATAGAAAAAAAAAGACATAATTAGAAAAGATTATGAAAAACTTCATGACAACACATCTAAACATTTGGATTAAGTGAAAAACTTTCCTGAAAAATAAAACTTTAGAAAACTGGCACAAGAAGAGATAGAAAAAAAATGAATAGACCCTTAACTATTTCCAAGCATTCTAGTAAAAAGTAACAAAAATTTACAAAATATCATCTGGAGAATAGAAAACCAGGAATAGTTCCCTGGTTTCATCACATTGATAAAACCATGGTCGCCAAACTCTGGCGATTTTTATGTAGGCTGGTAAAATTTATGCACACACATGCAAAGATTATAAGATATCAAATCACATGTAATCTATAAACAAGACTCAAAAAAGCCCACTAACTGTAAACAAAAAGCTTGATAAATAGGACAAGAATAAAATTAAGAACTTCTGTTTATCAAAAAATATTATTAGGAAAGCAACAAGGAAGTTCCCAGACCAGAAGGATTAACAAAAACAAAACTAACCCAAAGAGGTATTTTTGTTAGTTCTACATATTGCAAATATATTTCACTCTTATATACATACTTAAGAATAACATACATATGAGCAGCAAGAACAGTGTGTAAAATGTTTATAGCAGCATTATTTATAATAAAATAGCTTAATAAGTTTTTATGGAGTCATATAATGGAATATGTGAATGAATAAACAAGCTGCAGACAACATGGTTGAGTCTCAAAAGCAGTGTTGAGCAACATAAACCATATAAAGATAAGAACATACTTTAAGGCTCTAGTTACACATAGTTCAAAAAAATAGGCAGAACTAAAGTGCTAGAAGTCAAGATTATAGTTTCTTTGACAGTGATGGAAAAGGTAACATCTGGGAGGAGAGAGCTTCTGGGAATAGAATATGGTCTCTTTTTTGACATAGGTAGTAGTTACCTATTGACTAGTGTTTGCTTTGTAATAGCTTGCTTTGACATAGGTAATAGTTACCTAGTTGACTAGTGCTTGCTCTGTAATGAGTTGATGAAAAAACTTATTGGGAATATCAAGGGATTATAAAAATGTTAAAGTTACAATGTTGAATAAATACTATAACATTAATACTTCTGTAACTGTACTTATAGGACAACGTAGTAATTTACCTGGTAATTTTATAAGAAATGGGGACATATCAAAATGTGTATTTTTGTTTGAAATTCTGTGAGTTATTTCAAAAGTGTACAGAAGCTGTGGGTGAACAATTAAAATCCATCCAGTTTCCTCTGACTATATCCCAATTTCTCATGGTTACCAGAGTCGCAATTATAAAGAATTTAGAGATTGTCAAAGGAAAAGCCTCCTTGGAATTTGATATAAATATAACAACCTAAGATATGCCCACACTAAAATGACCTATAGGTCTAATAATAATAATTCTAGGTTTAATATATTTACACATAAGGAATAAGGCAGCACCCCTCAGGTATGAAAATCATGCTAGCCCTACTGCTTCAGGATATAAATGGACACAGTAATCAATTTTTTAACTATGCTCTTAAGAATGCCTCTCTAGTAAGAAGTATCAACTTCAAAAGGACTCTTATTTTAGAAACATATGGTACAGATCACTAATAGAAATGCTTTTTATGACAGTTTATTCTTCATCTTTCATTTAAGCAGCTAGCCACTTGTGGCTTTATGAGGGATGTCTATTTTGTGGCCCTAGCCTGAAATCCTTAAATTCGAACATCTCTATGACACTATGATTCATCTTTTTGGATAGCATGGAGTTGAGGATGTATTCTCAATGTTTTCTCCTAATATAGTTTGGCTGTGTCCCCACCCAAATCTCAACTTGAATTCTATCTCCCAGAATTCCCACATTTTGTGGAAGGGACTCAGTGGGAGGTAATTGAATCGTGGGGCAGGTCTTAACCGTGCTATTCTCATGATAGTGAATAAGTCTCATGAGATCTGATGGGTTTATCAGGGGTTTCTGCTTTTCTTCTTCCTCATGTTTCTCTTGCCACCACCATGTAAGAGGTGCCTTTCACCTCCCACCACCATGTAAGAGGTGCCTTTCACCTCCCACCACCATGTAAGAGGTGACTTTCACCTCCCACCACCATGTAAGAGGTGACTTTCACCTCCCACCATAATTCTGAGGCCTCCCTAGCCATGTGGAACTGTAAATCCAATTAAACCTTTTTCTTCCCAGTCTCTTAGCAGCAGTGTGAAAACAGACTAATACATCTCCCTTGCTGATGATTAACTTTAATGAGTATTTAAAATAAAGTGATGTTTGGTTATATTTTTATTTGTAAAATCTTATCCTAGATGGTTAAAAAGTGTTCTAGGCAAGCTACTCAGGGGGCTGAGGCAGGAGGATTGCTTGAGCCCAGAAGTTTGAGACCAACCTGGGCAACACAACAAGACCATGTCTCTAAAATAAGTAAAGTAAATTAGCCAGGTGTGGTGGCACACATCTGTAGTCTGAGCTACTCCAGAGGCTGAGGTGGGCAGATTGCTTGAGCCCAAGAGTTCGAGGCTGCAGTGAGTGATGATCAAGCCACTACGCTCCAGCCTGGGTAACAGTGAGGTCCTGCTTCTATTATAAAAAAGTGTTCTAGGAATACATTATTACAGTTCTCTCAGTATGTTGACAGAAGGAAATTTTAAAAAATAATCACACAACACTGCCCAGAAAAGTCTGGGCTGCAAGATAACCTGAACTCTGCTTCCAGCCTGTGCCCTACATGGAGACATCAATCCAGAGGTGGTGGCCTTTTCCTAAACTGTCCCCCAAAGGGCACTTTCCTGGCCCAAATGATGTCACTATATAGATCAGTTTAGGTTCTGAATTGACCCTCAATTCTGTGTGTGTGTGCACTGACCCAGCTTGTACTACTATGGGTGACCCACTGAGATGTAAGCATTTCTTCTTGCAATCAGTCTTAAGGACTGTCTAGCCCATACCCTTCTTATGTGCATCTCCTTGCCAGAGAGACACTGTGCAAGTGCACTAGTTTTTTCTGCCCAATTGGGTCACATTGCATTCTGTATGCCTCCAAATTCCACTCAAGTTAAATGGAAGACATAGGGTCCTTTCTCCAGAATTCTTTTGCCTGGGAGCACTATAGTTCTCTAAATAACTTTCTGTCTCAGCTTTAGATGAAGCCCTCGAAGGTTAAAAGCAAAAAATATTGGTAGCAACTATGTGCAGACTTTGAAACCAAGTATGGTACTCATTTAGGGCTTACTAAGGATGTGAACATACCCCTATTTTTGTGATGATATCCAGAAAGAAAATACAAAAGGAGAGATTTTGATTCTGCAATTGAAGAAGGCAAGAGAGAACATCTTAGTAGAGGTGTGTTGGAATGCTACAAAATTTCCCATCCCTGGCCCCATCAGAGGGCCCCACACTTTCCCCTCACCTCGAAATAGTGATGTGGCTTCAAGGGGATGATTTAGATAATATTCCCCTGAAATGTGAGGAGGGAGGAGATGGCATCTTGCAGATTCTGATCCCATAAGACCAGTTGCCTCTCGGCACCACATGACCCCATGGTATCACTATTGAAATAATGACAGCCCCAAGAAGAGATGCAAATAACATGATGGTTGACCTTGCCACTAATAATTAGAATGGGATGTGATAAATACTCTAATAAAGGCATGAGGTTTTAAGAGAGTTAAAGGGAAAAAATGATGAGCCCTGTCTAAAGAACTCTACGAAAAGTGATGGCAAGAATAAAAGTTTGGGAGGGGTGATAGAAGGTGTATTGGGGTTATCCAGCTAACTGGAGAAAATGTTCTGGGCAGAAACAATAGGTTTGCTAAGTTTCTGATGAAAGAGAGACTAAGCACGCTTGGATAATGGCCGGGGGCTGAATGCTGCTGAACAGTAAAGAGCATAGATGCCAAAGGTCATAATCAGAGATGGGCTGGAGAAGAAGGTCGGGGAGAATTTGATGACTTTTTATATCATCCAAATATCCTAGAATTTTCAAAACTGACACTGTAGGGGTGAAGTTTTTCTATATTATTGAAAAGTGGAAATAATTACTAAACCTGATGAGAATGTTTGACAATTAGTTATAAAGTATATGTTGTAATTTAAACACCATGTGACTAACTTCTGTTAGATAAGTGAATATGTATGCTTTGCACATTGAAATAACACCTGAGAAAACCACTAAGTTTGTTGTTTAGTTTTCGCCTAAAACCATAAATTTTCAGAGAAAGGACAAGTGGGGCTGCTCTAAGATATGGGCTTCATGAGAATCTTCCACATTTTCACTCAGAGGTACTCTTACCTATCTCTGGGCAAACATGTTAGGGAATATAGGAATATTTGATTTCTTCTTGAGCTGATTGTCCCTATAGCATTAAATACCATAAAGTTTAGATCATTTTTCCCTCTAATAGCTTAATTCACCAGTTAGGTCAAATCTTTCAGATGTGAGATTTTTAAAATTTATGATTTGCTAAGAGATTTTCTTCACAGTAGAGGAAATTGAAGATGGAATATGTAATCTTTCCACTGTACTTTCCTACAATTATAAAAAGTAACCAAACTTCCCTAAAAATAATAGACAATTTCTTAAATTCTTTTAGGATATCCAAATCCATGGTCACTTAACTTTGTTCAAAACATCTTTGCCTCTAATTGTGTTAGAGTAAATTTTGTTGGAATTTGCCCTTGAGGTTACTCCCTAACCACGTCCACAAACATTCTTTTCATATTGTCACATCTAAAGAAGATCCTTCAGCCGTTTCATTTACATCAAGTGCCTCCCCTCTCGGTGTGAGCTTAAGTGAGAGCATAGGGCACACCAGGAAAGCTTCAGCCACTGAATGCTGATGAAGTGATAACTTCAAAGAAGATGTCATTGGCTCGTCACAGCAGGTTGGCAGCTGCAAGACAGGGAGCTCAAGTGTTATGCGCTCAGTGATTCCTATCCTTTGTGACTGCAGAATAGACTTAACACAGTGATTTCTAAGTTATGTCATGTATCTAGGTACCATTGCTAATATGAGAATTTATAAGAGATGTCTAAGAAACGGTGGCATAATATCTCAGAACACAAGTTGTCTATATAACCCTGTTAGTGTTTTGAAAGTTTTGGAATCTCAAGACTTGACATTGTCTTGTAAGCATTTTTTTTTTAAATGAAGCTACATATGTCTTTCTATAGCAGAGTCAGAGTGATGGATATATTGTCACCTGCTTTGGCAGACTCATTGAATATTCTTGAGGCAGAGCAAATGGGAGGACTGAATTCCCAAGATTTTGCCCTTTCACACTCCATGCACCCTACTATTCCCCTCAGTCTCCTCACTATGCATCAAAACTAGCAGGTAAATCCTTGGCTCATGATGCATCCATAAGCTTTTCTCTCACTTTTCTAAAATATTAGAATCATCAAAATAATCATAGTCATATTTTTGTGATTTAGGATTAATATAACCTACAGTCAGTGATATAATATAGATTATGTCATAGCAATGAAAGAAGAATTTGGAAAAAAATAATCTCTGGTATAAAAGCCATAACTCAAAGCACATATTCAACTTAAAGATAGGCTTTAGGTTTTCATTAAAACCCTAAAATCTTTAATTCTTGCTGTGTACTTTAAGAGTTAGAAACACATATTTAAGATAACTCTATCTTACATACAACTTGAGTATGCATTAAATTCATTCATAAAATTTTAGTGACAGCCAAGGCTGCTTTTAAACACTGCCTACTAACATTCTATTTCTGAATGTATAAGGAAGCTACTCATTCACTTTCATTAAGGAAAAGTTGATTAAATACTTTTTCAAAGTACTATTAATAGTTTACAGGGATTCATGCTTCTCTCATTAGTACTTCAACTCACATTCCTATAAGGTGAGTCAAAATATCCAGAATTTAAAAAATACTCTGAATAAACAATTATTCCTATAGAGTTAATTCTATAAATCAGGCACACTGAATATCACTTAGCATTTAACCTAAACAAAAACAATATTACATACAAAATGGAATGGGCTCAAAAATGAGCTCACATTCAAGTCTATGAAAGGTTTCATTTTGTGGATTCACACCCCTCAACCCCAGCATTATGACACTATGAGGTGTACTTAATATTTGCTCTTCTTGATAAATCAGATGAACTAAAATCAAATGACAGATTTTTAACGAGGATCCTAACCATCTAAGTTCTCACAAAGACTCAAATTTCACAGTCCCCTTTTTCCTTGCCTCATGTCCCTTGAGGTAAAGGTTTGGATTTAGTGTATTGTTAAATGTCTGCTATACACTAGGCTTTGGCTTACATATTTTCACACATGTAATCTCCATTCATTTTTAGTTTTTAATTTTTATTATTTTTGGAGATGGCATCTTGCTCTGTCTCCCAGGCTGGAGTACAGTGGCACGATCACAGCTCACTGAAGCCTTGAACTCCTGGGGGCTCAAGTGATCTTCTGTTTGAGCCTCCCCGTAGCTGGGACTACAAGCATTCAACACTACTCCTGGCTAATTAAAAAAAAATTGTAGGGATAGAGTGTCACTATGTTGTCCAGGCTGGTCTCAAACTCCTGGCATCAAGCAATCCTCCCACCGACACCTCCCAAAGTGCTTGAATTACAGTTACAAGCCTCCACACCAGGCCTAATTTTAAGTTTTTAAATGGCACACACATACATACCCCATACCTCTCTCAATAGCACAAATAAAAGGGAAGTTTGTTGGAGTTTTTGAAACCACTAAAGGCCTGGTTTGGGTTAACATGCAATGTCAGTAAATGTGAATAAATATATTTTCATGGATTGTGTTCATAGAAAGATTTGGCCTGATTATTTGAATAGGTATAGTTGCCACACATCCTGAAACAAAGCGAATTTGTTTCACATCTGTTCTGTGTCTATAGTACTTCACATTATCTTGATATAAAGGACATTTGTTTTGCTTACTCTCAGCCTGTAGCCCTGAAGTCTGCTTAGGATTGCTTCACGTTTATCCTAGATGATTCTGTGATTTCTCCAGAAACAGTAAAAAAGGTATGCATGTTATTAACAGTACTGTTTCTACTTTGATCTTTATCACCACACTTCTGCTGAGTCTTATACATGTTCACATTCTCACAAGTGGTATTTGCAGACACCACCTCAACTATGTGCTCTAAGTTAGCTTCACCAACTTTTACATCAAGGATTTTAGGAGAAACTAGGGAGAAATTAGCAAATTTCTGTGGTTGAAAAGCCTGTTTTATTATTATTACTCGATAGCAGTGCTGTTTGAGTATGTCAAAGCAAAACTACTGTTCTCCTCTCCTCAATGTCTCTAGAACTTCATTCACTGTTTACCACCTCCCACTTCTGATTCATTTATCTCCCTTCCTACAAATCATTGTTTCCTGTAGAAAAGCTAACTCTACCGAGGCAGGCAGATTATGAGGTCAGGAGTTTGAGACCAGCCTGGCCAACATAGTGAAACCCCATCTCTACTAAAAATACAAAAAATTAGCTGGGCCTGGTGGTGGGCGCCTATAATTCTGGCTATTTGGGAGGTTGAGGCAGGAGAATTGCTTGAACTCCTGGGAGGCAGAGGTTGCAGCGAGCCAAGATTGCATCATTGCACTCCAGCTCCGGCCACAGTGTGAGGCTGTGTCTCAAAAAAAAAAAAAAAAAAGAAAAGAAAAAGAAACGTTAACTCTAACAACGCACATCTTATTTTTAAAAAAGTCCCCTTGACCCACTTCCTTTTACTTTAGATTTTCATTTATTTCTCTTCCCTTAATAGCAAAATTTTATGGAAAACACATTAATATATCTTGCCTCTATTTCCTAACTACCCATCCAAGCTTCAGTTCATTCCAATTTGGCTTCTATCTCCAGCTTACTAACAAAACTGTTCTTGTCAGTGACCTCCACTTTTCCAAATTCCATTAGATTTTTACTCATATTGTGGAGATTCTCAGCAGCACTTGACGTAGTTACACTATTTTTCTGAAAATGATGAAACTGGAAGCTCTTATCTTTTCCTCTACCCACTGATATACCAAGTAAACATCTGTTCATAGATAAATTCCCTTTGGGAGAAAGTCAGAGACCAGTGGAAAAACTACACCTTCAGCAATTGAGAAAATGTCCATATTGAAGGGGTAGGAAAAGTAGAGACACACTTGGGCATGAACCAAACTTCTATCAAACTTGCATTGCAGAGTGAAAAAGCTCAATATATAGTAGCCCTTCAGCAGCCAGAATGAAACTTGACACTTCATGAGCCTTTCCGTCAGCTTATCCCAATGATAAATCCAGTTCTACCCATGTTGTTCACACATCGAATAACCCCAGCTCCTGGGAGGAGTTTGGCCATTAACAAATGCCACAACTTCTATAACTCCCACCCAAGGCACTATCTCCTTATTGACCCAGACCTGGGAGTCAACAATGATTTGCATTTCTGATTAGCCATAGACCACAGAAAACAAAGAGGTGGACACACAACAGGCACACTGTCAGCATCTATCTCCCCAGGGTCAGAGCACACAGTGGAACATTAGTACAGGTATTTGCCACAGATCCTTTCCCTGGCCTAGTACAGAGAATGTAAAGATAAACACCTGTGCTTAACTTCACCATGAAGATATAAGAAACGGGGACACACGTGCAGCATATTACCATTTCCAGTTACATTTATTATAATAGTTTGGTTCCTACCTTACCAGTCTCAGTACGAACAGGACATGGCACACCTGGAGGATAAGGAGTCACCAGAAACAGATACAGCAGTCTGGACAAACCCAAAGATTTGAGAGACACTTAAAAATCTCTGGCTGGACAGATGAGTGAGATCCTTCTCCTAAAGAAGGCCAGTCTGTCAAGACTGGGAGAGACAGTTATATTACATAATATGCAAAAACCAACAGAGAGTTAAGGAAAATGAAGAAACAAAGCAATATATATTCAAATAAAAGAATAAGATAAATCTCCAGGGATAGACCTGAGTAAAGTAAAGATATGTGATTTACCCAACAGAAAATTCAAAACAATGGCCATAAAGCTGCTCACTGAAGTTAGGGGAACAATACAAAAACAAAGTGAAAATCTCAACAAAGAGAAGGCATTAAAACATACCAAACAAGGTCGGGTGTGGTGGCTCATACCTGTAATCCCAGCAATATGGGAGACTAAGGCGGGTGGCTCACTTGAGGTCAGGAGTTCGAGACCAGCCTGGCCAACATGGTGAAACCACATCCCTACTAAAATTACAAAAATTAGCTGGGTGGGGTGGAACTTGCTTGTAGTCCCAGCCATTTGGGAAGCTGAGGCAGGAGAATCACTTGAACCCAGGAGGCAGAGGTTGTAGTCAGCCAAGATCATGACACTGCACTCCAGCCAGGATGACAGAGTGAGACTCCATCTCAAAAAAAAAAAAAGAAAGAAAGAAAAGAAAAGAACAGTACCAAACAGAAAACAGAGCTGAAGAATAATATAGCTCAACTAAAAAATTCAATAGAAGGGTTTTCCAGCAGAATAGATCAAGTACAAGAAAAGATCAATGAACTCAAAAAGAGGTAATGGAAATCATATAATCTGAGAAGAAAAAATGTAAAAAGAATGAAAAAAAAGTAAATAGTTTAAGAGACATGGAACATCATCAAGCCTAACAACATATATATAATTTGTGTATCAGAAGGAGAGGAGAAAGGGAAAGGAACAGAAAATATATTCAAAGAAATAGTGGCAGAAAAGTTCAAGCCTGAGGAAGAAAACAGAAATCTGGATCCAATAAGCACAAAAGACACCAAATAAGATGAATCCAAAGAGGCTCACATAAAGACACATCAAAATGAAATTGTCAAAAATTAAAGAGTTTTGAAAGCAGCAAAAGAAAAGAAAATTGCTACATCAGGGGACTCCTCATAAGATTATCAGTGGATTTTTTAGCAAAACCTTACAGGCCAGAAGGGAATGCAGTGTTATATCCAAAATCCTGAGACAAACATGTTAACCAAGAATACTATGCCCAGCAACCCTGTATTTAAAAAGAGAAGGGATGAAATAGACTTTCTCAGATGAACAAAAGCTGACAGAATTATCAGAAGTAGACCCACCGTACAAAAATTCTAAAGTGAGTTCTTCAAGCTGAGGGAAGAGGATGTGAAATAGTAACATAAAAACTCATGAAACTACAAACCTCACTGGTAAAATAAGAACATTTTCAAATCTCAAGCAGTCTAACTCTGTAATAGCCATCGACAAATCAATTATATCTCTTGTATATAGGTCAAAAGGCAAACTATTAAAAACAATCATTGTGACAATAATTTGTTAAGGATACAAATTATTTTAAAAATGTATATTGTAACATCAAAAACAAAGCATGGGAGAAGAGGAACTAGAAGTGTGGAGTTCATATGTGATCAAAGTTAAGTTGTTATCAGTTTAAAATAGCCAGTTATAAGATGTTTTAGGTAAGCCTCAGGATAACCACAAAACAAAAGCTTATAATGGACACATAAAAGATAAAAAGAAAAAAGCAAAAGCCACTATAGAAAGCCATCAAACCATGAAAAAGCAACAAAGGAAGAAATAAAAGAACTACTAAACCACCAGAAGATGGTTAACAAAATAGTGCAATTCAGTTATTAGCTATCAATAATTACTTTGAATATAAGTTGATTAAATCTTCCAAACTAAATGCATAGAGTAGACAAAGGGATAATGCATAAGACCAAACTATATGCTGTCTACAATGGACTCACTTCACTGTTAGGGACCCACACAGACTAAAAGTAAAGTGATGGAAAAATATATTCCATGTAAATGGAAACAAAAAAAGAATGCTATATTTACATCAGACAAAATAGACTTCAGATCAAAACTGTAGAAAGAGACAAAGAAGGTTACTATACACTAATAAAAGTTTAATTTATCAAGAGGATGTAACAACTATATACATACCCAATATTGGAGAACCTATGTATATAAACGTTAAGAGATCTGAAAAGAGACATAGACTGCAACACAGTAATAGCAGGGAATTTCAATACCCCACTTTCAACATTAGATCATCCAGACAAAAAAATTAATAAGGAAATGCTGCACTTGAACTATACTTTAGACCGAAGTAGCCTCACAGACATATACAGAACATTCCACTAAACAGCAACAGAATACATATTCTTAAGTGCACATGAAACATTTTCCAGGACAGTTTGTGTTAGGTCACAAAAAATTAACAAATATATGGAAATTGAACAATGTACTTCTAAACAACTATTGGATCAAAGAAGAAATTAAAGGGGAAATTTTAAAATTTCGAGACAAATGAAGATAGAAGCACAACACACCAAAATGTATGAAATTCAGCAAACACATTCTAAGGAGGAATTTTATAGCCATAAATGCCTCCACCAAAAAAGAAGGTAGATCTCAAGTAAACAACCTAAAGTTATGCCTCAAGAAACTAGGAAAAGACAAAGCTAGGCTCAAAGTTAGAAGAAGGAGAAAATAATAAAGAAAAGAGAAAAAATAAATGAAACAGTGACTACAAAACAATAAAGAAGATTAATGAAACAGAGTTTGTTTTTTGAAAAGCAACAAAATTTACAACCCTTAGTTAAACTAAGAAAAAAAAAAGAGAAAAGATTCAAAATCAGAAACGAAAGAGGAGACATTAAAACTGATAACAGAAATACAAAAGATCATAAGAGACAACTAGGAACAACAACATACCAACAATTTAGACAACCTAGAAGATGAAATATTTCTAGGAAAATACAACCTACCAAGACTGAATCATAAAGAAACTAAAAATCTGAAAAGGCCAAAAATAAGTAAGGAGATTGAATGAAAAATTTTAAAAATCTCCCATCAAAGAAGGCCCAGAACCAGATGAATCCTATCAAACATTTAAAAAAAAAAATACTAATTTTTCTCAAACTCTTCCAAAAAACTGAAGAGGAAGGAACACTTCCCAAACTCGTTCTTTGAGGCCAGCATTACACTGATACCAAACCTAGGTAAAGACACTACAAGGAAAGAAAATTATAGGCCAATATCCCTGATGAGCATAGATGCAAAAATCTTCAACAAAATACTAGCAAACCCTATTCAACAGAACATTAAAAGGATCATTCATCATTGTTGGGATTTATTCCAGGAATGCAAGTTTCGTTTAACATACCCAAATCAATGTATGTAATTCACCACAACAGAATGAAAAAAAAAATCTTACAATCATCTCAATAGTTGTAGAAAAGGTATTTGACAAAATTCAGCATTCTTTCATGATAAAAACTCTCAATAAATTAGGTACTGAAGGAGTGTACCTCTAGACAACAAGTCATATATTAAAAGCTCACAATTAGCATCACACTCACCAGTGAGGAGAAAGGTTTTTCTACTAATATTCAGAACAAGACAATTATTCCCAGTCTCATGACTTCTGTTCAACATAGTCCTAGAAGTTCTACTGAGAGCAATTAGGAAAGAGAAAGAAATAAAAGGCATCCAGATAGGAAAGGATGAGGTAAAATTATCTGTTTGCTGACAACATGATGTTATATATAGAAAATCCTAAAGACTCCACAATAAAAAACCTGTTAGGACTGATAAAATCTGTAAAGTTGCAGTATATAAAAATCAGCTTACAAAAATCAGTAGTTTTCTCTACACTAACAAATTTTTTGAAAAAGAAATTAAGAAAATCTCAATTTCAATAGAAGTTGAAAATATAAAATGCTTAGGAATAAACTTAACCAAGAAAGTTCTGTATGCTGAAAACTAGAAAACATTAAGGAAAGAAATTGAACATTACACAAATAAATGTAAAGGTATTCTGTGTTCATGAATTGGAAGAATCTTGTTAAAATATTAATGCTACCCAAAGCAATCTACAGATTCAATGCAATTTCTATCAAAATTTCAAGATTATTCTTCCCAGAAACAGCAATGCTAAAATTCATATGTCATCACAGTGGCTGATCTCAAAATCTATTACAAAGCTATAGTAATCAAACAGCATGATGCTTGCATAAAAACAGACACATCAATCAACAGAATAGAAGAGAGGGCAGAAATAAACCCACACATTTATGGTTGACTGATTTTCACCAAAGGTGCTAAGAACACACAATGGAGAAAGGACAATCTCTTTAGTTAATGGTGTTGGGAAAACTGGATATCTACATGCAGAAGAATGACGATAGACCCTTACTTCACCTCGTATAGAAGAATGAACTCAAAATGAATTAAAGACTTAAACATGAGATTTGGACCTATAAGAACACTAGAAGTAACATAGATGAAAGTTCCGTGACATTGGTCAGGGCAGTGACTTGAATATGATACTATAATAACAGGCAACAAAAGCAAAAATAGACAAGTGGGATTGTATCAAGCTAAAAATATTCTGCACAGCAAAGAAAACAATACTCGAATAGACAACCCACGGATTGGGAAAAATACTTGTAAATCACACATTGGATGGGCTAACATCCAAAATGTACAAAGAACTCAAACTACTCAAATAATAAATAACCCTTTTTTAAATGGACAAAGGACTTGAGCAGATATTTTTAAAAGAAGAATTACAAATGGCCTACAAATATATAAAAAATTGCGCAATATCTCTAATAATTATAGAAATACATATTAAAGCCACAATGAGATATCACCTCACACCTGTTAGATTGGTTACTATCAAAAAATGAAAGATAAGTGTTGGTGAGAATGTGAAGAAAAGGGAACCCTTATATACACTGTGGGTGGTATTGTAAATTAGTACAGCCATTTGGAAAACCATATGGAGATTCCTCAAAACACAAAAAAATGGAATTACCATAGGATTAATTCCAATACTGGGTATATACCCAAAGGAATTGAAATCAGTATGTCGAAGGAATGTCTGCAATCCTGTGTTTGTTCCAGCGTTAACAATGGCCAATACTTAGAAACAACTGTAGTGTCCATCAACAGATGATTGGATTTTAAAATTTTGTTATATATACACAATAAAATACTATTCAGCCTTAAAAAAAGAAGAAAATTCTGTCATTTTGACATGGATGAACCTAAAAGCCATGATATTAAGCAAAATAAGCCACACACAGATAGACCAATAAGGTATGAACTCTCTAATATGTGGAATCTAAAAGTCTAACTCATAGAAGGGGTGTGTAGATTGGGGGTTAGCAGAGGCTGTAGGGGGTGGGGAACAAATGGGGAAAGGAGAGACGTTGGTCAGTTAGAAGAAATAAGTTCTGGTGTTCTATTGTACAGGACAGAAACCACAGTTAATAATAATGTATTATATATTTCAAATTAGCTAAAAGAGAGTATTTTAAATATCCTCATCACAAATAAATACTTGAGGTAAAAGATATATGCTAATTAGCCAGATTTGAACATTCCACAATGTATACATGGATAGAAACATCACATTGTAGCCCATAAATATATATAATTGTCAACAATAAAACAAAAACCTAGATCAATAATCCCAAGATTATTGTTTTAATAATTCAAAGAATCTTCTGAACAGCCCTGTTATACATTATCTACAGCCCTAAATATGATCAACTGTTTGTCTCATGAATGCCATTTTTAAAGGAATTTAAGAGAAATAGTTATGCATGTAATTTAATCAGCATGAATGTTTTTCAACATGTGATTAATAAAACATTAGCTATATATCAACTACTAAATAAGATTTTGATACATTGTCATGATAGAAAACCAAACAGCATATTTAAGTGTATACATGTAAAACAAACAAACAAACAACTATTTATAACATTAAAATAAGAGCTGAAAATACTAACTATGTGGAATTAGTATTCATAGCAGTAATCTCTAGATAGTGGATTTTAAAATATTTGATTGTGTATGTCTTTTTGTATTAAAATTATTTATAATATATTACATTCATAATAAGAAAATTTAAGTACGTAAATAAAAGGCTTGTCTAATCCCTGTTAGGTTTTCTCTTTTTTTCTTTTTTTTTTTTTTTCCTGAGACAGTGTTGCTCTGTCACCCAGGCTGGAGTGCAATGGTGCAATCTTGGCTCACTGTAACCTCTGCCTCCTGGGTTCAAGCAATTCCTACCTGCTTCAGCCTCCTGAGTAGCTGGGCACCACTGCGCCCAGCTAATTTTTGTATTTGTAGTAGAGACAGGGTTTCATCATGTTAGCCAGGCTGGTCTCAAACTCCTGACCTTATGATCCACCCGCCTCAGCCTCCCAAAGTGCTGGGATTAGGTGTGAGCCACCTTGTCTGGCCAGGTTTTCTTCACTAAAGAAAATAGTGATGATTCTTCCTATTCAGACATCGCTAATATTCACTTCACTCACATTAGCCATTTTTTTCTTCCATATAAAATAAAGTCTTTGGCTTATTGGTATAACATATATCTCTAATATATGTAATAATTTATCTTATCGATGCCTTGAAAGTAGTTAAGCCCAATATCTTCCCTCTATTTCATGTCTACAAACATTAGCAAAAAATTTTTATAATAATTTTTATAATAATGAGTCTAAACATAAAGATATCGTGTTGGCATTCATGAGATTTCATTTACATTGGCTTTTTAGTGAAAGATCCATTGGAGCCTTGCTTCAATGATATAAATTTGCCCAAATAATAATAAGTATTTGGGCAAAAACTATATATCAAGTTCAGTCCTAGGCTCCTTAGATGTATTTTATTGCTTAATTCTAATAATAGTGTATGATATGCTGCTAATGCCATCCCAAAAAGAAAATGAGGTTTGGAGTTATGAAGTGATTCTCCCAAAGGCACGTAGCTAAGAAGAAGTGTGGATAGGATTCGAACCTAGGTCTACATAATTCCAAAGTCCATTAAGGCTGTTAGTCTGCATGCTATAGTAAACAGGTTGCTTCAGATTTGGAGGCTGTTCAACAGAAGACCACCTCCTGTGACCAGTTGTTTGTTGTTTTCACTAGTCTCCAAACATGTTTTTTGTTGCATACAACTTCATTTAAAAAGTCATGTTGGTATTTGTCAAAAAATAGTGAAAGCCATAAGCATCAATAAGAGTAGAATTAAAGTCTTTATAAAATAAAAATCAAGCTAAACTTAGACTAACTTTGCAGTTTTAAATTTAAAGAAGTTTAGATTTATAAGCAGGTTAAGTGTAAATATAATGGAAACATTTCCTCTGAAAAACCATTATTTCCCACTGTCTTCAATTAAAGGGTTGGATAGTTAGTTTGCCACTTAATATCCCTATTTAAAAAAGTGAGATGTCTTGGAATCACAAGGGAAGATTCATTGAAATGGGGAAGAGACTCATTTGGAGATCAGATTCTAATCTTTTAATGCTGACAATTTGATCCTCTGAAGCCTCTTAAATGATTTAGCTACATAAGTTGTAGAAAGATTCAACTGTTCTGAAGAATTGTACTGGACTTTGTTAGTAACTTCTAACTCATTATCAAAACCAATGAATAATAGAATTTTAGAGCTGGAGATGAACTGTTACAGTAATCTAGTCCTATTCTCTTAACAATGGAAAATTGTGAAAATGTATTTTAAAGTAGTTAAATTACTAGCTCAAAGTTTCACATCTAGCTATAGTAGATTCATTCAGCGGCCAAACTAGTAACCTTTCCACTAAAATTCAAGTTATAAATTTACACAAACTAGTCAATATTCATGTTCAATGTATAAATAGTTCTTGTTTGCTTAAGTCATTTGTTAGTTCTAGGAAATAATCCTAAAATGACTAGCTTGATATTTCACACCCAGCTAGATGATATTACATCACTATAAATAGAGACTTCTACAATTAGGCCACTGCAATTAAATTATTACAATTATGAAATATTAGCAAAAATTTCAATCTGTTTCCATTCATACATTATGTAGTTCTTACATATATGAATCATTTGTATTATGGACTTGGTTTTTGTAGAAATTAGTTGTCTAATAATTAATTCTAAAATACCAGAATCAGACTATGTGTGTACAGTTGAAAGCAAAAAATAAAAATAAAATTATGCTTAATAAAAGTTATCTAAGTAGAGAATCAGAGCTTACTTCGGAACACCATGAAGAATAACACAAATGTCTGGCCATTTCTTTGTACGTAACCAGCAAGAAGAATCATCCACTCAAACAAGGCTATGTGACATGCCATAGAGGTTTAATGAGGCCAGCATGTTTCCTGAAAACTTGTCTTGCAAAAGGTTTCCCTGTTTACAGTATTTCTCTGCATACTAAGGTATTGCTCTGGCACATTCAAAAGTGAACAAAGAGCTAGTTGTTAATACAAAAAAAGCACCCCCCCTTTCCCATGTTATCTGATACCTCGTGGCTATAAGTGATCTAAAGATGTCTGGGTGCTGAAGCAAATAAATGGAAAGAAGCTGTTCTGACATTTGTACTCAGACTTTTGAGTGGAAAGTTAAATAAGTTCTGCTTCTTACAGCTTCTTATAGATAAGGATCTGTAGTGGGCTCATTTTCCCTTGGCCACTTTCCCACATCCTAATCCAGATTTTGCTGTCAGGTATAGTTACGCATTTCCTTGACTCCTGAGACCAGCACTTGGGTGGGATCTCTTCATGGATTTTAGATACTGAATCATTTTTGTTGTTGTTGTATGTAAATGGGACCTGTGGAGAATGATGGTAATCCTGGAGCTGCTTGGACTGAAATAAGAAAGAGGCCAGCTCTTAAAAGCACTCAAGTGGCACAAAAGAAGAACATATGGGTAAGTGGTCTACAAAGGTGGTCAGCAATAATTTCTCCCATCCTTGTTCATTCATGCATGCCGTGACTTCTATCAAGTAGTGAGGTATATGGCCCCATTCCTTGAACTGAGGCTGGCTGTGTGATTTACTTCAGTCAAATAGAATGGGCAGAAAGAATGTTCTGGGACTTCTGAGCCCAGAACTTGAGAGCCCTTGGACAGTCCCCTTTTGCTGTCTTGAAACCCATCTGCCATTTGCAGAAGTCTGGCTCCCTAAAGGCTGAGACTCTAAAGCGGGGAGCGGGGCATGGGGGGAGGGGGAAGAGAGACCAAGACTGTCCCAGTTACTTCAGCCATCTCAAGTGAGGCCACAGACACATCAGTGAAGCCATCTTAGACTTGCTAGCATATTCCAGGTTCAGCTGAAGAACTTCCCAGATGAACCCAGCCAACTTTAGGAATCATGAGAGGTAACAAATCATGGCTGTTTGAAGCTGCTAAATTTGGGGGTAGTTTGTTATGTACAAACTAATGACTGAAACAGAATCGTGTTACAGTTGGCATAGCAAATAATCTAACTTCAGCCCCACTACCTTCTGTGAATCTGCTTTTGCTATGATTTCTCTACTGTATTTGTTACCTCTGATTACGCATTTTCGAAACTTTAAATGTCTCAATATTTCAAACATGGTTCTAAATTAAGCTACTAAATCATCTCCAGAAAACTGTGCTATTTTAAAGCGATGATTACTTTACCTATTTACTTTGCTCTCTAGCAATTCTTCTGAGCCATACATCTGAGCACCATCTTCCTATTGCCTCTCTTTCATAGTTCATCAGCCATGATATTTTTACATTTGTGACTAGAACATCTCACAGATGTGTCCCTTCATTTTCTTCCCATTTAAACATAAAGGACTCAATATTTATTACCTGAGCTAAATAAACCATCTCCTACATTGTTTCCTTGTCCTTAAACTAAAACGATTTTTCCAAACTGCATATAAAATCATGTAATTTTCTGCTTTAAATCACTAAATGGCTCTCCCTACCATGGGAGAGCTTCCTATTCAGTGTGTTGGGCACAATAATGGGTACGCATATTGGTGAGTCTATAAGTGTTTAACAACCTGCTTTCCATGATAAAAAGTATATACAGACACATACATGTATAAGTTTATTATGTTTTACTGATATAAAGAGTGCACAGCACATAATTTATAAGTAACAACATATGCATTACCCTTTCTTGTAAATTCCATATTGCCAATGAATTCTAACAGATTTTTTGTTGATTTTTGCCAAACTGATGTATCTGGAACAAAAATATAGTTCATAAGCAACTGTAGTTTCTGACATGAATGTTAATATTTTCAGTTATATTTATGGGTATGATGAAAATGAACAGTGACGTATGTTAGAACTTCACTCATTAATGGCAACTGAATCAGACAACAGTTTTCAAATACATATAGCATATTTCAATTTTTGTACTACTCACAATATAAAAACTTTAGATACAGCACACTTAAGTGTAATCTGAATTATTAACATTTTCTCCACCACTTTCTTAGGCCCAGACAACCAATCAACAAAACAACAAATAAAAAGCTGATTTGTAGAGTTTGCTGATTTTTTCCTGGCATGATTTTTCCTGGCCTCTCCATAGCCAATTTCAAGCTATCAACATGATGTCACTATAGGAGGAATTGGAAAGATGCATAGTAGTACAGAATTATATAGTATTTCTATTACTCTAGTCAAGTAGAAATAACCTCACAAGCATACAAAGAGTACAGTATAGTTAAAATCATTGGGAAGTTATAAGTTTTGAATATTTATTACCTTTGTTTTTAATTTGCTTAATTATAAGTTTAATATGATCTCTAATAATGGCTATGTTAATCAACTAGCTTGCATAATTCTTGAGACTTAAACAATCTACCCTGTCTTGCCAGTATTATTACCCGGCTCAGGCACCCCAACCTGTTGTGCCCAAGACCTCCATCTGTTTGCCTCTAGAGGAAGCTGGTAAAGCTCAGGCCTCAGTAATAGCTGAGCTTCTGGCCCTCATCCTCATGTGGAGAACTGTAGCCAATTTTTCACTTTGTAAATCAATCCTCCATGAAATGATCCTTTGCCCATGCAGACAGAGATGACTACTTATTCCCTTATGCCCTACTTTTACTTAGTTCTATGTCCTGCAATATCTATTACAAATATCATGACTATTTGTCATTTTCCTAATACATTAACAGTTATAATAGTCTGTAGTAAGGAACTGTGACCTATAACAGGTATTTTGCTTGTTATGTAAGAATAAATGTATGAAAAGTGAGTGGGTTGTTAGGGCTGACAGAGAACAGAAGATTGAAAATTACCGCCAGAATGCAGAGCTCTCTATCATCCTGGGCAAACCAACTGTCATTATCATCATCTAACATGAAAACCACCAGAGTGGTTCACTTTATTCAGAGTTAGTGAGATAGCACTGAAGAATAACAGAGCAGTCTGTCATCACTCTCCTAAGTAAATGATCAGTAAGTTCCTAAGAAGACCAAAATACTTCAAAGATTCTCCTTGGCAGAATCTGGCAAGATACTACACTACACACTTTGATGGAAACTTTAAAGTAATGAGAGTAGTCAGAGATAAAGCCAGTATAAACCTTAGTGATACAGAAGCTTTGTGAAGCAAGAAGGACTGACATACTTCTGATTAGTATTTCCTCAACACATGCGTAATCTCAGGATCAACTGGCAATATTATAATCACTTCTAGGAAAAAAAAAAGTCAACATCTATGGAAAATAACTGCAGAGCTTTGTGATGTTTTCCAAATACCACTATTATTTGAGCTTAAAAGCAAAGCAGTAAAGGCTGAATCCTGTCTATATTGCCTTCTTCCAATTAAATGTGTAGCTTATGTTTCAACATGTTCTGTTGTGAGGAACTCAATACATCTCTCACTGCTTAGGCTGTATTTGGCAAAACATGAAAACCAATAAGGCTGATAATAGGAGTCTGAAAGCCAGTCTCTGCACTACTTTCAAATCTATTCTTCTGGGCTGGGTAAAGCCTGGCAAAAGATTATACCACACCATGAAGGTCCTACATGACCATGGGTAGCCCTTGGCAGCAGGGCAAAAGGAGCTCTAAAAAAGATTAAAAAATCTGCATGCTTCCCACACTGACGTACACATCATCACAGGATGACCAGCTTGGCATGACCACGTTTTGTTAATACGGTGTAAATTGTTGAGGTTGCCACAGATCTGTAATAATAAAAATCAAAACATTTTTTGAACACCTACTCTATTCAATGCTTATTATCACCCATTTTGTAACAACATTAATGTTAATTGCTTATAGTAAATGAAGAAATGTACCAACATGTTGAATATTCTTATACCAGAACTTGTAGAAAATCTTACATGTGATATCCATATTTATAGATAAATTCAGAGACTCATTGAGGTGAATCTACACATCCCAGTTTACACAGGTGGGAAGTGGCAGAGCTAAATTTGAATACAGACCTAACTTGAAGGTTTATGTCCTTGAACCTACAGCATTCAATAAAGACATACTTCATGCATTAACGTTAAAGTTCCACAAGTTTATGCTGTTAATAATTAGTCAAATGTCAACAATGGCATCTTTAAAAAGAGGTTAGCAATAGCAACACAATTCATCTCACTGTGCTGAAACATAAGCACCTAAAATATTTGGATGTCGATATTCATGTCTAAACATATTCAGACATGCGTTGAAATGCAGAAAATTATGGGGTTCCTCACTTTTTGCTATGCATATTCCTTACTAGGATAAAGTTTATTTCTTTCATTCAGCAAATATTTATTGATTGTGGGTCAGGAAATGTGCTAAGCCTTCCTAATGCCCAATAAACAAGGCAAGAAGGGCTCTTGCTACCCAATGAACATTATAGTTGAAGAAACAGATATATAAATAAATAAATAGTAAACAGGTGAATGAATATCTATGATCATTACAAACTGTAAAACTTATTATGAAGGAAATAAACACTGTGATGTGGCAGAGAGTAACTAGAAGGCAACTACTGACAGCCAAATAATTTCTTATTGGTATTGTTTTCAACAGCAGTAGCACCAAGAGGGAATATTTGAGGCTTTCTTGGAAGGAAATATGTACAAGTGTTTATGTGTGTGCATGTGCATGTCTGTGTGTGTATGTATGTGAGGGGCAGAATTACACACTGATTGATGCTGCAGGTGCTATGGAAAAAGGAAGAAGCTTTATCAAGTGATAATTGTTTCTGAAACCCTCCTCATGTGTCAGCAACTTTTAGTTTTTTGCAGGTAATGATTTTTGGTTTCCATTTTGGAAAACTAAACTTCCCTCTCTTCTATATAGGATTCAACTGTATCACAACTACAGATATTTGAGTCAGTGGGTTTCCCAGGAACTATGAGAAAAAAGTGGCGTGAGTTGAAAGAACCAAGAGCCCCAATTCTAGTCGGGGAAACCCTGCTCCCTAGGATATGTCCTTGCACAGGTTATAACCATTCTTTGCAGTCTCTAAAATGAGAGAGTTGCATTCACCAAATGATCTCTGAGATTCATTCCAGCTCTAAAAATCTCTGATCCTGTGTTTAGGAGTTGAAAAACAAATTAACTGAATTACTAACTACAGATTATGTGTGTGTATATTTACGCACACACACATACATATACACACAATAATACATAATAATATAGTACATAATGTATATAGTTATACTATACACTATAGTTTTTTTAATGTATTGAGAAAGAGAAGTGGAGAAAATTTATTAAAGTAGGGAACACAATTGTCTGTTTGAAATATCCTTTAATACTCTATATTCTGAATACTGATTCAGAAAATCTAAACACATTACTGTAAAGACTTTTGGTGTGTACAACACTTGACTATTTAAAAGTTTTCTAGGGCCAGGCGCAGTGGCTCACGCCTGTAATCCCAGCAGTTTGGGAGGTTGAGGCAGGCAGATCATTTGAGGTCAGGAGTTCAAGATCAGCCTGGGCAACATGGTGAAATGCCATCTCTACTAAAAATGCAAAAATCAGCCAGGCATGGTGGTGCACGCCTGTAATTCCAGCTACATGGGAGGCTGAGGCAGGAGAATCACTTGAACCCAGGAGGTGGAGGTTGCAGTGAGCTGAGATTGCGACACTGCACTGCAGCCTGGGCGACAGAGCGAAACTCTGTCTCAAATAAATAAATAAATAAATAAATAAATAAATAAATAAATAAAAATTTTCTAATCTATTGTCTTCATTTTGGAGAGGAAATGGCAACCAAGAATGATGAGGAAATTGCTATTGGCCAAGAACACAGCAGCAGAAGAAGCAATGGCAGAACTGGTCCCAGGTCTCCCACGGTTGTCTCAGATCAACTCTGGATCACATCACTTCACATATTAAGTTTTCCCATTTGAACCAGCCATGTTCTATTTCTGATCTTTGTCCTTCTTTGTTGTGCTAATTTTATTAGTATTACTAATATTTTGGAGATATATTTCAACCAATATTATCATGACATTGTTTCTGATTCCAGACAATCATATTATAACTCCAGGTTACTGCTCATTAAAAAAAAAAAAAAAACTAGGGCAATACATTGTCACTTAATCTACATGCTTTGTTCTTTGCTCCTTTCGAACTGTATCTTCTCCTTAATGATAAAACCAAATTACTACACTATCATTAGAACAATGACAGTTTTACTGACTACACAGGATTTCAGATTTTATATACGGCATCAAAATCAAGAAATCAAGTCAAGTGGCCGGGCGCGGTGGCTCACGCCTGTAATCCCAGCACTTTGGGAGGCCGAGGCGGGCGGATCACGAGGTCAGGAGATCGAGACCATCCCGGCTAAAACGGTGAAACCCCGTCTCTACTAAAAATACAAAAAATTAGCCGGGCGTAGTGGCGGGCGCCTGTAGTCCCAGCTACTTGGGAGGCTGAGGCAGGAGAATGGCGTGAACCCGGCAGGCGGAGCTTGCAGTGAGCCGAGATCCCGCCACTGCACTCCAGCCTGGGCGACAGAGCGAGACTCCGTCTCAAAAAAAAAAAAAAAAAAAAAATCAAGTCAAGTACAAAAATGATTTAAGTTTTGTAATGCTTTCCCCCCTTGTGACGATGTTCATGCCATTCCTAACAAAGAAGGAAATAAAGTGGGAATTATAATCATGGACACTCTTCTTAAAATTCTTAGATTAATCTGGCTACCCAAATGAAAACATGCATCCACACAAAAACTTGTACACAAATAGTCATAGCATTATTCATACTAGTCAAAGAGTGGACACAACCTAAACATCCATCAAATGATAAATGGACAAACAAAACATGGTATACCTATAAAATGAAATATTTGGGAATAGAAAGAAATGAAGCAATATATGTGCTATATCATGTTGGGTGAAATAACCAGTCACTGGAAACTACATAGTATATGATTCATTTATATAAGAAGTCTAGAATGTGCAAATCTAGAGAGACAGGAAGTAGACTAAGGGGTAGCTGGGGCTAGGAGGTGTAGAAAGAGGGAATGGGAAGTACTCAACTACTGAAGTTGAGTACTTCCTTGGGTTGCTTTACAGGGTGATAAAAATGTTCTAAGGTTGGATTGTGGTGATATTTGCATAACTCTGTTAATACACTAAAACCACCAAATTTTACACTTCAAAGTGGTGAATTTCATTGTATATGAAGAAAAATTGTCTACTTTAGCATCACTTTACTGAACTACCTAGGAGCTCCATGCTCCAACTTATTTCTTAGAAACTGTGAAATGAGAAAGTACTTTCATTAATACAAGTTCAAGTTTCATGAGCTCAAAGGAACTTTTGAATTCATAATAATCAAAAGCTACCCCAAGATGTTGTGGAGCTAGATTACTTAGGATTGAATCCTAGTTCTGCTAGTTATAAAATGTATGACTTTAGACAATTGATATCTTCATTCATCTTCAGATTTAAGAGTATATAATACTATCTAGCTTATAGGTAAATTCCTATTTTGTGCAGTTTTAGCTAATGGGATATGGTTCAAATAGCTGAAGTAAGTCATGTGATAGTTGGAACCCCTCGTTTTATAAATTTAATATTATTGGCATGATGCTTTAAAGAAGTTATGTAGAATTGCACAAAATCATATAGTAAAATGAGATATTTTATAGCTCAGTATTCTCAACTGTAAGATATCAAATACTTTCTACTTATATTTAAGAAATAAAAATTGGATTTCATTTTTTTCACTTAAAGAACTACTTTATTTTTTCATGGAAATGTGTCTCACTTTAAAATAATTTAAGCAATTTAGTCTTTATAGTTTTTTTGTTTCTTCTGAAAGGGGCAATTAGATAAAAGGTAAAGAATATACTTTTTGTTCATACGCTGATTGTTTGAATTGATAGACACTAAAAATAAATTTTGTGTTTAATTCAGTTTATATGAAATGGGTTATCCCAAATAAACATTTATGAATTTTGAAGGCACATAATAGTGATCTTGAGTTCTAACGATATGTATTAAATTAGCCATTTTCATCCAGCAATCTCTAGTGGGGATAATAAAAAGAATTGTAACAAACACTTAAGATGCTAAATTTTCCAAATATTAGAAATAGACACAAATATAAAACAACTCAATAGTTAAATAAAATATTTTCTGCTGGGTTTTATTTCATGCTTTTGATTCCCAGGTAAGATTTAAATTGATTCAGGAAAGTGATCACAAAATTATGTATATTTGATTTGCTGACTTGGGAGACAAAAAACAAGAAAGTGAACAACAAAGAAGGGGAGAGAGAAAGGAAATGACAAAGACATACTAATGGCACTCTGGTTAGCAATTTTGAAAAGGGTAACAGATTATTTGATCTTGATATAAACATCCTTCTATCATAAAGCAGATATGCAACTATGGTCACTGAGCTGGAATGCAAAGTTTTATAGTCTGAAAGCAATTTATGCAACTAGTGTTTAAAAATACTGAAGTCATTTAGAAATGTAAACTGAAAAGCTTTTTAAACAGCATCTTTCTTATATGGAATGAAAGGGATAGGAGCAACATACAAACTTTGACATTTGACTGCATTTATAATCCTGACACATTTGGTAAACATTTTGATAACATTAACTTCAAGCTTAAAGAAATGGCAAGGATATGTTCAAAACTTGGGTTTCTTAAATTTTATATCTGATCAGTTACATCCCTAACTTTTTACATCATCTTCCAAGAAGAAAATATCTGATTAACCCAAGAATCAGTAGTTTCCATTAGCAGAGTTCTAAAATGTACAGCTTAAATATAGAGCAAATAAAGAATAGTTGTAATTGTGGTGTATATTTCATTTGTTCATTCTCCTCAATTAAAGCAAACATATCCCATATATTATTTCAGTTATACCTATTTTATTAAAATATATTCTGTGAGATCATATTCGAGCTATTATAGACATAAGAATTTAAAAAAACATGCTCACCTCTGTTTAAAAGCCCCTAGTCAGTGGAAGATACACACATAACAAATAATGGATTTCAGTTACCTATAATAAATGCCATAATGGAAGTATTTAAGAGCCCTAGGAAAACACCTGGAAAGGAGAGGTAATTATTACCTTAGGAAATCTAACAAGACTCCTTTAGTAGATAACAATTAGGCTGGCCTTTAATGGAAGGGTAGCTAGACAAGTAGCTATGGGTGATCAGGAAAAAAAGTAGAAGAAAGGTACAACAGGAGATAATAGTGTAAACAAAACAGGGCATAGTCTTTAAACAAAAGATTGATTGGTCTGAGCCTCTTTATTCCTCTACAATTCAGTTTTTCTCTCCCTTTCTGGATATCATAATTCAGCAAACTGTTAAGCAGCCATCCAGCATTTTTGCCACACTTCTATGTTCATAGATAATTTCCTAAGACTAACGCCATATTGAAGGATTCAAGAAAATATGACAGTAGCTTGATTCATCTTGGTGTAATACTAATCTTAAAAAACATATAAACAATCTATATGACAAATATTGCTTGATGCTTTTTAAAAATTTATATGGACTTATGTGGTACATTGTAATAACACTGCAGCTAACAAAGTTGAGAGAATTCTTACTATGCAAATACTCAGGTCATTATTTGCATACATCTCGAAAAAGTTAAGTTCTTTCAATATAGTATATATACAAAATTAGCCAACAGGAATATTAATCATTGGACTATGTCTCATGCCAATATAGAAAAAGCCCCTAAACTAGCTATCATGAAAATTACCGGAGTCATAGAATAGCCAGGCCTCAGAAAATCTGGGGACTGGCTAGTTTTTCAACATCCAAAGTAACCCTACCAACTATCTCCTCAGAATCAGAAACCTACCAATACCCATTTTGTTCATAGTTATCGGCTACTTTATTTGTTTCTTCACATTGTATATCTCCATCTTTGGCTTATATTGCTGCTACCAAACCAATATCACTCTTTTCTGTAAAGGTGTTTTTGGCTTGTACTTATACACAGATTCTGTTTACTCCTGTCCACTGCTACTTCATGGTCTCTTTTTCCCTCTCATCACTATCTATTCCCACTACCAGGTTGTAGTAGTCTGTTCTCATGCTGCTAATAAAGACATACCCAAGACTGAGTAATTTATAAAGAAAAAGAGGTTTAATGGATTCACAGTTACACATGGCCAGGGAGGCCTCACAATCATGGCAGAAAGCAAAAGCCATCTTACATTGCACCAGGCAAGAGAGAGCATGTGCAGGGGAACTCTCCTTTAGAAAACCATCAGATCTTGTGAGACTTACTCACTATCAAAAGAACAGCATGGGAAAGACCTGTCCCCATGATTCAATTACCTCCTACCAAGTCCCTCTCATGACACATGGGAATTATGCGAGCTGCAATTCAAGATGAGATTTGGGTGGGGACACAGCCACGGCATATCACAAGCAAACGACTTCTGGCTACTTACAGTTCAGATTGCTAAGAAAAAGAAGATGTGTAGTCCTTATGCAGTTTTTACACTGATAACTAACTGCTCTTGATTTACAGGCCAAATCTAATGTAATCACATTTAACCACAGCGATGGCAGCCTTGTAACAATGTCATGTCAACTTACACAAAAGGAAATTCTGAGGCTAGGTGTAATGTACACGTACTTTTCAGAATACTCAATTCTGTTACGAAACGTGAATAGGTCTACAGTTTGTAAAATATAAAAATTTTTCATGTTTTAAGTATTTAAAAACTAGCTTATAAGCAAAGACCTTGTTAGACATAGGTAGAAATCATAGGCGGTATTAAATATAAGGGATTAGAATATAAATGTTGAACACAGAAAATAATGGACAGATCAGAAGATACATAATATTCATAAGGTCCTTGTGTACAAAAGATTTAGGATATACTAAATATTGAGAATGTAGTAAATATGCATGAAGCATATGAAACACTCAATATTCTTGAGTAATTAGTTGGTCACCGATTGGAGACCCCCTCATTCTGGCCTCATATCACCCCTGCCCAAGAAATTCAAATGAAACTCAAAACTGTTCAGCAGGCTATTGACAAGCTACAGATCTGACAGGTACTGTCCCTGTGTTTCTCTCATAAGAGAAAGTTTATGTCATTGGCCTGGGCCACCTTCCATTTGTGGGCCCTCTTTCTCACATCTAAACTTACCAGTAACCACACCATCAGGGCGGAAGGTAGAAGAGAGAAAGGCAGGACATACGAACATAACATACCCCAAGATTCAGGAAATGTGGTCCTCTCACCCCACGTATGCTATCCTATATGTATTAACTACCTCTGTCTCTTTGCTCTTTCTTCCTGTTAGTGTTCTAAATATGATTCGAGAACATTCGTTTGTGAGCCTTTCTGTTCTGTGACCTCTGAGTTCACTTTCCTGGTACTTTACTTGGAGGTTACCATTGCATTAAGGTAATTTCCCACATGACATTTGATTTTCCCAAGACTCATAAATAAGACATCTTTATTTTAGGTTTGTTGCTTAATATCACCCAAGTGGAGTATAAAAAGGATATAAAACAATAGTATACTAGAAACCAGAGGGAGAGCCTTGGAAAGAAGGGAATTTTATTGCTCCTTGGCCTTTTGGCTAAGATCAAGTATAAGAAGGGAACTTAACGTTCACCTCTTTGTATTCTTTTTAGTATGAAGTAAAAAAAATACCCTCATAGGGTTCTATGTTTAATAGCTAGTTGTATTTATGTTTTATATTTTGTTACTAAGAATAATATAGCTTCTAATCAGGATCTTTCCATTATTGATTTAATGCAAATCCATCAGTATTTGCATTCTACAAAATATTATACCTCAGCTATATTATTACTCTAGTCAAATTTGCCTGAGAAACCCAATTGCTTTCACCATCCCAACATAGTAAAAATTGATATGATTGAAATTCATTTTGTCTTTTTTTTTTTTTTTGAGATTGGTTCTCACTCCATCGCACAGACTAGAGTGCAGAGGCGTGATCACAGTCCATTCAGCCTCAACTTCTTGGGCTCGGGTGATTCTTTCATTTCAGCCTCCCATGTAGCTGGGACTACAAGCACTCAGCACTATACTCAGCTAATTTTCAAATTTTTTGTTGAGACTCAGGCTGGTCTCCAACTACTGGGCTCAAGCAGTCTGCTCACCTTAGCTCCTAAACTGCTGGAAGAAATTCATTTTATATCTTTGTAATTTTCATTGGTAACATTTGGAAGAAACAATAGTCCTTGTTCTATCAATGGTATCAGACTGTATCCATAAAACATTTATGTAATAACTCATTGTTCAAGTAGAAAGGGATTTAATGTACATCTAGCTCAATATTTCCATGGTAAATAGGAGTAAACCCCTGTCCATAGAACTGTCACTCTGAAGGCCCTACAGGGAGTTTAAAAAGAACATGGATTAGCAGAATATCTCCTGACTTTGTTTTAATTATTCTAGTGTAACCTGCAGTTGGAATTGTAGAGTTGGAATTTATATTTGAATTACTTCCTATACTTTCTTTATACTCTGTATTAGTTTTCTATTGATGCCATAAAAAATTACCACAATTGTAGTGGCTTGTAACAATACATTTATTATTTTAGAGTTCTATAGGTTAAAAGTCCAACATAATTCTCATGGAGCCAAAATCAAGGTTTCATCAGAGCTCTGTTCCTTTCTGGAGGTTCAAAGGGAGATTTTATTTCCTTGTCTTTTCCAGTGTTAAGGCACCACCTTCTACCACTTTCAAAGCCAGCAATCTTATATCTCTCTGACCCTTATTTTTTTCATTGTCACATCTTCCTAATTGGGGAAAGGGTCTCCCCTTTTATAAAACCAAGTCTTCACTTTGGGTCTACCCTGCTAATCTAAGATAATCTGCCCAGTTCAAGGTTCTTAATATAGTGGTATTTATAAAGTCCCTTTTCTGAGAGGTAGCATTTATATAGGTTCCAGGGTTAAAATATAGACATCATTGGGTACTGTTAAATTCCTCCTACCATATACTCCATCCTTAAAATGATCCAATACTTTTTTCATTGAGGTTTTATAATCATGTTTCTTTAATGGCCTTTTTTTTTTTTTAAAAAAAGGTCAAGATATGAATATCATCGTATTGGAAGAAAAAATACTGAAAAACTTCTTTGGTAAAAATACAGTGATATACTAATGCAACTCTAATAGGCATTATAATTATTGTAAAACCATTGGTGAAACATATGAAGCTATGACAAACCCTCCTCTCCATTCATTGGTAATGATATCACCATGAAACATGGCCATTAGTTAAGGTCCGTTGAATATGGCACGTCTTTCCCATAAACTGCAGGTAAGAGAAGGCTCCAATAACTTACACAATTTAAATGGCTAGATTTCTACTTCTTAAGGACAGAATTCTGGAAGGTCAGGATAAAGCATGCATAGTTAGGACTAGATCAAAATCTCACCAAAAAGTGAAAGTGCCTATTGTAAAGCTATCAAACTTTGACTACTTTTCCTAATATTAAATAATTTGTTTAGTATTAATGATTTGTTAATACTAGGAAGAACAGTCAATCTAAAGTTGTATCTGATAGCCTCATAACTGCTGTGAAAAACAATGGTTTTATGTTGAATTTAAATATTTTGAGTTTATTTTTACTTTTTTGCTCTATGGCAAGGCTATTCCTAATTTTCCTGCTTGATTAGTTACATAGTCCTTTCAATACTCATTTTAGAAATATCCTGTTGCATCTTGCACTTTCATTTGTATTAAGAAAAATATAATGAATAGAGAGGAAATATAAGAACAAGAGGGCCCAGTTCAGACATATCTCTTCACTACTTGAGTGAAGTGAACTAAACTAGATACCATTTACCTAATGTCTAAAACGAAGGAATAGAATTATCATCCCACTTCTTTCAACTTCAAAACACTATTGTACTAATTGATCTAATCTTTTTCAATCTCAATGTGAAATGTGATTTTCCCCATTTCTAACTTGCAGCTAAGTTTTGTCTTTGATGGAAAAGTTGTTGTCTTTACTGCTAAAACTTTTGAACTGTATTAATGCAGTATCTTTTTTAGTTTAGTTTAAAACTAAACATATTACAAAACATATGGATATGTTCTCCTAATTATTAAACAGTAATACTTAATCTCCATTGAGCCACTCTTCTAAACATACTACATGTCTTTTGTTAAAGCTTTACAACACCCAAATCAGCAATGGAGAAATGACATACTAGCAACCCATTTTTGCTATACCTCGGATAGACATTAGAGCTTGCATGATTAAGACTGCTTATTGAACACAGCAGTCAGAACATTGCCTATAGAGAACATTGCAGAATGGGGAATCTGAGTAGCACTTGCCACTTTGTGTTATTAACTTCAACTGTCAATAGGTTACATGTCCTCCAGCTACAAGAAAGGCTAGCAAATGAGTTTTTTACTTCTACCTTGGGGGGGACATAGACAAAAGAAAGAACATTTCTTAAATATATGTTTGGAGCTGGTGGGGAGCCAAAAACATGACAAATATGCACTACTGTGAGAAATAAAAATTACTGAATCCTTAGTCCCTGTATTAAATGGAGAGGCTGATTCATTTAAACATTAGGTCATGCATGCATGTTAAAATTACAAAGATTAAAAAATAGAACCAGAATGAGAAACTTCCCACCAATAAGAGGGGTTACTAAAATATTTAGTCAATATAGTTTGAAAGAAGGAAAAGAAGAAAAAATTTGATGACTGAAATTTCAAAATAAGACAGTAAAAATAAGTCAAAATTTATCAATAATTATTGGTTAAAAGATAGACACACTGAACTTGTAGATAATAATTTTTAAATTCAGCTATATGCTACTTCTAAATCAAAAGATTGAAATTAAGGGGATTTAAAAATATATATTTTATATGTATGTGTATATATATATAATATATAGAAATAAAAAATATATATAAAAGAAAACAATATATACCTCAAGGCAGAAATTGAATATAGCTGTATTATTATTTTTTTAAAAAAGGAGACTTCAGGCTTCTTGAGCAAGGTGGCAGAATAGGAGGTCACTTGGTTGTATAACCCCCACAGCAATAAGAAGTCTACTTTGGTGCATGAACAAGTCTTTTGTGAGAGCCTGGGATTCAGGTAAGAAATCATGAAACCTCAGTGGATCCCAAGACCTAGGAGGGTCATTTTAAGAGTAGAGACCTGGCTGGGCACAGTGGTTCACACCTGAAATCCCAACACTTTGAAAGGCTGAGGTGGGAGAATCACTTGAAGTCTGGAATTCTAGACTAGCCTGGCCAGCGTGGTGAAATCCTGTCTCTACTCCATAAAAAAAAAAAAAAAAAAAAAAAAGGCATAGTGGCACATGCTTGTAATCCTAGCTGCTGAGGCGGGAGAATCACTTGAACTTGCAAGGTGGATGTTGCAATGAACCAAGATCGTCCCACTGCACTCCAGCCTGGGCAACAGAATGACTTCATCTCAAAACACAAAAACAAAAAAGAGTGCAGACCTGCATCCAGGTGGCAGACATACTAATCCTGCTCCTGGGTTCAGACTTGAAAATGGCCCCATTCCATGCCCTGTTTGGCCTTATGCCTGCTGCCAACACTATCCACAAGGGGTCCAGGAGAAAGCACATACACTAATGCCTCAGTCTTGGAAACAGACCTGAAAGTTTCTGTGTAACTTGACTTTTGCCCCCTTTGTCTGTGGTCCCAGCTTAGTACGACTCACACAAGGACCCCAAGAAAGATTTGCCCTTCTGTGCCACAAAGACAATATGCTGCTCTATCTCACCCCACATCCTGAAATGGCCCTGTCTTGGATCCAGTCCCTGTTGCTGCAGTCTGGGAACTATCAGGAAGGTATAGAGATCTGCCAGATTTGCCCAACTGAGTCCCCAGGCAGGCTTCCCCGCCTCTGTCTCACAGCAGATCCTGAAGGGCCTGGTATCAGACTCACCTGCTCTGTGCTGCGAGTAATCTCTCCCATCCAGAGAACTGATGGACTCACCTATCTGTGCCACCATAAGAGGCATGCCAACCTCCATTCCACAGCAGATCCCTAAGGGGCCCTGAAGCTCAGCTTCCACCCTCTTGGCTACAGCCTGAGAGCAATCTTGACAAACAGTGAACTTCTGGGAGACACATCCATTTGTGCCAATGGGACAGGTTTTCTAGCCTCTGTCCCACAGAAGTTTTTGAAGAGGCCGTGATTATCAGCTCCAGATCCTCTCAGCTACAATCTAGGAGCAAATATGTTCTTTTCTATTTCAATTAGAAAGATCATAAACACTTTGTGTTCACATGAAATAAACAATATGGACTTAGAGTTTTACCCCAGAACTGTATTATCCCTCCAGCCCCCTGTCAGAATACATCACAAAGAAGTCTCAATTTTTCTGGACATCCTCCACAACATCACATTGATCTATTACAGTGATAATTCATGTTGATCAGGTCAGACGAGCAAAAAGTTACCAGTATTCCTGAATCTTTTGTAAGTCATGTGAGCTCCAGAGAGCAGAACATAAACTCTATGCCTAACAAACTTGCAAAATTGTAGGGGTTCATTGATCAGGAGCATACTAGGACATCTTTTAAACATGTTAAAAAGATAAATTGACTCTTGCAGGTTCTACCACAAAGAAGGAAGCATAACACCTGGTGGGCCCCTTGGAGCTTTAGAGGCTGCAAATAGCACACCTGGAGGTAAAGCTCCAGCTCATATGCCAGGTGATGCAAATGGCTGCTTAATTTGAATGAGGCTCAGAGAAGGAAAGGCTTCTACAGCAGGTTCAAGCTTAGGCCATATGACCCAGCAGACCCTATAGTGTTGGAGGTATCCATGGTGCAAAAAGAAGCTATGTATAGTTTGTGGCAAAGCCCCTTGGGAGAACACTAGTGAAGACCTGTGAGGCTGTAGGCATGGACGTGCCATCTGCAATGAGAATTATACATGTATTTTCAGAAACAACCACTGGTATATAAGTCCTTCCTGGTAGAGATGGAGGACCTGACTATAGGACATTAAGTAAATAATAGCCCACAGCCATAGTAGCTCATCATGAGCTGGATCTTGTCAGACCCACCCACTTATAAGTTGGGCAGTTGCAGCAAAATTCATCATAACTCTGAAGTGCAACATCTGGGAACAAGCTTGAGCAATATGAAGCCAAAGCAATCTGTTCTAACCAGTGTTCTCCAGAGAGACAGAACCGATAGGATACAGTGAGAGATCTATGAAAAGGATCTTATTAGGGGAATTGACTTACACAATTACAGAGGCTGAGAAATCCCACAATAGGCCATCTGGAAGCTGAAGAACCAAGAAAGCCGGTAGTGTGGTTCAGACCAAGTCCGAAGGCCTGGGAATCAGGGAAGCTGGTGGTAACATTCTCAGTCCAAGGCTGAAGGCTGGAGAGCCTAGGAACTGCTGGTATGAGTCCTAGAGTACAAAGGTGGAAGACCTAGAGCTCTGACATCCACGGACAGACAAGCACTGCCAAGCTCTAGGAGAGAGTGTGCGAGAAATTCTCACCCTTCCTCTCTCTCCAATCCATCTGGTCCCCCAGCCAATTGGATGGTGCCTGCCCACATTGAGGGCGGATCTTCCTCACTCAATCCACTGACACGCACCAATCTCCTCTGGAAACACCTTCACAGACACACCTGGGGCAGTCTAATCATTCTAATCAAAAGTAAAACTACCTGGGTTTCCCTTTCAGCAGAAGCAGAATGGGCTCAGTGCCTATTGAAACATTGAAAACAAACAATTCAACCTATTCATTTTAACTTCAACCTAGTCAAGTTAACACCACAAATCCTACAAGCTTATGAAAAGTAGCCCCAATTCCCCTGGCACCCACCACTGTTGTACCAGCAGCTTTCCCTCAGATCACGCCTAAGGTTGTTTGGGGGCTGACTTAGTGTATGGGTGCATAATGGATGGTAGCTGAATTACAGCCTAATGCAGGGGTGCCCTGAGACAGTGGGGACAATAGGTAGGAAAAACTTTGTTAATTAACAAAGCTTCAAATTATATGTCTGGTCATCTACACTGTGTAAAAAGAAAAAAAGGCCTGAAGACTCACTGGCAGTGGAAAATGCTTTGGATGTTTGACACGGAAAAAAAGGAAAGGAAAAGATTGGAAAGAAAGCTACAGGAGGTATGAGATAGAGGCATATGGATGGACATATGGAAGCAGCACAGTGTGAATATTGTTACATCATATGTTAACACCCATGACAGAACATCCCCCATAAAAGAGGCATGAATTTAAAAGGATCCAGCTGGTGGTGTCAGCCAGCCCATATCATTGGTCACTCCAGTGCTGGCACAATGGGCATATGCACAAAGTGGCCTGAAAGGCAGATGTGGAGACCATCTCTGTGCCCAACAGCATGTGCTCCTACTAGATGACCTACCTAAGGCCAATGTCAAATGTCCAAACAGATAATAATGAAGACCAACATTGAATCCCCATTTTGGCACCATTCCTTGAGGAGCCCACTGACCAGGTGGTGGCTTATTGACCAAATTTGGAAAGGCTAGCAGTTAGTTATCAAAAGAATAGACATTCAGAGTTTGGGTTTGTCTTTCCTGTATACAGGGTCTCAGCTAGCGTCACTGTTTGAAGATATACAGAGTGATCAATCTACTGGCAGAGGATCTCACCAAATACTGCAAAAGACCAAATGACCAACTTAAGAGCAAAAAAGCCTTTGCTTACCTGGCGCATACACAACCAGATGCTATATAATGTAATAAGAAGATGCAGTGAAAATGTTCTAACAAATTGCCAAAGACCAAACATGGCTGGCATCAGAATGTGTAGCTTCTGGGAGCTGCAGCTTGTCCTCCCTGAATCCCAGCACGTGTTCAAGGTGAAGATTAAGGGAAATCCTGAGAAAGCTTCCCTAGCAAAGTCACCTGGGGGAGAGGAACAATTGCCCCTCTTAGAAATTCCAAACAGACCCATCTCACCAATCTTCCTTAAAGAAAAAAGCCATAATCTTCAGGGGAAACAGAAAGAACAATTGTCACCTTAAGGCACTAGAAACCCCTTGCAACTAGGAAAAGGGAATTTAAAAAATAAAATTAAAAGCTCTACGTGGAGGCGGGGCAGGAATACTTGCTAGTCCCAGTACTACAGCTAGAAGAGGGATGAGAATGATTGCAAAGGCCACACTCCACAAGCTCATAGAGACTGCCAAGACTAAGGTTTAACGAGTACATTAGAGAATACCCTTCCTTCCCAGCTTCCCACCACCTAGGTAACAAACATTGAGTGAAAATCACAGTGGAACACAACTGAGAGAGTGGCAAGAGACAGATTCTCATCAGGAAGCAGACATTGAGAAGCACTCTCCAATAAATTAGCCCACACCTAAACATGTGGTATCACTAAAGGCATACAAAGCCTTTAAGCACTGAGCATGACCATAGCAACATCAAAGTTCAACCCAAACCCAACTTTTGACTAGATCACTACAAACTTTCACACTAAAGCTGTAGAGGAAGGAAAAGTATGCTCACCTCCAAGCATAAAATACACTTGCCTCAAAATCTGCTCTGCTATAGAACATGTCTGGCTTCCGACCAAAATTACAAGGCATTTGACAAGTTGAGAATAAACACAGCCTGAAGATACAAAGTAATTATCAGAACAAGACTCAGATGTAACCCAGATGCTATAACCAACAGGGAATTTAGAATAACTATAATTAATATGTTAAAGGTCCTAATAGAAAAGTTATACAATATGTAAGAAAACACGGGTAATTTTAGCAGAGAGATGCAAACTATGGGGAAAGAATCAAATCAAATGTAAATACTAGAAATAAAAAACACAGTAACAGAGATGAAGTGTTCTATGAACTTCAATTTTCAGATCTCTAAAAATGAAATTTAGTTATTTAGCACTTCATACTTCTACCAATATGAAAGTTCAGACTGATTTGACCTATCAAGTGTTTTTAACTTACTAGTATCTCGTTTGGATTGCTTGAGTAATAAAATTAATAAAAACAAGAAAATCCACCATAAAGTTATTTTACTGACTCAGTTGTGTTTAAGACATGTGTATGTGTTTGTGTGTGTAATATGAAAATGTACCTTTTAACTTCATTAAATTTAATCAAAATAGCTGAATTAATTTCTTCATATAGCCCAATTTTGAGTAGACATGTTGGGGTGCAAAGACGGGAAAGGCCTTTGTGTCTGAAACTAAGAATGTTACTTATTCTATAAATTTCTGCATATCACGGAAGTATGCAACCTTTCAGGCAGCAATAATTTTCTATTACAGCCGAAGGTAAACTTCCTGGAGAATTCTGTTAAATTAAGTTGTTCTGTGAGAACACAATACTCTACGTGATATAAAACAGCCTCCAGAAATTTACTAAATCGCTTTCTCATTAAGCTGTATTTTGGAAAGTATAAATGATCAGTTTAAGCATTTCTACTCAGCAGAGTGCACATAAGACAAGATCAAGAAAAACTTGGATGACAATTCAATTAATGTTCTGTGGAATAGTGCTGTTAAAATACAATAATCATGCAAGTTTTGCCCACAGGTACTGCTGTTAATAATACTCTTTGTAATTTGTTAAGTGCTGACAGTGAGCAGGCACAGCCCCTGCCCTGGGACGCTATAATATAGAACTTAGACAGCCAAGGAAAGTTGAATAAACTATACCAGTTAATGTTAGGCTTTGGGGCTTAGGTCCGTCTATAAATTTGTCTTTCTTTTCTCTTCATTTCCTCCCCTTTATTCTTGTAAAACATCTTATATAAAATAAATACCCTACTGTATATTTTTTTCAGGTTTCTCATAGCTAGTTTACATTAAATAATTCATGAGCTAATTTATAACATGTAAAGTCCTTTACAATTGTTTAAGGCGGTATCGCTCAAACTCCGTGACAACTTTTTGCAGAAAGAATTTGACATTAAATTCATAAACATTGGTAAATAATGAAATATACTAATTACTAAAATTATCCTATCTCATTGTCAGTAAAGGGGTTCTATTTTATAATAGTTGGAAAACAAAAAAGAAGAAAAGAAGGAAATAAGACCCGTTAACAACACTATTTGTTCACAGTCGTTGATATCTTTGTTTCACCTAACAAGTTTTCTGTATTGTATTTGAAGTGGATTTTGTTCTAAAGTGAGTTTGCCTTAAGACGTTATTTTTAAAGTCTTTGTTTGAAGTAATCTCAAACATACACATGTATATTTATAATTTTAAACAAATCTTTTATTTAAGCACATAAATATAGAGTAGAATTAGACATTGAACATTTGGAAATCATGAGTTTGATGTTAATTACTGTTTAGATAAACAGAAATACATTGTTACCTTCATAGAAGAGAACTATACCATCACAAAGCCATTTAAACAAAAACCAAGATCTAGCACATATAAGTATGCTTCTAGGATGAAAATCCAGCTTATAATCTATCTTCAATTTTTATGAGCTTATTTATCCTGAGATAACATTTGAAAGGCTTTCCAGAAATAGGAAAGCACACGTTTCTGGTTCTAATTTAAATAGTCATATGTGACCTTAATGTAGTAAGAGGTATTCCAGCCAGGGTAGTTTCTTCTATGGATCAAGTATATTTTTGTTAAATTGTAAAAATTTAAAACAAATGTCTCCCAAGCTGAAAAAAAATCCTCAAGGGCATCATCAGTCATAGGTTTAAAACACATGCCCAAATAATTAACAGCCAAATCATAGTAGAAAAAAATAAGAGCTTTTCCTGAACAATTTGTGGTATTATTTAAAGTCTTCTCTTACAAGGAAATTGTTCTAGAATGACTGAGTTTCTCTTTGCACTTTCACTCAATAAACATTAATGAGTCGATTATGTAAAAGTAAAGAAAAACAGAGATGCATTGAGCACTTTTGTGATTTTATCCTTTAAAAATTCTTTAGATTTTTTTAAGTTATAGAGAATTAAATGACACGATAGAAAATATTATTTAAAAAGCTTTCCTCTCCCTCAAGCTCCCTTTGATGCCCAACATACATTCCCATCTTTTCAGGTGTTTCAACAGTTTGTTGTCTATTCCCCAATTCCTTTCTACATACTCATACAAGCATATACACACACATCTCAAAGGAAATACTATGTGTACTGCATTGTGAATTCATTAAAATATTGTGATATAATTTATACTCCTTTCCATATCAGTAGAAAATGTCCATTATTAAAAAGTAATCGAGAATTTTTCATAATAAGGTGAGCCATAAATTATTCATTCACCTACTGACAAATATTGTGGTTTTCCTCTAGTTTCATGCCACTATGAACAATGAGCAATAAACATCCTTGTACAATATCCCTATGTGCCCTGACTTATGTATCTCTAAGATGGGTTTCTTCAGGTAATACTTCTGAATCAGCAGCATGTGTCATTTAATTTTTTTAAAGATGGCCAGTTCCGTTTCCCAAGGGGGTTCAGCACGCACTTGCAGAAGCAAGGTATGACTACTCCCACCTCTCACATCCTCATTTCCACTGACTCCTGTATTCATTTTATTTCAATGGGTGAAAAAAAAATCAAATCAAGATGTTTTGGCTATAATCCATATTATTCTCCATGGTGAAGTTGGGAAACTTTTCATGTGATTATTTCATGTATGCATTTCCTGTTCCCTCAATGGCTTATTCTATCCTTTACCCACTTTCCTTTTTGACTACTGCTCTTTCAAAACTAATTTATAAGAGCTCTTTTTACATTAAAGATATTAATACTTTGTTTTATGTGTTTTTCTTACTTTTCAAGTGTGATATGTTATAATACACACATTTTTAAAATGAAGTATATTTTTTAATGACTTTTAGTTTTTCTATATTATTTCAGAAGGCTTTCCCAACCAAAGATTATTCAAATATTCCCTGATAATGTAACATTTGTGTCACTTGCATATTAGGGAATCCACCATAATAGAGACTGTGTAAACTTTAGTAAGGAAAGCTGACATTTGAGAGTTTACGAATAGCTTCCATACATTGTCACCCATGATATTTGCTCGCACTCTCATTGATCAAAGACAAATAAGTGAAGAAAGAGGCTGGCAGATGTCCTCAAAGAGTACTGTCCTCTGTAACCTAAGAATGAGCACCTCTTTAACAGAGGGAAGTTAGAATGAATGGAAGTTAGAGATTATTTAGTCCACTTATTGAGTGGACTTTTAAGGAGTATGCATATGGGGCACAAATGTCTTCTACTCTAGGGCCACTTCAAAGTTCAGGTGCATAATGCTTATGTGGGTTTCTTTCTCAGCATCCTTTGATTGGGTTCCTTCTTAATTTCTTACAACCTTGGGAAACCATAAACCGCTGTTCATTAATCAGTATAGAAACTTATTTCATACCAACCCTCTTTCCAGCCAGGTGGACAAAAAAGGTGTAGATTTGATATTCCGTGGGGGATCTTCAGGACTATCCTGGACACGGCTGTAGCATTGCAACAACGCACTAGTGGTTTGTTGAAGACAGCAAATTTCAGAGAAATCCATAAACAGAATTGTTTCTATTGCTGTAGATTTTTAGAGTTTAAGAGAAAAAATTCCCAAATCCATAGCTGCGTATTAATTATTGGAGGCTATACTTGTTTGCCCAAGTAAAAAAAAAAATCACATCTAGAATAGCAATTAACTTTGATTACATTTACAACATTCCATTATTATTCTCCAGGGCCATCTGTCATCTGCACAGGTGAGTTAAGTAGGAATGTGGAAAAAAAAAGGCAACACTCTTGCATCTTTGAAGCCTTTTACAGAGGCACTAATCACTGCGGTTTCCTCAGTAATTCAGGGTTGCTTTGATTTATTATTTTGGTTTGGAGAAGGAGTTCTAATGGTTTACATTTGGTGTCTGATCACAATAGTTCTTACCTTATATGTCAGGAAAACTCCTGATCTTCCAATTCCATAGTATTTCTATTCATAGTACGCATTCAGCAACTGGAGAAAAAACATAGCATTGTGACAGAGATTGCAACATTTTTACCAAAATACATTTCCCGTTTCTCCTTGAGAACATGTTAGTTTATATTTCCTACCCTCCCATGTAATCAGATTTTGCCAAAAGAATGTGAGCCGCCATTATGTGTGCCACTTTAAGGTATTTTGAAAACAGGTCTACTTCCTTTTGTGCCTTCCCCTTCCACAGGCTGGGTGCAGACAACAAGATTATAGGAGATGAGTAAACCCTAAGAAGAAAGGAGCTTGGTTCCTAAAGCATAAGGAACATTGCCTGGTTTGTTACAAAATTGTGAAATAAATTTCTATGATGTTTGAACCACTTTATATTGTTTGTTACCATTGCCTAATGAATGCAGAAAATATATTTTTGTTGTGTTTCAGCTATATTGAGGATTATATTTGTTACTATCATGAATACAGTATAGATTCAGGATTTCATTAGGCCTATCATATCAGACTCAGATCAAAATACATTTTTGACTTTCAGAAGTCCCCACCCAAGCATGTAAATTGCCACGGATATTGAGTCTTCAGGTATTAGTGTGCTCGGAGCTAGTAAGCAACAATAAGGCCTAAAAGATCTGAGCAGTAGTCTACTCCTCAAAGCAAAGTGATCTTAGTAGTACCAGGTTCTCTTCTGTCAGGCAAGGAGGAGGGTTCACTTACAATATTATCATCAGGTCTTCTCAGGGCCGTCCAGGTTTTCCTTCATTCAAGGGCCTGTGGACTATCTGACTGAGCCAGGCTTGAGAATTCAGTAATAAAACGATTATCTTCTCTTATAATGGGTGGTCAGACCTAGAGGATATTTTTGTTTTCTTGTTCTGTTTTGTTTTTATGTTTTTTTAACCCAGAAAAAATAGGTGGCTCTAGGAAGCTGCCTGTTCATTTTGCCTCTAACAAGCCTATGATATATTAGCAACCACCCAAATCTCTGTGGGTCAGGCCATTTGGATTATCTTGCCAGTAACAAATCTACTTTGCCTCTGAGATTAAGTGCCGCTATGTCACCCAGGATTTTAATTGCCACATTGGAGTCAGGGAGACCATTTCAACTGCATCCCATATCAGCACTGGCAGCCTCAAAGAGGAGCCACTAGTGTATTTTTAAATATGCTGATAAGCCTCTCATCAACTCCTGTCATTTCTCAAGGCCTTGGAGAAAGGAGTAGTTTCTAGACCTTCTTGAGAGTCATAAATTTCATATGATCAATGCTCTCTAGCATCGCAATCTCCTGGCCTTTGATTTTTTTCTTCACCAATACACCAAGGAAGTTCTGAACTGAATGGAAGTTAGAGATTATTTAGTCCACTCATAGAAAGCCCGTGAGTTTCAGCACGCGCTTTAAGCTGATAACTTTGAAATTTGGGCCTCTCATTGGCCTTTTGTAAGGCCATTAGAAGTAGATACCCGACCCCAAAATTCTTATATTCTATATGGCAAATATATGGTTGCAGATAATTCTGCTTTCAGTGCATTATTTAATTCCAGGAGATCGCAGACAATAATTTAAAGAAAATCTTTGTCATGATGTGTCATGGACTGACAGATTCTCAGTAATAAATATAAACAATATTCTTGGCCTCCAACTCTAACTACATACAACTCCCTGGATTTTTCTGTGGTCCCTTTGACTGCAACCTGCTCCCCGATACTAACTTGTCTAAGTCATGGTTCTTACTTGTAGCAACAGAACTGGATTCCGGCTCACCTTGGCAAAAAACAGTTTAATGGAATGACGTCATTGTGTAGATTAAAGAATTGATGGAAGGCTAAAAAAAACCAAGCTGTGAAACAAGGAGAAACCACAGGAAGCTGTCATTATAGCCAAGCCCCTGCCGCTGGAACAGCTGGTGAAGATGCTGGTGCATTGTCTCAGGATACTAAACAAACTACTGGCACCATCACCACCACAATCCCTGGACAATTCTGTTGAGAGGAAATCTAAAGTGCTCTTACCTTTGTGTTACTTGTTTCAGATTTGCCACCTATGGACATTCTATTAGCTGAGGTCATAAACCTGTACCCCAGTAGATAATGAGAATGAAAACCTAGACTATTATAATACTCTAGTGGAAATCAATCCCCATTTACCACCCCAAACCAGCACAATTCTTACCTGTGGGATTCCTATAATACATAACATGGGAAGGGGATTCCCATAATTCTCATCTGTGGGATTCACATAATGAGAAAAGAGGTCAAATAGTGGTCAGCCAAAACCTTAACAAATCAAATGTCACAATATCCTATCGACTTTAAATTCTATTTTCATTTCATGCTAATGGTTACCTTCCCATCTCTAGTCAACAAATAAAGGGAGTACTGTTCAAACTTTTTTTCTTTGCCAATGGACCCCTTTTTGTCTAAGAATAATTCTGATAACCATTTTTACTCACCCTTCTGTCTCTCTCTGTCTCTGTTTCTTTCTCTGTCTCTTACACACACACATACACATTTTGAATACCTGAAATAATCATAGAACTGTAAACAAAAAAGGCCTATATCAGTCTCATGTGAGTCAACCTCTTACCTCTGGGAAAACAGTGACATGGATATGGATGGCATTGTCTTTAGTTTCAGTCATTCAATTATCCAATAAACATTTATTGATTATTTAGCAAATGAGGGCATTCCTTCTAAGACTTGACACTACAAATAGTGTTGGAATTAAGCATCTTGCTAACTGGGAGAAAGGTATCACATTGTATAATGCAAGAAGCTTAAGATTTGTGTCAGACACAGTGATTTTAAGTCTTCAGGTAATGATCATTATAGTGATGATCATTGGTACTCAGTGGGATGCAGCTCAAAGGAATGCAATGGAAAAGTCCAAGCAGGGAGCTCTTGGCCCTGGATCAGTATTTCTTAATCTTGGAATTGGAGTCTCAACGGTTCTGTGTAAATTATGAGTGAAACTTTCAGTAGCAATGAAATTCCTGTATATAAGATCTAAGTGGTATGTGGAAAGGCCTAAAATATGGCCTTATATTTTCATAAAGCCAGAGAACTTTATTATAACATACTTTACTGCTTTGAGAATAACATACTTTATTGTTTTGAAGGTTGGGGATTCTCATTTTTAGATTTTTAATCTTGACCTCTTTTACTATTGAGAGGATCTTAAATACCTATTTAGGCAGAACAAATTCCTATATTGAGTTTTATATGTAACCCAAACAAACCTGAGACAGCCATGTGCTACGCTCAGAAATAAAACACAAGTCCCACATGCCTCCTCCTGTCCCAATAAGAATAGAAATAAATTTCATATGCCTTAAATGCATATATGCATAACTCATAACAAAACTTTGTAATAATCTCTTTTATTTATCACTTTTTCCAAAGCCCTTTTATCACTGCATAGAGGTTGCCCCTACAACATTTTGTATTACTTTCTCGAAAATTTCAATAAAACTCTCAAAACTCAGTTTTCACAGACTATTTTCTTTCTTGTTCTTTTTCCTTCCTTCCCAGTTTTTTTATTTTCATTTAAAAATATTGCTCTTCATACTAATAGGATTTGAAAGACCAGCTTTCATTCTTTTCACCCATTACTTGGCCCAGGTGCTGAGCAGGGGGGATTTAACATGTCCATTAGAAGGCAAAAGAGAGGGAAGCCTATATATATTTCTATCTTTTAATTTTGTGTGTCATATATTATTATGCTGACACTCGTCAATACATTTTTCTTTCATAATAGTCTGGAAGGCACAAAACAGTGATTGCATCTAGGGAGCAGAATTTTGGGATGGTGAGGGGGTAGGACAAAGTCATATATTGAAATGACAATTATTAGGTTGGTGCAAATGTAATTGCAGTTTTTGCCATTTGGTGCCATTTGCACCAGCCTAATATAAATAGATGCTATATCAGTGAAGACTGAATAGAAACACCACGTGCTATAATGACATAAAGCAGCAATGAGACCTAACTTGGTACTTCTGATGCTTGCGAAGAAGAAAGGTATGTGAAGAATAAGGAGGAGTTGTCATTGTTAATCTACAGGATGAGAAGGGACATGTTTCCATTAGAGGAAATGGTAATGTATACACAGAGACAGGAAAAACTATAGTATGCTATAAGAATTTAGAAAAATCCAAAAGGGAAGAATAGAATGTGATGGGACTGAAAATACGAAAGGACTGGGATCACGCAGGGCCTTTAGATTTTGTTAAGGAGTTTGAATTTTGTCCTGAGAGTAACTAGAGAATGACTGGAGGATTTTAATCAGAGGATATTATTTTCATTTTAAATGATCACTGTGGCCACAGAGTAAAGATTGGAATGTGGTAGAGCAAAGTGGAAGCAGGAGAAAGGTTAACAAAGTGTTGCAGTGGTACCACGGAAAGATGACTGCATCAGCTTAGTGCTAGAAGCACTAGAGAGAGGTGAGGAATTTAGGAGCTAAAGAAAAGAAAAAGAGAACACACGGACACAGGGAGGGGAACAATTCACATCGGGCCAGTTGTGGGTTGGGGGGCAAGGGGAGAGCATTAGGAAAAATATCTAATGCATGCGGAGCTTAAACCCTAGATGATGGGTTGATAGGTGCAGCAAACCACAATGGCACACGTAAACCTAAGTAACAAACCTACACATTCCACACATGAATCCCAGAACTTAAAAAAAAAAAAAAAAAAAAAAAACCCATGACTTGACTGGTTGGATGTGAGTGATAAAAAGATGCATGAGTTGGCCGGGTGCAGTGGCTCACGCCTGTAATCCCAGCACTTTGGGAGGCCAAAGCAGGTGGATCACCTGAGGTCAGGAGTTTAAGACAAGCCCGGCCAAGATGGTGAAACCCCATCTTTACTAAAAATACAAAAATTAGCCTGGTGTGGTGGTGGGCACCTGTAATCCCAGCTACGCAGGAGGCTGAGGCAGAGAATTGCTTGAACCCAGGAGGTGGAGGTTGCAGTGAGCCAAGATTGCGCCACTGTACTCCAGCCTAAGCAACAGAGTGAGACTCCGTCTCAAAAAAAAAAAAAAAAAAAAAAAAAGCATGAGTCAAGGACGGCTTCTTAGGTTCATGGTTCGAGCATTTGGGTGGATGATAGTGACTCTCACTTACCTGTGGAATCTTGAGGAAGGTCCCTATTCCCTTAACATTTAGTCACTAATGGCTAAAAATGAAACACTGAGAGTGTCACATATTTAGCTTAAGTCTTTCTGTAAATAGAGTCATCGAGATATAATTTATATACAAAACATTTAACCATTGTGAAGTGTACTATTTGAATGATTTGTGAAAAATATATACAGTTGTGTAATGAGTACCTTAATTGTGATAAAGAAGATTTTTATCACCTAAAATAGTTCCCTCATAGCCCTTTTCCCTCTTTGCCCCCAAGACCATCCCTAGCTCCTGGGACTGAACTGCTTTAATTACTTCAGTATTATCTTTTCTCCACTTTCATATAAAGGGAAGCTTCTTTCACTTAGAATAATGCTTTTGCAATTCATCCATTTTTGCATGCATCAATGGTTCTTTTCTTTTCATTGCTGACTTATGTTCTGCAATCTACTACAATTTGTCTATCTATTCATCAGTTGATTGACATATAGGTTTTTAGTTTGGGGCCATTATAAATAAAGCTGACATAAAATTCACATGAAAGTCTTGTGTATACCTACATTAATTTTTCTTGGGTAAATATCTAGGAATTGTGTTGGTGAGTTGTTGGGTAAATGTATATTTAAGAATCATAAGAATCTGTCAAACTGTTTTCCAAAGTGTCTATGCTAATGCTTTCACATGAACAATGCATGAGAGTTTCAGGTGTTCCACACCCTTGCAAACATTTGGTAATGTAGATAATTTTTATTCACTCTAATAGGTGTGTAGTGTTGTCTCCTTGTGGGTTCAATTTGCACTTAACGTGCATTGTCCTAGTTACTAATAATGTTGGCTATCTATATACAAAAATATGAACCTTGATGCTTATCCTACCTCATTTATCAAAATTAGGTCAAAATGGATAATAGTCCTAAAATTAAGAGTAAAAATTTTAGATCTAGAAAAAAAGTAGGAGAAAAGGATTTGATCTTGGCTTAGGAAACACTTCTTAGAAAACCAGAAAGACATTCTATAAAGGACAAATTAATAAATTGGACTTCATCAAAATTAAAAACTTTTGCTCTTTAAGATATCATTTAGTAAATAAAGGGCAAGCTACAAACTAGGACAAAATATTTACAAACTATGTATCTGTTAAAGGATTTTATTGAGAATATCTACATACAGTCATGCAACACTTATTGATGAAAAATTACATTTTTATTTATTTATTTTTTGAAATGAAGTTTGGCTCTTGTTGTCCAGGCTGGAGTGCAATGGCGTGATGTCAGCTCACCGAAAGCTCTGCCTCCTAGGTTCAAGCGATTCTCCTGCCTCCACCTCCCAAGTAGCTGGAATTACAGGCACCCGCCACCATGTCTGGCTAATTTTTTATATTTTTAGTAGAGACGTGGTTTCACCATGTTGGCCAGGCTGGTCTTGAACTCCTGACCTCAGGTGATCCACCCATCTTGGCCTCTCAAATTGCTGGGATTACAGGGATGAGTCATGGCACCCAGCAGAGGATACATTTTGAGAAATGCATCATTAGGTAATTTAATTGCTGTTTAAACATCATAGAGTGTTCTTATACAAACCTACATGATGTATTCTATGACACACTTAGGCTGTATGGTATAGCCTATATCTCCTTTGCTATAAACCTGTACAGCATATTACTATACTAAACGCTGTAGGCAATTGTAAAATAATCCTAAGTATTTGTTTATCTAAACATACCTACAGAGAAAGGTGAATTAAAAATATGATATAATATTATGGGACCACTGTCATATATGTGTTCTGCTGTTGACTAAAATATGCTTATATGAGGTACATGACTGTATATGTCTTCTTGTTTGCATAAGTTTTGAGGAGAAGTTTGCTGTCATTCTTAACTTTGTTTCTATAGATAATCTGTCTTTTTCCTCTGGCTGCTTTTCACATTTTCTATTTCCTTTCTGTTTTTAGCAATTTGCTTAAGATATGCCTTGGCAAAGTTTTATTAAGTATGTTATGCTTGCATGTATACATTATAGTTTTCATCAAATTTGGAAAATTTTCAGCCATTATTTTTTCAAATAGTTTCTCTTCCCATTTCCATTTCTCCTCTTCTTCTAAAACTCCAAGTACTTATATATTAGATATCTCGTTATTATCCCACAGTTCACCAACACTCAAGTCAACTCTTATCTTTTTCTTTCTGTGCTTCACTTTGGATAGTTAGTTTCTTTTGCTATGTCTTCAAGTTCACAGATACTTTTTTTGGCAGTATCTAATCTGCTGTCAATACCACCCAGTACATTTTTCATGTAAAATATTGTATTTTCCATCTCTATAATTTCAAATTGGGTCTTTTTATGTCACTCTTGATCAGGTTCATGCTTTCCTCTATCTTCATATACATTTACAGCATATCTGTAATAGCTGTTTAATGTTTTTGTTGGCTTATTTTATTACTTCTGTCATGTCTGGATCTGTTTTTACTAAGTGACTTTTCTCCTTGTTATGAGTCATTTTTTTCCCATGCTTGGAATTTATAATTGGATTTCCAGAGAATGAAAACTTTACATTGTTGTTGTTGTTGTTTTAAAATATTATTATTCCTAGCCAAGTGCGGTGTCGCATGCCTGTACCCTAGCCCTTTGGGAGGCTGAGACAGGTGGATTGCTTGAGTCCAGGAGTTTGAGACCGACCTGGGCAACATGGCAAAACTCCATCTCTACCAAAAATACAAAAATTAATCAGGCATGGTGGTGTATGCCTGTAGTCCCAGCTACTCAGGATGCTGAGGTGAAGGGACTGCTTAAGCCCAGGAGGTCAAGATTGCAGTGAGCCATGATTGAGCCACTGCACTCCAGCCTGGGCAATGAAGTGAGACCCTGTCTAAATGAAAAAGTATATATCTATATATATAATAATAATTATTAAGTAAAATGGACCTTGTTCTAGCAGGAAATTAAATTACTAGGAAACAGATGAACCATTTTGCAGCTATCTTTTAAGCCTTGTTGAGATAGGCCCACATGAAACCTTAATTACAAGGCTAATTTAATTTTATTACTAAGCAGATGCTTTTCTAAGAACATTATCTAGTACCCCTTGTATTATGATGACCTTCCACTCTAGCCAGTTGGAACTCATCACATTTGGAGTATTCTTTGGCCTTTAACGCTTTATGCCTCCCCGTCCCACCACTCACCCTATGCTGTAGGTGGTTTCTTCACATACATGTAGAAATCAGAACATAGACAATTAATTCAAAGTTCTTCCAGAAAACATCCAGAATTCTCCCTTCCTCTCTTTGTCATAGCGAATATTAGAGACATCTCAATTGGTTCAATTTACATTATCCTGACCAAACAAATTAAAATTGATCAAACTTTCCACCTGATGGCTGCCAAAACCATTGCACCCAGCTCAGCTACAAACAATAGCAGGGCTTTCAATGGAAATTTTAAATCAGTGGTACCAAAACACTGAAGCATTTCTTTGATGAATTGCAAAAGGAAATGGAATGTGGCTTCCCCAGTAAAATCCTGAAGACAAAGCACAATCAAAGCAATGGCTACCAAGAGGGGGAAGTGGTCCATTCAAAGCAAAAGCAGACCAATTAAGAGCAAAGGTCATGGCAACAGTTTTTGAGATGCTCAAGGAATTTTGCTTGTTGACTTTCTGGAGGGCCAAAGAATAATAACATCTGCTTATTATAAGGGTACTTTGAGAAAGCTAGCTAAAGCTTTAGCAGAAAATCTCTGGGAAAGCTTCACCAGAGTCCTTCTCCAAATGACAATGCTCCTGCTCAGTCCTCTCATCAAACAAGGGCAATTTTGTGAGAGTTTTGATGAGAAATCATTAGGTATCCACCTTACAAGTCCTGATTTGGCTTCTTCTGACTTTATTTTCTAACCTTAATCTTCAAAAGGCATTCAATTTCCTTCAGTTAATAATGTAAAAAAGACTGCATTGACATGGGTAAATACCCCACAGCTTTCAGTTCTTCAGGGATGGGGTAAGAGGCTAGTATCATGGCTTACAAAAGTGTCTTGAACTTGATGGAGCTTATGTTGAGAAATAAAGTTTATATTTTTTTTATTTTTGCCTTTTACTTCCATTTTCCACATACTTTTTGAAGTTCTCTAGTAATTTATGGTCAAGGCAGACAATGATGGTTTTAAAAATATGTCCACAAATTCTTTGATATTTCCCCATTTGAATGTTGGCTGGACTTAGTGACTTGTTTTTTATGATGAGAATATGATAGAAGTGGTGGTATGTCACTTTCAAGATTAGGTTTAAAAAGACCATGGCTATATTTTGGGTGCTCTCTCTCTCAGATCACTTGTTCTGGGGGAATGCATGTAATGAGCAGCCCCTATGGGAAAACCTGTGTAGCAAGATGCTGAGCTTCCTGTCAATAACCAAGTGAGTTTGAAAGCAGAACCTCTTCTTCCAGTTAAGTCTGCTGAAATTATAGCTCTGGCCAAGAGTTTGACTGCAAACTTGAGAGACAGCCTTAATCAGAAATACCTGGGCTTATCCAGGCTTCGATTCCTGACTCTCAGAAACTATGTCAGATGATAAATTGTTTGTTGTTTTAAACTGCTAAGGTTGTTATGTAGCAATAGATAACTGATTCACTCTCTGTGTAGTTCCCTCCTTTCTGATACTCTGCCCTATAAATTCTAGCCTCCTTCTCTGCCTCCTCAACTCAGCTTGTCTTCAGGGCTCTGTTTGGCTTTCTTCTCTCTGTGTTAAGTCCTGAAACTGCCTCCAGGTTGTAAGCTGGGGAAATTGTAGTGATCAATTCATTTACTTCTCTTCTCTCCTAAGTCATAACCCTAGGCTGCCTGTTGTCCAATGTCTAAAAACTTTTATTATGTTTTCTAATTTCCTAAGGTGAGAGTTAACTATGGTCCCTGTAATTCCATTATGGCCAGAACTAGCTTAGGACTTGATGTCAATTTAGATGTGAGTTCTACTGGGAGTTGGTATCTTCATGGAACTCAGTGAAAGGGTTCTTTGTATTTTCTCAAGATTTTAAGAATTTGGTTGGGGGAGGGCGGGTGGATTTAAGATTAGCTTAGGTTAATTTTAACCTAGGGTAAGATTAGGTTGTGAGGGGCTTAGTACCAGTGAGTGAAGAGAATAAGGGAGATTTGACAGCATCAAGGCCAACTTTCTATATGGAGAAGCCTGGATTATAAATGGCAATATCAGCACCAAAACAGTTGATTCCACTTACTCTGATGCTTTGTCATTTACCTCTTCTCCTTCTGTCCTTATTCTGAGAACACAAAAGCAGTGCTCTATTGGTGCTAGCTACCATCTGGTGACATATATAGTGATCTGTCTTACCAACATATTTTTCCCAGCTGCTCTTTTCTTTCCTCTAAGGTTGGTAATGCACACACATGCCTCAGTCCTGCCTTTTCTTCTCTATTTCACCACACACAGTTTACTCAATTCCAAATTAGGCTAGTTCTTTCTTTTATATACATAGGTACTTGAATTCACTTTAACGGACGCTCTCACTTGCATATCTAAGTCTCTCCTAGAGCACAAAAATTCCCCACACATTTCTCTCTTAGGCCTGTTCCTTCTGTAAACCAGATAAGTCATGTTGATAGTTGCTAATCACCAGCAGAGTTAGTGTTGCAACTCCTGATCAAGGAATTCAAATTGGAACAAAATACCATAGACAAATCAATTTCTATCACTTTCTAAAGCACCTTGGAGAGAATTTCCTGATAATTTCTGAACCTATTCAGTGTAAATCCTTGAATTAGTCAGGGTGATATATAAAAGAAATCATTCCTACCTTTCAAAAACATTGATAGTCTAGTAGGAGAAATAAGTACATAAGTCATTAAAACCCAAATGACTTATAAATGTCTCTAAAATATGTAAATAAATTATAACAGTATTTCAAAAGGGAAAAAAGAGAAGAGTTATCTGGGAATTAGACAAATCTTTCCATAACAATATTAACCTTTACCATGAAGGATTGGTAAAGATTATATATTAGTGGGAAAAAAAGGCAGCAATGCAAACTTACATTGGTAAGCTGTGCTTCTGAGTATATTTAACTTAGTTATACAACTCATTTGGTTTTAAAAAATCATGAATGTACTCTAATAAATATATACAATTTAATATGCATTATTCCTTCAGTTCTGCTTTTTGTTGTTGTTGTTAAAATATGTGTGAGAAACGTGTTAAGACTCATCTCCTACTGGAGGTGTTTCATTGAAATTAGCTTTCAATCTAAATAGCTTGCTATACTCAAAAAATAAACTGCCTCTGATTTTTTGCCTAGCTTTAAATCTGTAAAATTGAGTCTCATGAAAAAAAGCATTTAGGTTTCTAAGTAACCCAGATATTTCTTGAGCATCTGGAAACCCACATGTTAGTTACTCCAGCATTAGAGATTTTATAAGACAGCGTTTAGAGGCAGATCACTCTTGACAAAGTCACCTTGAGTGTTTTTGCCTTTGTTTCTAAACTCTGGACAACTCAAAGAAAGTATTATAGGACTCAGCTAATTCAAACAATGGCTTTCCTTTGAAATAAGATCGTCTGCTTCCCTTAAAGGCATAGTAGTCACCTTTGACACAAGGAACAGAAGGTAAAATAACAAAGGAAGTGGTGAACCAACCTCAGTTCTGGAATTAAAAAAAAAAAAAACTGATTTGCATTAATTATCATTTCTAGGTGTCTGGCCTAGTCCAGAGGATGCAAATGGCAGTTCAGATCAATCATCCTTAAATCGGATGTGAACGCTTTGATGTGGCTGAGGGAGAGTTGTGGAAAGGGGAGTAGGTACCATGAAGAGAATTGCAACAAAGGAAAAAAAAATATATGGGGTTGAATTGCCCCAAAGAGGACAGAAACAGCAAAAACATATTTTTTTATGTACAAGTAAAAAGTACAGAAGACAAAATAATCTCACCTGGTCTGAGATCTTTAGAATATAATGTTTAATGTTGATTCCCTTACTCTTACTCCTTTTAGGACTCGTGTGTGTGTGTGTGTGTGTGTGTGTGTGTGTGTGTGTGTAATGGGGTGGGGTAGGGGAAGGAGAGAAACTGATAGTACTGATGAATGGGGAGCTAGAAAGACAAGGAAGGAAAAGAGGCTCTGAAACCTAAGGGTGCCTACTGTCCTGGGAAACTTTAAAGCATATTCCATGACGAATTACATTATCTCCGGGCTTAGAAAATTCCGAAAAAGATGGGAAGACAAATCAAAGGCCTTTGATAAATGAGGCCTCAGTTTTGTGGTCAAGTCTGCACTAATTTTTGCCTTGTGTGATGTGCGAATTTGACAAAAAGAGGCGCTGGATTGAGGAGTGGGATGGGAAGGGGGAGGCACCTCTACCTGCACACGGGGGCAGGGGATGGATGCAAATCAGGCCTTCCCGAGTGGCCAATCAATAGTCAGGTGAGGGATTTTGGGTCCCCACCCCATCCCAACCGGCGTTTGAGCACGTGCACGGTGTTCTGGGACCTTTGTCCCGCAAAGTCACGCTTGGCGGGCACCCCTTGGTCCCTTTTTCTGGTCAGATGTGCTTGATTCTTTTCTGCTCTACAACCCACCTCTCTAGTCGTGTCTTCCCATCTCCCTACTCATTCCCTCCCGCGCCGCTGCGGGTGAGAGCCTTCAGCGGTGCGTCCTAAGGAGCGTGAGGAGTGTGCGGAGCTTGGCACACCAAGTTGCTGAGACTGTGACACCAGCCTCCGCCCGTTCCGCGCGGGTGCAGGCGGCGAGCCTCGGCTCGGACACCACAGCTCTCCTGCCCGCGCCGGGCAGTCCTCTGCCTGTCCAGAGGCAGCACTCCCGGCTCTCGGCTGGCTGTGGGTCTGTCTTGTGGGGCTCCAGCACTAGCCTGCTCGGCCTCGGAAACTCCTGCAGCGTCCAGAACACAGAAAATAGACTCATCTCCTAATTCGCCAGGGAGCTCGAGGGCTGCGGGGCCGCGGGGCTGCCTCCCCCGCTCCTCCCCCAACCCGACCCCACCCCACCCCCGCCAGGGCTTCGGCGGCCTCCCGGAGTCACACAGCCTACCCCCCCACCCCAACACCCCCTCCCCCGGCAGACAAAGGGCCTGGGCAAATTCGCCGCCCGGCCTCCTAGCGCTCCGGGGAGGCCGCTGCGCCCCGGAGTGGATCGCGCTGGAGGCGTGCGCCGGGCGAGAAGCCGCGGCCGCGGGAGCGCAGTATGGGGAAGAACCGCGAGATGCGCCTGACTCACATCTGCTGCTGCTGCCTCCTTTACCAGCTGGGGTTCCTGTCGAATGGGATCGTTTCAGGTAAGTTCTTCCGTGACTTTCTCGCTTCCTTTCCAGCCATCCCAGCGGAGACCGCGAACGTACGGGTCGGCAGGGCTGGTGCAACCGGTGCGTGGAGAGCAGGGCTCAGTGGGTAGCAATAAAAATGAGCTTGAGGTGCAGGTTAAGGGGTCAAGTTCGGAAATGAAGCACACTTCTGCCGGCCTCGTTTTAACCGTATGTGGAATAGTTTCCTTCTAATTAGAGCAATAATATTTGCAAAGGTACGTTTACAGCACCTGGAGGAAAATTAGAACGTACCTAAGTTGATAGCAACGCTCTGCTCTAGCATACACTTCAGAAATCGTTTACTCGTGCTGGAGTCTTTGCATCGGTTTTCTTTTCAACAATGAAGTGCGGTCACCAAACTTTGATTCCCCCTCCCCCGCCCCTAATATAATCGTACTTTTACTCTGAAAATGCTGGGGTCTGTAATCTGATCGCAAGGCTTCTGGGGTTGCAGAGTTTCAGGGTCTAGACGGGTGGTCTCCATTGCATTCAACGCGAGCGCCCTGTATCTATGGACTGTGAGCTTGGAAATGTTTGTGCTACTGGAACCGCGGCACTTTAAGCCCCGCACTTCTGTCTGCCCCGCCCGCAGAGCTGCAGTTCGCCCCCGACCGCGAGGAGTGGGAAGTCGTGTTTCCTGCGCTCTGGCGCCGGGAGCCGGTGGACCCGGCTGGCGGCAGCGGGGGCAGCGCGGACCCGGGCTGGGTGCGCGGCGTTGGGGGCGGCGGAAGCGCCCGGGCGCAGGCTGCCGGCAGCTCACGCGAGGTGCGCTCTGTGGCTCCGGTGCCTTTGGAGGAGCCCGTGGAGGGCCGATCAGAGTCCCGGCTCCGGCCCCCGCCGCCGTCGGAGGGTGAGGAGGACGAGGAGCTCGAGTCGCAGGAGCTGCCGCGGGGATCCAGCGGGGCTGCCGCCTTGTCCCCGGGCGCCCCGGCCTCGTGGCAGCCGCCGCCTCCCCCGCAGCCGCCCCCGTCCCCGCCCCCGGCCCAGCATGCCGAGCCGGATGGCGACGAAGTGTTGCTGCGGATCCCGGCCTTCTCTCGGGACCTGTACCTGCTGCTCCGGAGAGACGGCCGCTTCCTGGCGCCGCGCTTCGCAGTGGAACAGCGGCCAAATCCCGGCCCCGGCCCCACGGGGGCAGCATCCGCCCCGCAACCTCCCGCGCCACCAGACGCAGGCTGCTTCTACACCGGAGCTGTGCTGCGGCACCCTGGCTCGCTGGCTTCTTTCAGCACCTGTGGAGGTGGCCTGGTAAGCGCCTTCTTTCCCTAGCTCTCCATTTTCCCCTGCTGCTCCTCTCCTTGCCCATAGGTCAGGATGATTTGCATGCACCTTCTCCCCTTTCAGTGTGCTCCTTTTGAGCTTGGCCCTAGACTGCACCCCCAGGTGTCTACATCGTTTGCCTCCCATGGAACATCTCCAGGGCAGTTGTGTAAATCGGAAGTTTAATTGGGTGGATAAATGGCCTTCTCCTTCCAGATGGTTATGTGTCTTTCAAAACTGCGTGAAACTCTGCCTTTTCGTAACTTCTTCCCAATGGCTCAACTTCTTTCTGTTCTCCAGAGTTTTCCAAACTAAGCGCTCCACGTGATGTCTTTTAGGAACTCGAAAGACAACCAGTCGGCTCACTGATGAATCTCCTTCGTGTTTGCGCCGCACTCTCAGTTCCTCATCTGTTATCTTAGAGCTTTTTCATAACCTACTTCAAAGTTGAAAGAACAGTTCTATAGGGGATTACTCTGACAGTTGTCTAGAATTTAAACACATCCAGAGTCATACTGGACACCTGTTCACTGTTCTTGTGAAAGGAGTTGGGAGGGACTCAACTGAGAGACTGGAGGTTGAGTAACGGGTGACATTAGAATCCGATCTGTGTTCAAAGGGTTATGGTTCTGTGATTTACATTTCATTTGACAGTAGTTCCTTTTCTTCTTTCCACTTTTTGGAGGAAAGGAGCAAGGTGGAGAGCCTTGTTAAAAGGCCTGTTGGGATGGAAAGTAAAAGCCATTTGCTCTGTCAATGTAGAACATCATTTGATTTTTCTCCCTCTGTCACGATTCAGGGGTTGGGACAAGCTTCTATAAGTTGACCTTTGTGTGTGTGTGTGTGTGGGGGGGTCAAATATGCATAACATAAAATTTACTATTTTAACTGTTTCTAGATGTACAGGTACGTGGCATTAAGTACATTCACGTTGTTGTGCAACACCACCATGTCCTTTATGGTTGTTGCCACCACCATAGGCTTTACTATTAATTGGTTTAAGACAAAACTCATAAAATATCAAAAATGCACTTGTGATTTGTGGCTTCATTTTGCTGTTCATAGTGAGCCACTGAGAAATCCACAAGAACTTGCATGGAAGCAAACTGCTCATTTGGAGAAAATCCAACAGCAGTGGATAGCAGAAAATATCAGCACAATCAAAGCCACCCAAAACTACCACCTCCCCTGACCCAAGATCCCATAGTCAAATGATGTAAACTGTTGGACAGTACTCATAATGATGAATATTCAAATACGGGCATTTTTAGGCATAATTGAAAAAAATTGGCATGGAAAAATTACATGAGAAGCTTTTATTAAAAGGTTTTATGTGGAACTGATGTTTGAACATTTCACTGGGGAAAACATTTTGTGGAGATTTCATTGTCCACTAGCTTTTGGCTGGGGATTAAATAATCACATATAGAAAGTTCCTGGTGTGGTAGTAGCAATGGGGGATAAAGAATTTCACTGTGTTGAAATGTGCACTTTTGGTCAGATTTTCCAAATGACCTATTCCTTCTCTCCATACTTAAGGAAGCAAAGTTAGAATTATAAGTAGGTTTTTTGTATGTAACAAACCTGCAGGTTGTGCACGTGTACCCTAGAACTTAAAGTATTTATAAAAAAAGAATTATAAGTAGGTTTTTCATAGACTGAATAGGAGTTTGACATACATCCCTGTTTATCATGTTGGACTTTTACTCACTGTTCCTATTAGCTACATATGTATATGTTCTAAACTGGGAAGTCTTTGTTATTGAGGAAAACTGCCATTGCCAGTGTTAGGAGTTAGATTTTCAGTAAAAAAGTTAAGCAAATAGCCAAGAAGGGTGGGTTTGTTACTCTAGACTCTAACATGCCAGCCCTGTTCCCTTATGAGCTGGTGGATAAGGAAAGAGTGAGCTGTTATCTGTACTCTGGAAGAGGTTTGTTCCCTGATGATTGACAAGCTCCTTATCTCTTTAGGCTTCAGTTTCCATAAGTAAAATTAGAGAATTAGATGATTTAATTTAAAAAATTGAATGATGGGATTAAAATTCTATTGGATATTTAATGTATTATAGGTCCCTTGTTTAGGGGATAGAATGTTCTGCCTTTTAGGGGCTCACAAGTTAAGAGAAAGATATCACCTGTAAGTGGAAATGACACAAGTAGTCACAAGACAGTGACAGACCAGCATGATGAATCAAATGTTATGCTAAGGTAAAAATCCCTTGGGAGAGGTGGGGAATGCTTCCCAAAGCAGAAGAAGTTGAACTGGATTTTAAAACATGGAGAGGATTTCACCAGGCAGAAAAAAAAGCTGGAGTGTTGTAGGTAGAGGGAGGAGACTGAGTGCAGGCATGAAAATGCAGGACCTGTCAAGGGAATGATAAAGAATGTCTCCTATGACTAGGCCAGAAGATGCAATAGAGAGAAATGATCTTAAAATGTCTAGAGATCAAACTTCAAAAGCCTTGTCTGCAAGAATATGGGCTTTTTCTAACTGAATAGTCATAGAACTTCTTACCTCTTCCTTTATATCTCAAGAATTCTGTGATCCTGTAATTCTAATGTGAGGAATTATGATGCCTTTATATAGAGATGGTGAATCATTTATAAATGCAATGGCCATGAGTTTGCAACAATTATTTTCTTCTCAGGGAAAGCTTTCTTATTGTCAGTTGCAGAGAAGAGGGTAGTTCACTAACTGTACCTTCCCTTACCCTCTCTTGATAGTAAGCTTTGCCTACTGGTACCTGAACTTTTCAATATCTTTTGGATTATTAAATATTTAAAAGGATCCAAAAGTCTGTACCAAAGGAAATAGAACATCAGCTATCCAGTAAAGTGAACATTTATAAGATTGACCATTTCACTCTCCAGGTACTACTCTAACTTGTGTTATCAAAGGATAAGTGCCAGAATGGAGATTTTGGATACAGGGGCAAAGCCTGCCTCTTCAAAGTTTTTAATCTTTCTGGATCTCATATCTGGATCTCTCTCTATATAAAATGTACAAATTGTACTTATATATCTAGCAATTGATCTGTGAAGTGTTATTATTTTTGTTTGTTCTGATTAGTGTATTATTGAATAACAGTCTTATTTGAGTCATATATTAGATCTTATAAGCATGCAAATATACTACCACTAATCAATTAAACATTTATTGAACAACTCTTATGACTAAGGCCTTTTCCAGATATAGAGAATACAAAAAGAAGATGAAGCAGTCTCGATATATTTCACAGGGCCCTCAACCTAACTTGCCAGTTACCAATGAAAACAGGGAAATACAATAGGTTGAGATACGTGAAAATACACTTATACCATGAGTGATCTGATGACACTGTCTTGTTCATCTCTTTTCATTTCCAACACTTTACTTTTTAGTTGGCACTCAATAAAAATCACTGAATAATAAAATACAACACATGAAGTACTTTATGCTACTTTAAAATCATCTTTAAAAATTAAAACACACAAAAGCAATAAATTAAATCCCATGAAACTGTGCAACAATTATCTTTGCTCAAAGTTAACACAATGTTTTTTTTTTTTTTTTTCTAAAAACATGCTTATAAGCGCTGGGCCAAAATAAGCTATATTAGTATATACCTGGCCTATTTTTTTTTTAATGGACTATTGACATGGCAGACTACTTAGATTATTTTTTCCAGATGATGAAGTGTAGATACTAAAACTAATGCCACCTTTTCCTACTTAAATTAAGAGTTTTATACAGTAGTCTTTTTGATTAGCTTTTGATACAGAATCTGGAGCCTTTTGTAAATTCAATTATTTTTTATCTTATTTGCATTAAAGTATTGTATTCTGTGGAAAGTTTTAAACAATTAAATATTTTTGTGACTCCCATTTAGACAAGGCAGTATATCAGTTAGCAGTGTGAAAGCTGCTGTCAGGGCAGGAATGGGTAAAGAGAAATAAACACATAACGAGGAGAACCAGTGGAATCAGTCAACATCCAAATGAAAAAATTAAGATTACAGACTGACCTCATATGTCTACTTTCTTCATTCAAGCAAAATCTTAGGAATGATAGAAAAGATATTCTAAATAAATATAAAGCAGTATTAGAAGAGAATGTCATCAGGACATCAGATATTTCAAATATCTCCTGAAAGATTGAAACAGTTTGGCTTGGATTAAGGGAAACATATAGACTTTAGAAAACATCTGTGACTTGCAGGAGCCATGCCAGAAGTGCCGCTGTACATGCAGGGAAAGGCAATGCAGTGAGCAGAAACGTACCTAGAACAAGAGCAGGATTTCTTTTTTCTGTTATCCCATTCTGCCAAGCACCGGAAGCCACATATGTGTCGCTAACACAGGAACAGAGAATAGAGGCAGAGCTTACCCAGGCCTGTGGGTGACACCCAGGAAATAGTCTCTACTCTCAAAAGATGAGCTGTTGGCTTCTTGCACTGAGTCAAAGGTCCCATCTGTCTCTAACTCAAGGAGAGCTGAGTAAACTGAACTAGTTACAACAGATAGGTGAGCAGGGAAACCAAGAAAAGATGAGCTGACACCCAGGAATATTACATTTTGAAGAAAATAATATTAAGAGTCTCAAACTCTTGTTAATTAATACAAGAAGCAAAAAATTAATAAATAGAATAACAGAAATCTAATGCCCAGAAGAAAAAGAGCAGGTATATATTCATGGAAAAAATAAATTAAAAAAATAGGAACAAACTGCTATCCATAAAAAAAAGGTTAGATACAATGGAACTGAAATTATATTTTTGTTAGAATAAAAACTCAATAGATGAGTTGATAGGTAAATTTGTGATATGGAAGATCAAACCCAGAAATTATCCCAGAACACAATACAAGGGCCAAATGAATATAAAATAATAATAATAAAATAGTTGTAAGCCATTGATTAATAGGTCTAGATCAAATATTTCTCTAATAGGAATGCATTTAAAAAATCAGTATAAAGACTGAATTGTAAAAATACATGCCGTTATACGCTACCTATCAGTTACACTTTGGATGTGAGGCCAGATATTACTTCTTTGAGGGTAGAGGGTAGATGAGATAAGTGGTGTTCTGGATGATCCTTGCTCAGCATACACCAAAAGCAATTTTCAACACAGGTTTCCATATTTGGAATTAAAAATAAAGACATGGAAAGCAGTTTATGTGTAGAATGCTTGATTTTAAAAATTGTTATTCTTTATAATTGTTTCATTTCAAAATTATAGCAAAATTTTTAAACAACTTTCTTATTTTTCCAAAGTGTTCACAGAAACAAAAACGTATTTTGCACTCAGATTTAATTATTTAATATTTAAATATTGATTAAATTATACAATTACAGAATGTTGTACCTACCTGTGTTCAGACAAATATGGCTGACTCTTGTCACAGGCTGACTGGTGGAAATGGTTGTATGCTGTAAGACAAAGGAAGCGTCTGCTAGCTATGAGCATTCAGCATGCTGTATGCCTCAGTGACATATTTTCCAGATGGTGTGTGGCGTATTAAGTCAGCGATTCTAGTTGATTTTGTTGATATAACCAAGATTAGTTAGGGAGAGGTTAAGAGACCAGTGGTTCTAATTGAATTGGTTGATATAACCAAGGTTAGTTAGATAGAGGTTAAGAGACCCCTTTTTCAGCGTCAGAAACAAATTTATCAGAAATAAGACACAAACCTTCAGATTGAAGGACCAACCACAAAACTCAGCATGGCATAAGAGGGACCCAAATCTAGATATACATTCACAGAATATTAGAAAATCAAAGAGAAAGAGAAAATCGTATGCATTTAATAGAGGAGAGATGATCTACAGTGGGATGTGTGTCAGATTGACTTTAGAGGATTGAATCAGTAATACTGGGTGCCAGAGGATCAGGTAACTTCAGGATTCTGAGGAAGAGTCATTTAAAATCCTGGATTATATGGTCACACAAAACACCATTCAAATCTGAGGCCAAAGTAAAATCATTTGCAAAATTATAAGGACTCAGGTGTTACCACACAGAATCTCCAAAAAGGTATGCAATGAAAAATCTTCCTCAAATACCTATTCCCCGGTTAGTACTTAGTTTTCCATCCTAGAGGTAACCAGGGTTATCTGCTTATAGTGTCTGATCTGGAGGTAGTTTATGCATAGACAAATATATATACATGTATACACTTACAGCTTTTTAAAAACCCATACTATTTACACACACACACGTGGTATTACCACAATTGAGTGTGTAAAGAGATTCCCCTTTTTTTACGTCCTCTTATATCTGATTGCAAGGATCTTTTGTAATCTACCTAATGAGTTTGGTGTTCCTGGATATTTGATTGAATACAATATTTTCCTATTAAGAACAAGGCTAAATATATAGGATTCTGTAGAAAAGCTGTTTTGCCTCTAATGTATATCTATGTTAAAGGGCATGAGTATTGGTAATTCGGAGAGAGATTGCTTAATTGTACCCCATAGAGATGGTGCTACTTTACAGTCTCAGACCAGGAGAGTAGGAGAGTTTCTCTTTCCCATGTCCTGTTACCAGTATGGACGTTATTATTAAAATTTTTGACCTTTGTGAAATCTAATAGATAAAAGATGTTATTATTATTATTATTTTTGAGACGGAGTCTCACTCTTTTGCCAGGCTGGAATGCAGTGGCACGATGTCGGCTCACTGCAGCTTCTGCCTCCCGGGTTCAAGCAATTCTCCTGCCTCAGCCTCCTAAGTAGCTGGGACTACAGGCGCGCACCACCACGCCCAGCTAATTTTTGTATTTTTAGTAGAGACGGGGTTTCACCGTGTTGCCCAGGATTTTCTCGATCTCTTGACCTCATGATCCGCCCACCTTGGCCTCCCAAAGTGCTGGGATTGCAGGCGTGAGCCACTGTGCCTGGCCAAAGATTGATGTTATCTTAATATAGTTGTAATTTACATTTTTTGTTGTTATGGTGAGGTTGAGTGTCTTTATATTTTTTATTCTCATTTCCTTTCCTGTAGACTTTCCATTCATATCTTTTACTTATTATTATTATTATTTTAATGATGGATTCTTGTTCTGTCGGCCAGGCCAGAGTGCAGTGGGGCAATCTTGGCTCACTGCAACCTCCGTCTCCTGGGTTCCTGCCATTCTCCTGCCTCAGCCTCCGAAGTAGCTGAAATTACAGGTGCCTGCCACCACACCCAGCTAATTTTTGTGTTTTTAGTAGAGGTGGGGTTTTGCCATGTTGGCCAGGCTGGTCTCAAACTCCTGACATCAGGTGATCTGCCCACCTCAGATTCCTAAAGTGCTGGGATTACAGGTGTGAGTCACCACACCAGGCCATCTTTTACTTATTTTTCTATTATATATTTTTATTTCTAATTCCAAAGTTCTTTATATATTAGTATTTTAAAAAGACAAATGTTAATTACAAAATAATATATTCTAAGTATAGGACATTTAGAAAATATATAAAATAAATAATCTGTAATTTTACCATCCAGAGATAGACAACTAACTTTTTAGTATTTATGCTGAAAAGGACATAAACATATAAAATAAACCTCAATTTTCAGAAGATTTGTTGGTAAGCTAGAAAAAGCAAATTTTCTCAAACATCTTTTTTGGTTTATAAGATTGGCACAAATTATGCAGATTGAGACTATCTAGTGGACATAATTGGGGAACATTTAATCTTACACCTTGTAGGAGAGTAAATTTGTAGAGTCAATATATACTTTTGTGTAGTATCTATTAGAACATTAAATATGCTTACCCTTCTTTTTAGCAATTCTGCTTATAGTTGTCAATTTTAGAGAAATATCTATATATGTGCAAAAGGTTTATGTATAAACCTATTCATTGCAGAACTTAGAACTCTCTAGATATTCAGCAGTAATGGACTAGTTGTATCTATATATTATGCTGAAGGCCAGGAGAATGAAAAGATAAAAGAAACAGTTCTTTGCTTCAAGGTGTTTACAGTTTTGAAGGAACCATTTTCTTTGTCTCAACTTTTTATCCTTTTAGAGTTCATCACAGTTATTCGATTTAGTAAGTACTCAATCTCTCCTTATTAATAAAATAACTGGTTTTTAAGTGTACCTACCTTTATGGCATTCTGTGGATTTCCAGTTTAGCATTAGAGTGGCATGGATAATATAGTTACATGTGAGAGAAGTTTCTGGATTATGAGAGGGGCAATATGTAGATACATCAGTCTTCATTAAAGGAAGCTACATAGTGAATAAACAGAATTGTGATGCTGATCGAATAAGCTACATCGTACATTAAAAATAAACTATTTAATCATATATTAACCTATGTCTTCATTCTCAGAGATTTGAGACATGGGCCAATTTTGTGAGAAGAAATTTTCTTTATTTAATAATGAATAAATAATTGTATGCATTTATTTGAAGTTTGTTAACTGAATCATATAGTATTCTTTTAAATAACAAAATTCTTTATAAGAGCCTGAAAATATGTTTATGCAACACTAAAACAGAGCACATATTTATTGAGTTCATGCACAATTGAATGTTTCCACTTATTTGCAATTACATTTTTAACCCAGAGGGTTTTATGTCTTTGTATTTGCAAAATGAAGAAGAATCAGAGGAGTTGCAGGTTCCTGGTAGGTGGGATATGTTTTGGAGCAGTGGGAGAACCAGTAGTCCCCCTTGAATTATGATTTGGAGGTTTCCTGAAAGGAAGTTTTAAGATTCTCTTAGCAAAGTGAGAACCATAATTTGATGCAGAGTGCATTTAGGGTGCAGCTATAGTGAACACATCCATCTCATCATTATTCTGATGCCAAGCCCTAGACTGAGAGAAGTGAGAAAATGGGAGCTTAGCCATTCCAGTGCTACACAGATATTTTTATAGAATTATTACATGGTGGTGTTGGGAAGTACCTTAGGGATTAGATAGTTTAGTGCCTGCCTTTTCCAGAGAGAGAAACTTGACTTCATCTCATAATTAATGTGCCTATATCTGCAATAAATTATTAACTCTTTAGACTCTAACTCAGATGATCAGGGAATGGTGCTGGTGAGCCCAGGCCAGTTTGGGCATTACCAAATGCTTCTGCTTTTCTATTGTTTTCCGTTTAAAATAAATGAAATCTAAATATGTTTTTTTTTCCTTGAGCACATTCAAAGGATAAACATAAGGATATTTTGCCCTCAACTCTTTTTGTAGTCTACTAGCCTCAGCCTGGCTTTACTTAAAATAAGACCACTTCTGCAGTGAGGCTACATCATCAGCCATTTGACCATGCTCCTTGATGTCCTGTTTCTTCAAGTGTGGTGTGTAGATATCAGGATCAAAATCAGGCGGTGGGATGTATGGGGGCGGGGGTGGTGGGGGGTGGTTTGGTGAGGTAGAGGTAGTTGGTAGAGGAAGTCTCTATTAAAAATAAGGCTTCCAGACTGAATGACAAACCTAAAATATGAAGTTAAAAAGAATCTAAGATAAAAATAAGCCTGGGGTGGTGGCACATACCTGCAGCTCCAGCTACTCAGGAGGTTAAGGTGGGAGGATCACCTGAAGCCAGGAGTTAGAGGCTGCAGTGAGCTGTGATTGCACCACTGCACTACAGCCTGGGTGACAGAGTGAGACCCTGTCTCAAAAGAATGAAAGAAAGACAGAGAAAGAGAGGGATAGGGAGGGAAGGAGGTAGGGAGGAAAAGAAAGGAAGGAAAGAAAGAAAAAGAAGGAAGGAAGGAAGGAAGGAAGGAAGGAAGGAAAGCAGGCAGGCAGGCAAGACTCTGTCTCTAAATAAATGAATAAATAAATAAAAAGAATACAAGGTACTTTTTTTTTAAACTTTCAAGTTCAGGGGTACATGTGCAGGTTTGTTAAGTAGGTGAACTTGTGTGATGGGGATTTGTTTTACAAATTATTTCATCACCCAGATATTAAACCTAGTACCCATTAGTTATTTTTTCTTATCCTTTCCCTCCTCCCACCCTCCACCCTCTAGTAGGCCCCAGAGTCTGTAGTTCCTCTCTATGTGTCCATGTGTTCTCATCATTTAGCTCCCACTTAAAAGTGAGAACATGTGGTTTTTGATTTTCTGTTCCTATGTTACTTTGCTAAGGATCATGGCCTCCAGCCCCATCCAGGTTGCTGCAAAGGACATGATATCATTCTTTTAGGGCTGCACAGTGTTCTATAGTGTGTATGTACCACATTTTCTTTATTCAGTCTACCATTGATGGAAAGTTAGGTTGATTCCATGCATTTGCTATTATGTATAGTGCTGCAATGAACTCACACACGTGTGTGTCTTTATAATAGAACAATTTGTATTGCTTTGGGTATATACCCAGTAATGGGCTTGGTGGGTTGAATGGGGTATTTCTGTTTTCAGGTATTTGAGGAATCACTTCACTATCTTCCACAATGGTTGAACTAACTTAAACTGCCATCAACAGTGTATAAGCATTCGTTTTTCTCTGCAACCTTGCTAGGATCTATTTTTTGACTTTTTAATAATAGCCATTCTGGCTGGTGTGAGATGGTATCTCATTATGCAAGCTAAAATTTGAGGGCAGCCACTCCAGTGGCTCTGAAAACAGCAGAGCTCAAGATTCTTTCCTACTGGATTTGCATCCACTAAACTTCATACCCTAAGGATCTTGCATGAATTTTAATCCGTATATACTCTTTTTGGAAAGTTCCAGTAATGGTAAAATTAGATACGTCCTGTCCTTACTTAATAATATCCTCCCAGAAACCGACTCAGATGCTAGTGAGCTAGAAAGGATTCTATGGATTTAAAATTATTAATCAACACGTTATACATGTGAACTAGTTGGAAGATAACACAATGGAACGTTAATGCCAGCATAAGTGTTTTCCCACTCTTCAAATAAAAAGAAAGCAACAGTTGAAATCTGCTTCCTATTCTAGAATCTGGAAATATTAAATAGAAGTAAGTAGTTTCAGTCATCAGCAATTTTATCAGTAAAATTGTAGCAGGAGAATTACTCCAGCTGTTTCACAATATTATTATAGTTATATATTTATGTTATTATATTTCTTAAATACAATTTTATATTTATGTATTATCTATACATTATATTATTATATTTGTTATAATAAAATTTATCAGAAATACAAGAAGAAATATACCTTCAGACTGAAAGGGACCAACCATACTACCAAGTTCAGATGCGGATAAAGGAAGACCGAGGCACATTGTAGTGGGATATTAGAAAATCAGTGGTGAAGAGAAAATTGTAAACTCTTTGTGAGAGGTTATCTATCCTGGAATAGCAGTGCAGTATGTTCAGGTTAAAAGGACCTTGAAAATGCATAAGAATTGAATGGTAAACTCTCTCAAATGACAAAAAAATAAAAATAAAAATAAAAAAGCAGGTCTTTTCTACTCATTCACATTCCAGGTATTTGGATGTCAAATGTCCTGTAAAACTCATTAAAATAAACAGTAAAAAAAAAAAAAATTAACCTGCCAAGAGCAGTGGACAGGCAGGTGATTATATCAGCTAATCAGATTAATGCATTTGGTCTTTCTCCATTATGATTGGGATTTGAATGTTATGTAAAATGTGATAGGTACATTTCCATTATAAGATTATTATGTTACCAACAAATATGTTAGTCTGCCCAATTTATAGATAGGCAATTAACTTACTGACAGAGGAAATTGTGTATACTTAACATATCTAGGGTGTTTGTGTTGTCTGACTCTGGTTATATTCTTACAGATGAAGTAAATAGAACTTTAAACTTTTATTACAAGATAGAAAGTTTGAGTAATTCATCATGGAAATAATATTTGTATATAAATATAATTGACACATTTAAAGGTTGAGTAACTCATTGTGAAAATAGCTGCCTGTTCATAAATTTAATTATTTAGTGCCCCATTTTGTTTGCTAACATGGATAATTTCTCTGTAGATTGCCACTTAAAATTTTGTTAGTTCAAAATAGGTGGTTCTATTTAGTAATATTTTAAAATATATTGAATTGATATTTTAAAATGAAAGTTCCTATGTAGAAATTTTTCCAGGTGCACCCTAATTATCTCTCATTAGTAAGATACGTTCATGGATATGTCAGGCTGATTTTTTCAGGGTAAATCAGTATTTAAAATGTAACAAACTAAAAAGGATATTGCGAATGCCCTTTTTTCCAACATCTTTTTTGAGGTATAATTTACATACCCTAAAATTCACCCAGTTTAAGCATAAAATTCAGTGTTTTTTAGTTCATTTACAGAATTGTGCAACCATCACAACTTAGTTTTAGAACAGTTCCATCAACTAGAAGGGTCCCTCATCCCCATCTGCAGTCACTGTGTTCCTATCTACAGTCCCAGGCAACCATTCATCTACTCTGTGTCTCTATAGATTTGTCTTTCATATAAATGTAATCATATAAAATTTGGTCATTTGTGTCTGTCCTCATTCACTTAGCATGATGATGTTTTTGAGGTTCATCCATGTGGTAGCACGTATCAGTAGTTCATTCTTTTTTTCTTCATGGATTATTTCCACTGTCCTGAAATACCACATTTTGTTTATTCATTCATCAGTTGGTGGGCATTTGGATTGTTTCCATTTTTTGGCTATTATGAATAATGCTACTATAGATATTTGTGTACATGTCTTTGTGTAGATGGGTATTTTCACTCCTGTTAGGTAGATACCTAGGACTGCAATTACTAGGTCATACAGTAAATTTGTTTAGTATTTTAAGATACTGCCAAACTTTTTTTCAAATTACTATATCATTTTATATTCCCCCCCAGTAATGTATGAGGATTCCAGTTTCTCAACATCCTCAACAATACTTGTTTATATACCACAAAAATCTCCCAATTTAAGTGTACAATTCAATGGTTTTTAGTACATTTACAGAATTGTGCAACCATCACCACAACTTAGTTTGGGAACATTTCTATCAACTCAAAGGCTCCTTTATAACCATCTGGAGTCACTCTGTTCTTATCTCCAGCCCCAGGCAACCATTAATCTACTTTGTGCCTCTGTTGTCTCTTTTGGATTACATTTGTGGATGTGCAGCGGTATCTCATGTGGTTTTAATTCTGTTTTCCTAGTAACTAATTATATTGAGCATAGGTTCATGCGCCAGTTCATAGCCATTGTAATATTTGTCATCTTTGGTGAAATGTCTACTCAAAACTTTTGCCAACTTGTTAATTAGTTTTTTTCTACTATTTAGTTTTAAGAGTTCTTTATATACTCTGGATATAAATATTTTATCAGACAAGTGATTTGCTAATGTTTTCTTCCAGTCTCTCGCTATCTATTCAGTTTCTTAATGGTATCTTTTAAGGCCAATTTTTGAGACTTTTGATAAAAATCTAGTTTATCTTTTTTTTTTTTAATGGAACATGTTTTTGATGTTGTATCTAAGAACTCAGTGTCTAACCCAAAGTCACAAGGACTTCCTCCTGTTTTCTTCCATAATTTACATAATTTAAAGTTTTACATTCAATCCTATGATTCATTAGCTTTTGTGTATGGTGTTAAGAGACTGTAAATTTTTCTCTTTGCATGTACTTCTCCAGTGGTATCTCAGCACCATTTGTTGAAAATACCATACTTTCCTCATGAAATGCCATAGCATTTTTGTTAAAAGTAAATTGACCGCAAATGTGCGAGTTTATTTTTGAACTACTTATACTGTTGTTTTGATCTATATTTATCTTCGTGTCAATACCATACTGTATTGATTTATGTAGCTTATAATATTTTTTGAATTTGGGAAATTTAAGTCCTTTAATTTTAATTTTCTCTTTTCAAAATTGTTGTGGCCTGCCAGACACAGTGGTTCATGCCTGTAATCCCAGCACTTTGGGAGGCCGAGGCAGGCAGATCACTTGGGGTCAGGAGTTTGAGACCAGCCTGGCCTACATGGCGAAACCCCATCTGTACTAAAAATACAAAAATTAGCAGAGCAGGGTGGTGGGCACCTGTAATCCCAGCTACTCAGGAGACTCAGGCATGAGAATTGCTTGAAGCTGGGAGGGAGAGGTTGCAGTAAGCCAAGATTGTACCACTGCACTTCAGCCTGGGAGACAGAGGAGACTCCATCTCAAAATAAAAATAAATTGTTTTGGCCATTCTGGCCTCTTTATATTTCTATATACATTTTAGGATCAGATTGTCAGTATCTTCAAAGAAACTTCCTGGACTTTGATAGGAGGGTTTAAGCTTAATCTGAAATTCAGTTTTCTGAAATTCCATTTTGGAAGAGATTTTATCTTAAACAATGCAAAACCGATTATTTTTTTTTCTCTGTGAAAATGATTATTACTAGAGAATTGGTAGGGTGTGTTTTTGAATACGCTGTTTATTTGTTTGCTTGATTTGAACCCTGACCCTAACAACTTTGGTCTTTTTCATAGCAGTAGGCCTGAAACACAATAGTGGAGTCTTGATTAAAAAGAACAAAATAAGCTACTGGTAGTCCATATTACAGTATTTAAAATGAACAATTTCAAACCACTAACAAGATTTAAATTCCATAAAGGATTTATGAGAACAAGTAATCTAAGCTACTCATTTGGAGGCATACAAATAAGGAATACAAAATAGGAAATCACACAGATAGTGTTTTTGCAGGATTAGGACATGAACCCAGGATTCAGACTCCAGATTCCACTCTTATTTCAGTCCTACTGCTATGAGAAAGACCAAAGTTGTTAGGGTCAGGGTTCAAATCAAGCAAACAAATACGGACAAATGAACAAAACCCAAACTAATCTTTTCAGGAAGTGGATTTCACTCACAAACATTCAGAGTTATTCTCTAAATGTAAGCTTGTACAAAATTATTGTATGTGTTTAGTTAAACAGAACCAAGGATATCAGTACAGTACTTTTTATTAAAAACCAAACCAATATCTCCTCTCTGGTAATGTAAGTTTCAAGAGTTGTCTCCAGACCACAGGAATTATGATTGAGTAAATGTTAGGGAAATAAAGACCCTTAGATAGTTAATCCATTAGTATTAATTTATTAATGAGATAAAGAAACTTAGTAAAGGATAGAAATGCTGTATTTAGTTAATTCCAATGAAAATTTTCTCATTTTAGTAGCTCTTACATAGAGGTGTGTTATGACACTAATGACATCCTGGAGTTATGAAATTTGATATGAAAGCAAATGTGGAATCACTATCATTTTTGGAAGTGAACATTTATAAAGTTCTAGTTGCAACTGTTGCCCTGGAAACACTTGGCTCAGGAAGTAAAAGGGAATGCTATCTGAATGGTTATATTTAAGTCTTTTGCTTTAGAATAATAATATATATAGATATACACAGGAAATCTTTATAATCTTTTAAATAATATGCTTGAATTTCTTCTATTTAAGTTGACTGTAGGTGAAGATTAAATCAAAATTTTATTCCTGTATGTTTTACACTCAGTTTGAGCTTTAAGGGATAAAATGATGACTAGGAATTCTATCAGGAGAGATGTTTTCGAATGGTCAGAGGGAAACAGCCAAGTATCATTTGAAAGTCAGTTCCAAATCTTAGCTGATAAAACAGTAAATTAAAGAAATAGATTTCATTACTAATTTAATGTCCATGGTTGTTTATTTTGCATTTTCAATTTCTGTAGTTCCTTCTTTTGTCAGGCCCCAAGAGATTACACAATTTGTGTGAATTGATACAACCTTCGTATGAGGGAGGCAGAATCAATCATAAAGGAGGTTAGTGGGCGGAAAGATGAAAGAGGAAAAATAAAGCCACTGATGTGTATTTAGAGTGTGTTTTAAGTTTAAGAATATGGAAACCCCTATTTTCATTTGAAATGCTTTGGAGTAACATACTAAAGCATCCTTGGGGACACCCTAACACTGCACATTAATATGGTTTAAAAGGTCTCCAAAGCATTTGCCTATAGTTAGCTCTGTTGTAGTATTTTAGTAAGTGTTCTAATAACTTGGCTGCTCTTGCCTTTGGCTGTGAAGTCTTCACAAGTGCACAGTGTCCAATTTTTGGGTCCTTGGTCACATGGTCTTACATGTTCACGTTCTGAACCTATTAATAACTCAGCATAGGATTGTAAGAAAATACATCAGACTCTATACTGGAACTGCATAATCAACTGTCTACTTAATCCTTCTCTCATTTCTTTCCATTACCTCTCACTGTAGAAGATACACATTCAACCATGTGTTCAGTGCCTGTTTCCCCTTCTATTCTCAGTATTCTTAAATTGATTTCCATAAATTAGCCTTAGAGAGTTAAAAAAATTCAATATAAGTGAAAGAGAAAGCGGAGAACCATCACAATAATATAAATGGTTATAACCATGATGATAACATAGGTTTTTAAAGTATATTATAAACTGTATTTACAAATTCTTATGGCTGTAGTAAGGTTACATACTTTGTAGAAAACAGCTGACCGGCTTGAACAAATGCTTGTGTGTAAATCTAGTTTTTAGAAATGAAATTATATTTTATGGGCTCTATAGGGTGTTGCTATGTAAGGGAAACCAATTGTGATTTTTTTGTCATTAATAAAATAATAACCTAGAATTTAGTATCAGTTCCTTAGCACAAATCTGGTTTGCACATGCTTATTTTATCTTTTAATAATAATGTGGGATACTCTTAGACATTTTGAAGGTGCTATTAAAATTTAAAACATATATGAAATAATTAAACAGCTTTCTATATTATGTCAGTGGTGGATTTTAAATAGCAAGGAACATATCTGCAAGGAATGGGAAAAGTACCACATTCTCCTTTTAATCATACCTACAAGGATACGTAGAAAGTGGAACCCCTACCTTTTTTTGTTTGTTTGTTTTTAGAAACAGGGTCTTGCTCTGTCATCCAGTCTGGAGTGCAGCGGTGTGATCATAGCTCACTGCCACCTCGAACTCCCATGCTCGAGCAATCCTCCCACTTCAGCCTCCCCAGTTGCCAGACTACAGGTGTGTGCCACAGCTAGTTTTTACATTTTTTTTTGTACAGATGAGGGGTCTCTCTGTATTACCCAGGTTGGTATTGAACTGCTGAGCTCAAGTGATCCTCCTTATCATCTCCCAGAGTACTGGGATTATAGGCATGAACCACTGCACCTGGCCACCTCTACCTTTAGTAAAAATCAAATCACAAGAGGAAAATCAATGAATGGAGGCGCTGTAGTTTTCATTTGCATTGATTTTTAAAAACAAAGAGGACCAGAATATAATAGCCACTGTTTATTCAACACTGCTATATGCCATATACATATTGCCATAAGGTATGGCAAATTTTTCACAGAAACCCACTAAGGTACGTGTAGTCACTCAGTTTTATAGATAAGGATGCTGAAGCTGAGGGAGATTAAATGTCACCCTAGAGGGGAAGCTGATGAGGCCTAGAGGTGAAATTTAAAGCCGTATGTGTGTGTGGTGTGTATGTTTGTATATGTCATGAAGATACTTTGTTGCTTCAGTATTATTTATCAGAGATATATAACACATTCACATCATTTTAATCCTTTGATCCAAGATATGGGGTAGAAATTGATGTGGAATAAGTATAGGAGTAGAAATAGTAGAATTTAACATAGAAATTTGCTGATTTGTAATGTAATCTATCTTCTCTTTCTCTTTCTGTTTCCTTTCTGATGTTGGTATATTTAAAATTTTTAAGTAAGAAATTATCACGTTAGGGAGATTTCCTAAAAAATAATCCTGGCGCAGTCCAATATCATCAGTACTTCTAGAAGCAAGGAACTCACTAAGGCAAGAAAATAAATAAAAGGTATTCAGATTGTAAAGGAAGAAGCAAAGCTGTTTTTTATTCACAGAAAACATGATGGTCTATAGAGACAATCCTGCTAAAACAAACGTGCGAGGTTTAGCAAGATGGCGGGATACAAGTTTCATGTACAAATACGAGTTTTTTTATAGTACTAATGAACGATTATAAATTAAAATTTTATAAGCACATTTACAATACTATAAAAACATGAGACACTTAAACATAAATTTAACAAAATATGCCCTGCACCTGTATACCAAAAACTGTAAAATATTGCTTGAATATTATAAAATATTGACAGAGATTAAGGAATATCTACATAAATGGAGATACATACAAAGCTCATGAATTAGAAAACTCAATTTTAAGATGTCAATTATTTCTGAATTGATTTATAGATTTGGTACACTCATTTTTTAAAAAAACAAGCTTTTTGGGTAGAAATTGACAAATATGTTTATAGTTATGGAATTCCAGAGAACTTAGAAAAGCCAAAACAATTCCGACAAGAACAAAGTTGGAGAACTTACATGATCTTATTGAAGTGATAATGTTAAAGCTTTAAAATCCAAATAATCTGATATTGGAACAAAGAGGCATATGGAACATAAGACGGAATCCAGAAATAGTTCTACTTAAATATGGCTAGTTGATTTTCAAGAAAGTTACCGATGTAATTCAATGGAGGAATTCTAGTCCTTGACATATGGTGCTGGAAGAATTTGACATCAATATAGGAAGAATGAATCTTGACAGCTGCCTCACAACAGCCACAAACATTAATTTGAATAAACTATAAATCATTAGAAGAAAACCTTCACTACTTTGACATAAGCCAAAAATATTTTAGGTAGGATACAAAGCTACAACCTTAAAAGAAAAATACATTACATAATTTGGACATCTTAAGTATTAAAATCATCTCTTTTTCAAATGACACTGATATAAAAACATAATACAAAAAGTGGGAGAAAATATTTGCAAAAGATATATCTGATAAAGCATTTGTTACCAGAATATGTAAAGAACTATCTTCATTAATAAGAAGGCAGACAACATGAAAAATAGGCAAAATGCTTGAGCAGTCTGTTCACTAAAGAAGATACCAGATGGAAAAAAAGTTCGTGAAAAAGATGGATAATATTATTAGTCATTAAGAAAGAAATAAAGGTGAATATCCACATAAAAGTTCTCAAAGATTCACAGCAGATTTTTTCATAACAGCCTCAAACTGGAAAATAAACAATAATGTGTTATTGTCCTACAGTAGAGTACTACTCAGCAAAAATACTCATATATTCCGCAAAATGGATGAATGATGGAAGCTAAACACCAAAAATTACATAATATTTTATTCTATTTGTATGAGATTCTAAGAAGGAAGGACAAAACTGTGGATCAGTGATTGACAAAAACCAAGTAATGAGGAAAAATAATTCATTATAAAAGTGCACCAGGAACTCTAGGGGTGATAAAAATATTTTATATAATAATTGTAGTGGTTGTTACATGACTGTATATGTTTGCCAAAACAAACGAAAAGCAACGTGCAGCCTTTTACCCCTGTATTAGTCTGTTCTCACACTGCTATAAAGATACTACCTGAGACTAGTTAATTTATAAACAAAAGAGGTTTAATTGACTCACGGTTCAGCATGGCTGGGGAGGCCTCAGGAAACTTACAATCATGGCAGAAGGTGAAGGGGGAACAGGCACCTTCTTCACAAGGTGGCAGGAGAGAGAGACAGAGAGTGCGAGAGTGCAAGTGCAGGGAAAACTGCCACTTTTAAATTATCATATCTTGTGAGAACGCCTTCACTATCACTAGAACAGCGTGGGGGAAACCACCCCCCATGATCTAATCACCTCCCACCAGGCCCCTCCCTTGACACCTGGGGATTACAATTTGAGATGAGATTTGGGTGGAGACACAGAGCCAAACCATAGCAACCCTTGATTACCTAACCATCCTCTGATTAACACTCTTGCTCCCAGGATAAAAGCAAGTGTCCTTAACAGTTTCCTATCTTTTTGAACCTGGAGGTACAGGTATAGTCTGATAATAGTTGTAGTAACACTGTTACATTTCTTAACAATGCATTTTAGTGGTGCGATCTCAGGTGATCTTTGCTTGTTTAGCCCACATTTCACCTAGTCTGACAGTTCTTTTAAATCAAAACATTAAAGGATTGTTTTGTAAAATAGTAAAACAACACTGAAGTAAGTATAGAAAGAGAATCCCCAGTTCCCGAACCCTCCCCAAAGGTGACTTCAGATAGCAGCTTGATGTGTTTTCATGGAGGTCTTTATACACACTACGTATAAATAGAGTGCAGGTATTACTTGAAGGCCTTTTTGCCCTAAGATCTCCAGGAAATTCCTTGAAGCCCACGAGTGTCTAAGGCCTTGAATCAAGATTTCTATCCAAGCTTGGGGTAAGGAGTTAAAAAGCATGGACATCCTTTCTGAGCTCCTTCCCTCACTCTGCACCTGCATGCATTGCCTTTGCTTCCTCTGCATCAGCTAGCATAGAACATTTAAGGACTTCACTGCTTTCCCAAAAAATAGTTTCAGACCAGTCATTTTTAGGAATTATAGGAAATTTTGATGAAGAACTAGGGTGTTTGAAAATACAATATATTGGAAGACCTCAGCCTTCTAGTACTTCATTTTCTCCCATGCTTTCTCCCTGTCCATCTGTGCTCTCCCCCTTTTCTTTCAGTGTTGTTTCCAGATATTCTGAATTCTTCACCCTCTATCACGCATAATTATTCACCTCTTCACTTCTCTCACCCAACAAACTTTCCATCTCAAATCTGTCAAGGTATACAGAAGAAAAAAGGGCCTTCCAGTCAATGAAATTCTCTTATAAGGAGTCAGTTTGAATTACCACCTTCCTCTTTGGATTTTTGCTGTTCCATATATTTTATAATAGAAGATATTTCATGTGCAATATTTTGGACCTGTTTTTCTCCAAATTAAGGGAACTACCAGAAAATAGGTTTCTTAATTCCCAAATTAATTAGCTAAAGTCAAAATATCTAAAATCAAATCATTTAAAATCAATTATCTAAATTATACAAATTAATGAGCTACAAAGATGAGTTATCATACATGTTTGCAAAATTCAGTGAAGTGTTTTAAGCACTTGTTTATATCACAACAGAACTTATAACAAGCAAGACCTGTCATGATTCATGTGCTATCAATAATGTCCCATGATATCACTCCATGACCATCCCTGCCATTCTCCTAGTTATTACCAACTTCTTATTCACATTTCTATGTTCACAGTATCACCATATGCTCAGTCCCATGTCACATATTTCTTCAGTTATCTTTGTGTTGAGAGTTTCTAAATGAATACTTATACAAAATTATCCTTTTAGGATACTTCCATTCTTATTATATTTTGGTATTATAGGGTCATAAATAACAAAATCTTTTCACATACAAAATTTTGCTCATATAATATAAATGGGATTACATATTATATGTGTTCCATAACTTTTTTACTTGTTTATTGACTTGTAAGAGATCTTTATACAGCTTGAATACTAATCTTTTATTAGCTGTATACACTACAAATATCTTCTCTGTGACCTAGAGATCATTTCATGATATTTGTATACATCTACTTTTTTAAACAGCCATATAATAATCCATCATATGAGAACACAATAATTTATCTAGGCTTCCTATGTAACTTCCTTTTTAAGAGCAAGAAGCTCTGCCTCCTATTAGCTGTGTTACTTTGGATAAGATATTTAATCTCTCTGAGTCTCTGTTGCTTCATATTTAAAATGAGGAAAAGTATTTTCTACCTCATATGGTTATAGGTGAGATTAAAGAAATAATGCAAATAAATTATTCCAGAGCTGGGTTTCTCAACCTAAGTACTAATAATATTTTGGGGCAGGATAATTGTTGTAGGGGGCTGTCCCATGCATTGTAGGCTATTTAACAGCATCTATGACCTCTACCCCTAGATGCTCAGTTGTGACAGCCCAGAATGTATGCAGACATTGCCAGATTTCTCCCTGGTATGTGTGTGTGTGAAGAAGGAGGCACAATCACACCCAGTTGAGAACCAATATTTTGGAGAAGGGCCTGGCAACTAGTGTCAGATATACTACTACATGAAAGTGGACATAGGCACAGCCAAAATCTGTAAGATGCTCTTCATATGGATTACATTATGGGTAGCTCTTGCTGCAGTTGTGCATGGTTGTGGCCATGAAGAAAGGTGGCCATATTGCTAGGCTTTTAGGTTTGTGTCATTTTTACACTAAGGCAAATAACAATAATTTCATAATATACAACTAATTACATAGATCTTTGCATGCCTGTGTGAGCATGCCTGCAAGAGATATTCCTGAAAATGATGTCTTTGAATGGGGGGTGGGGAGACACAGGGCTTGCGTTATTAAAAGTTTTATATATTCTGCCAAATCAACTTCTAAAAATGCTAGACCAAGTTACACTCTCACTAACTGTAGTTAAGAGTGCCTTTTTCCTCATATCTTTATCCATAGTGAATATTAACACAGTTATTAAATTTAAACATACTTCGTGAATTTTTAATGTTTATTTCCACAATTTACATTTTTTCTTTTGTGCATTACATCCTCATCATCCTTTTTATATGTTTCTGTTAATCTTTTAGTCTTTAAATGCTGTACCCAGATCTCGAATTATAAAACTATTAGATTACACAATAAAAGCACAGATATAAATATAGGTAACACCCAGATTTCATGAATGTTAACATTTTATTTTATTATTTTTGCTTAAGACCTTTATTTTAAATTCTGCACATCATGTTGAAGCCCTCAGGGTACTTCTCTCCAACCAATTTTTTATCTGGGTCCCCAGATGTAACAACGATTCCAAATTTGCCTATATATTTCCATTCATATTTTTATAATTTTGTTAGGCATATATGCAGCCATAAAAATGTACATAGCATTGTTTTGTTTTTAAAATTTGCACAAATTTAGTTGTACTTTACAAATCCTTTTAGAATGCCTTTTAAAATTCAAATCATATTTTTAAGGTTTGTTCAGGTGGATGCGTGTAGTTTTAGCCTACGGTTTAAACTGCAGTGTTTATATAATTTTTGAATATTTTATTCATTACCTTATTGATGGAGGTTCATTTTTTCTCATTTTCTTAATTTTTGGGATTATAAGCAATATAATAATGATGATCCTGTTGTAAGTCTTAAGTGTACATGTGCAAGAGTTTCTCTTTGGGTCATAGCTATCAGTAAGATTTTGGCTTGTGAAGATATACATCTTCATATTTATTAAATGCCATCAAATTGTTCTTCATGGTGATTATAATACTTCATCCAGCTGTTTAGTTTTTGACATCCATACCAACCAACTACTGGTACTTTCAGTCTCTATTATTTTTTCTTCTAATCTTTACTCATCTCTCAGTAATCGGTAGAACAAGCAAACAGAAACTCAAAAACAAAATTTAAACAGGGAAAACAGAGCAATACCATCAACCTACTTAACCTAGTTTACAATTAAAGAAAATTTTATATCTATTACACATGGAACAGTTATCAAGATAGATTATATACTGGGCCATTAAATTAGTCTCAACAAACTTGAAATAACTGAAAACACATTGGTGTAATCTTAGGCAGGAGTGGAGATTTAATGGAAATGAATCACAAAAAGATCCTTAAATATTACTTCAAATTTAGAAATAAAACAATGCGCTACTAAATAACATGAGACAAAGAAGAAATCCCAAAAGAACTTATAAAATATTTGAGCTTAATGAAAATGAGAGCAAAATGTCTCTAAACATGTGGGATGCAGCTAAAACAATGGTTATGGGAAAATGTATAGCATTAAATACTTTTGTTAGGAAAGAGGATGGGTCCATCCTAAATTTAAAAAGAAGAAATTAAACCTGAAATATAAAGAATAAAGGAAATAATATAGATAAGAGCAGAAATCAATGAAATTTTTTTAACCTGGAAAAACACTAGAGAAAAATTAATATTCTGTAATGAACAATAAAACTGATAAATTTCCAGCTAGACTGAACAAAGAAAAATAGAGAAAATACAAACTATTAATGAAAGGGAGACATCACTATAGTTTCTTTGAAATTAAAACAATAATAAGTAAATATTTGAACTCCTTTATGTTGAGAAAGTTTACAACTTTGGATAAAAGGGACAAATTCTTTGAAAAATACATATTAAAAATTAATTTTAAAAATGTAGAACATGGTGGAGCTGTCTCTAATTGAATGTGTTCATTTATTTATTTATTTATTTTGAGATGGAGTCTCATTCTGTTGCCAGGCTGGAATGCAGTGGTTGATCTGAGCTCACTGCAACCTCCACCTTCCAGGTTCAAGTGATTCTCCTGCCTCTGCCTCCTGAGTAGCTGGGATTACAGACGCCCACCACCACGCCTGAACAATTTTTGTATTTTTAGTAGGGACAGGGTTTCGCTACGTTGGCCAGGCTGGTGTCAAACTCCTGACCTCAAGTGATCTGCTCGCCTCACCCTCCCAAACTGCTGGGATTACAGACGTAAGCCACCGCGCCTGGCCTATAATTGAATTTCTAATTAAAATTTCTCCCACACAGAACATTCCAGACCCAAATGACTTCATTGGTAAACTTTGTCAAACATCTAAGGAAGAAGTACTAGAAATTCTTTAAGAAATTTGAAAGGAGGGAACACTCCCTATTATTACTTATGAGGCCAGAATTATTCTGATACCCAAAAAGATGGATTAATTATAAGAAAAATCTACATTATAATTCTACATGAACATAGACACTAAAATCCTTAACAAATATTAACAAATCAAGTCCAGCAGTAGATAAAAAGAATAATACATTATGACAAAAAAAGAGTTTATCCTAACACTGCAAGGGTGGTTTAATACTAAAAACATCTGACAGTGTCATTCACCACCATAAATGAAATAAAAAAGAAAAATTATAACAGTGTGAATTACATGCAGAAAGATAACTTGACAAAATTCGGCAGTCATTTATGATCAAAACTGTCAACAAACTAGGAATAGACATAACTATCTCTATCTGTTAATGGACATTTACAAAAAACCCATGGTTAACATCATTCTTAATTTTGAAAAGCCACTTACTTCCCCCTATTATGAGAAATAAGACAAGGATGTCCATTCTAACCACTTCTATTCAACATTGCAATGAAGATTCTAGCCACAACAATAAGCAAAATAAATAAATAAATAAATAAATACAGTAAAATAAATTAAAAATCAGAAGCAGGAGGATAAGAAAAGAAGTAAAATTGTGCTTATTTGCAGACAACATGATCATGTACATAGAAAATATTAAGTAATCTAAAATAGCAACTAGAGCTAACAAGTTTAGCAAGGTCACAGGATGCAATGCCGGTTCATCAGAAATAACCACTGAGTGTGCATGCACATGCATTTATCACAGTCCTTCTCTCCTTTATTTCTGGCATCCTCTTACCCCCTTCCTGTCAGGTTCACATACTATTTCAGCTTTCTACATGTGAAATTTGAATGAGAAATGTTTTCCAAGAATAATTTTTAACAATTAGGGTAAAGTTAGAGGTAACCAAAACAGAATAATTTCTTCCTTAGAAGACCATATAACCTAGTCTTTTTATTTATTTATTTTTTTACATTTTTAAGGCATGGAAGAGTTTATTTTCTTCTTTTCAAAGGAATACTTGGGCACTGCCAAGATATGGATAAAAATTTCAGTCAGGGCTTAAAATGCAGGATGGTAGTTTTTCAATATATGATGCTATATTTTGTGTAAACAACAATGCATTTCGACAATAAATTTAAAACTCTTACCATTTTAAACTTCTAAAATTAATAATATTGCCCAAAAATACACTCTGTAGCACCTCAATAAAAATACTTTTATTCACTCAATGGCTTTTGAGGTCTATTTTTAAATTTAACAAGTGTGTTTTATAATAAACATATTTTTATAATAATATTAGGGAAATCCTGGCTTACCACTTTGTATAATATATAATCCACTTGTAAATATCAGAGTTCTATTTGTGGATCATGATAGTACATATATATGTGTGCTAATTAATTAATGCAACTGGATTTAGAGGTTTTGTGTTTCTCTACTTTTTATGTATGTAAGATAATGAACACGTTGATCTGTTTCCTTGGCACTCAGGGACTGAACTCTAAATAGCGTAATATTTTCTAGATGTGCTTTTTTCTATACATAATTAGTTTCAGTTTGTCTGTAGGAGAGGTCTGTGGCATTACTAATTAAGAATCTAATTCAGCAAAACATATGTCTTCAATTCTAAATTAATTTACTCTGGTACATATTGAATTAATGAGAATTGCCATATATACATATTTCTTTGGGTAGCTGTTGAATTAAACTGAAGTGATTCATATCCATGTATGGATTTGAAGTCTACATGTGGGATAAGTTGAATAAATAATAAATCACAGATAAATTGCAAGATCAAAAGAAAGTAACGTTGTAACTCTGTATTGTGTGTGTGGTACGATTTTATCTCTCTGGTTTTACTTCTTTTGTGTAAGAGACCCTATAAATACTCACAGCAAAGAAAATACACCGAGATTTTATGTTGAATTGAAAATATTAATTATTCAGAGATAAAGTACTTGTGCAGGGCTTTGTGAGATAGAACAAGAATAGTGTAAATTTGTACTTGTAAATAATGTACTTTCTATAGAGATTTATAGTTGTACAAATTGTTCACATATGTCATTTCATTTCACGAACAAAAAGCTGTTATTTGTAAGATAGGAAAGAGTCACTTTAATTTCAGTCTTATTGTTACCTTTTTCTTGACTAAACTTTACACAGACCACTCACACCCATTTATATTTGCCGACACATCAGCCCAGGTCCTCAGGCTGAAAAACAAAGTAATTTGGTTTTTTCAAATTGTTGAGTGGTGTTTAAGAAAATTAATCTAAGTATAGAATATATTTTTAAATGCCACAAAGCTTCAGTGATCTGTAAAGATCAGGTTTTTAATGTTACAATTGAGCTTATTTAGCTGTATTTTATAGTCTCAGTTTACTACCCAAGCCAATAGAAAATAATTCTGAAGTCATTGTCATCAAAGGCCCACATTTCTTGAGTGCCCATTATGAAAAGTAAAATGTGATTTATACATTTGATTATAACAATTTGTGGCACTTTTTATCTTAAAGATTATTACCTGAAAAATGACATGGTGGAAGTGAAAGGAAAATAATGACTACTGAAGAAAAGGGTTACTTGGAATTTCTACTTTCTACACTGTTTTTTGTATTTATCTGTCACTTGATAGGAACATGCTAGTCCATAAGGTCCTTATGGTCCCTAAGGTGATCTCATCTTAGCATACGTTGGGATGCTGATGTTGTTCAAAAATATATTGGCCCAATTGGCTTCAGTTTTCAAACAGAACTGCAGACACTTAACCTTTCCTTTCTTAATAATTTGAAATCTTCCATCTTATCTTTTATGAGAATAAGAACAGTTGGCTCTTAGTTTTCTAGGTGCGTGAACAATTTAGCTATAATTTCCTGAGATTGCTTGTTTTTATATTTTCTAGGAACTAGGAATCATATCATCAGTTGTGTAAATGTTTTAGAAGTGTCCATCTTTTGTAATTAGGGCTTTGGCACTGTTCTTTGGGATAATAGTAGATAGTATGTGTTTTGTACATAATAGTTGATGAGAACTTTTTATAGATTAAACTATTTATTTTTCAGATAGCAGTGATCAACAAGTCTTAGTAGTCCCATGTTAACAATAAGAAAAATAAAGACCAATGTGGTTATATTATTGCTTTAAAGACATACAGGTCCCATGTGACAGAATAAATACTGAGTTTGGTCTTCCAGTGCCACATCTTCTTCCTTTCCCTTTATGCATAAGGTTTCCTCTGGTTAAGTTGAATTGTATGAAATTCTTGATATATGAATATTTGACCTACAGTAAAACAAAATTTGTATGCTACAACCTACAAACAAAACAAAACAAAAAACTGCCAATTAGGAAAAGTACATTTTACATATAGCTAAAACTGAACAATTTTTTAAAATGTTCATTACTATTAGTAAGTTTGAGGGGGAAAAAGACTTAGACATTAATGTGTGAAAATGAAAGGCCAGAGCAAAAAAGTTTACTTTTGGAGTACTCTGGGCTCTCTTAAATTAAGAGTGTGGGCTCAGCAGCCAGAGTGTGCAGTTTCAAATCCAAGCTCCTCAAGTAACTTGCTATGTAACCTTAAGCAATTTGCTTAACCTCCCAGTGCTTCAGTTTATTCCTATTAAGAATCAGTAAGATACTTAGAACAGTATCTGGCATCATTGCAAATCCTGTAAACATATTTGTTAATTAAAATGAAAATGAGAAGTAGAGATAGAAAATGTTTCCTTCCATGCATTAAATAATTTTCTGAACTTTCAAAATGCTACCTATTAGGTACTTTGGAATTAATTAAATTAATGCAGAATAGTAAATTTAATTAACCCAAGTAATATTGTACTCATGGGCAATTTGTACATTAATTTTTCAGGCAGATCTGAAAGAAAATGTATGAAATGAATTACTCCCGGCATTCCAGGAAATGTCTGTTGGTTGGCTGAGCAGTTGAATGAAGTTTTGTCACTACAGTTCTCCTCCCAAAATTCTTTTCAAATTTTAAGTGCTGAAAAGCCATCCAGGAACTGATTTCTAACAGGACTCTAATGCTTCCCCATTCTCTTACAGATAAGTGATATAGTAACTTCCCATGGCCAAGTGATCAACTGTAAAATGCACACCCATGAGATGATGGGTTGATTGGCTTGTTTTCCTATAACCTCCAATTTCCTATGTGGCTTTTCAAAACATCAGAAGAATGTGTAGGAAACAGAAGTGAGAAAAGAATATGCATTGGTAGCCTGCTAGGGGCTGTGCTAAGTACATTATAAGATAAGAATTAATTTGTAATATTGTGATAAAAGGCAACTAAAGCTCTCTAATTCCTATTTGTTTCTAGGAACCAAATAAAATCAAAGGTATATAGAATTATTTTCAGTTGATACATCTACTATCCTGCTTGTGAAATATAGAATAAATACTGGCCAAAGGAAAGTAAAGTCTAGGTAAATAATGAGACAAGAGACCCTAAGTCTTCAAATAAGCCCATTTTCTGGTGCAGATGTGTCAGTTTATCCCAGATTACTAAGAGAATTTGCAGAGTAAACACTGAACTGCTCTCAGTTATCTTTGTAAAACAGGTATTTTATAACGACTTCATTAAAATGCCACAGTCAGAGGTCGCTTAGGTTGTTTTTCGATTTTTTTTTTGGTAAATTATGAGATACAGTTTGCACTGCCAATTTTGTACTCCCTCGTTCTCTTTCGCATTTGTGCAAATATTTTCAGTGAAACTGCCAAGCTGATGAATAAACATATATTGTTGTTAGAGATAATGTGGAATTGCCCCTCAGTGTTTTTTCTGAGATGGAGTCTCGCTCTGTTGCCCAGGCTGGAGTGCAGTGGTGTGGCACGATCTCAGCTCACTGCAAGCTCCACCTCCCAGGTTCACGCCATTCTTCTGCCTCAGCCTCCCAAGTAGCTGGGACTACGGGTGCCCACCACCACGCCCACCTAATTTTTTTGTATTTTTAGTAGAGACAGGGTTTCACCATGTCAGCCAGGATGGTCTCGATCTCCTGACCTTGTGATCCACTCACCTCCGCATCCCAAAGTGCTGAGATTACAGGCGTGAGCCACCAGGCCGGGCCACTCCTGAGTGTTTTTATCACTTTATGCCACTGATAATGTTTCGGAGTACCTGTTTTTCTAATTACCTCTAATTAATTGTCTAATTTTACATTTTATTTCCAAGTAGATGACTGTGAAAAGCATTCTGTTATTGTTTCCATTTTAATTTCCTTGCTTATTGGTCAGGTTGACCATCTTTTCATGTCATCAGCCATTAGGGTTTCTTCTATTGTGAATTTCCTATCATTTAATTTGGAATCCTTCTACTCGATTAACTTTGTATATCAGAATTATTTTACAAATATATTTCTTTGTTATATATTGTACATATTTTCTTCCTGTCTGCCAAATTTATGACTGTTTTGTCATGAAACAGTTTTACATTTTAATGTGGTCAAATTTGATAACACTATCCAATATGATTGTCACATTTTGGCATTCCTTAAGAAGGTTTTTCTTCTCCAAAGTCATAATCAAATCTCACTCTACTATTCTCTTTTAATACTTTTGTATTGCTGAGGTTCAATAAAAAGCAAATTACAGAGTGATACATAGATTATGTTACTTAATTATTATTTAAAAAAACTCACAATATTTGCATTTTCTTGTGGGTACCTATATGTGTATGCATAAAGATATAAACATGCCTGGAAGAAATCACATCAAATTGATAATAATGATTACTTTTGGAGATAAGTTGTATTCGTCTGTTCTTCCATTGCTGTAAAGAAATACCTGAGACCAGGTAATTTATAAAGAGGTTTAATTGGCTTATGGTTCTGCAGGCTGTATAGGAAACTTAGCAATATCTGCTTCTGTGGAGGTCTCAGGAAACTTACAATCATGGCAGAAGGTGAAGGGCAGCATGCATCTCACATGGCGAAAGCAGGAGCAAGAAGAGATATGGGGGAGGTGCCACACACTTTTAAATGTGCGGCAGATCTCCTGAGAACTCATTCATTATTGTGAGAACAGTATCAAGGGGAGGGTACTAAACCATGCACGAGAAATCTGACCCCATGATCCAGTTGCCTCTCACCACCTCCAACACTGGGGATAACAATTCAAGGTGAGATTTGGGTGGAGACACAGATCCAAACTGTATCATAAGTGGAGGGGTCTAAGATTGAGACTGGTGGTCAAAGAGATTATTAAACTTACTGATAAATTTGAAAAACCATTTTGACAGAGAGTACTGATGTATTGCTTGTATAATTAAAGGTCAGTGTGTGTGTGTGTGTGTGTGTGTGTATGTGTATATATGTATGTATGTGTGCGTGTATGTGTGTATGTAATGAAAATAGTGTAACCACACCACATAATAAATTTGAAAAAAAAGAGGGACTTGCTTATGTTTTCATTACCTATAATCACTATTTGAATTTTGCTATACTGCTTTAAATACCAGTCTGTTTTCCTGTGACTGTATTATTTTAAAATAAATTCAAATCATAGTGTATATAACTTTTCCCATTTTTAAAGAAACTTATCACACACATTTCGCAGTATTGCCACATAAACTTCAGTAAAGCCAGATTTAGACTATATAATGTGTTTTTCCCGAACATGCCATAATAGAGTTTACCATTTTCTTAATTGTGGATGTTGAGATAGTTTCTGTTTAAAATTATGAAAAGTGAATATTACACTATATAGTTGCTGCTTTATGTGCTTCTTTAAGAAGAACTTCCCTACTCCAAACTCATAATCAGATCTTCTCTATATATTTTTCTGTAATACTTTTATACTGTTGAATTTCATAAAACAAACAAAGGAGGTCTAATTTTGAATTTAACCCAAGAATAAATTACAAGAAGTGTAATTTGTGAACCCAGAGTGGTAAGTAACATGGTTCTTCAAGGATTTCCCAGAGGGCACTGATTTAATGAGTCATCAGTGAAGTTTGAAGGTCCCAGGTTCACTTCATTTTTATCAACTATATGTTATAATTTTATGTGCTATTTTTAATTGCTATTTGAAACATTGAAATTGTGCCTGATTGTTAGAATTTACATTCTTTTAATTGCTGGCCAAGAATGATCATGATTCCACGCCCGTTTCTCTACTTGTTTTTATTTTTTTGTGAATTATATATATCATTTACTCATTTGGCTACTACAGGTGTGCTATAATCATATGTATACCAAATGTTTTCTCAATTCATTTTGCATTTCATCTGTTAATTCCCCTTTCAGTATTTTGAATAACTTTCAACTAAGATGCTTTGTAATTTTTTAAAAAAGTAACTGTTTAATCACATAGGATGAGAGTATTTGGTAGATTTCTAGCTATTTAATGAAGATTTAATCTCAACTATGAAAGAGATTGCTAGGAAGCATCATGATTCTGTCTTTGACTCTACCTGTTCAATAATTTCAGTCAGTCTCTTAGATAAGAACATTAATGTTTCTAATTCTGTTAACAAATGCTAAAAATAATTTATGAATAGTTATTAATTCCTTCAATGAAGAAATCAGTATCAAAAATATTTTTAACGTCTTGGCTGCATATAGCAGTTAAAACTTGCAAGGATACTAGAGAAGTTCTACCATTAGTTTAAATAAAGCTTTGGATGGATGAACTCATTCTTTATGACAACCAAGATGGAAGACAGAGATGACTATTACTCACATATTGTCTATTTCATAAGAATCACACCCTAGTTACATTTCTGTTTGTTCTTGGTGGATTGCTCTCAAATATTTTATTTTTTATATTTCATTTTCCTTTCAAATTACAAAACTTCTATCCATTAATATTAAAATTATAAAGTCCGTATGTATGCATGATGAATTTTGAAGTTGGATATTTTCCCCATCTTCCATAAAAATTATATTGCTTTTAGTATTAATGAAATAAATAATGGAATGGTAGTTATATTTACTTTTTTCATTTGAATTATAAACAGAGAAATATCTATATTTCAAAATACTTAATTATGAAGGATAGAGGCTATGGAGCTGCTGGGGAAAAGTATTCCTGTGGGGCTACTGATTTTCAGTGCTTAGCTTATCATCAGTAACACTGGAAGTAGCTGATCATGCCTTGGTTCTTGATACATGTTTTTGTCATTGGCCATCCTGGACACCACATGTCTGACTCCTCCCTTTTAGATTGTTTTATTGATTATTAGTTTTCTCTGTGTATCCTTTACACTGGCATGTACTAGTGCTCAGTCTTAGGCCTTCTTTTCTTCTCTGTCTACAGTCACTTGGTAATCTAATCCAGTCTCATGGCCTGAATGCCAACTATCTGCCAATGACTTCAAAACATATAACTCTAGTTCAGACCTCTTTGTTTAACTCTGTGATTGTATTTCCAGCTACCTAGATGAAATTTAAATATGAAATCTAATAGACACACCAAGTTTAACATGTTCTTAACTGAATTGGTCTCTTCTTCCCCTGCAATCTCCAATTCTGCTTTCCCCGCATTATTCTCTATATTATCGATGGCCATATTGACATGGGCCAAAATTATATTGTGATCCTCATATTGTGAATTCTTCTTTCTTTCAAATTACACATCCAAACATCGGTTCATTCTTTTTGTTCTACCTTCAGAGTTTATCTTGATACTGACCAGAGGGAACTCTTAAATAAGTCCAGTCATTTTCATTGCAACATTTGGCAAAGCATATGTAGTGAGAGTAAAAAACCATGGGTGCAAAAAATACCACCATCTTCTGTGTAGTAATTACTTTTGAGCCATAAGAAAGATAATTGGCTTTGGGAAGTTGTATAGGGTCCACTTCAACTGAATCAATAAATTGTTTTTTATTTTTTTTAAAGATCTGTAGCAAATAATTATTAATATTTGTTAAATACTGAGGGTGGATATGTGAGCACTCTATTATTGTACATTTCTGAAGGTTTGAGGAATTCCCTAATAAAGGATGATTAAAGACAATAAATTAAAACACTTTCCATTTTGTTATCCTGTGCCAGTCTGCACCAGGCTCCTAAAGGCATGCTTATAGTCTCTTATTTCAACGCATTCTTCATTCCAGAGACATTTTTCATTCAACATTCATTGCCCTAATTTAGAATCAAAGGAAATTGAATCTAAGAAAAGCATTCATACGCTACAGAACATCCAAGAAAAATACGAATGAAGAAGGACAATAAGCCCATCTCATATCACAAATGGTTATACTAACGGGACCATGAGAATATTTGTCATATATTTGAAGCAGAAAAAGGTGCTTAAGATACAGAATCAGAACTCAGGGTATATAGTTATGGTGAGGAAGCATTCTGGACCTTTTATAAAAACTTTAATGGATAGTCACCACTGTCTAGTAGAGAGTTGAATTGCCTCAGAGTAGTGATTACTCTACTGGTGACTGAAAGGAGTAAACAGAATTTTAAATATTTATCAGTAACATTGATGAATGGTTCCTTCTTTGGGTTGAATTTGGAACCAACTTACCCCTAATTTCTTTTGATGTTCTTCTGTTTATAATTGTCTTTCTTAAAACGTGATGCATGGTCATGCATGGACATAATAGTCTTGACGTGGCCTGGTATACACAGAGTGTTTTGGGATTGATTCAGGGTTTATACCATATTATATCAGCTCTTTAGGTGTATGATCTCCTATAGCAGCCTCTGATAAATCAGCAAGAGATTACAATAGATTTTTAGCCTCTGTTCTCACTGGTGGGATATGTATAAAAGGGAGAGTATGGAAAGGCTGGGAAGAAAAAAAGGTCAAATGTGTTCTTTAAGTTCTCCTTTCATAGCTACATTTGTATTTGGGAATGTCATGATTGGGAAACAGGCCATGAAAGAAAGAATTTTGTTGGTACAAAGTACATTGTTCCTTTTAAGGGGGGGCACATAATTATAATTTCTTGGGTTTTATTTATGTCATTTAGAATGGGAATTGGGGAGAATTATCCAAGGGTTCTAAGTGGGGGAAAAACACAACACCATCACCACATTTTGCTGATGGTGCAAGTGGTAACGAGGACATGAAATCCATAATAAGTAAATTTCTTAATTACTGTAAAGATATTTAAGATTGTCAGCCTGTATTAAAATGACTGTTTTGCACATTGCTATATTTCCTGCATCTGGAACATTAACACAGAGTATACACTCAGTAAATATTGTTGAATACATTATTGTATTCATTTGACCTTTAATTGAATCATGAAAATAAGTTGCAGCAGATTTTCCATTTCTCTGACTACCAGTGCTATGGTCCTTGAGTAGTTTGCTCCACTAATCTTGTTTCCATGGTAAAATGAATTTGCATCTACTCTCTAGGGGTATGTAGGAGGTTGGCAACATCTCTGTCAATTGTGAGGTCACCAGTAAGACCTGGCAGTGATGAGTGCTTCCCCAAATCACAGCTGTGCAGCTTTCTCAGTGGTCTCATTCTCTTCTACTTAAAGCACATAACTAGGCTGGAATTGCATGAGATAAGTGCTGCAAAGGCTCATCACCATGGTGAATGGCTCCAAAAAATCACTGAGTGACTAACCCTTTAACAACTAGGTGTACAATTGAATACACACCAACTCATTAAGTGCTAGGGTGGGTGGCGATTTGGAAGCCACCTTTCTGGTTAAGAAATAATATAGGTCAAAGTTAGTTAATAGATTTAAATTCTTCTCTTAACTCAACAATATGGAACATGTAAAATTTTCTCTTTTGCAACAAAAAGAAGCCACGTTGTTATGACTTTGGAGAATCCTGATGGATGAAGACATGGAAATGTTTCTTTGCTCAGCTCTTGCTATTGAATTTAACAACAGCATGAACACATGTGTTTGATCATCTTGCATAGCACTACTAAAATTTTAAGCCTGAGCAATGTGGGTTAGACACGGGCAGGAGCTTCCTCCGAGTGAACTAAAGGAGAGCTTACTCTTTTCTTTTCTTCAAAGCCAAACTGAGAAGGCATTAATTCTGATTTTGTTTTTTGAAAAAAAAATCAACCTTATACAAGCTTTCACTTTTTCTTTAACCTCACTAGCCCTTCCTCCACAATCTCCTTTGCTTTTTCTTTCTCTTCTTCCCAGTGTTAGGGTCCTCAGGGATTGATCTTAGGCCCTGTTCTGTTCTTTCTCTATCCTCTTTTACTGAATAATATCATTCAGTCTTAGGGACTGAAAAATGATCATTATTTTGGCAACTGCCAGATAGATGTCTCTAGCATAAAACTATCCACTAAGCTTCATTCTCCAACTACTTGACTTTTCCCTTTGGATGTCTCACAAATATATCAGAGCTGATAAGTGCTCATCAGAAACTTTGATTCTCTATCCCTAAAATCTGTTTCAGCTCCATGATTTGACTTTTATATCTCAATTACAGGCAGCTGTCTCTTCCTTCTTAAGTACTAAAGCTAGAAACTTTGGAGTAATCCTCAATTCTTCTGTGCCACTGTTCCCCCATGTCCCAATATCACACCATTAATGCATTTGGATGATTGCCATCTGGTTTGGGTGAGAATCCAAAATAAATGTCAGATCTGTTTACTTTTTTCCACATCCTTAGTCCAGTCACCCTGTGTTGCCTCCTTAGCCTAGCCACTGTGATCTTGCACCTGGATTATTGGAACTGACTTCAAACTGGCCTCCCTCATTCTACTTTTGGTCACCCTAGAATCTGTTTTCTGAAAAAAAGCAAGAATGGTTTTCTTCAGATTTACATTAGATCATGCCATCCACCATCATTTGCTTCCAATTACACTTCAAATAAAATCTAAATGGCTTAGGGTCTTGAGAGCTCTACATGAATCATGTCCTGCCAACCTGTCTGCTCTGTTTTTGCTGCCATCATTGTTTATGTATGACTCCTATCACTGCCTCAGTCTCCACACCACCTGTCAGTTTTTAACTGAGTTTGGCTTGTATGTAGGTTTTCCTAATAGACTTTACACTAATGACACCATTATTTATTGCTTTAATTACTGTAGTAGCCTCCCAACAAGTCTTGTGTCTCTCCATTTCAATCTTTCTTTTAAATTAATCTAAGTCATATGTACATCATTTACAAAGCTAATGCTTACTATAAGAAAGAAAATATCCTGCCCCTTCTCCCCATCTTTGACTTCTGCCCTACAGGAGCAATACCATTTCTTGTGGTACTAAGTATTCTAGCTATATTTATTCTTTATTTTTCATTTTGAAAAATGAAAGCTTTATAAAAGCAATCCTGTTTCTTCTGGTACTAAGTATTATAGCTATATTACTTATTCTTTATTTGTTACTTTTTGAAATATGTTTTGCTGTGACATATACACATGGGACACAAACATGTTGTTATAAATGATAATTAGAAGTGTACACCTTTGTGAACATAAAGTACATTTGTTGAGTTTCTCCCACATATCTTCCAGAATTACAGCCTTGGTTTATGGCATCGCTCACCTGGGACACCATCTTTTCCCAATTTAAGTTCGTTTTCATATGGCAGGCTCCTTCTTTCACTTTAGTTATTGCTTCAAATGCCATCTCCTTAGTTATTGAGCTACCCTTTCTGGCTTCTCTAGCATTCACTCTATTTTTTTTTTTTTTTGATCTTTCTTTGTTTCTTTAATACTGCTTTTTACAATTTAGAATTTCTTAAGTGTATTTTTCTGAATACCTGATTTTTGTCTGTCCTTCCCTCATCATCCCCACTAAATATACAAAGTCCATGAAGACAGGGGTCATTCTGTTTTCATCTTTGAATCCTCAATTACTTGCCTACTGCTGCATGGCAGGTATTTAATAGGTATATTTATAATGAACATTAAATAATCATCAGGAAGTTACAATGGAACATAATAGATTTGGGCTAGACTGGTAAACAACTAAGAAGTAGATTTTAAAATAAATTCGCTCCCTATATTTAACATGTTATTTCTCTATTTAAAGAATTCATAGATAGCCCAAAATAATAATTACAAATTATTACATGTAACAAGATTACAGTAAGGTGAATGGATACAAGAAAGTATATGAAAATAGCTTCTGTTGATATTGAGCAAAAATTAGAATATACAATGAGAAATGAGATAACTATCAGAACAAGAGCAACAACAACTAAAGCAGTCATTTTGAATATCTAAATGTGAGGATGGGGCACTCATTTTCCACTTGACCAGTCTTCACCACTTCCTTTTTACTTCTTCACCACAGAGGCCAAAGAGTAGCTTCTATTTATTCTCATACTTGTGATGTTGTATATGATAGAGTTGAAAAGGCACATTTTGAATCTTTTAAAATCTCTATCTCTATTAAATGTCAAAGGAAAAGATAGAAAAGGCCAGCAGTTTACAAGAAAATGAAGAGCAGCCATATATTTTTCATTTGTAGGAGTGAACTTGTTCCTGTGTAATTATGTAAGTAAAATATGACTGTGTTGAAAGATATACCACAAGAAGCCCTCATGAAGCACACCATGATAAAATTTGTAAGCAGTGTCCAAGAAAATATAGATGGTTTAAAAAACAAAGGGGACATTCATCAGGGATTGTTTTTGAATATGAATCTAGTAAGTGAATCTGCTATGGAATGCCCCTGGGTTTCTTTCTGATAACCATTTCACATTCCCACTTCCCATACATGAAGTCTCTTCTCTGAGGTCCCCTCATTTAAAAGGCCATTTCTACATCACTCTGTAACCCATTCCTAGTACTTGGCACTACTTGAATTCATATTATACATGTATAGCTTTTCATTAAGTAAATAAGACTCAAGGGTCATAATAAAACTCTTGCCCGCCCCTCCTAGTTTTATCTCTGTTGTTTATTTGTAGGTTCTGAGAAGACTTCTGGTAAATTTAGTCACAAAATTCTGGATTTAATCTTTCAAGTATTTATTATATAATCATCAAACTGTCAAAATTCACATAAAGTTAAAATGAATCAGCCACATGCCCTCCGCATTCAGGCTTTCTTAGAAGAAATTACATCCAGTGAAAAAGGGAGAATGAAGTCAGAGTCCTTGTCATTTCTGCACCTATGACTTTCAGTCCTCCTATTCAGTGCACTGGGCTTTCTCTGGCTCCTCTAGCATTGGAACTGTTAACGGACACCCAGAAGGAGGGGCAGGTTCTTAGGTGACAGATGGCATTTTGGGATATTATTGCTGAGCTCCGCATTTGCCAAGTGCTTTAAATGGAGAGTCTTTCATGGGTCACATTTGTGGCTTCTTGGGAGACTCTTTTCTTCAGAGATGCTCCTCAGTCTCTGGGGATCTCAGTCTTTTCCTGTGAGGATGGTGAATTCATCTTCTCAGGTAGTCACTTGCAACGCCTGCCTTAGTCTTTGGGTATCTGTTGGGATACTTTCTGGCTATATTTTCATCTTTGTTTTAATTGCAAAATAGAACACAGACAGAAATAAGATTACAAGTAATCAACATAAAGCTTAGCAACAGATTATGAAGCAAATATAGATCTTTTTGACCCAGCTGGATAAATGGTGCATCATTTTCTTTCCTAGAGTGTAAGTTGATGATGGGCCTTGACCACCTTGTTCACTACTGTTCCCTGAGCTCTAACTGTACAAAGTTGATACTAATAAGCATTTATTGAATAAAGAGTTGGATGAAAAAATAAGTAATAAAATTATGATATATTTAGAGGATAAACTATTATTTGGCAATTAAAAAACACACAAAGATCGCATAATGCTATTAAGAAACAAGCTTTTCTTAAATGGGACAAAGTAGAATATAAAATTCTAAAATATATCTATGCCTGTGTGTACATGCAAACGTATGCCCACACACAGATACATATACAATACAAATATATATGTGTATTTAAATTGACTAGAAGTATATACATACATTCATATGTAATTATCCTGTATGATAGGATTTAGAAGAATTTTTTAAACCATATTTTTATGTTCCACTACGTTTAAATTCTGGTTGTATGATCAGAAAAGATTGTAGGAAAGAAAATAGAAAAGAGAATTAAAAGAAAGGAAAAGGAAAAACAAAAACCTTGAAATATTCTACCAAGTCTGCCATGGGAGAATTGTTGGGGCATCCACCACTGAAGGAAGCCTGGAGGTGAAAACTCAGTCCACTTAGAAAGCCAGTGTGCCTTTGGCAGCCAAGAAGTCTGATCATATAGAACAGTCAGCTCAAGATAAAGTTCAGAGCCTTAATGTACTATTTTTGTCTTTTGCTTTGGGAGGGATGGGGCCTGGCCTGGCTATTGATATCAAATTTTGGATAGCTACCATCTGTGAGGTGTTATGCTTGACGTCCAAACCCTTAGTGTACAATTTTTTAAAGATGAGGATTTTTTTTTGAAATAACACTTATATGGCAGGCCTACCCTTTTGCAGAAAGTTTCACAAAGGCAGTATGTGCTTGAAACCAGACAGCCTTTCATTTGAATCCTGTCTTTACTACATACTGATTTGTGATCTTAGGAGATAATAAATCTTTTTGAAGCTGACTTATTTTTTTTCAATTATAAAATGGATGAAATTAGCGTGTGTCCAAGGCTTTATTTATAGATTAAATGAAATAATGCATATAAAATGCCTTGTAAACAGGCCTATTATTATATTATTGTTTTCTTATAAATAGTTTTAAATAGGCTTGAAAAAGAGTAAAGGTCCATATAATTTTTAGCTTGGGTAACTAAAAAAAGGTACAGCCATAAACAGATATACAAACTTTGAGAGGTGGCACTAGTTTGGAAAGAATAATGATATGACTGAAGTGAAACAAGGGAAGTGAGAGAGGAGAGTTAATCTTGAAGGGTGGCGGTGGACTATGAGTGAGGGGGTTGGGGAATCATCTCCATAAAGGAGGTTATAAAACCATTGAGTGTGATAGATGCAGAGAACAATTGCTGATCAAAAACCAGCCTTGGGATGAGAAACATGACCTGTTTAAGGGAACAGAAATAGTTTCTAGAAACGAAAAGGACCAGGGCAGTGGAAATTCAAGGAGGAGAAAAGTGGGCAAGGATCAAATGCCGCAGAGAGGGGAATAAAAAAGGAAATTGTGAGCAACCTCAGAAAAATTTCTGAAGTTTGGTGATTTGGGGGTGGGGACTAGAATGTAAGTAAAAATTTAAGTAGAGTGTAAGTAGCAAGCAAAGATAGCGTGATGTGTCAAAACCAAAAATTAACATGGAAATTGGGAAGCCTACACTCTAGGCCTGACATTCACATTAACTCTCTGTATAATTTTAGGCAAGCCACGCAATATTTCTAAGGATTGATTTTCGTTATTTTAAAACTCCTGTAATGCTCAGATGATTTCTAACTTTCCTTCTATCATTGGAGTTTTATGATTCTCTTTGGAGCCCTTTGGCTAGGAAAGAAAATGGAATGAGGTTAACAATGTGATCATCTGAAAAGTTTTCCTAAAGATACAACTTGGGCACACAAGGAAGCCAACATTGGAAATGCCCAGTGGAAGAAATAAAATTCTAATTTCCTCTTATGAAATCACAGGTGGAGTGAATACCTGCTCTTCAGAGCAGTGATGGATACATTTTCTGTTATCTCAAGAAGGAAGACTACATTTGAGCACCTGTTATATATTAGACCTTATGTATTGAAGGCATGAAGATGAGCACTATTCCAAAGCCTCAAGTAGCTCATGGTCTAATCAGAAAGACATGAAACTATAACCACAGTAGACATATTAGTGCAACAACAGAAAATGTCTGGTGTAGAATTAGAGAGGGAAGGCAGTGGTTACTTTGGAGAAAGGACAGGGTCTGCTTGATTTTGAAGAATTGATAGCTCTTCACAGGCACAATGGCATTCTGGAAAGAGAAGGCAGTATGTGCAATATGCCAAGATGTAATCATGCAACTAAAGGTTATTTTGAAATGTGTTTGTTCACATAGTAAAAGCTTGTCTGTTATTGTTATATATGAAGTTTGAGTAGTAAAAGTAAAACTGGAGAGGCAGACAATACAATTCTCATAGCCTTATAGGCCTCGTATACCTTCATGAAGGATTTTATCTTTCTGAGCATACTGTGGAAACATTGAAAGGATCATCAGGAAGAGTGTTTTAAGATGATAAGACAATAGGATAGATATGGTGTCAGAAGTGTAGTTTTATACAGATTTATATGTAGATATAGAATACACAAATGCATGACAAATCACTCCCATTTACAGTAATACTGAAATGATATTTTATTTGAATATATCATAAGAAAAACATGAGGTATTATAATTTATGCCAAGCCATATGTCATGCCTACACTTTGAACTATATAATGCTTTATAATGAGATATATTAATAAACTATAACCTTATGAGAAAATACTTAAGAAAATAAAGCCAGGCTGGGTGCCATGGCTCACGCCTGTGGTCCCAGTACTTTGGGAGGCTGAGGCATGCGGATCACCTGAGGTCAGGAGTTCAAGACCAGCCTGGCCAACATGGAGAAACTCCATCTCTACTAAAAATATGTGGGTGGTAGTGGGTGCCTGTGATCCCAACTACTAGGGAGGCTGAGGCAGGAGAATCACGAGAACCCAGGAGGCGGAGGTTCCAGTGAGCCAAGATCATGCCATTGCACTCCAGCCTGGGTGACAGAGTGACACTCCATCTCAAAAAAAAAAGAACCTTACATAGAAGTTCAGATCATGTACTGCATCAGACATTTGTCTAACATGTTTTTACAAGCATATACTGATTCTAAAGCCTTTAAGCAACTTCTCTTACCACTGTTTACAACCGAAACACTTCTGCTTCTTCGAGTGTCTCGCTAATTCTCGGATGTACTTTATATTGGGACAATAGACTTATATCCTAAGATATTCAATATTCAAGACATTGGCTTTCCTTGTCCTATCAAGAACATTGTCATATTTTTTCAATTATATGAGTTTATTTTATTTTCTGGCTATATTTTCCCATTTCTTTGCTCAAACCAGACATCTTCCACCTGTTGCCTAGACTCTCCATCCTATTTGCCCCCACTCATAATGCCTCCTCTATAAGGAGCATCCTTGCACTTGTCTTATGCAAATCCTGCTGTCTCTCAGGACCTTTCTCAGATCTTAAATTTATAATGATCTATCACCTTTCACATGTCCATGAGCACTTAGGACATTTAGTTATTATGATATGCTATATATTTTTAAATTACTTTAAATGACAAAAATTACAAATACATACATCACAAATGCACATATTTTTGGTGTGCAAAATGTTTTGATATATGTATACACTGTGCAAAGATTAAATCAATTAATGTGTCTGTTATCTCACATACTTATCAGTTTTTTGTGATGACCACATTTAAAATCTACTCTCTTGACAATTTTCAAATATACAATGCATCATTTTTAATTACAGTCACCATGTCGTGCAGTAAATCTCTTGAAGTTATTCCTCTTGTCTAACTGAAATTTTGGATCCTTTAACCAACATCTTCCCAAACTCCCTTTCTCTCCTTCTGCTGACCACCATTCTACTCTCTGCTTCTATCAGTCTGACTTTTTTAGATTTTACATGTGAGATTGTGCAGTATTTGTCTTTCTGTACCTTGCTTATTCTACTTAATATAATGCCCTTCACATTCATCCATGTTGTCACAAATGACAGGATTTTCCTTATTAAGTCTGAGTAGTATTCTGTCTACACACACACAGACACACACACACACACACACACACACACACACCATTTTTTAATCCATTCATCTGTTAATGGACACTTAGGTTGATTCCACATATCGACTGTTGTTAATAGTGGTGCAATAAACATGAGGGTGCAGATCTCTCTTTGACATACTGATTTCATTTCCTTTGAATATATACCCAGAAGTGGAATTGCTGGATCATGTTTTTTAAAAATAGGATTTTATCACGACTGTTACAATATTAAGTACCTAATGAATTCTCAATACGTATTTGTTCAACTGAGCCTCAAAACATACCTTAAGCCAGTTCAGTGAAACTTTATCTAAAAATCTGAGGTTCAGGAACATGAAGAAAATTGCAATAAATGAGCATGGAAGAATGAAGAGAAAACTTCAGATAATTGTAGTAGTACTTTGGTTATGTCAGTGATTTGGAAGTGAGATAGTTGAAGCGAAATAGTCATCCCCATAGAAGTGGGGAAAGAATGGAGAGTGTTATATTGCTTTCTGTTCCTTCTAACTTTTTAGTTAGCTCTTATATGCTGTAGGATCTGTTTATCTATTTAATAGCCCATAGTTAACTTGAATTTGAATAAATGAACCATTTATAATTAATGAGGTAAAGTAACAATATATGAACATCCCTGTACATTGTCCAAATCAAATTTTATGTTTTGATTAGAAGTTGGTTTTAGTGTCAGCACATCTACATGGAGATAAAAGTTAATGGTTATTTTAAAAAGCACCGAGCCACATAAATAGAGAAAAAGAAATTTCAACCAGTAAGAAAAGAAATGACTGGTAGCTTATTTTCACAAAAGCAATGCTAAATTGCAAAATATGGAAATTCTTACTAAATTGAGAAATCAAATAACATTAAATGACAAAAGAACAGATGTCATCATATAAGAAAATGCCTATGAAGATAGAAATAAATTAGAAAACAACTGTTAAACCTTATTTTACATCCAGATATTTACATGAAATGACTCGAGTTAAAATTATTTTGAAAAATTTAAAAAGGAAAATATGAAAAACACTTATATACTCTGCATTTATTTTAGATAGTGCATTGTGTCATATTAATTCATATAATCTTATTTCTTGCTAAAATTCAGAGGACGATATTCGCAGTAAAGCAAAGGCTGCCTAATTGTGGATTGCCCAGCACAGGGGCACTTGTGCAGAAAGGTTAATATGGGTTCATGTTCTTTCATAGCTTGTAAAATCACATTGCAGATAAAACAATTTATTTTGTTAATGGAAGAAGTGAGCCCTTTGCGGGGACACAGAAAACCTCAAGATTTCCTATAATTCTGCTTTAATATGAGCCAGTATCTTGAATGACACATATTCATGCTAGGGCACTTTGTGTGCCATAGGATAGTATTCTAGGCCCAGAAAGAAAGTTCATGGTATGACTCTTGGTGCTAAATATGCCAGAGTGAACTGAGTTGGAACACAGTGGTCAGACTATAAACATGTATTGAATGAATGAGTCACCACTTATAATTATTCCAACTTGTTTTTTCCTTTTTAAAAGTAGCTTTCTTGTTTTTAAAAGTAGCTTTCTTGTTTTTTTTTTATTATAGTTTAAGTTTTAGGGTACATATGCACAATGTGCAGGTTAGTTACATATGTATACGTGTGCCATGTTGGTGTCCTGCACCCAGTAACTCGTCATTTAACAAAAAGTGTCTGTAGATAAAATTCTAATACAACAGAAAATGTTATGTAATGAAGAAGCTTCCAAATCCTAACAAAACAACAATATAATTTATTTCAGACTAATTTACCTGCTAACAGGGATACAAAATTTAATAAAGTTAGATCCTTTGGACTTTGTGAGTTTTTCAGCCTGTACTCAAATGTTTGGATGCTTATATTTATTATGATTGTCCTTATTATTAAAATTAAAGTAACAGCAAACATTTATTGACTAGTTACCCATTATCAGAGCATTACCCATGATAAGAGCATTGCTTTCTGTTCCTTCTAACTTATTAGTTAGAAGGATATGTGTATTTTTAAAATATATATATATTTTTTAAAAAGTTATCCTCCAAATAACCCTATGAAGTTGGGGTTTGGATAAAGGTGCTGTAACTTTCCCATAGTTACACAGCTAGCAGTAAGTTATGAACCCAGTTCAGAATCTTTTCTTGGAGTCATTAAATTTTATGTGATAGTGTGCAATTAAATTTTATAAGGTTTATTGTTATAAACCTAACCATGTTTATAACCTGGTTGAAAGGATGTATAGAATCACAAATTTATGATTTTCAGAAACTGAGCATGTTTGCCTGAGCTGTGCTGAGCAGCATAATTCTTATTTTAATCATCAGCCTCACTGTCAATTTTATTGGCAACCTTGAAAACTTAATGACTCTCAGAATTACACTAATCCATAAGACAAGAATAACATATTTCTTTATTTTTAGCCTAGATCAATAATGTGTAACACAACACCACCTATTCTCAATTTATGTGTAGATGTACTACATCTTTAATGGCTATTATTTAATAATTTTATCTTTAATATTTTCTTGTTTCTCATTAAATTAAGCTCAAGGGAAAAACTGCTGGATTTGATGTAATTACCTTAAAATTCAAGCTAGTTTCAGACTGAGAGAAGTAAAATATGTATGGAAAATGAAAGAACTTACTTGAAGTTATTTGAAGGCATATTAAAATTATACAAATATTTGGCCCACATATGTGTCTAGTATTTTAAAGGTTCATTAGAGTAAATCTTTCTTAATTATCCCTACCCCTGAATATATTTGTGTGCCTGTGTACGTGTGTGTGTGTGTGTGTGTGTGCGAGAGCCAGAGTGAGATCTAGAGCGAGAGAGAGAGAGAGAGAGAGAGATTGAGACATAGGGAAAGCAATAGAGGCAGAGAGAGAAAGAAAGGGAGAGAGAGGAGGGGGACAGATCGAGGTGATAAAATTGCTTATTCTCGTTCTTGATAATTTTTTAGTGATAAAACTCATTCAATAAAATGAGATTGATTAGGATTTTAAGATTTACCCTCGATTTACTTTATTTGGTACAGAATGCAATGAGGTAGAATATTGGCAGTGGAAGATGCAATACTAATAATTCAAACAAATTAAAAAAAATTCTGCTATACTTCCAAAGAAAACATGCATTTCCTTCAGGATATATGTATTTGTTTAATTTTCACTTTAGAAAATAATTATATTATTATTGTGCCACTTATAAGTGGATCAAATTGAAATGAAATATACATAAAATTCATATTGATAATTCAAAACAGAATTAAGAACTTTGATATTAGCAGATTGGGTATTAGTAATACAGGTTTTAGTATATGATTTATTCAAAACTATTTGCTAAAGAGATAATATAGTTGAATGTATGCTATCTATATGTATTAATTATACAGAGTTAAATACTAAAAATGGAAAAGATCAAGTCATAGCATGTTCTTTCATGTGGAATACTTTCCTAGTTATAATGTAAATTTATATTCTAGAAAAGGAAAGGAAGAAATGACTAGGCTTAGCCTCAAAATATTACAAGTATACCTACTTGTTATAAGTACTTTTTATTGATCATAACTGTATTATACAGTTTCAACCCTCTGTCTCACAATTGGATGACTTTTAAAACATGTCACTATGTGAAATGAAACTTGTTTATGTAAGTAATGCTTCATTTTTCTCTAACTTATTCTTCAAGGGCTTTTAAAATACGTAGTAGAAGACTTTAAGGATATTTTATATATTAATTTGATGCTTCTTGCATTTGTCTCTTGCATTTGTCTTAATATGTTATATGAATTACTTTATTAAATAATGACTGTCAAAAATTTGGACTGTGCCATGTATGCAATTAAAAACTGTATTGCTCTTTCTGTACATGCTGTACATTTAAGTGACCCCATGGGTCTCCCAAAGTGAGCCTTTAACATTCCAAAATTTTTACTGTGCATCTGTTGCTGGCGTCTAGCCTCCCACCCACACGGATTAAGACTAACTAAATGAAGTTTATGTTAGTGCAATAAAGTACATAAAGATGAAGTAATAAAATGGGAAGATAGTTACCTTGCTAGTGGGGTTGCTAAGTTAGTTTCACTAGAAGACTGTATGCATGTTTGTTAACAAAAACAGAATGTATGAATGGAAGAATCTAAAAGTATTTTTTCAAATGATATTTCTTACATATCTTTTTGTGTTATATATTCCAGATGGGATTTATACAGCTCAATGAGGACTTCATATTTATTGAGCCACTCAATGATACAATGGCCATAACAGGTCACCCACACCGTGTATATAGGCAGAAAAGGTCCATGGAGGAAAAGGTCACAGAGAAGTCAGCTCTTCACAGTCATTACTGTGGTATCATTTCAGGTAAATGCCTTCTCCTGAAAGAGTTTTAAGTAAATATTCAATGTGAGATGACTACTTTAAAAAAACTCTCTCGTCTATTTACTAGCTTTACTTATTTTTAATGTAGAATCTTTTAATTAGTAACAATTAAATGTATCAATTATAGGATTATCTTTTAGTTTTTTATGAAGCACTACATTTTAATATCAAAAAGTAGAACTCAAAAGGACTTTAGAGATGAACATATAATATATCCTATACTTTTCTTGAATTGTAAAGTGTTCCTCATGGGATACTGTTCACTTTACTGGAATAGAAATGACACAGATAATTCCAGATACCCTGAAACTGAATACTGTGAGCTCAAAGCCTTAATTTAGTCCACCTCTGTGAAAGCATCATAGATATCTCTTGGACTAGAAGCATCCTCATCTTCTCTTTCTTTTTCCCATCTAAAATCATTTTGGAGGTTAAAATTAGCTGCAGAATAGGAAGAAGAGTAAAGATTTATACGTTCGAATTTTGTTCTCAGTATTCAAATCCCTTAAGTCTGGAACTTTTCAGAGGCTCATAAACATTCCCAACCATCAAATCCTTGGCTCTTTTTGTCTGCCAGTTCTTTACAGGAACAAAATGAGGGTGACTGTTTCATGTACTTTCTTACTTCCCTTAGGCAGAGATCTGTGGTGTTTGCAAGTATGGTGAGGAAAATGAATGAATTCTGTTACATAAGTAGGATCTGAAAGTCATAGCTAATATTCAGAAAAAAATTAAAAGTTTTCCTAGGAAAAATTTTTAGACATGGAATCCAGACATCTCAGGGTATTTACTGATCTAAGAAATATTTCCAGTTAGAATCTGAGGAAATATAAATTTATTGAAAAATTTTCAGTGTAAGGACTTTAAAATTTGACTTGCAGATTTTAATTGTCAATGTAGCTTGTATCAAGATATCAATTCTAAAATTGATTATGATACTTGAGGCCAGATTAGATATGTGCATGGTGACAATAAATCACATTTGTAGAGACCAGAGGATGTCTATATCATCGATTGCCTAGGATGTTCGGATTCAGAAAAATATTATAATATATTTCTATTTAGAATATATTTTTATCTCAAATTAATCTGTTACTTCTGTTTTCTTTTGTAAAAAGTCATGATGTCAGTCTGTACAAGAATCATCATCAAAAGCAGTTGAGTCTCTCTCCACGTCACAGTATTCCATGTCCACAAAATCAAGCCAGTTTAAATAAGACATATCCCTCTTCTCTATTACAAACACTGTAGATATAAAGGAGAAAAAGTCAGCTGAACAAAAAGTGTAGCATTACGAACAAGCAAAAGAAAAGCTTCTGTATTGGGAAATGATAAAAACGACAGCTATAGTTTGGATTTAGTCCATTTAAGGAGATTGCTTTGTACGAGTTATACTGAAAATCTGCACTGTGTAACTTTTGAATAATTGTTAAGTTCCAGCTGTTCTAATTACTCATGTACTCTGATGACACAAAGCAGGCTCTGTATGCCATTATGCATAGAGAAAAGGTTTCTAGAAAATTCTGAATTATATAGGTTAATAAAGGATAAATACAGAGTTCATGTTTGGCAAATGTTGTGCATAAAGTTTCTGAGATATATATATATATATATATATAGTAGGCATGATTGTTACATGTAAATGTTGACCTACTTGGGCCAAGAACTTGCATGTAAGGAGTGCTAAGCTATCATCAGCTAAATGATTTACTGAGCTTACCTATTTTCAGATGCTTTTTGAGGGCTCAGAATTTTAAAAATCATTTAAAAATTAGGAATCTGTGAAATAAAATATTTATTTACGGGTACTGACATGTCCAATTGTAGCCTTTCTCTTCTTACTTCAGGCTGTTACAGTAACAAATTAATAACATGGTCCAAATTTTGATAATGTTGCAGTATTTGACTCTGGAAAATGAGATTATTAAGTTTGCTTGTCTTCAACTTGGTCTTTGTACTCTCTTAGTGTTTTCAAGGTTTTAGGTAGATTATGTTTATATGTATTGCTTACATGAATATTTTTTTCCAAACAGGGATTTTCCTGTTTTAAAATGACTTTGTTGTGTTATTGTACTAGAACATAATGTAAAGGAGGGGAAAGCACATGAGTTTTAGAGTCAGAGGCCTCAGGTTCAAGGCCCAGCTTTAGTCTCACTCCAGCCTAGGTAATCTTGAGCAATTCATGTAACTTTTGAAACTTAGCTTTTTTGTTTGTAATATAAGCACAACCAGTCACCTTACAGGAATGTGGAGATAAATGACACAGTTTCTATTCTCAAGAGGTGAAGAATATATTATTTTAACAAACTGGTAACTCAGCAATTACACCATAGTGTGATAAGAACTACAATAGACTTAGCATACAAGATCCCAAGCTCCTGAAAATGGACAATTGAGTCTCAAAGATCAGGTAAAACTTATTAAGACTAGAGGGAGAAAAGGGAACAGAGTCCAGGTTGAGATAATGGACTTCGGGATCAGACTGCCTGTGTTCATATCCCTATCTGTCTGTGATCTTGGGAAGTTTACTTTCTCTCTCAAAAGATTCACTTATCATATACAAAATGGGAATAGTGATACTTCAACCTCAAGACTGTCCTCAGAATTAAGTGACATTATGTATTAAAAGTGAGAAACATGAAGTTTTTAGTGCATGCTGTTACATGTTAATGGGTCAAGAACATTTCAGGCAGAAGGAATAACACATGAAAAAGTATAAAGGCATGAGAAGGCATCAAGGGAACAGAAACCAAGTTTCTGTACTTGATAAGACACAGCCCTGGAAAAGTGGTCATGGACCAGAAACTGAAGGGACTTGAGTGCCCTGGTAAGGACTTTATCTTCAAGTGACATTATCAGTTTGTATTAACATTTTAGTATAAACGCATGAGTATGTCTAAGACTCAGTAGGAAAAGAGAAGAGATTTACAGAGCTGAAGACAAAGGTTTAGGCAGGATGTAGAGATCATCTATCTCCATTCTTCGAGCTGACTTAACCAGGCCACTACTGAACTAGTTCCCATACTCCAACCATAAGTATTGTGGAGATTATTGTCAATCTGTGGAGGGCATTAGAGAGAACACACACTGAGTACTGGTGAATAATTCTACATTTCTTCTCTGACTGGAAGTGTACGGTATCAACTGTGTTGTTTTTATACATGCATTTGGATACAACATGGTCTAAAGATTTAGGAGATGAAGAATGAGCTCTGCATAATTGTACATAATAAAAACATCAAAGAGAGCAACTTAATAAAAAGATTACTTCAATATGCATGATTTTCACAGACAATGGATAACTTATATGGCAGAGTCAGCTGTGAAGTTGAGATTCTTTAGAAACCTAGAATCTTCCAGGTAGCCTATTTAAGTGAAAATAAGGACACAGGAAACTGACAGATTGGGGCCAACACAGCTGTCACCAGCTGGGACACTGAGGGAAATATACTTTTCTAACTCTCTCTTACCTGATCTATCTACCACTCTTGGTACAGATAAAAAGCCTCTCATTTTATAAACTATCCCCCTCATTTTATAAACTATCCTCCTTTTACATTTCTTACATCTCCATCTCTGTCTCTTCTATGGGAATGTCTTCTTCCATCTGTTTACCCCTGAATACAGGCATTTCTCAGGACTTCCCTTTTTTTTCTACTTCCTGTTCCACCTACTTTCCCAGGTTGATATAATCCGAAGCCAATGTGGGTTCAGCTTTACATTGATTAATTCCAAAGTGTCTCCATTTCAATTTTTCTCCTGACTTCCATATATATGTAATAGTAACTTCTATTCAGATGTCATCAAGCATCTCAGATTTAATAACTCTGAAACTGAACCCATCATCTCTCCTCCCAAAGGCCTCTTCCAATATCCTCGACTATTTATCTAGTCACTTGAAAATTAAAAATAAACCCCCCAACCAAAACACAAGTAACAACTAAAAAAAAAAAAAGTATTAATCTAACCTTCTGTCTTTGTTCCTCTAAGTCTGATTGAGTTTACTCATGATGCTGTCTACCTCCTAATATTTTGCCTGTCATCTCTTTCTACCACTTCTGTGTTATTATTATAATAAGAACATTTATTTAGCCAGTCACAGTGGTGTACCTATAGTCCTAGCTACTTGGGAGCCTGAGGTGGGAGGATCATCTGTGCCCAGGAGTTTGAGGCTGCAGTGAGCCATGATCACACCACTGTACTCCAGCTTGGGTGACAGAGTGAGACCCGATCTCATCTCTAAAAGAAAAAAAAAGAAAACACATTTCTATAAAATGTACCATGTGCCAGTTCATGTAGTTATGTTACATGTGTTATTTTATTTTTATGTTTTCTATAATCCTTTGAGGTAGATAGTATTTGTATCCTCATTTCTTATTTTTTTTAAATTTTTTTGTGGGTACATAGTAGGTGTATATATTTGTCAGGCACATGAAATGTCTTCATATAGGCATGCATTGTGAAACAAGCACATGATGGCAAATGGGGTATCCATCCCCTCAACCACTTATGCGTTGAGATACAAATAATCTAATTAAATTATTTAAGTTATTTAAAAATATACAATTAAGTTATTATTGACTATAGTTAACCTATTGTGCTATCAAATAGTAGGTCTTATTCATTTTTTCTAACTTTTTTGTACCCATTAACCATCCCCACCTCCCCTCAAACTCCTCACTACCTTTCCTAGCCTCTGCTAACCATCCTTCTACTGTTTATATCCATGAGTTCAATAGTTTTGATTTTTAGATCCGACAAATAAGTGAGACCATCCCATGTTTGTCTTTTTGTGCCTGGCGTCTTTCACTTAACATAATGATCTCCAGTTCCATCCATGTTGCTGCAAATGACTGTATCTCATTCTTTTTGTGGCTGAATAATATTTCATTTGTATAAGTACCACATTTTCTTTATCAGTTCATCTGCTGATGGACACTTGGATTGCTCCCAAATCTTAGCTATTGTAAACGGTGCTGCAACAAACATAGAAGTGCAGATATCTCTTAGATACACTGATTTCCTTTCTTTTGGGTATAAACCCAGCAGTGGGATTGCTGGATCATATGGTAGCTCTCTTTTTAATGTTTGAGGAACCTTCAAACTGTTCTCCATAGTGGTTTTACTAATTTACATTCCCACTAACAGTGTACAAGGGTTCCCTTTTCTTCACATCCTTGCCAGTATTTGTTGTTGCCTGTCTTTTGAATAAAAGCCATTTTAACTGGGGTGAGATGATATCTCATTGTAGTTTTGATGTGCATTTCTCTGGTGACCAATGATGTTGAGCACCTTTTCATGTGCCTATTTGCCATTTGTATGTCTTCTTTTGAGAAATGTCTATTCAAATATTTTGCCTATTTTTTGATTGGATTATGAGATTTTTTCCTACAGAGTTGTTTGAGCTATTTACATATTCTAGTTATTAAATCTTTGTCAGATGGATAGTTTCCAAATATTTTCTCCCATTCTGTGGGTTGTCTCCACTTTGTTAATTGTATCCTTTGCCGTGCAGAAGCTTTTTAACTTGATGTGATCCCATTTGTTCATTTTTTGCTTTAGATGCCTGTGCTTGTAGTGTATTACTCAAGAAATCTTTGCTGAGACCAATGTCCTGGAGATTTTCCCCAAAGTTTTCTTGTAATAGTTTCATAGTTTGAGGTGTTAGATTTAAATCTTTAATCCATTTTGATTTGATTTTTGTATATGGTGAGAGATAGGGATAAAGTTTCATTCTTTTGCAAATGGATATTCAGTTTTCCCAGTACCATTTATCAACAAGACTATCTTTTCCCCGGTGTATGTTCTTGGCACCTTTTTCAAAAATGAGTTCACTGTAGGTATGTGGATTTGTTTCTTTGCTTTCTGTTATATTCCATTGGTCTATGTGCCTGTTTTTATGCCACTACCATGCTGTTTTGGTTACTGTAGCTCTGTAGTACAATTTGAAGTCAGGTAATTTGATTCCCCCAGTTTTGTTCTTTTTGCCGAGGATAGCTTTGTCTGTTTGGGGTCTTTTAGTGATTCCATATAAGTTTTAGGACTGTTTTTTTTTTCTAATTCTGTGAAGAATGTCATTGGTGTTTTGATAGGGATTGTATTGAATCTGTAGATTGCTTTGAGTAGTATGGACATTTTAGCAATATTGATTCTTCCAACCCATGAACATGGAATATCTTTCTACTTTTTGGTATCTTCTTCAATTTCCCTCATCAGTGTTTTATAGTTTTCATTATAGAGGTCTTTCACTTCTTTGGTTAATTCTTAGATATTTAATTTTATGTGTGGCTATTGTAAATGGGGTTATATTTTTAAATTTCTTTTTCACATTGTTCACTGTTGGCATATAGAAATGCTAATGATTTTTGCATGTTGATTTTGTATTCTGCAACTTTACTGAATTTATCTGTTTTAATAGTTTTCTTGTGGAGTCATTAGGTTTTTCCAAATATAGGATTACATTATCAGCAAACAAGGATAATTTGACTTCTTCCTTTCCAATTTAGATGCCCTTTATATTTTTCTCTTGACTGATTGTTCTAGCTAGGACTTACAGTAATATATTGAATAACAGTGGAGAGAGTGGGCATCCTTGTAGTGTTACCGATTTTAGAGAAAAGTCTTTCTGTTTTTCCCCTTTAGTATGATACTAGCTGTAGGCCTGTGGCGTATGATTTTTATTATGTTGATGTATGTTCCTTCTATCCCCAGTTTTTTGACAGTTTTTATACTGAAGAGATGTTGAATTTTATGAAATGCTTTTTCAGCATCAATTGACATGATCATATGGTTTTCTCCTTCATTCTATTTATAAGATGTATCATGTCAACTGATTTGCAAATGTTGAACCATCCTTGCCTCCCAGGGATATTTTCCAACTTGTCATGATGAATGAACTTTCTAATGTATTGTTGCATTCAGTTTGCTAGTATTTTGTTGAGGATTTTTGCATCAGTATTCATCAGAAATATTAGCCTGTAGTTTTTTTTTTAATTTATGTGTCTTTTTTTCTTTTCTTTTTTTTTTTTGTATCAGGGTAATACTGGCTTCCTAGAATGACTTTGGAAGTATTCCCTCCTCTTATATATTTTTTGGAATAGTTTGACTAGGATGGGTATTAGTTCTTCCTTAAATGTTTGACAGAATTCAGCAGTGAAGCCATAGGGTCCTGGACTTGACTTTACGGGAAGACATTTTATTATGGCTTCAATCTTGTTACTTGCTATCTGTTCAGATTTTTGATTTCTTCCTGTTTCAATCTTGGTAGGTTGTATATATCTAGGAATTTGTCCATTTCTTCTACATTTTCCAACTTATTGGCATATAGTTGCTTATCGTGGCTACTAATGATCCTTTGAATTTCTGCAGTATTGGTTGTAATGTCTTCTTTTTCATTTCTGATTTTATTTGTTTGGACCTTCTCTCTTTTACTCTTAGTCTGGCTAAGGGTTTATCAATTTTGTTTAACTTTTCAAATAAAGCAACCTTCTGTTTTATTGATTTTTTTTGTATTTTTTATTTCAATTTCATTTATTTCTGCTCTGATCTTTATTATTTCTTTTATTCTAGGTTTAAGTTTGGTTTGTTCTTACTATTCTAGTTCTTGTTAGGTTTTTTGAGATTTTTCCTTTTTTTTTTTTTTTTTCGATGTAGGCACTTATAAACTTCCCCCTGAGTACTGCTTTGGCTGAATCCCAAAGGTTTTGGTATGCTTTGTTTCCATTATCTTTGTTTCAAGAAATTTTCCAATTTCCTTCTCACTTTCTTCATTGACCCACTGGTCTTTCAGGAGCATATTGTTTAATTTCCATGTATTTGCATAATTTCCAAAATTCCCTCTTGTTATCAATTTCTAGTTTTATTCCATTTTGGTTAGAGAAGATGCCTGATATTATATTACTTCAATTTTTGGAATGGTTTAATGCTTGTTTTATGATGTAGCATATGGTCTTTCCTTGAGAATGATCCACATGCTGAGGAAAAGAATGGTATTCTGCAGCTCTTGGTTATAATGTTCTGTAAATCTTTATTAGAGTCATTTGGCCTATAGTGCAGATTAAATCTGATATTTCTTGGTTGATTTTCTGTCTGGAAGATGTGCCCAGTGCTTAAAGTGGGGTGTTGAAGTCTTCAGCTATTATTGTATTGTGGCCTATTCTCTCTCAATAGCTCTAATAATGTTTTCTTTCTTTATATGGGTGCTCCAGTGTTGGTTGCATATATATATTTAAAATTGTTATATCCTCTTGTTGAATGGACTCCTTTATCATTATATAGTGACCTTCTTTGTCCCTTACAGTTTTTGTCTTGAAATCTATTTTGTCTGATATAAATATAGCAACTCCTGCTCTTTTTTGGTTTTTATTGGCCTGGCATATCTCTTTCCATTATTTTATTTTCAGTCTATATGTCTCTTTATAGGTGAAGTGTGTTTCTTGTAGGCAACAGATCAATGGGTCTTATTTTTTCATCTATTTAGCCATTTTATGTCTTTTGATTAGATAGTTTAGTTCATTTACATTTAATGTTATTATTGATAAGTAAGGACTTATACTCCTGCCATTTTGTTATTTGTTTTCTGGTTGTTTTGTTGTCGTATCTTCCTTGTTTCTTTTCTTCCTGTATTCCTCTAGCAAAGGTGATTTTCTCTGATTATATGATTTAGTTTCTTGCTTTTTATTCTCTATGTATTCACCATATGTTTTTGGGTTTGAGGTTACCATGAGGTTGCAAATACTATCTTATAAACCATTATTTTAACCTGATAACATCTTAACAGTATTTCCACGAACAAATAAGCAAAAAGAAATCCAACAAAAACTCTCTGCCTTAACTTTGTACCCCAACTTTTTAAACTTTTTTTGTTTCTATTTATATCTTTGTACTGACTATGTCTTGAAAAGTTTTTATAGTTATTAGTTTTGATTGTGTCATTGTTTAGTCTTTTTACTTAGGACAAAAGTAGTTTGCACACCACAGTAACAGTGTTATAATATTCTGTGTTTTTCTGTGTACTTACTATTACCAGTGAGTTTTGTACCTTCAGATGATTATGTATTACTCATTAATGTCCTTTTCTTTCTGAATGAAGTACCTCCTTAAGCATTTTTTGTAGGACAGGTCTGGTATTGCTGAAATCCCTCAGTTTTTGTTTGTCTGGGAAAGTGTTTATTTTTCCTTCATGTTAGAAGGGTATTTTTGCCAGATATACTATTCAAGGGGAAATTTTTTTTTACTTCAGCACAGTACATGACACGCTACTCTCTCCTGGCTTGTAAGTTTTCCACTGCTGCCAGTGTATTGGAGCTCAATTGTATGTTTTTTGTTTCTTTTCTCTTGCTGGTTTTAGGATTCTTTCCTTATCCTTAACATTTGAGATTTTGATTATTAAATGCCTTGAGGTAGTCTTCTTTGAATTAAATCTGCTTGGTGTTCTATAACCTTTTTGTATTTGGATATCGGTATCTTTTTCTAGGTTTGGGAAGTTCTCTGTTATTTCTTTGTAAAAACTTTCTACCTTTATCTCTTTTTCTACCTCTTCTTTAAGGCCAATAACTCTTATATTTGCCCTTTTGAGGCAATTTTCTAGATCCTGTAGGTTTGCTTCATTGTTTTTTATTCTTTTTTGTTTTGTCTCTTCTGACTGTGTGTTTTCAAATAGCCTGTCTTCAAGATCACTAATTCTTTCTTTTGTTTGTTCAATTCTGCTATTAAAAGACTGTGATTCACTCTTCAATATGCTAATTGCATTTTTCAACTCCAGAATTCCTGCTTGAGTCTTCTTAATTATTTCAAGTTCACTTGGTGTTCTATCACTCTGTGGCTCTGCTGGTACCTGAAGCCAGTAAGTCTCAAAGGTTCACCCAAAGTCCTCGATGTAGTACCTGGGTGTCACTGCTGGTTATTCAGCGCTTTTCAGTTAGTAGGTGGCAAATACTGCCAGGACTGGGTTCCTTTCTTCAAGGCAGTGGGTTCCCTTCTGGCCCAGGGGATGTCTGGAAATGTCTTTTGGGAGCTAGGACCTGGAATGGAGGCCTCACAACTCTAACTGGCACCCTATCCTGTGTGGTTGTGCTCATATCCTAGATGTAAGACAAAGTCTTCCACACGTTTCCCTCTCCCCTCCTCAAGCACAAGGAAGGAGTCTCTTTGGAGCCACCAGCTATGCAGCCTGAGGTTAGGGGAGGGGTGATGCCAGAACTCCCTTGGCCATCCTAGCTGGTGTCTCAGTATATTGTGTGTACCTCCTAGTCCACTGTCTCTAGCACTTGCCTAAGAGTTGCAGTCCTTATGGCCTAGCCTGCCTTTCAAGTTTTCTTGGAGGCTCAGAGTGCTGTAGCCTCAGTATCAAGGTTTATAGGCTGCCCTCCCTATTCTCATTTTATAGGAAAAAAAAAAAAAGAGACAGGAAGCGGAAAGATTTTTAAGAAATACACAAGGGATGATGTGATTCCCACTATGCCATTTTGCATACCAGGAGACCCTGGACCCTTGACTCTACAGCCAATTTATATATTGCTTGGATTACTGCAGTTTATTGCCTTCTCTGTGTCTTCTTGATTTCCGTCTAACCCTCTCATAATCTAGTTTCCAATTTTTCTAAAAGGTGCATTTTCTGGGATTCTTCACAACTTCAGAGTAAAATTCATACTCTTCAGCTAGGCGCACAACAACCTGAATATGGTAAGTAGATTAAGTGCACCAAAATCACCTGGAGATCAAAGTTAAAATGAAGATTTCTGGATCCCATCCAGATGCACTAAGTCAGAGTTACTGAGGCCGGGACCCAAGAGAATCAGCATTTTAAACATGGACCCCGAAATGTGATTTTTGTGCATATTTAGAGAAACATCTGAGTTTATAGAGATCTTTCATTTCTATCCCTATGTACCATACTCCTTCCTGCCTCTAAGTCTCCTGGTTTTCTTCAAAACTTTCTCTTCTTTTCCTTTAACCTTCTCATCCTCCAAGACTTAGTGCCTTAGGGAAGTCCTTCTGAACCCCCTGGATGCTACTTTCCCTAAGCCTTTCCAAGCTATTGCTTTGTAGTGCTACCATTGCATTTTGTGCATGTGGTGTTACACACTAGGGAGCCTAGTAAAATGCTGGATATAAAGTTTCTTCACGTTAATTCCATAAATATTATTTACTGCATGCCATACCCTGGACACATAAATATGAGTAACGTCAGCCTCTAAAGACAAAAATATGGGAAGACACAATCTTCTTTGTGAAACCTAAGAGAGTAAGATGACATTTCAATGATAGGAAAGATAAACAATGTTTGTAAACACCTTGAGGAAGAATTTGTTTCCACTAATTATTATTATTTGGACAATAATTATTCAGAGTCTTACTCTGTTAAGAGTTGAGATAAATACATTTTTTCCACCAGATATTTTGCTATCCAGTTGTATGTATTTGGACGAGTCATTTCTCTGCCAATTGGAGTAGATACCCATGATTCTGAGATTCATTTACATGATTTCTAATGAGTCTGAAGTTGTAAAATTGTTGTATTTTATTATCTCATTTTCTAAATCTGCATGGTTTTCTCTTATCTGCTGAAGCTCATCGCTCAGGACCCTAAGTCTCAGCTCTGAATGAGAGCTCACCTTTTTTCTATCTCCTGTGATGCCAGCTCCATGCCCTAATTTGTCTCTTCTCTGAACTCCATGAGGTTTTCCCAGTGATACTGTGAATGAGATGGTCACTGTAGTGATATATTTTATATGCTTATAGCTTTCTATTTTATAGCCTTCTAGAATGGAATCCAGTTTTCTCTTTTACAAAGGAAAACATCTTTGAAGGAAGAGATTTTCATGCGGGCTGTGGCATTATTAGATTGCTTAAATATTGCAGTAACAAAATAGTTGCTGTAGGAATTTTCTTGAGTTCTGACTATCAAAAAATAGTTTTAATATGACCAGTGATTATTTACTCTAGGTTTTAGTAAATTTTATTTGATAATCAAAATGTAATAGTTTGTTAAAAGCAAAATTTTTACCGAGAGCACAGAGTATACATCTAGGTGTACCTTTAAACCCATGTAAGTGTGCATGTTCCCATTTAGAGATCAAATAAATATGAAGATTCATTTCCATATTAAAAATGTCATCCTAGTAGCTAACATATTTCACATTTAATATATGAATTAGATATTGCAATAAGCAAGTTACATATACATGCTCACATATTCCTATTCATATACAATTTTTATCTATACAACAAATAAGTAGAAAAGTAAGTTTTTGTCCCACAGTCCCAAAGCTAGTAAGTAGCAAATCCAAGATTTTTATCTATGCATTTTGACCCCAAAGAATTGGTTTAACATCCCCCAGAAATGTTATCTTCCAATGTCCACCTAAGCTCTCTATACTTCGTCTAGCTTCTAGCCTATAGGATGAAGGAAGGAAAGTAGGAGCAAGCAATTTTCTTTAAAGGGTGACCCAAAAGTTTTACATACTAGTTCTGTTCAAATTCCATGTTTTACTACTCAGTCACATAATTACACTCAGTTGAACAGTAGACTGAGAAATGTTTCTGGGTGCATAGCCACACATCTAACCAAAAAGCAGTGGTTGAGTGGGGATGTGGTTAAGGAGTTTTTTATTACTAAAAGTAAGAAAGGGAGAATGAATACTGATAGACAATTAATAGTCTCTACTACAGCATCTCATCCAGCAATGAAGACAGGAAGGTGATAACTGGAAGAAAGTAAGGAAAATGTGGAAAAGTATCTAAGTAGAAGGAGGTGTCTCTTTTTAGTTATTGGATGTATCCATATTAATCTCATTCACTTGGCAGAAGTTGACACTGGTGAGAAGCTATCACTTGTCACAGTTGGTGAATATGTGCTGGATAATACTCAGATTCTCATTTCCCTTGAAGGCCAATTATATATCCATCTAGAAAGGTGATGTTGAAAAAAAATATATATATATATACACACACATATGTATATATGTTAGAATGTAAGTATATACACACACATAATATATAAACAACATATGTATGCGTAGTTGTATGTGTGTGTGTGTATATATATATATATATACACACACACACACACATATATATATATATATATATATATATATATATATGATCAGTTTGGTCTTTGGTATTAACTGCTGGTACTGAATCTGGATCCATAAAGTTTACTTTTAACTATAGTGATTCTGATTCAGATGGCTAGTATTGTTTTTGTCATCTTGCATTGACTTGTTATATGATATAAATAAGGAATATTTGCATTAATTGTTACAACACTTCAGTTAACTTTGTTAACTGATTATACATGATATTTGAGTAAAACTGGATTTATTACATATTTTTAAAATCTCCATCATTGCTAGAAAAAATGAGAAACAGTAACTTATGGGGATAGTCTACATAAGATTAGTTTCCAGCAACAGTGGTGGGATCCGGTTCTTATTAGATCACAGAGCTGACAGGTGGGCATAGAAGTCATAATACAAAGGAAACAGTAACTCAAGAATCCAAGAGATAAGGCTGGGAACAGTGGCTCACACCTGTTATCCTAGCACTTTGGGAGGCCAAGGCAGGCAGATCATCTGAGGTCAGGAGTTTGAGACCAGACTGACCAACATGGCGAAACCCTGTCTCTACAAAAACTACAAAAATTAGCTGGGCATTGTGGTGCATGCCTGTAATCCCAGCCACTTGAGAGGCAGAGGCAGGAGAATCACGAGAACCCAGAGGCAGAGGTTGAAGTGAGCGGAGATCGCGACACTGCGCTCCAGCCTGGGCGGCAGAGTGAGACTCCATCTCAAAAAAAAAAAAAAAGAATCCAAGAGAAGATAAATTAATTCTGTAAAAATGAAAATATGTTAGAGGTCAAAGCAAGGTAGGATATGTGGTTAGTAGAATAGGATAGAATAGAAGAGAATAATAGAATAGAATAGGCAAGCTAAAACCCAGGTACCTGGTATAAGACTCAAGGAATTTATCAGAAACCATAAAGATAGATTAGAACTGTGAGAACACATATCCTGAATTCAAAACACAGTTAGAGACATACAGGGAATCATGACTAATTGAATATACATGTTTCACTCCACTCTTGAAGAGACTTCACTGAATTTGTATTAAATAGTAAAGAAATATAAAAGGTGCCAGTCAACAGTGCAAGTTGTGGAAAGATGATAGCAGCTTAGAGACATCAACAGAATATGATAAATGACAAGGAGAGGGGCAAGTGGTAGCTGATTTAACAATATACCATGGAGATTATTCTTCAACTGTAGAAAATTCTTAAACTTGATTGTACACATGAATGGCTGCATAATGTGACATGTAAGTTACACCTCAATAAAGCTGTTATAATCGCAAATTTATTATTGAAGCACCATGTGCATACAGGAAATTGCAGAAACAGTATGTTCAACTGCTGAAATTTCCCAGTGTGAACATAACCAATAACTACCACTGGGATCAGACTATAGAGAATACCTAGGAATTCAACTTGCAAGGGACATGAAGGACCTCTTCAAGGAGAATTGAAAACTACTGCTCAAGGAAATAAGAGAGGACACAAACAAATGAGAAAAAAAAATCATGCTCATGGATAGGAAGAATCGATATTGTGAAAATGGCCATACTGCCCAAAGTAATTTATAGATTCAGTGCTATTCCTATCAAGCTTCCATTGACTTTCTTCACAGAATTAGAAAAACTACTGTAAATTTCATATGGAACCAAAAATAGCTCGTATAGCCAAGACAATCCTAAGCAAAAAGAAAAAAGCTGGGGGCATCATGCTACCTGACTTCAAACTACCACAAGGCTATAGTAACCAAAATAGCATGGTACTGGTACCAAAACAGGTATATAGACCAATGGAACAGAACAGAGACCTCAAAAATAACACCACACACCTACAACCATCTGATCTTCGACAAACCTGACAAAAACAAGCAGTGGTGAAAGTATTCCCTATTTAATAAATGGTGCTGGGAAAACTAGCCATACGCAGAAAACAGAAACTGGACCCCTTCCTTACACACTATACAAAAATTCACTCAAGATAGATTAAAGACTTAAATGTAAAGCCCCAAACCATAAAAACCCTAGAAGAAAACTTAGGCAGCACCATTCAGGACATAGGCATGGGCAAAGACTTCATGACTAAAACGCCAAAAGCAATTGCAACAAAAGCCAAAATTGACAAATGGGATCTAATTAAACTGAAGAGCTTCTGCATAGCAAAAGAAACTATCATCAAAGTGAACAGGCAGCCTATGGAATGGGAGAAAAGTTTTGCAATCTATCCATCTGACAAAGGGCTAATATCCAGAATCTATAAGGAACTTAAACAAATTTACAAGAAAAAAAAAAAACATCAAAAAGTGGCCAAAAGATATGAACAGACACTTCTCAAAAGAAGACATTTATGCAGCCAGTGAAGTGGCACAGCACATGTACACCTATGTAACAAACCTGCACGTTCTGCACATGTATCCCAGAACTTGAAGGGAAAAAAAAAAAACGAAGGAAAAGAAAATATCAACACCACAGATATCTCCCTTGTGCCCATGCCCAGGCTCTAATTTCTCCTACCCTAAGATATTCACTGAGTTGGTTTTTAAGAGCATTTCTTCCCAGGCTTTGATGTGTCTTTAAATGGAATCATACTACCTAATCTTTTGTACTTGGCCTCTTTTCGTCAGTATTATGTGGATGAACCTCATTATTTGTGAGATTCTTCCATAGTTTCACATGTTACAGCAGCTGGCTCCTTTTCATTGCTATATAGTATTCCATTATATGACTATTCTAACATTTCTTTATCCATATACTATTGATGATTATTTGAATTTTAAAAATAGTGCCACTCTGAGTAGTTTGTACATGCGATTTGTATGCATTTCTGATGGCTGTATGTTTTAGATCATTGATTAATAGGTATGCAAATATTCAACTTTAGTAGACCCTGCAAACTAGGTTTACAAAGTGTTTATCCCAGTTTAATCTCTCAGCGTGTATGCATATGATGCTTCTATTTGTCCCCACAGTCTTGTCAGCACTTGATATAGTAAGTGTCTTTAATTTTAACTTATTCCAGGGATTTTAATTTATTTAATGTATTTTGGTTTTAATTTGTATTTGCCTGAAGACCAGTGAGGTTAAACATTTTCCCATGCTATTAGGCATTTAGATATCCTATTGTGAGAAATGGTTGTTCAAGTTCTGCCCATTTTTCAATTAGACTGTCATTGATTTAGAATAGCTCTTTATTTCTTTATTCTGGAAAAGTATTGCAACTATCTTCTGTCACTTGGTGGCATGATTTCCACTATGATAGTGGAAATGTTTTAATAGAACATTAAACATTTAATAGAACAATAAAACATTTGGACATGTTTTAATAAACGGAAGTTCTTACTTTTTATGTAGGCAAACCTATACATGATTTTTGTTTCTGCTCTGATTTGGCTTCATTTGAGGAATCTATATTCCCAAGCAGTTATAGCTTCTGTAAGATCCTGATGGAAAGTGGAGCTGAATCCTTTGTAATTCATGCATAGTAATTTAGTAATCAGGAGCACCTGCCTGAAATTAGGATGTGTGGTGGCAGTCACTTCAGGCACTTCTTTCAACTAACAAGACCTTTATTTTGCCATTGATGTCAAAAAGAAAATTGCAGTATCTTTTATTTATTGAGTTATTTTGTTTATATTGGAGCTGTTTGCTAGAAATCTAATTAATGTGATCTTATTATAAGCCATCAACAACTCTGAAAGATAGGTGTTATCATTATCCACTTTGCAGATAAGGAAACTCAGGCTGACTGAGTGATGTTAGTTTGCTAAAATGGCAGAACTAATAAGTGGGAGAAGTTCAGTCTGTCTCATTCTAAAGTCATATTTCAAAGCCAAATGCCCTTTAAGATTTTATGTGTGTCGGGAACTTATTTGGGTTTGCTCATTATTAAATATGTTTAATATTATTCACTTTGCCAATATGAAGGTGCATTGAAAAATTCAATTCTCTGTTGCAGATAAAGGAAGACCTAGGTCTAGAAAAATAGCAGAAAGTGGAAGAGGGAAACGATATTCATACAAATTACCTCAAGAATACAACATAGAGACTGTAGTGGTTGCAGACCCAGCAATGGTTTCCTATCATGGAGCAGATGCAGCCAGGAGATTCATTCTAACCATCTTAAATATGGTAGGCAAACTTTAAAGTGCGCTTGGAATTTTTTCAAGAAAACTCTAAGGAAGACATGTGTGAGTATTTATAATGAAATTCTTTAAAATTAACTCATTACTATTCCTTTCTCTTATTGTCATCAGTAAAAAAATACTTAGGTATATAAAATTGATCCATCTCAAAAGCAATATCAAAATAAAAATTCACATCTTGTAAACCCTTGTTAATTTTGATGTGGCAAAGCTCTTTCTATGTTACTCTTTTCTCTCTTTTTTTGGTACTGTTCTTTTCCTTTTTTAAAAAAATGTTTCTAGCCCCATTTTATGTATGTATTTATGTCTGTCTGTATGTATGCATGTATTTATTTATTTATTTATTTTTTTGGTACATAGTAGATGTATATATTTATGGGGTACATAAGATATTTTGATAGAGGTATACTTTTGGTGAAATTATCATAAATATTTTAATATATGTTTATATATGTGGCCCCACAAAAGGACCATAGGTTAATTATGATGCGATATAAAAATGAATGTTGGTAATCCACTGACCTATTATATACGTATGTAAAATTTGATGTCAGATATGATTCTAGTTGATGAGCTAAAATTTTAACCAACTAAATCACAGGTGGCCTACTGGAGTTGATGATTTCTGATTGTAGAAATCCTAGTATCTATCATGTTAGGGATGCTTATTACCAGATTAATCCTTTGACTTAATTGTGTACTCTGTTGGGCAAACCTCATTCAAGGAAGAATCAGAAGGTTGTAGTGAAGAGTGATTCTTCAATGAGAATAAACAGAAATAAATGTTCAAGGCAAATGTCCATTTATAAGTCAATTACCATTTAAGAATGGCTGATGTAAGGATAAATATAGTCCCATTTTTTACTATCTTTGCTATCATTTGGCTGTTTTCCTGGGGAACAGAGTTTTTTTTTTTTTTACACTTTAGATATTTCTGTCCATATTCCATTACCTCCTGAGCACTCCTCTAAAATGCGATATGTGGTAGATTAACACTGCCTAACAACCAGTCTTTTCTAAGTAGAAATATCTCTGAAAGCATGGGTTTGGTGTGTCAGTTATATATTTTCTAATACAAGTTAAATCAATACTAAGTTTTCTTTTAAATTCAATGTAACAAATAAAAAATTACTTTGCTTTACAAGCTTTTTTTTTTTTTTTTTAAAAAAAAAAAAAGATGTCTCAACTAAATTGAGACATCTCCATGTATGGGCCTTGAGAAAAATTAAGATGATTTTCAGTTTAATTTTAGGATTTTTATTTTTATTTGTTTTTAGGTATTTAACCTTTTCCAACACAAGAGTCTGAGTGTGCAGGTCAATCTTCGTGTGATAAAGCTTATTCTGCTCCATGAAACTCCAGTAAGAAAGTCTTGAGTTTTTTATTAAATTAAATGGGGGAGAAATTTTGTTCAGAAACTTTTAAGTAAAGGGAATGTTAAGGATGTGCTTAAAAATCCAGAAATATCCACTGAATCACTTAAAGTATACATAAAACTGGCCTTTAGTTTTGGTTAATGCCCCGATCTTATTTAAAAAATAAGATGTCGTTAGTTTCCAAGAATCCTGAAAACAAATCTTAACTTTCCAAAGTATAATTTTAAGAAGTCATTTTAAGTGACAGTTTTATTCTATTATTTAGATGTCTACTTTTAACACTTTTTATTTATTTTAAATGGGAACTATTCTGTGACATCATTTTGATATGCTGCTTAACTGGCACTTTAGAAAATGGTGTTCTACATAGAAAATGTTGTTCTTAAATTGTAGAAACAAGTTATTTAAGTATAAAAGTTCCATATTCTTAATTGAACCTCTTTGCTTTTTCAGAATACCATTAAACAAATTTTGTAATTATTACACCTTCACCAAGTTTTAAGCTTTTAAGCTCAGGGTAAATTAAACCTGCATGTCTTCCAGGTTCTAATTAATGTTATGGTCAGCAGTTTGCTTTAGTAATTCAAGAGTGCCTTTGTTATTGTTGTTGTTGTTGTTGTTTTGTATATACCTAAGAATAATATGCCTTGTGATGAGCTCTGTTCTTTTGCAGCCAGAACTATATATTGGGCATCATGGAGAAAAAATGCTAGAGAGTTTTTGTAAGTGGCAACATGAAGAATTTGGCAAAAAGAATGATATACATTTAGAGATGTCAACAAACTGGGGGGAAGACATGACTTCAGTGGATGCAGCTATACTTATAACAAGGTAAATTTTCCAATGCCAATTAAATGGCATTCCTAATTCAATCACTGCACTGTTGATCCCATTAATCCCTTAATAGATAATGTTTTTATTTCAGATTTCGTGTTTCAAGAGTGATTTTGGCATAATGATGTTAGTCATCTCCCTCAAATCATAATAACTGATTTGTAAACAGCTAAATATTGGATGGCATATTGACAAAAAATTTGGTTAGTTAATTCTAAAAAATTACCCAAAATTTTTGACCTCAAAGGCATAGTCATTGATAATGATAAGCTAAAACTATGGTGAATTTTGTTGTAAGTTCCAAATTATGAACGTAGACTGTATGTTTTTCAGTCATCACCATATAAAGTAACCTAATATGTTAAATTCAGCAATTGAAAAACTTTCTGGCTCCATGTGAGAAACAATTTCAATTAAGTCTCTGACTGATTAATTATAAGCTACATTGTGAATGTACTACTAACAAATATTTTTAATATAGCATTAAGTATAATATGTAAATAAATGTAAGTGAAATAATGAGCAACAATATGCTCTATATGATTACTATATTTAATAATTATACATAATTTGTCTTGCTTAAAGCTGGTAAAAATAAGTAATTCATTGTGAACTAGCAATTTAATTTTAGTCATCAAAAGTGTTAGCGTTTCACATCACAGTAGCGTAAATTACACATGATTTTCTGAAATGAAATCATTGAAATCATTGTAGTTTCTTGTAATTAATACTAAAGGCAAATAATTCATAAGGTTGAAAAATCTCTATGCAGGAACACAATTGGACTTCTACTTTCGGCTAAGTAGGTAAAACTGTTACTGAGTTTCTGCAACAAGCAATCATAACATTGGAAAATAAGAAGTCACTGCTTTTAGTCATTGGAGAATGAACAGCATAAGACTGCAATTCCTGAAAGAAGGGAAATTTATTATGCAAACATCGCAGTCAACCCAGCTTTTTCCTTGGGAAAAAATTCTTAACTAGCGTAGCAAGCTAGAATCTAGGTAGAGCACAGTGATCCTGCTGAGGACACCATAGATAAAAGTCTTAGGCATGGAGAGGTGCCATGAAGTACGTGTGCTGACTGTACGTGAGAACTTGGCAAGGGCTGGTCTGAAGATAAACAGATAGAGGAAACTGCCCCAAATTTACCATAGGATTGCTGCTATGGAGTTCAGAATTTAAAAAGATAAGAGGAATAAGCAAATTCAAAGCACAAGAGTGGAACAATCTTGTGACACCTTATCAACATTTTTAGCCTTAGGGGAGACAGAGCTTGGAGGTTGAATACCACCAATTTACAGAGGCTTGGGTATCATCTTGGATTTTTGATAGATCTCCCCTACCAAAGAATAAAATCAAATTTATCCAAGTGCAGGATGATGAGCCAGTAATTGAACTGCCTCCTAAAACAGCTGTAAGCACTCTTCAGAGGAAGATAACAGAATAGCAAATCTCTAAAAATATATCATCCACAATGTCCAGAGTATAATAAAAATTAGTCAAGCAAAGAAACATGAAAATGTGACCCATGGTCAGGGAAGAATTAGTCAATAGAAACTGACCTCAAGATAGCCTAGATGTTGGATTTAGCAGATTAATGTTGTTGTAATTGGAGTCTCCGAAGGAGAGAGTAAGAATGGGTAAGAAAAATTATTTGAAGACATAATGGCAAAAATTTCTGCAAATTTGATGAAAGGCAACAAATATGGACCTAGGCACATCATAGGAAAATTGCTGAAAACCAAAGAAAAACATAAAAATTTCCATCAGCCAGTGGGTTGAGCGTTGTGGGGAGCAGAGGGAACATTGAACAGGAGGAACAATGTTCAAATAAATGACTGACTTCACATCCGAAAAACCATAAGTTCAAAAGACAGTGAAACAACATTTCTAATGTATTGAAAGAAAGTAAAATAAAGAAATCCTATCAACCAAAAATACTTATTGAGTTCTTGAGGTACTATCTTAATCTCTGAAAGGGTATCTATCGAAACATATATCTACAACTAATATCACAGCAAAAGGAGAAAACTGAACATTTTCTCCTTACAACTGAAAGCAAGGTAAGGATGTCCCCTCTTACCACTTCTATCCAATATCGTACTGAAGATCATAACCAGTGCAGTAAAGCAGGAAAAAAAAAAAAGGAAAAGCATACATATTTGGAATAAAAAGAAAAAATGTCTCTTATTCACAGATGATATGAAATGGTACAAAGAATATCTTAAGAAATCTAACAAAAATTTGCTAGAATTTATAACTGGGTTTTCAAGGCCACATCATGTAAAATCAGTTTTCAAAAACCAATTATGTTTATATATACTGGAAGTGAACAATTGGAAAAAAACTTATAGTGACTTCCAAAACCATAAAATACTTAAGAAGAATTTTAGTAAAATATGTGTACAACCTCTAAAATGAGAACTATACAGCACTCTTATGAGAAATTAAATATCTAAATAAAGATTAATTCATTGGAATACTAAATATTATTAAATGTCAGTTTTCTCCAAATTGATTTATAGATTCAATATACTCCCAATGAAACAACCTTTTCAGGCATGTTTTGTAGAAATTGACAAGCTGACTCCAGTACTAATTTGTAAAGGCAGAGGACCTAGAAGAATCAAAACAGTTTTGAAAAATAAGAACAAATTGAGGCCAGGTGTGGTGGCTCACACCTGTAATCCCAGCACTTTGGGTGGCTGAGGTGGGCAGACTGCCTGAGGCCAGGGATTCAAGACCAGCCTGCCTAACATGACAGAATCTCATCTCTACTAAGATTACAAAAATTAGCTGGGCATGGTGGTGCATGCCTGTAGTCCCAGCTACCTGGGAGGCTGAGCCACGAGAATTGCTTGAATCTGGGAGGCAGAGGTTGCAGTGAGCCAAGATTGCGCTACTGCACGCCAGCCTGGGCGACTGAGCAAGACTCTGTCTCAAACAAACAAACAAACAAACAAAAAAACCCCAAAATCTTCCCATTCTGTCACAGGAATGAAAATGTTTATATATATATATGTATGTATATGAACAAATTGGATGGACTTACACGATATGATTTCAAAACTTACTATAAAGGTTTGGAAATCAAGATAGTATGGTTTTGGCAGAAAGTCATGCAAATCAATGAAGCAAAATAAATGGTCTAGAAATAAACCCAGATATATAGGGTCAATTGATTTTTAATAAAGCTACCAACATAATTCAGTTATAAAAATAATCTATTCAGCAGATGGTATTAGAATACATCAAATGGTACAAATGGAATATCTGGACACCTTTGCGAAAAAAATGAGTATCAGTCCTATTTAACATGTGTAAAATTAATTCAAAAAGGATCACAGAATTAAACATGAAAGCTAAAACTCTATTGTAGCAAAAAAAATAACATCTTCATGAACAAGAGGAGGGCAATGATTTCTTAGATAGGGTAAAAAAAAGTACTAATCAAGAAATATTGACAATCATCTGGAATTTTTAAAAATGAAAACCATTTCCCATTCAAAAGATGTTACACCTTTTGTGAATTTGAGAAAATAGTTGTCATGCATATACTAACAAAGAACTTGTATCCAGAATGTTTACGTATGTGTGTATATACACATATACAAATACAAAAACATGTTAACCTTTTAAAAATAAGAAGAAGAAATATGAATCTCCAATAAGCATATAAAGAGATACTCAACATCATTAGTACTCAGGAAAATGCAAATTAAATTCACACCCACTTGAAAGGCTTCAGTTATAAAAATTGAAAATACTCAATGATGGTGAGGATATGGAACACTCCTCAGTTGTTGGTGGGATTATAAAATGGTTCAACCACACTGGAAAATGAGTAGTTTCTTATAAAGTTAAACATTTGCTTACCATTTAGCCCACATCCGCTTCTTAGATATTTACTTAAGAAAAATAAAAATGTTATTCACATAAAAAATTGCACTTGAAAATTTATAGAAGCTTTCATAATTTTTTTTCATAATTTTTCATAATTGCCAAAACTTATAAATAAATTTTCATCTACAGGTGAATGGATGTATTGTGTGATCATACAATTGAATACTCTTCATCAAACTGCTAATAAATGCAACCACATGGATGGATGAATATGAATATCATTATACTGAGGCCAGGTGTGGTGGCTCACGCCTGTAATCCCAGCAATTTGGGAGGCCTAGGCAGGCAGGCAGATCACTTGAGGTCAGGAGTTCAATATCAGCCTTGTCAACATGGTAAAACCCTGTCTCTACCAAAAATACAAAAGTTAGGCAGGCGTGGTGGCTTATGCCTGTAATCCCGGCTACTCGGGAGGCTGAGGCAGGAGAATTGCTTGAACCTGGCAGGCGGAGGTTGCAGTGAGTGGAGACTGCACCACTGCAATCCAGCCTGGGCAACAGAGTGAGACTCCACCACAAAAAAAAAAATTATACTGAGTGAAAAAGCCAAATTAGAAACTGATCAGAAGATGATTCCACTTATATAGAGTTTGAAAATAGGCAGAATTCATCTGTGGTGTGACAAATGTTCCCACCTTTAGGTGGGAAAACTGACTGCAAAAAGGCAGAAGGAACTTTCTGTAGTGCTGGAAATATTGCATATATTGCTTTGGATACATGTGGGTTTATACATTTGTCAAAATTCACCAATCTTCTCATTTAACTTGTGTATATTTTATGTAAGTTTTACCATAATAAAGTTGGTTAAGAGTAGTAAATTGGTAGTTTGTATTTCTGTGGGATCGGTGGTGATATCCCCTTTGTCATCTTTTATTGCGTCTATTTGATTCTTCTCTCTTTTCTTCTTCATTAGTCTTGCGAGTGGTCTATCAATTTTGTTGGTCTTTTCAAAAACCCAGCTCCTGGATTCATTGATTTTTTGAAGGATTTTTTTGAGTCTCTATTTCCTTCAGTTCTGCTCTGATCTTAGTTATTTCTTGCCTTCTGCTAGCTTTTGAATGTGTTTGCTCTTGCTTCTCTAGTTCTTTTAATTGTGATGTTAGGGTGTCAATTTTAGATCTTTCCTGCTTTCTCTTGTGGGCATTTAGTGCTGTAAATTTCCCTCTACACACTGCTTTGAATGTGTAACAGAGATTCTGGTATGTTGTGTCTTTGTTCTCGTTGGTTGCAAAGAACATCTTTATTTCTGCCTTCATTTCGTTATGTACCCAGTAGTCATTCAGGAGCAGGTTGTTCAGTTTCCATGTAGTTGAGCGGTTTTTGAGTGAGTTTCTTAATCCTGAGTTCTAGTTTGATTGCACTGTGGTCTGAGAGACAGTTTGTTATAATTTCTGTTCTTTTATATTTGCTGAGGAGTGCTTTACTTCCAATTTGTGGTCAATTTTGGAACAGGTGTGGTGTGGTGCTGAAAAGAATGTATATTCTGTTGACTTGGGGTGGAGAGTTCTGTAGATGTCTATTAGGTCTGCTTGGTATAGAGCTGAGTCCAATTCCTGGATATCCTTGTTAACTACCTGTCTCATTGATCTGTCTAATGTTGACAGTGGGGTGTTAAAGTCTCCCATTATTAATGTGTGGGAGTCTAAGTCTCTTTGTAGGTCACTAAGGACGTGCTTTATGAATCTGGGTGCTCCTGTATTGGGTAAACACCTCTACGCAAATAAACTAGAAAATCTAGAAGAAATGGATAAATTCCTCGACGCATACACTCTCCCAAGACTAAACCAGGAAGAAGTTGAATCTCTGAATAGACCAATAACAGGCTCTGAAATTGAGGCAATAATTAATAGCTTACCAACCAAAAAAATCCAGGACCAGAAGGATTCACAGCCGAATTCTACCAGAGGTACAAGGAGGAGCTGGTACCATTCCTTCTGTAACTATTCCAATCAATAGAAAAAGGGGGAATCCTCCCTAACTCATTTTATGAGGCCAGCATCATCCTGATACCAAAGCCTGGCAGAGACACAACAAAAAAAGAGAATTTTAGACCAATATCCTTGATGAACATTGATGCAGAAATCCTCAATAAAATACTGGCAAACCGAATCCAGCAGCACATCAAAAAGCTTATCCACCATGATCAAGTGGGCTTCATCCCTGAGATGCAAGGCTTGTTCAACATACGAAAATCAATAAACGTAATCCAGCATATAAACAGAACCAAAGACAAAAACCACATGATTATCTCAATAGATGCAGAAAAGGCCTTTGACAAAATTCAACAACCTTCATGCTAAAAACTCTTAATAAATTAGCTATTGATGGGGCGTATATCAAAATAATAAGAGACAAATCCACAGCCAATATCATACTGAATGGACAAAAACTGGAAGCATTCCCTTTGAAAACTGGCACAAGACAGGGATGCCCTCTCTCACCACTCCTATTCAACATAGTGTTGGAAGTTCTGGCCAGGACAGTCAGGCAGGAGAAGGAAATAAAGGGCATTCAATTAGGAAAAGAGGAAGTCAAATTGTCCCTGTTTGCAGATGACATGATTGTATATCTAGAAAACCCCATCATCTCAGCCCAAAATCTCCTTAAGCTGATAAGCAACTTCAGCAAATTCTCAGGATACAAAATCAATGTGCAAAAATCACAAGCATTCTTATACACCAATAGCAGACAAACAGCCAAATCATGAGTGAACTCCCATTCACAATTGGCTTGAAAGAGAATAAAATACCTAGGAATCCAACTTACAAGGGGTGTGAAGGACCTCTTCAAGGAGAACTACAAACCACTGCTCAATGAAATAAAAGAGAATACAAACAAATGGAAGAACATTCCATGCTTATGGGTAGGAAGAATCAGTATCCTGAAAATGGCCATACTGCCCAAGGTAATTTAGAGATTCAATGCCATCCCCATCAAGCTACCAATGACTTTCTTCACAGAATTGGAAAAAGCTACTTTAAAGTTCATAGGGAACCAAAAAAGAGCCCGCATTGCCAAGTCAATCCTAAGCCAAAAGAACAAAGCTGGAGGCATCACGCTAGCTGACTTCAAACTATACTACAAGGCTACAGTAACCAAAACAGTATGGTACTGGTACCGAAACAGAGATATAGACCAATGGAACAGAACAGAGCCCTCAGAAATAATGCCATATATCTACAACTATATGATCTTTGACAAACCTGACAAAGACAAGCAATGGGGAAAGGATTCCCTATTTAATAAATGGTGCTGGGAAAACTGGCTAGCCATATGTAGAAAGCTGAAACTGGATCCCTTCCTTACACCTTATACAAAAATTAATTCAAGATGGATTAAAGACTTACATGTTAGACCTAAAACCATAAAAACCCTAGAAGAACACCTAGGCAATACCATTCAGGACACAGGCATGGGCAAGGACTTCATGTCTAAAACACCAAAAGCAATGGCAACAAAAGCCAAAATTGACAAATGGGACCTAATTAAACTAAAGAGCTTCTGCACATCAAAAGAAACTACCATTGGAATGAACAGGCAACCTACACAATGGAGAAAATTTTTGCAACCTACTCATCTGACAAAGGGCTAATATCCAGAATCTACAATGAACTCCAACAGATTTACAAGAAAAAAACAAACAACCCCATCAAAAAGTGGGCAAAGTATATGAACAGACACTTCTCAAAAGAAGACATTTATGCAGCCAAAAGACACATGAAAAAATGCTCATCATCACTGGCCATCAGAAAAATGCAAATCAAAACCACAATGAGATACCATCTCACACCAGTTAGAATGGCAATCATTAAAGAGTTAGGAAACAACAGGTGCTGGAGAGGATGTGGAGAAATAGGAACACTTTTACACTGTTGGTGGGACTGTAAACTAGTTCAACCATTGTGGAAGTCAGTGTGGCGATTCCTCAGGGATCTAGAACTAGAAATAACATTTGAACCAGCCTTCCCATTACTGGGTATATACCCAAAGGACTGTAAATCATGCTGCTATAAAGACACATGCACATGTATGTTTACTGCGGCACTATTCACAATAGCAAAGACTTGGAACCAACCCAAATGTCCAACAATGAGAGACTGGATTAAGAAAATGTGGCACATATACACATGGAATACTATGCAGCCATAAAAAATGAAGAGTTCATGTCCTTTGTAGGGACATGGATGAAATTGGAAATCATCATTCTCAGTAAACTATCACAAGGACAAAAACAAACACTGCATGTTCTCACTCATAGGTGGGAATTGAACAATGAGAACACATGGACACAGGAAGGGGAACATCACACTCTGGGGACTGTTGTGGGGTGGCGGGTCGGGGGAGGGATAGCATTAGGAGATATACCTAATGCTAAATGATGAGTTAATGGGTGCAGTGCACCAGCATGGCACATGTATACATATGTAACTAAGCTGCACATTGTGCACATGTACCCTAAAACTTAAATTATAATAATAATTTAAAAAAAAGAAAAAAGAAAAAAACAACCCCATCAAAAAGTGGGTGAAGGATATTAACAGACACTTCTCAAAAGAAGACATTTATGCAGCCAACAGACACATGAAAAAATGCTCATCATCGCTGGCCATCAGAGAAATGCAAATCAAAACCACAATGAGATACCATCTCACACCAGTTAGAATGGCAATCATTAAAAGGTCAGGAAACAACAGGTGCTGGAGAGGATGTGGAGAAATAGGAACATGTTTACATTGTTGGTGGGACTGTAAACTAGTTCAACCATTGTGGAAGTCGGTGTTGCGATTCCTCAGGGATCTAGAACTACAAATACCATTTGACCCAGCCATCCCATTACTGGGTATATACCCAAAGGATTTTAAATCATGCTGCTATAAAGACACATGCACACGTATGTTTATTGCGGCACTATTCACAATAGCAAAGACTTGGAACCAACCCAAATGTCCAACAATGATAGACTGGATTAAGAAAATGTGGCACATCTACACCATGGAATACTATGCAGCCATAAAAAATGTTGAGTTCATGTCCTTTGTAGGGACATGGATGAAGCTGGAAACCATCATTCTCAGCAAACTATGGCAAGGACAAAAAACCAAACACCGCATGTTCTCACTCATAGGTGGGAATTGAACAATGAGAACACATGGACACAGGAAGGGGAACATCACACACTGGGGCCTGTTGTGGGATGGGGGAAGGGGGGAGGGATAGCATTAGGAGATATACCTAATGCCAAATGACGAGTTAATGGGTACAGCACACCAACATGGCACATGTATATGTATGCAAACCTGCACGTTGTGCACATGTACCCTAAAACTTAAAGTATAATAATAATAATGATAATAAATACACAAAAAAAGAAAAAAAAGAGTAGTAAATTGAAGTTGGTAGAAGGGATGGAAAGATTTGCATGGATGGAGAGGGGACTTATAAGGTTTGAGGTGAGTCTAGGTTAAACATTTGCATTGGTCAAGTCTTTCTTCCTTCTTAACAGTAATAGATTTGAGAAATATTGCTTCTGAGACTAAAGAAGACGATAATCATAATTTGATTACTGATTTATAATTTTCTCTTATTACAAATGCAATATATATTACAGAAAACTGATAAGTACAAGAATAAAGATAAAAATTAGCTTATAGTCCCACTACACAGGAAAAAGTATAGTTAACATTTTAAAGTATATTTCATCAGTGGTATTTCTTATGTATGCATATAATTAAATACATGGAGTTACATTATTGGGATCATAGTCTACATACAAGTTTTGTTTCTCACCAACAAAATATATTGTGGCATTAATTTTATTCCTTATTTCCAATGCCATTTTTTCTTTCAAAACTCTAAAAAAAGCTTTAGAATTTTCTGCATCCAATTTTTTTAGTGTTAAAAACCTTAAAACTAGCATGTTGAACTGACCACTCTTCATTATTGCCTCCCTTGTTGCTAGCTTTCCCTAGCTATGCAACACAAGAATTCTATTAAAAGGAAAAGAAGAAAGCATAGTGTGATATATTTCATATATACAAAGAGCATAAAGAATAACATAATTAACAACTACCTGTTTACCCCTCCACTTAGGAAACAGAATGTTATCTATGTTGTTGAAGTCATCTTACATACTGTTTTATAATCCATATTTTCCCTTAAAAGTCTGTTTCAAACAATTGCTTATTTTTGTATACTTTTCTTGGAAATGTAGCCTAATATGGTTTTATTTTCCAAGTAATGCATATTCTCATGGCAAAAGTTTAAGTATAACTTTTAAATATATTGTCATATTATAAGCATATTCTTATGGTAAAAGTAAAAGAAACACCTTAGTGTTTACATAGTAAATTAACTTTTACCAACTTCTACTCTGCTCTCCAACCCTAAGGTAATCAATGTTAAGAGTTGGTGTGTATGTAAAGAACATTGTTTCATGCTATACACAGTTTTCTCTGTTTGTTTGCTTTTTCACTTTACGATTATGTCTGGCAAGTATTTTTATGTTATTTATTGTGGGAGGCAGAATAATGTCCCTCCTCCCCAAATATTCACGTTCTAATCTCCAGAACCAGTGAATATGCCATCTTACATGGCAAGGGGACTTTGCAAATGTGATTAAGGATCTTGAGATGGGCAGATTATCCTGGCATATTTGAGTGGTTCAGTGTAATCACAAGAGTCCTAAAATAAGGAAGAGGGAGGCAGAAGTTCAAAGTCAGAGAAGGACTGGAAGATGCTATAAACCCAGTTTTGCAGACAGAAAAACAGGTCAAAAGCCAAAGAATGCCAGCAATGTCTAGAAGCTGGAAAAGGCCAGGACATAGATTATACCCTAGTGCCTCTAGAAGGAATGCAGCTATATGGCACTTTTATTTTGTCCCATTAAGACCTGCACTTGACTTCTGACAAGATAACAAATTTGTGTTGTTTTAAGCCACTAAGTTCATGGTAATCTGTTATAGCAGCAATCGGAAACTGATGCATTCCTATATCGGTCTGCATCATTTGTGAGGGGGAGCTGACATACTATATATTGCATAAAAGTATCCTAATTTATTCAACTACTTATCTGTTTATAGAACTTTCTAATTTTTTGCTGTTAGAGAAAATGTTCTATAAATATGTTTATATATGGTTGTAAACATGTGCTGTAATAGTATTTATTTAGGGTAGATTAAAAAGTACTTGCTCTGTCAAAGGGTACACATATATAAAATACTGACGAATACTGGCAAACTGTTCTCCCTTTACTCACTTGTGGGACAAGGCTTCTGTGGAGGATCACCCTTTCTCCATATTTGTTTCCAGTGCCATAATAGTGAAAAATCACCCCACTAAAGAGAATATTTTATTCCTAAGTGACCTAGTACCATTTGGTTAATAAAGATTAAATGAGTGCTTCATGTAGTTAAGGAAAAAATATCCCTTTCTAGTTAGGGTAAAGATGATCAGCTATTTAGCTTTGTAAGAAAGCTGTGAAAAATAGAATAACATTGGAAAAAATGTTAATCTCCCTGGATTGCATGTTCTTATCCATATTTGGCAGAGTAAACTCAGAACCAGGCTCAGTTTCTAGTAAATGCTCATCGTAGATAACTAGTAAATGTTGGGGGTTATGTGCATACATTAATAGGAAGAAATTTTAGCTCAGGGGTCAAGTTTGGTCTCACATAAAATGCATAATGCTTCTACAAATCCAAACCTATCTGAGGTCATATATTTGTCAAATTGTCCTGTGCAGTACAATAAAGTAAATAGTTTAAAGCTGACCTAGTTATGCTTCTGGGTTCATAGTAACAAAAACACAAAACATGTTCTCTTAACTCTCAACTCTATGATTTCTTAGTGCAATTTTCACATTTCTTATTGAAATCATGGAGAAGGCATATATCTTTATGCCCTTTGAAAATACTCTTTAAAATTCAATTTTATTAATGATAGCTTTGCCTTTCCTATTTGCAGAAATGCTTTTGGTTTACGTATAATACATGTGAAAGTTAGTTTCAAACTAATGCCATTGGCAAGTAAGAGAAAATTTAATAAAACATATGAATTGCAAAAGTAACTTGATTTAATACAAATTACAGAATAATTTTTGAATGAATCACTTATAGGTATATCCCCAGGCACTATTAAACTCTACAGTGAGACTTATTCTCAGATGCATCTTCATTCTTGGAAATTAAAGGCTACATTTCATTTTTTTCAACATAAATCAGAACTTAGGCAAAATTTATTGGCCTTCCCAGTTGCCAAAGTCTAACAGTGTCATTTCTATAAATTCACATAATGAAACTCTGTGATGCAGACTTCGGGTGCACAGTCTACATGAGCCAAAAATGAGAGAATTTGAATCCACATGATCAAAGGTCTAGTCAGCAAATAATCTCTATCCCCATCCCATAAAATAAATATTTGAATATTTTGAATTAGGAATACATTACTTTGGTCTTCTGCAAAGAAGTTGATTATTGGAGAACTGAAGATTAAGAATTATCATCTGATCTTTGGTTTATAATGCTGCTGACAATTTATTTTTCAATTTTAGTGAGAGGTACTTCTAGTGTTTCTGGATGAAATAACTAGATTTTTTTTTTTTTTTGTAATGTGCTTTTTTCATTTGTTTGCTAAGTGAACAGAAATTGGCTACGTGGTGGACTGTAAATGCCCTTGACGATAAGCAGTGCATTTGTCATAGTTTTATCGTGTTGTTTAGTTACAGATGAAGTCCCATGTTTCACATTATGTAAATCAAATAGTCATGTTGCAGGTTCATGCATCATGATATGATGTATTATATATTTAGAAAAATCACCCCAAATCCCTTTCCCCCTACATCTGAATATACTTTATACTTAGTGATTCTTGACCCTAAGGTGAAGATTTGATTTTATGTGGTTCTTTAATTTTTTGCATTGCCATTTTATTCAGTATCATCTGTTTTGGGTGTTTCCTTCTCCATTTGTTTGCTGGCAAAGGCAATTGAATAATAGAATTATTCATTATTTAATATAACTCCCCAGACTTCTTTCTCACTGCTCCTGAGACCCTTACCACGTTACAGAGGTGATATGTTTTACCCACTTCTGTGCCTTTCAAGTAGAAGCCTATTTTATTTATCTCTGTTGTGTCCTTCCCCTTATTTAGTACATGGCATATTAGAGACGCTTAATGTATCCCACAATATTCAGTTGTATAGGCAGTACACTACACAACAGTAGAGGGAGCCATTTATGTTGTGTATTATAAATGTGTCCATAGAATTATGCAGTATACAACTTCTACCACCAGGCGTGATGTTCTCATAAATATTTGATTTCTATAGTTTCCTATGTAGATAAATGATATTTTGTCATTTATTTATAATAATAATGCTAGAAAACCTTTCCATTCATCTTCATCTATAGTTATATTGAGACTCTGAATATGTTTTGCTGCCAGCAGAAATTATTTTCCTTTATCATTAGGATATTGTTTGTTTTGAGCCACAGAGACCAACTTTGCCTAAGTTGAGCAACAGAAGAAATAGTTGGCTTATTTTGATTCGATATTCTCAGAATCAAAGGAAGAACTGAAGAATCAGGCGTCAGGAAAGATAGCAAAGAGGAAAGCTCTAGGCATCTCATCTACTGAGTTTGGATGATTCAGAGCCATTCATATTTTACTATATTATCTCTTTTCCATCCTCTGAAAACATGGGTTTCAATGTGGGGGGATAATCCTATGATTGGAAGCTGATGACTAGAATACACTGAAATACACTGACCAGAAAATATGATGCAATAGAAGGTGATTTCCCAGTGGAAAGATGCTAGGGACTAGAGTTGGGGAAGGATAGGATTTACCTCAGGACTATGAAGGAACCATTTGGCTTCACAAAAACCTTCCATTATAACCCTGGGAATAAATGTTCTGATTGAGAGCAGCCTTGTCTTGCCCAGACTTACAAGGTTTCCTGTTTTGTATCTTGTATATTGAAGGGGATGGTGACTGCTTGGAAAAAGTAGTTGCATGCTGCTTACCATGGGAAAAGTTTAGGGTAGGACAGCTATAGTGATTGTGTTTTATGAGATAAAATTTGGATGTATCTTCCCTCATTTATCTAGAGTTTTCCCTCTAATTTTGGTACATATTTTCAGAAAGATATATATATTTACAGTAAAAGTTATAAATATTAAAACTCCCAATACTGACAATCAAATTATTTACTTCATCAAAATTTATTTGCTTTCTTTCCTATTGACTTTTTAATAATTTACCAAAAAATGCATCTACTTTTCAACATCCATTCTGTTGGGTCAGTAGACTTTTAAGGAGTATGGAAGCAACCTGATAGGATTATATCATCTATATACAAAAGAAGTGAAGATTAGTGTACCAAGTGCTAACAGCCATCTTTAAATTATCAAGAATGGATTAACTAGTTTTTGTTGTTGTTTTTTTTTGTTGTTGTTGTTGTTTTGTTTTTTTTTTTTTAATTTAAGAAGGAGTTTTGCTCTTGTTGCCCAGGCTGGAGTGCAATGGCATGATCTTGGCTCACCACAACCTCCGCCTCCCAGGTTCAAGTGATTCTCCTGCCTTAGCCTCTTCAGTAGCTGGGATTACAGGGATGTGCCACCACACCTGGCTAATTTTTTGTATTTTTTTTAGTAGAGACGGTTTCTCCATGTTGGTCAGGCTGGTCTCGAACTCCCGACCTCAGGTGATTCACACGCCTCGGCCTCCCAAAGTGCTGGAATTACAGGCGTGAGCCACTGCACCCAGCCTGGATTAACTAGTTTTTGGATTTACTAGAATACAAAAATAATAGCATATTTGAGAAAAACACTAAAATTTGTACAAACTGATAAAAACATGTTATACTGTTTCTGTTGTCTGGAAATATACAGTAATCAGTAGACAGCACAGTGTAACATTACATTATGTCTACTGTGTTTTAGGGAAAACCTGCTCCCTTGCCAGTATAATGAGGTGAGCTTTACAGTGGGCAGCAGGCCTTCTTTAGAGCAAAGTTTCCTCTGGATGCATTATAAAGGCAAACAGAGGTAGGGGAAACATGGCCACTAAAACAAACTAAAGCCAAGTATTTGAGGGTGGAGTTAATTAAGTAAGGAAAGAGAGAAGGGATAACATGCAAGCGGGCCTGAGTCTTTGCCTTGCTTAAGTCCTAATGAAATACTGGAGAAGTGTTCTCAGCTAAGAGAACCACAGGAATAATACATCTTCCACTGATACTTCATGAAGCAATTCATGTGATAACCTATCATACTTGGATTATTTTTGTTATTTATAACTAGAGAATGGTAAATGTATTCCTAAATTTTGGGTGTGATTTAAATGAATTAAGTTTACATTAAGTTCATTTTGTGCCTTGTATTGAAAAGATATTATTTAAGGTTATGTTTTATCTTCTCTCTTTTAGCTCTACCTTTTCCACATTACTCTCGTAATTGAGTCTATATTTGTTTTGCATAGTCATCTCTTTCAGAATTTGCCAGGAGAAACAGAGAACAATTTTAATAATTAATGTTGATATTAAAATACTTCATCCCTATCTTATACTCATGGCTAGCAACAAATATTTTTTTCTATCTCCAACCATTTGGAAGAAAAATAACAATATTGTAGTAATCACTTATTTTTTACAATAATTTATAAGTAAAATAATCCCCACTTGTTGAAAGACATTTTTGAAAAACTATTAAATATCAACTGAACATCTTATTGAGACAGCTCTGCAGTCTTTTAAAGCATTTGGTGAAAGTAGCTGCATGATATAAAATGTAATAATAAAAAAGGCCTATGGCTTGTTTCTATATATATTTAGACCTAATGCTAACAATAAACTAATGTATCATTTTACTGCACTTCATTCCTATATGGTAGGTCACAGATTAAGTCCAGTTCTTTTAATTATGTGAGAATCTGGCTGTCTAGATAATCAGAAAATGTTCCCATTATGAACATCTATAAACCATAGCAAAAAATACAATAAGCGCACTTTCACTTGCACAGATGAGCCAAAAACAAAGCAAGTTCTGGCAACAAGTTTAGTAAGCAACTAAGGTAATGTGGTAGCTTCCCTGAGGGAGTTTTTTGAACTAAAAAAATCTAGGTTTTTATGTTTTAATGAGTCTGTGCAAAGTGGGGAAGTGGAACTGAAATGATTACACACAACTAGAATTTGCAGATACTTAGATCCTTAATAAAAGTATGAACTGGTAAAAGTTCTGCCAGCAAGCACAGGTTGTGAACAAAGAAACATTCTGCCTCATCCATCACCCCAGGTTAGGACAAAAATGCTTCCTCTGGGTATTCATTACCATGAATCTGATTTCAAAATTGAAGCACTTAGTGAAAGCATATGCAAAACTGCTCTGAAGGGACTCTCTTTCAACTTACACCATGAGGCAACCACACTTAACATCCCACTGACTGAGTTCATAATATAATTCCAAAATGACCAATGATAACATATTCCATTGTAAGAACCCAGAGGCATATTAAAGAAAAATAATTTTTAAAAAGTACTAACAGGGATTATAAAACAAGCATGTCCACCTAATTAAAAAAAATAAAAAATTTCAAAATATGAGAATAAGATGTTTTGGGGGAAAACAGTTGATTTGAAAACTGATGAAAATAAATGTTCTCAGGAAGAAATATGGAATATGGTATGTATACTTAAAATTTCAATTTCTAAATTGAAGAGCAGATTAGATCCATCTGAAGAGAGCATTAGTGGATTGGATGATAGATCTGAGGGATTCTCCCAGCAGGCTACATAGAGTGGTTAAGAGATGCAAATACACAAAGGTGCCTGAGCACTACAGACATCAGAATGAGAAGAATTATCATATTCCTAAAGAAGTTCTAGGAGAAGAGAATGGAATGTCGGAGGGATTAACTAAATAGATAATGGTAAGAATTTTTAAGGGTTCATGGATCTTTAAGTTGAAAATATACCAAGTACCAAAGAAGATAAATAAAAACATGAACAGACACTTCTCAAAAGAAGACATTTATGCAGCCAAAAAACACATGAAAAAATGCTCATCATCACTGGCCATCAGAGAAATGCAAATCAAAACCACAATGAGATACCATCTCACACCAGTTAGAATGGCAATCATTAAAAAGTCAGGCAACAACAGGTGCTGGAGAGGATGTGGAGAAATAAGAACACTTTTACACTGTTGGTGGGACTGTAAACTAGTTCAACCATTGTGGAAGTCAGTGTGGCGATTCCTCAGGGATCTAGAACTAGAAATACCATCTGACCCAGCCATCCCATTACTGGGTATATACCCAAAGGACTATAAATCATGCTGCTATAAAGACACATGCACACGTATGTTTATTGCGGCACTATTCACAATAGCAAAGACTTGGAACCAACCCAAATGTCCAACAATGATAGACTGGATTAAGAGAATGTGGCACATATACACCATGGAATACTATGCAGCCATAAAAAAGGATGAGTTCATGTCCTTTGTAGGGACATGGATGAAATTGGAAATCATCATTCTCAGTAAACTATCGCAAGAACAAAAAACCAAACACCGCATATTCTCACTCACAGGTGGGAATTGAACAATGAGATCACATGGACACAGGAAGGGGAATATCACACTCTGGGGACTGTGGTGGGGTGGGGGCAGGCGGGAGGGATAGCATTGGGAGATATACCTAATGCTAGATGACGAGTTTGTGGGTGCAGCGCACCAGCATGGCACATGTATACATATGTAACTAACCTGCACAATGTGCACATGTACCCTAAAACTTAAAGTATAATAAAAAAAATTAAAAAAAAGAGAAGATAAATAAAAACAAAATCAGTACCTTGACCCATCTTCGTGGGACTGTAGAATTATAAAGACGGAAAGAGTGTTAAAAAAGTAAGCAGAAAGCAAATGCATGAAAAAAAGGCAAAAACTGTAATCAGAGACTTCTAATCAATATTTATGAATGCTGGAATAAAATGAAATGGTATCTTCAGTGTGTTGAGAGTCAATAAAGTTGACTTTATAACAACTCAGTTACTATTCAGTTATGAATACATGCAAAATAATAAAAATGAAAGCAAAAGAAAAAACAAGCAAAGTTTACCATTCATAGATAGATCCTCATTGGAAGAGATGCTGAAGAATGTACTTAAAGAAAAAGAATAGTGAGATGTCTAGAAAGTAAATTATAACTGAGAAAATAAATTGCTAAATAAATAGGCAAATTGCTACATAAGCCCTGATGGTTTTTAAAAGAAACCGTCTAATTTTAGATTTGAAAAATCAAGATGGAACCATAATTTCAGATTAAAAACACATGAAAAATTGAAGGGAGAGATTGGATTAAAAGAATGTTATATTCTTGCCTTTTTCAGGAGGAAGAGCTTTAGACATTCTAAGGATATGTGGTAGGCAGGAAAAGTAACATCCCCTGCAAAGATGTTTATGCTCTAATTTCCAGAACCTGAAAATATGTTATCCCATATGGAAGAAATGACTGTGCAGATGTGATTGTATTAAGGATCTTGAGGGGGCGAGATTATCCTGGTGTGAGGAAAAGAGAGAGAGTGGAAAGTCAGAGAGGGTCATATGAGGATGGAAGCAGGGGGCAGAGTGATGCAATCATTGACCTTGAAAATAGAAGGAGGCCCTCAGTCAAGAAACCTGGGTAGCCTCTGGAAGCTAGTGAAGGCAAGGAAACATATTCTCATCTAGAGCTTTCAGAGGGAACATGATACTGCTGACACATTGATTTTAGTGCAGTAAAGCCCATTTCAAAATTCGGGCCTTCAGACTGTAAGTTAAAGTTTTGTGTTGTTTTAAGTCACCATATTTATGGAATTTTTACAGCAGCAATAGAGAACAAATATATCATACTTTAGAAAGTAAAAGGAATCATACATCAACCACAATTTAATGTTACTTTCAAAGTAGCCAAAAAAAGTGAGTGAAAAATAAAAGGAAGAAAGAGAAAAAGAAGAACAAAGAAATATAACTTGGCATTGAATCTATAAATAGATTCAATGCCATCCCCATCAAGCTACCAATGACTTTCTTCACAGAATTGGAAAAAACTACTTTAAAGTTCATATGGAACCAAAAAAGAGCCCGCATTGCCAAGCCAATCCTAAGCCAAAAGAACAAAGCTGGAGGCATCACACTACCTGACTTCAAACTACACTACAAGGCTACAGAAACCAAAACAGCATGGTACTGCTACCAAAACAGACATACAGATCAATGGAACAGAACAGAGCCCTCAGAAATAATGCCACATATCTACAACTATCTGATCTTTGACAAACCTGACAAAAACAAGCAATGGGGAAAGGATTTCCTATTTAATAAATGGTGCTGGGAAAACTGGCTAGCCATATGTAGAAAGCTGAAACTGGATCCCTTCCTTACACCTTATACAAAAATTAATTCAAGATGGATTAAAGACTTAAACGTTAGAACTAAAACCATAAAAAACCTAGAAGAAAACCTAGGCAATACCATTCAGGACATAGGCATGGGCAAAGACTTCATGTCTAAAACACCAAAAGCAATGGCAACAAAAGCCAAAATTGACAAATGGGATCTAATTAAACTAAAGAGCTTCTGCACAGCAAAAGAAACTACCATCAGAGTGAACAGGCAACCTACAAAATGGGAGAAAATTTTCACAACCTACTCATCTGACAAAGGGCTAATATCCAGAATCTACAATGAATTCAAACAAATTTACAAAAAAAAAAACAAACAACCCCATCAAAAAGTGGGTGAAGGATATGAACAGACACTTCTCAAAAGAAGACATTTATGCAGCCAAAAAACACATGAAAAATGCTCATCATCACTGGCCATCAGACAAATGCAAATCAAAACCACAATGAGATACCATCTGACACCAGTTAGAATGGCAATCATTAAAAAGTCAGGAAACAACAGGTGCTGGAGAGGATGTGGAGAAATAGGAACACTTTTACACTGTTGTTGGGACTGTAAACTAGTTCAAACATTGTGGAAGTCAGTGTGGCGATTCCTCAGGGATCTAGAACTAGAAATACCATTTGACCCAGCCATCCCATTACTGGGTATATACCCAAAAGATTATAAATCATGCTGCTATAAAGACACATGCACACGTATGTTCATTGCAGCACTATTTACAATAGCAAAGACTTGGAACCAACCCAAATGTCCAACAACGATAGACTGGATTAAGAAAATGTGGCACATATACACCATAGAATACTATGCAGCCATAAAAAATGTTGAGTTCATGTCCTTTATAGGGACATGGATGAAACTGGAAACCATCATTCTCAGCAAACTATCGCAAGGACAAAAAACCAAACAGCACATGTTCTCACTCATAGATGGGAATTGAACAATGAGAACACATGGACACAGGAAGGGGAGCATCACACTCCGAGTACTGTTGTGGGGTGGGGGGAGGGGGGAGGGATAGCATTAGGAGATATACCTAATGCTAAATGACGAGTTAATGGGTGCAGCACAGCAACATGGCACATGTATACATATGTAACAAACCTGCACATTGTGCACATGTACCCTAAAACTTAAAGTATAATAATAATAAAATAAATAAATAAATAAATAAAATAAAAAAAGAAATATAACTTGGTAAATAGAAATCATAAATAATAGAAATCCAAACATATCAATAATAGAAAAGGATTAAATGCATTTAAAAGATATTATATAACTAGCTTTTAAAAATTTCACTATGTGTTCTTTATAAGAGACTCAGAGAAAATGGATGTTGAAAACAAAATGAAAGAGATAGGACAAGCAAATATTAGTGCAGTACTGTATATTAATATTTGTTAGTATCAGACACAATCCACCTTAGCAAAGTAAACATATAGATTTTACACAATAATAAAAATAATAGTTCAAAATAAACAAACTTAGAGACCGAGTACTTAATAAACAATAAACTTTGAGATAAACAAATCAAAAATTAGAATCACAGGGAAACATCAAAAAATTATAAGCACAATGGAATTTTAACAGTCTTTTGTCAGTACAATGTAAAAATCAATCCAGTATTGATTATTCTACTTAACAATTGTATATCAGAGCTTTTAAGAGCTAAATGTAATGAGCATATATGGAACTGCACTCCAAAAAATTAAATATACATTTCTAATATGCAAGGAACATTTACCAACACACACACACATACATATATCTATATATACATATACATGTATCCGTATATGTATATATGTATCTATATATACATATACATGTATCCGTATATGTATATATGTATCTATATATACATATACATGTATCCGTATATGTATATATGTATCTATATATACATATACATGTATCTGTATATGTATGTATCTAGATATACATATACATGTATCTGTATATGTATCTAGATATACATATACATGTATATGTATATCTAGATATACATATACATGTATCTGTATATGTATGTATCTAGATATACATATACATGTATCTGTATATGTATGTATCTAGATATACATATACATGTATCTGTATATGTATGTATCTAGATATACATATACATGTATCTGTATATGTATGTATCTAGATATACATATACATGTATCTGTATATGTATGTATCTAGATATACATATACATGTATCTGTATATGTATGTATCTAGATATACATATACATGTATCTGTATATGTATGTATCTAGATATACATATACATGTATCTGTATATGTATGTATCTAGATATACATATACATGTATCTGTATATGTATGTATCTAGATATACATATACATGTATCTGTATATGTATGTATCTAGATATACATATACATGTATCTGTATATGTATGTATCTAGATATACATATACATGTATCTGTATATGTATGTATCTAGATATACATATACATGTATCTATACATATCTGTATATATATACATATACAGATACATCTATACATATATCTATATATACATATGTATACATATATAGATATATGTATGTATTAACTCACAAATGCTGCTGATGAGCCAAGCAAGATGTGAATTGAAAGCTAACCATTATAAAGATCAATGTGACTTCATTGGTGAATAGGCAAAAGTATTGTGCTTAATTTTAAGTCTTTTTTTTATCATTTAGATACAGCTTTCAGATCCTGTAACAGAGAGGAAATTTTTTTAAAAGGATAATTTTACATTTCTCATTTATGTACACACAAAAAGCCTATTGTAATATTGTTTGTGATAGTAAAAATTGTATAGAACCTAAAAGCTTATTGCTAAGAAGTTGCTTATGTTATGATACACTAATAGCAGCAATAAAAAAAATCCCCAACCAAAACATCACAACTAACTTTTTAGAGCTTACTTTGTGTGTGGCGCTGTTTTCAATACCTTATATGTGTTAATTCATGTCCCTTGCACAGTAACCTAAGTTTTTAAGGTTTTATACATGTTAAATCATTTAAATTGAACAATAAACCTAGGTGGTAGATATTATTACTACCTCTATCTTTATGATGAGGTGACAGAGGAACAAGGTTAAATAATTTGCCTAAGATCACATAGCTAGTAAGAGGTAGATTAAAAGTTTTGCTTTCATATATTCTGCCCCCAAATCTCATAGCTCTTATTAAGGTCTATTAAATTTTGCTCTATGAAATCCTGAATAATTGATAACAACAGTGAAGCATTCTTAGGAATGCTAAGATATAATTTCAGATAAAGAGTAAAAATTATAAAATATTATACATAGATCCCATTTATGTAAAATAATAATTTCCTTATACCATTAATAAAATGATTATCAGTCTTTTAAAAATTTTGCCAGTCTTATGATAGAAAATATTATGTTGTTTTAAGTTGTATTTCTTACATTTAAATCTTTGATCTGGAAATAATTTTTGTGTTACATAAAGTAGGTATCTTCCAGTAATTTTTCAAATGGAAAGCCTTGTCCCAATACCAGATTTTTTTGTAATAAAACAATAGAATACTGTAAAATTCAAAACAAGATGGGATCTTACTTTTGAAATATTGTCCATCATATGGGAACTGTCTAATGTCTGAGGATTAATTATATCATGTGCTATAAAATTTAATTAATCTTCCATATCTTAGAATTAAAAATTAATCTTATTCACAGTTTTATTAGATTCTTGGAGATGACAGATGTGCTTCAATTAATCATATAACTATTAAAAATGAGTCACTTGATGTCTTGTTTGTACAAAATAATTTATCTTTATTTCAGTTTTCTATTTTTCTTTCTAGGAAAGATTTCTGTGTGCACAAAGATGAACCATGTGATACTGTTGGTAAGTGTGAAAATTCTCACACTTTTGGAGTTCTGGAGAACTTGAACATATCACTTGTTTAAGTATAGGAAATTATTTGTGTTCTGGTTATAAAGGAATAACTTCAAAATGTCAGACATACATATTTTCTACCTATATGTTTAATCATTTGTCAGCACTTCAGTGTAAAAGACATGTATCAACTATATATATTGGAGACAATCTTTAAGTGATGCTTTAAGGCTATAATTAGTCCTTTTTTGTTATTTTCTCAGAGATACACACATGGGTTCAATAAAATTTTATTATTATTAATAACCAAAGACAAAATATATTAATGACATTATGTTTGACTAATTTGCAGGATAACAGATTATTTTTTGAGTTATGTATGCTTAAAGACCTTCGCAGACTGTGTCGAAATAAACTGCTAGATTCAGTATGATTCTTCTTACATGAAGTGGCAAATTTTTCACCATTTGTATTAGATATCTAAAGTGCCTAAAACAGAACCAGATAGCCAACAGAATTCATGAAACCACTGTTCTTCTAATTTTGAGAAAATGGTCACATATATGTTCATGTTTTAAAATGTATCTATATAAATATAAATGTATCTATCCAAAGATACCCCAGTCTTTATATATAAATATATATATTTAATTTTAAGTTACATAGCTGTGTGTAACAATATATTATTGGTAAGGTTCATTTAAGAATTGTAATCTAATTTTGGCATATCATGTAGGGTTCATTTCTACAGGATGAGCAGTATTTTAACTTGACCATTTTGTTGTGTCATTTGTTTTTTTATAAAGTGAATAATAAATAAAAGGGTGTAGAAACAGAACATAGGGATATTAGTATTTTAAAAGATAATTCTAACTAGTTCCATTAACCTAATTTTTCATCAACCTCCTCATATGTTTAAAATCTTAGATAATGTAAGGATTTTTGACATGTATTATTCATAAAACTTATGATGGAAAGTAGTTATAATAATGTAAAGTGGATGATGATGGAATCAAGGGAATATTTGGTTCAGAAGGAATTGTCGGCATGAAAAGAGCTGGGCACCTAAGGAAAAGCGGAATTGATGTAGGGACCATCTTCCTACTGTTGACTCTCTTGCCTGCTTCCCCCAGTTTTCTTCTTTTCCTGTCTGAATCTCCAGAATTTAAAACTTTATATCTGGTTTTTGTTACCCTAACCATGGAAGCTTTTGATTACCAGTAAAGCTTGTCTCAAAATAATAACCTTTTCTTTCATGTAAGCAGCAATGTTGCCCCCAAAAGCCTTGTTTGATAGGGACAGCTCAACATCTTGCCTTGCTTGAGCACATGTGAGAAATCAGCAACTCAGGCGCCATCTTCCATAGCTATACACACGAACTGACTCTTTATAGCCTGTAAGCAGCTACTAATAAGAAGAACCAATTTCTGTTTTGATGACAACAGAACTTCACATCTTGCTAAATCTGCTAATTCAAAATTGTGTGTATATTTGTGATATAGTATATGTAAATCTTATTTTCTAATTTAAAACACATTTGAATAATTGAGTACCTCAGTGTGTTCTGATAATCAGAGTATGTAAGATTTGGCAGGAAAGCAATTTATTGAATCTTTGGCTCTGTTTGTCCTGTTCATTAAGATCTTCAAATAAATCAGTTTTAAATATTACAGCATAGGGTGTGAAAAGTCCAGTGCCCTTCCTGAATTCTCTCTGTTTTGCTGATTCCTTAGGTTGTCATCAGCACCTCTGACATCACTAAAGCCTAGTTCTCCCTTCCGTATCTTATGGCAGATTTTTTTCCTTTAGCCCAAATATAGATGGGATCTTTCCCTATGCAGTCTTGACAGAGTAAAAATCTGAAATATTTCTTCAAGAGAGGTAAAATGAAAACTTATAACAACCAAGTCAAATTAATCTGTTTCACCCAAACCCCACAAAAACCTTCTTGTCACACTACCTATGCCTATGTCTGGAGTCATATACAGTCAGCCTTCTGTATTATGGACTCCATCTCCATGGATTCAACCACTTGTGGTTCAAAAATATTTTGTCTAAATAAAAATAAGAAGTAAAAATGCAGCGATAACAAAAAATGCAAATTAAAAGTAATATAGTATAACCACTATTTACATAGCACTTATCTTGTAAGTGCTAGGTATTATATTAGGTATTAAAGGTAATCTAGAGATGATTCGAAGTATAGGAGAGGATGTGCATAGGTTATAATCAAATACCACTCCATCATATAAAAAGGAATTGAGCATCTATGGATTTTGGAACCAATCCCCCATGGATACAAAGGGATAACTGTATATTTATAAGATTTATAAAGATATTTGTGAGACATATACATTGTGGTTGCCACCTCATCATCCATGCATCTACCACTGTGTAGCTGCAATGCTATGTTAGGAAAGGGTAACCCTATGGGGTTGGGTTATGATTAGTCTAGGCCTCTCATGGGGATTGTTTCAGGACCCTAGGCCTAAGCCAGTCAGCACATGCCATTGCCCTAGTTGAGACATATGATCTATTCCCTATATTTGCCTCAACAAGCTGAAAAAGGTAGAATTTTTGATGGTTAGAGCTTGATCATATATGCCTCCACTGGATATAAAGAAGGAAGAATGCAACCCTGATCACTATAATCAGGAAGGAAACCATCCTTAGGATGAATCTGACATCATATACTGCAGAATGAAGAGATGGAAGGTTTCTTTCTCCTGGATGATATTGTTGAATCCTCCAACCCTGGAGCCCAGTCTAATGTTTGGGTTTCTGAATATGTGAGTCAGTATATCCTTATTACTAAGCCAGTTTAAGACTTTTACGTTACTTGTAGCCTAAGGCATAAAAATATTCCCTGATGTTCATATTTTCATTTACAGGGCAAGAAAAATATGGCGCAATATTAATAACCTCTCTATTGTTATTAAGAGAAAATGCTGGTAAACTGCTCTGTGACTTGTTAAAAAATTAAATGAGCATATATATAGCTTATCAATCATCTTAACAGCTATCACTCTCTAGTAAAACAAAGCCAAAGTGATTTAGGGTTAATATCAATAAAATGTTTATTCGTACACATTTTAAAATCTCCTCATGTAATCCAAAGGGATATATTTTTTGACAGATGCTTTTAAGTCATTGTTTACTTCTTTTCTCTTTTATCTATAACCGATGTGAAGTCAGCCATTTTACTTTTTTTTTCTGTAATGAAAATATGGAAAGAGGAAAGAGAAAGGGAAGAAGTGGATTTAGTATTTATTAGTTTGGATCATATAGGGTTGAATGATAACTTTAAGATGCTTCTCCCTATTCTCCTAGGTATAGTAAGAGGAAAGAACAGCACTTACAGGATTTGAATTTATATTATTAATGTGAGTTATAAATGGAGAGGAATGCTTGTATTTTCAAAGCAATGGTAAGATTTATGCTTTGCACTGTAATTCAAACAGTATTTTCATGGACATTATCTCATTTAATTCCCTCAAAATCTGAACTCCCTAGTTTTGTTATCATTATTATTTTACAGATGAAGAAAGCCCTGAAAAACAAAAGGATCATAGATTTTGAAGTCAGATGTCTAGATTTAAATCAGGGCTATGCTACTTATTGACTATGTGAATTTAGGCACACTAATATCTCGAAAGCTTGGATTCCTCACCTTTAAAATAGAGGCTACATCTTCTATCTCACAGAATGCTGTGAAACTGTGACAGTCGCAAAGCAGCTAGTTAACTGGCATTTTATCTACACCAGTTTCTATCACATCCTGTTATTCCCCATGGAGAGGTTACAGATTTTCCCAGAATCACTGATAGTAAATGATAGTGCTAGACTCTACCTCAGATCTTCTGACTGTACTGTCACCTTTCTTTTATAACATTGTATTTTTATACAATAGATAAAAATACAACTAGAAAACTGAATGTGAGAACACTGTCTTCAGATGAAGATATAGAATTAAATTGGAAATGACAAACACAAACTTAGAAATAATTTTATTTACCAATATTTCAACTTTAAAACAATAGAATATTGTGCTCATTCGCTGAGTCAAAAGGTTTGTGCATTTTAAATGAGTTAGGCTATGTTAATGTTACAGAATATTATTAAGCAAGTGCTTCCGTTGATAAATTATAGTTATTTACTAAGCTTATATTTGAAAAGCTACATGGGGGATAAAAAGTAAAAATAATTTTTACCACCTTCTCAATTACACACTTTTTCCTGTTGATATAGTTATGTAGATGGTTTGGTAGGTCAGTAGGTAGGTATGTAGATCATGGAAGAAAATACATGCTATTATATGTTTTAACCCATAAAAATATCAATTTAAAAACATATGTGCATTTTCCTTTTAAATCCCTGAAATTAGGATTCATTTCACAATGAATGGCTTACCAGGGTTGTCAGAATTTAATTCAAAGTTTTTAAAATCTTAGATTGAATGAACTATAGTGGTATACTTAAATTTCAAGGGAAATAAAGTATATTTCATTGTGCAAGTGGCAACTATCTCTTTGCTGCTATTGATTATGAAGTTGCCTTAATTTTTGTGGTAGGCAGAATAATGGTCCTCAAGAGTGTATTTGCCCTAATCCCTGGAATTTATGAATATGTTAGGTTACAAAGCAACAAAGAATTAAGGTAGTGGATGGAATTAAGGCTGCCAATCAACTGACCTTGAAATAGGGAGATTATCCTGTATTATCATGGTAGGCCCAGTGTTGTCACAAGAGTTCTTAAAAGTGGGAGAGTGAGGCAGAAAAGTTCTGAGTCAGAGAGAGACATGATTACTAAAGAAAGACAGAGATACAATATGAAAAGAATTCAACTCATTATGGATGGTTTGAAGAATGAGGGGGTTACTAGTGAAGAAATGTGAGCAGCTTCTAGAACATGCAAAAACAAGGAAATAGAATCTTCCCTAGAGCCGACATAAGTGAACACAAACAGCCTTTTCAACACTTGATTTTAGCCAGTGAGGTCTGTGTCAAACTTCTAACCTAGAAAACTGCAAGAAAATAAATTTGGATACCTTAAGCCACTGAATTTGCAATATTACAAGCAGCCATGGAAAACCAGAACACTTTCTAAGTTAATGTTGCCTCCATCATTTAGAGAAAGAATAAAGAAACGTGGTGATTTCAAATCTTTAAACTGTGGTATCAACAATTCTGTTTCTGTGGTTAGTTTTGAGAACTGGTAAAGAGCTTGAGATTAGATAAAAAGTAGTAATTGGTACCATGATATATAAATATATATATAAGGAGTAACAAACTCAGGTTCTGTTAACAAACATGATTAATTATAGTTAACTATTTCTAGCTGAGAGATTAGCCAAAAAGAAGCCTATCTCTTCTTTTAACAATTAAATAAATTGAATCAATTCTTTAAAAGCTACCCATGGCCAAGCACAGTGGCTCCTGCCTGTAATCCCAGCTCTTTGGGAGGCTGAGGCAGGCAGATTGCTTCAGGCCAGGAGTTCGAAACAAGCCTGGACAACATGGTGAATCTCTATCCCTACTAAAAATACAAACAAATTAGCTGGGCATGGTGACACGCACCTGTAATCCCAGCTACTTGGGAGGCTGAGGCAGGATGATCGCTTGAACCCAAAGGCAGAGGTTGCAGTGAGCCGAGATGGTGGCACTGCACTCCAGCCTTGGCAACAGAGTGAGGCCCTGTCTCACAAAAACTTATAATAAAATAAAAATAAAATAAAATCTACCTACAAAAATACTAGGCTCTGATGATTTTTGTAGTTGATTTCTATGTTCCAAAGATGGATTATTTCAATGTTATACAAACTATTTTAGAAAATAGAAAATGGAGGGATTAAAACTGTATAAATGTCTTACTAAATCCTAAGAGGACAGAGTAAAATAGAAAAATGATAAGCCCTTCTTTATTAGGAAAGAAATTAAGAAAGTCAAAACCAAATATTAGCAGATATTATCTTACAATGCTTTTTTTTTTTAAATAACCAAGTACGGTTATTTTATTGCAGGTTTATTCCAGAAATGCAAGAGTAGTTTAACATTAGAACATTTTAAAATGTAACTATATATTCCAATTAAAGATAAAAACCATATGATCATCTTGTTTGGATAAAGAAAATGCCTTTCATACGATTCAAAACACATTCATGATAAAAACTCTTGGCAAAGTAGGAACTTTATTAACCAGTAGAAGTCACTTACAAAACAACTTGTAAATATCTTTCCTTTTAAACAGTGGAGCATTAAAAGCATTCCTTTTAGAATCAGAAACAAGGAAACAATTCTGCTACCACCACTTCTATTCGACAATGCACTGAAAATTTTAGGCATTACAATAAACTAGATAATTGTATTATCTACATAAAGAAAAAACAGATTATAGAATTAAATTATGAGAAATAGTAGGAGAGTTTAATTGGTGGTTAGATATCAAATCAATATGCAATAACCAATTGCATTTTATTTTGGTAATAGGCAGTAAGAAATTAAAACTTGTTTATTTTATGTAAAATATGAAATATATTGAAATATATCTAATGACAAATATGTAAGACATATGGACAATATTATAGACTATATTACAATTCATTAAAGAAGACCTTGATGAAGAGATACACTCTACTCATGGTCTGAAAGACTAAGTATGATACAAATGTTCATTTCCCTCAAACTGATCTATTAATACAATGCATTCCATTAAAATTCTAACGAGAGTTTTGAAGGAACTAGATAGGATGATTCTAGATGTATAGAGGAACATAGGTCTGAAAATTGCCAAGGTACTGTTGAAGAAAGAATATGGGAAGGAAGGAAACCTGCGCTATCAGATACCAAGATATAGTACACAGTAAATATGAAAATGCAGTTGCCTGTATTTGGAAATTGATGTATACTGCAGATCACTGGGTAAGGCATAGTTCAATACATTATGTTAAGTTGGTTATTCACATGAAAAAAATTTGAGATTAATTCATATGGTTTAAATTTGCAAAAACAGGAGTCTATTTTTGATGTAGAGACAGACAGATTTCTTAGAGAGTACACAGAAATGTTAATCATAAAGAAGCTATATTAATATTTAAAATGTATGCATATTAAAAGACATAGTAATGAAAGTGAACAAAAGCAAGCTTCTGTCAGGGAGAGGATACCATATTTCATGGATTTTAAAGTATCTTCAATTTTCATTGATTTCAAGACATACCATTACTTTATGTATCACTAAATAAATAAGACAATGACTAATTTTAATTCTCAGATATTATTGAAGACATTACAATGTGAAATGAGGTGAATCTTAGAATTATTGATGTATATTAATAGTATTTCCAATACATGTAACCAACAAAGTATTAGAACCCAGAGTATAAAAACAACTTTTCTAAATCAGTAAGTAAGAAACAAACAAGGAAGTAGACATGCCAAATAGGGCAAAAGACTCCAAAGACCATTTTTGGAAGATAATACATCAAGGGTGAATTAAAAAAAAATAAAATGGTAAGATGCCCAACTTCATTAGTAGTAAAGGAAATGAACATTCAGATCACAAGCAGATTTCTACCAGTGGGATTGATGAAATTAAAATCTTACATTATAAAGTGATGGCAAGTATGTGAATCTATGGAAACAATGTGCTTCAGGAGTGAATTTAAATTGGTGTAATCATTTTGGAGAACTTTGGGCGGTATTTAGTAAAACTGGCATTTGTACAACTTGACGTCATTAATTACATTCTTACACATACACCTTAGAGAATCCTATATGCATTAAAGACATGTTTATGATAGAAATGCAAACATATATCCAAGTCCAAAGTTTATCTTTTCTTTTCTCTCAGGAATATAAAGCTCTTAAAACATTCTACATCCCCTGTCCTTATTGTAGGCTGTTACCATTTTTTAAAACAACTTATTTGATTTTTAAAACACACAAGATGTTATGTTTTTCTACAGTCAGTGCTCAATTAGATTTATTCACATATTTATTATTTTATTAGTTTTTATTAGTTCTTCATTCTTTCTTACAAACCAGTTCTCTATCCTAATCTTACTTTCCTCCTATTGAAGCAATATTTATTAGAATTTCCCTTAGTAAAAGTCTACTGGGGACACACACTTAAGTTTTATTTGGTATGAAAATGTCTTAATTTTACTTCAATTCTTGAAAGATATTTTAAGTGAGTATAAAATCCCAGGATTCTGGATACCTATTTGGTATTTTTGTTTTTTCAGCACATTTTGAAGATTTAGTTGACCTGTCCTTTGGCATCCATTGTTGCTCTTGAGGATTTAGCTATCAGTCTAACTTATTTTAATGCCATTTGTTCTACAAAAACAAAACAAAAACAGAGTCTAGGTTAAAGTAGACAAGTTTTCATGCTATAACTTTTTTTTAGGGAGCAGGTTGTTTTTCTTATCATTTCATTGAGTTTAGTTATTTGTGTGGGAGGGTGGGGAAAGATGGTATCTTCTCCCACTCACTTTAATTAGAAGTTTCAGTTCTGAGACCTCACCTTGAACAGGCATTATCTTTGTCCCAGTGCGATGGCTAAGGCTGAACATTTTGGATCTGAGATTGGCAAATGCCTATAGGCAACCAGCACATCAGTGCCAGCTCAGAACTCTTCCCTGCTTTTCCTTCAGCCCATGGAAGGATTTCCCTTAAGAGTGAACTCAGCTATGCATTTAAGATGATTTTTGTTATTTTTACTCCGTCATTTATATGTTCAGGTGATTCGCAACCAGAATTTTCTCACTGCTGGAAGTAGAATTTCAAGGAAAACTTTTTAAGTACTACTGTACTTTATGTATGTATTTTTATACATACATATGTTTATACATCTTGCAGCAACATTTAGTCACACAATTCAGTTTGCTCAACATTCACATGTGTTGTGACACTAACTTGGATAATTGGTTTTATAGTTAAGATGTCACCGCAAGTTTTTTTAAAAAAATAGTTTTAGAAACTGTTTTAGAGATGTTCAGATTGTCTGTATGCCTCAAGGTAGTAATTATTAAACTTTTTGGTCTTTGTACTCCTTTACATTCTTGAATTATTTAAGATCCCAAATAGATTTTTATGTAGGTTACATTTATCAATTATTGCTGTATTAGAAATTAAAATAGATAAATTCTAAAAACATTTTGATTTATTTAAAATTAATAAAACATCAAATGTTAGCATAAAGGACATGCATTCATAATTTTTACAAAAATTAGCTATATTATCTAGAACAATAAAAATAGTGAGAAGCCATGGCTTTGTTTTATATTTTTGAGAGTTTCTTTGTTTGGGTTCTAGAAGACAGCTGAATTTCATATCTACTTCTGCATGTAAGATGTTTCTGTATGTTATTACGGTTGACCTGTATGAGGAAAATGTGGCCTTACCCAGAATGAAGTTGAAAAATGGAGGACTAATTCCTGGCTAACAAGGTGAAACCCCGTCTCTACTAAAAATACAAAAAATTAGCCGGGCGCGGTGGCGGGCGCCTGTAGTCCCAGCTACTCGGGAGGCTGAGGCAGGAGAATGGCGTGAACCCGGGAAGCGGAGCTTGCAGTGAGCCGAGATTGCGCCACTGCAGTCCGCAGTCTGGCCTGGGTGACAGAGCGAGACTCCGTCTCAAAAAAAAAAAAAAAAGAAAAATGGAGGACTATTTTCAGATTATTGTGCGTTTTCTAAAACGCATGTCGTAGTGTTTTAAAAGTTTGTGGAATGGGACAATGTAGAACCTGAAAGCATAGGATGAACTTTCACACTCTATTATATTAATATCTATTGGTATATCTTACACTTTAAATGGATCTTTTAACCCTGCATGACTTTTTAGTATCAATTATCTATTGATTGGAATATATTAGTTCACTGAGTCAGGCAGATCTTCTAAATGTTGACACATTTCACCCTACTATCTATCTATCTATCTATCTATCTATCTATCTATCTATCTATCTAATCTATCTGTTAATATCACCATCTATATTATCAGAAAAGTATTTAAGTTTTGAGAAGCTGTCAAGCTCATGGTGACAGATGAAAGTTTTCCAATATTCTAATTTTTCACTTGAAAACTTGAATTTTATTCTTGGCAAGAAAAATAGTCATAATACCATCAGTTGGTTTTTATAGAGTGACAAGTTCACTTTGTTCATTTTTAGGCAAGTATTGCTCAGATTTCCAAGTCTGAATACTGTTTGTCACTTATTATTTCAGTGAAAAAATGATGCTTCATGAAAAGCACAGCTGGCTCAGCTCATAACTCAAACAATCTCACAGTACTTTTAACTGAGACATCATATTTTAGCCTGCAACAGAAATGCTTTATCCATACTTCCTTTTTGTTACACAAAAATATTTTTTAAATGTATATACTCAAGTGTTGAGATTTGATAAAATGAATAAATGTTACTGCTACATCTGGAAATTTTGAAGTGAAATTGTCATGGTACCCCTCCTGGGAGTAAGCGGCAGTGAATAAAATGACTGACAGTGAAGTTGGTGCCACTGTCTTGACTAGGCAATTTTACCTACCATTACTTTGGCACCATCACTACAAATGTCAACACAGTTTTAACTTTGTATATACCTCTTGAAAAGGTCTTAGAAGACCCACTGAAAGGGTCTTATGGAATCCCAGGTTTCTGCATAACCCTCTTTGAGCAATTCTGCCATAAGCTGAGAATGATTGATAATCAATGGGGATAGTCAGTGTTTACGTGTGTGTGTGCGTGTGTGTGTGTGTACACGTGTTTCATGAGACTTTTTAAGGACTTTAACATATAGAAAATTGGTAAATACTTAAAGCTGGCAAAGATAAATGCTGATTGAATAAGTTTCCTGCTGTGAATATTCCTCTAATACTTGTTGATGAGAGAGGCTGTGTATCCTTTACCACCAAGTTCCCAGCTCTATGATGCTCTGACTCTCCAGGCATTCTATGGAAACTTAGTTGCTTCAACATCCTAACTTTTTTTTTTCTGTCTTTGAGCAGGTTGGAATGATCCAGGTTATTCTTCTCTATGCTTCTGAATATTCTGATTTTATGTACTTGACATATTGTCAAATAGGTATACAGACCACCCAGGAAGCAACTGCCAAAAAGAAGCATATCCATACACTAAAACATATTTAAATAGCCCTTTATGTCAACACTGTACTGTGAGAATCTCCAGACCCTTCCCTTTCCAAACATCAGTACATTCTTCATACCACATTTCAGCAGAAGTAATCATTTTTGCCAGGTGAGAAGAGGTTAAGCTCATTTTAAAATAGCTTAATTTTTATTAAACAGCAATTTGGCATTTTTTTTTTTGCATTATAGCACCTCAACCATAGAGAATTTCAGGGACTTAAAATACTTAAAGCAATTATTGAGGTCATCTTTTTACTTCAATACCTTTTATGATAGAATTATATTGTTTGTACTGAAAAGCCTTATTAGTTTAATATATTACATATTTTTAAGCCTTTGGACTAGGCGAAGAATAGGTTAACTTTTGTCTACATAAATCTTAGTTTCTAATTGAATTGGTAGTGTAATTAAGTATTCAAGGGAGTTCCAATGCATTCATTGGGGATTTATATATTCAAAGTCCAATATCAAGCTCTATGATGGATTCAAGGTTGACAATCAGATTTTTGCCCACTCAGTCTAGTGGGACATATACTTTTGCAGAAGAAATTAGCAAGCATATTAGAAGCCTGTGCCCACCTTCAATGGGTAAACTTTTATAAAAAATATTTTTTGAAAAATTTTTGAATATTTAGAGGTCTTCACATTTGTGAGAGATATGCTGTTATAATGCACTGCTCAGTGATTAACACAGGAAGCTTCAGATATGCAAATAGAATATATTCAGTGTGGTAGACAGAATTCTAAATATGGCAATCCCAAGATTTCTGACCTCTAGCTATTCAATCAAATGCTAATCTAAGTACTGCTGTGAAGGAATTTTGCAGAGGTAATTAAAGTTTTTCAGTTTACTTTAAGACATGGAGATCTAACCAGGTGAAACTTTTTTTTTTTGACACGTAGTATCTCTTTGTCACCGAGGCTGGAGTGCAGTGGCGCAATCTCGGCTCACTGGAACCTCCGCCTCCTGGGTTCAAGCGATTCGCCTGCCTCAGCCTCCCCCTTAGCTGGCATTACAGGCATGTGCCACCATGCCCAGCTAATTTTTTGTATTTTTAGTAGAGACAGCGTTCCAGGTGAAACTCTTAAAGCAGAAGCAAGGCACTGAATTGTAGCAAAAACCTGCATGAGTTTGTAAGCTGATACTTTCCAAAACCTTTAAACAAGAGCACAGCCTGAATGATATATTGACTTTGGCCTTGTGAGACCTTAAGCAGAGAACCCAGTCACGCCCACCCAGACTTCTGACCTATAGTAATGTGGAATAATAAATGGCTGTTACTTTAAGCTGTTACATTAGTGGTAATTTGCTACGAAGCAATAGAAAACTAGCTCATTCTGACTAAAGGATGCATATTATTTCATATTAATTGGGGGCTTTTATATGGGAAGAAAACAAGTCCACCTTGGATGCAAGTATATACATGATCCTTGGTGAGGACAGAATAAGAAGGAAGAAAATGTTTGTTAAGAAATAAAAGTTAAGGGGAGAAATTGGAAGAGATTTTCATTTATCATATCCGATGAGACAGTAAAACAGCAAAAGGATTTTACGAGGATTTTGGAAGGACTTAATACAATTCTGTAATCATTCCAATTTCTCCATATTTAATATTCATTTCCCTTGTCCCATCAGTGATGAACAAAAGCATATTAAGGTGATATGGCTCTAAACACTTGACTGTGGTACAGAAAGGAAAGGGGTCGGGAAAATTGGTCCTTCAAGGAGGTAATTTGGATGGTGCCAGCTTGGAATAGAGGAAATGCAAGTCTCTGGGCCTCCAGCAGAGAAGCTAAGAAAATCCAATGGAGTCAGATTGGGCCTGGGCATGACATTAGCTTTGAAATAAAAAGGCCTGTGAGGTTTATTTATATATAAGGTAAACATATATTTTGTAGTTCATACCAAGGAACTTTTAAAAGTTAAGAGACATAATTATGCTTAGACAAAAGCAGAAGTTGGGATGCCCTAGGCAAAGTAGCCCTATGGTCACTCTATTGTTGATGAACATGTTTAAGATATTAAACACACTAATCAGAATTTTTAATAATAAATTTAAAATTACTTACTTCAGAGATATTAACCATCACAATTATTTCTATAATTTAGATTTTTCATTATTTAATCTCCCAATAATTATAATTAGACTTAATAGGAATAAACCTATGAGCATTTGCTACATGTATTAGAAGCTGATTCTATACCATTTCTCTTAACTTTGTTTTCATTTAATCCAGATGGCCACAAAGCATTGGCTATTGGCACATTATGATGGTCTGGGTCTCAGATATATTCGATACACAGAGAGTAATAACCTTCATCTTGTACTAAATTCTCATATCTGAGAGGCCTGGAAATATACTTTGAAGATAATATGAAATGTGCTACTGTATCCATTTTCCTCAATTTTTATTGGTTCTTGCATTTCAGATGATCTTCTTTTCACTTCTCTTTCTTATCATTTATTCAATTTCCTCCAATATTTTGAAACCCCTATTCTGTGCCCAAGTTTGTGTTAGGTGCTAGATGCTAGAAATAGAGTGGTGCCTAAAATGATCCTATTTATATATTCTTTAAATGTTTTCCTTTTTCCTAGCCTTTCATTATTGTTGCCCAGATAACCTAAAAAGTTTCCTATTTGTCTCCCTTTTATACTGAGCCAACATTTTATCTTTTTCTATCATAGCTTACGAGAATAAATGTATTGATACATATCTCTTAAACATAGAGAAGCCTTAGTATTTTCTTCCAAATCTGGATGTGAAGGGAAAAAAGGTCTGCCATCAAATTTTAATGATGTTGGTTTGATCAGAAAACTCTATTTTGAACTCAGTAGAAATTTTTCTTAGCATTTTTTTAAGCAACAGTATTGGGGAAAATTGGCAAATCTGTTTTTTTCCTTTTTGTTTAATCATTAGTATGCTAATAATATTAATACAATTTATATTATTTTAAAGCAGATGTCTAGTAGGTTAGTTCTACTATGGTGTATAGAATATTATCAATTATTACATGACAAAATATAGAAACTGTATAAGCCCATACAGAAGAAAATCCTTTTGTCAAATATTGCAGTGCTTTGGGACTTTAATATGTAAATAATCTAGTGATATACCAAAGTTGTCTCTGCATTTTCCAGGTCCTTCCCAATCCTGTCCTCTAAGTAGTTGGACAGTGGAAATAACTCTAAAGAATGCTGAGATAATGGAAATGTTTGATTTGCATCATAGAAAAAAAATATAATTCCCTAGGTAGTTTTCTTTGAGTTATAAGATGCTAGTGTTGGTTTATTATTTTTATTTTTTGCAGAGAAGTAACTATCTCTGTCTAGTTTCAGGTAAACTGGAGTAAACACACTCCACCCTTCTCTCTCCCATTGAATGCACCTATAAAACTTGAGAGAATGGAACACCTGTTTGAGGATTTTTAAAAGTAAAAGTAACAGGCTGATTGGGAAGAAGATATGAATTTGAAGTGCCACCAAACCAGCAGTGAGTTTATAATTTTTCTCTCTTTTTGTATTCTCCATCTTGGATTCAACACAGCCCACACTTGTAAGTTGTCATTAGGGCCTGTAGAGATAAAACACTAGGAGAAGCCCTCCCATTCTGGATTAAGGACCAGGAAGGGGCCCTGATGCTCAGAGAAAGTAGGAGAAGCCCTTCCTTTAATGTCTACATTCTCTTCTGCCCCATCTCCCATCTTCTACAATCCCATGATAGCAGCAGCAGGGGTAGTAACAGTGGCAGGAAGATGAGCCATAAAAATTTGGATAAATCTTCCTCTCTGATCTGAACAGCTTTAATCCCATGAGGATGGGGTAGACGCCATTGCTTCTCATCTCTTGATTCCGTCTGCTTGTACGTGGAAACAGACACAATTATGAGAACACAGCAGAGAGGTAACTAACTCCATACTTTCTGAAAGCAGGAAATGAGAACTGCATGGAAGTGGAAGGTGCGAAAAAGAGCATGGAGAGGGAAGGGCTTAGGAAAGTGACCTCAAAGCTGTTTACCAACTTGTGCTCAACCTTAAGCTTTGTATGTGTGGATATGACTCTAAAATTTCTTTGAGAACAGAGCTATTACAATAGCAATGCAAAGGCCTTGAAAATTGACAATTTAACCAAGACACGCAGAAGCCTTGTAAGTTTGGAACTTATAGCATGAACCAAACTAGGTTGATTTTATGCTAAAAAAATTAACATTCTTCATAAGATTTAAATAAGTCTCCTAATGTTATAGGTAAAATGTCTAGAACACAATTCAAAATTATTTTACATATAAAAACATGAAAATCTCAATTTGCATGGGAAAAGACACCCAACAGATGCCAATTCTGAGATGGCACAGATTTTGGAACTATCTTGCTAGACTAAAGCATTTATTATAAAGATGATCTAACAAGTAAGGGCAAGCATATTTCAAATGAATGGAAGGGTAGAAAGTCTTAGTAAATAAATAGAAAGAAAAAGCAAATTGAAGTTTTAGAATTAAGAATAAAATAATTGGAATAAAATCTCTCTGGATAAGCTGAATAGCGGCATGGAGCTGACTGAGAAAAGAGTCAGTGAACTTTAAGACAAATCAGAAGAAACTATCCAATCTGATAAATGAAGAGAAAAAAGATTGGGAAAACAATACCAACAGAGCCTCAGAAACTCACTGGTTCCTGAGGCACAGTAGTTATCATGGGCTCCAGGAGAAGAAAAAAAAAATATGACTGAAGACTTCTCACATTTGGAAAAAAATTTAAACCATCAGATTTAAGAATCTGAGCAACTCCACACAAGAAATACACAGAGAAATGCACAGCTGGAGACATCATAATCAAACTGCTGAAAGCTAAAGACGAACTAAAAATGACACCAAAAAACAAGCTGTTATTTATAAGGAAACAGTGATTCCAATGACAGCCGATTTCTCATGACAAACCATGAAATCCAGAATCCATGAAAGAAAGGATTGTCAATGTAGAATTCTATATTTTCAAAAAATATTTTTCAGACATAAAGGTAAAATAAGGACATTATAAAATGAAGAAAAACTAAGAGAATTCATAGCCAAAATTGCTGCTTTAAGAGAATTGCCAAAGGAAGTAGTTCTAACAGAAGGGAAATGATACTTAAAGGAAACTTGGAACATCAGGAATGCAGAAAGTAAAAGAAATGACAAATATCTGGATAAATAAAATAGACTACTCTCAACCCCAGAATATTTTAAATAGCCTTGATATTTGAAAGCAAAAATTGTAACATTGTCTGTTGGAGTCCATGATGTATAGTAGATTTAATACATAAGACAACAACAGTAATACATGGGGGGGGATAAAGGGACTTTCATGTTGTTAATTAAGCTTTCAATATTCCATTTGAAATGGTAAAATACTGATTCTAAGTAGACTTTTAAGGGTGAATATTATGTAATGTAAAACCTATGGGAAGCAACCACTAAAAATATACACAGAAGGATGAAATTAAAAACACAATAAATACACTGGGCATGGTCACTCATGCCTGTAAGCCCAGCATTTTGGGAAGCTGAGGCTGGTGGATCACTTGAGGCCAGGAGTTTGAGACCAGCCTGGGTAACATAATGAGACCTTGTTGCCACAAAAAAAGTTTAAAAATTAGCCAGGCATGGTATTGTGTTCTGGTAATCTCAACTACTCAGCAGGCTGAGGTGGAAGAATCACTTGAACCCAGGAGTTTGAGGTTACAGTGAGCTATGATGACACCACTGTACTCCAGCCTGGGTGACAGAGCAAGACCTTGTCTCTTAAATAAATAAATAATTAAACAAATCATTTAATATTGAAAAAATATTCAAAAAAAATAGAAGTCAGGAAAGGATAACAGAAGAAAGGATAACAGTAAAAACAACATCAACAAAAAAAATAATAAAATGTTAGGCCCAAATTTTCACATTTCAATAATTCATTAGATATAAATAGTTTGAACACGCCAAATAAAAGGAGTTCTTCAGAACTGATTAACAATTCAAAGACCCCATCTTTGCTATCTGAAAGAAACTCACTTCAACTATAATACACAGGTTAAGAGTAAAAGGATGAAAAAGATATACTGTGGAAAAAGTAGTAAAAAGTAAAAAACAAAAACAAAACAAAAAAACCCTCAAGTGACTATTTATATCAGATGATGTAAATTTCAGACCAAAGAAAATTACCAAGAATTAAGAGGGACATTACATAATATTAAGGGATCAATTAACCAAAAAGATATAGTAGTTTAAATGTTTTAGCACTTAACAATAGAGCTTTAAAACTCATGAAGCAAAAACTGACAAACTAACAGGAAAAATGGACAAATGCACAATTATATTTGAAATGTCAACACTCCTCTAAGTAATTGATAAAACCAGTAAACAGGAACTTAACAGTGATATAGAAAAATTGAAAACCACCGCTAGCTAACCTTTACACACTGCTCCACCCAACCATAGCAAAATATGCATGCCTTTCAAATGACATGGAAATTTTTCCAAAGGGAAAGGAACATTTTCTAGCTCATAAAGCAAACCTTTACCAATTTAAAGGAATTTAAATCAAACAAAGTATATTCCTGGGCAAAATGGAATTTAACTTCAAATTAATTACAAAAAGATAGCAGGAAAATGTTCTCTAAATGTTTGGAAAATAACAAATTCTCAATAATTTATGGGTTGAATGAAACATTTCAAGGGAAATTACTAAGTGTTTTGAACTGAACAAACATGAAAAGACAACATACAAATTGGAGGATGCAGAAAAAGCCATGCTTAGAGAGGAATGTATAGGGTTAAATGTTCTTATTATAAAAAAGGACAGATCTCACATCAATAATCTAAGAATCTACCTAAACTGGCTGAAAAGGTAGAATAAGCAAAACAAAACACACTCATATCAACCAGAAGGAAAGAAGTAGTAAAAATAGGAGCATAAATCAGTAGGAGAATTCCCCTATTTCTTCGGATAATTCTCCTATTGACTCTCCAAAAGAATTCTCCTAAATCAGTTCTCCTGTTGATTTATGTTCCTATTGATTTATGCTCCTGGGAAATCAAAATGGAATAGCAATAGTGAAAATCAGTGGAAACAAATTTTTTTGTGGAATTGTGAGTAAAATTTCAAACCTCTAGCAAGTATGACAAAGAAAAATAGAAAGTAGAAACAGTTTACTGATACCAGCAATGAAAGGGAAGATATCATTATAGACCCCACAGACATTAAAATAATCATTAGGGAATAATAAAAATAGCTCTGTGAGCATCAGTTTGACAGTTTAGATTAAATGGACCAGTTCATTGAAATCCTCAAACAAAACTTATCCAAAATAAAATAGATAATCTGAGCAGTCTTATTAAATATTAAAGAATTTGAGTTTTTATTTTAAAATCACCCAAAAATAAAATCTCCAGCACTAGGATGTTTCATTAGTAAATTAAAGAAAAAATTAAGTTAAAGAAGTTTCATTGGTTAATTAAAGAAGAAATAATACAAATTTTACATTAGATCTTTCAAAAAACAAATGTCAAGGATACTTAGATTTACCGATACTAAAAACCAAACTAAGGAGTACAGGAAAAAAATTAAAAGAAAAAACGTATACACCAATATTTCTCATGAACATAAAAACAAGTATTAGCAAATTGAATTGAGAAATATACGAATAACAGAAGAGAATCAAGTGGGGCTTATCTCAGGAAATAAAGGCTGGTTCAATATTTGAAAATCAATCCATGCAATCAAATACATTAAAAGTCTAAAGAAAATGCATGTTGACCATGTCAACTGATGCAGAAAAAGCTTATGACAAAATTCACCATCTATTCATGGTTTAAAAAACTCTCAGAAGCCTGTGAATAGGTGGAAACTGCTTTAACCTGATAACAAGCATCTACTGAAAAGAAAAAAGGCAGTTAATGTCACATTTAATGGTGAAAAAACGAATGCTTTCTGACTCAGACTGAAGCAAGGCAAGGCTGTCCACTCCATCCCTCTTAGGAAAAAATAATCCCAGATATGCAATTAGGTGAGAAAACTAAATGAAAGGCATAACAAATATGAAGGAAGAAATAAAACTGTCTCTGCAGAAAACATTATTGTTTACATAGAAAATATCAAGGCATGTATGAAAAAACTCCTAAAACTAATAAATGAGGTTAGCAGAATCAAAGAATATAAGATTAACCCACAAAAATCTAATGTATTTTTATGTACTAGAATTGGATACTCAGAAACCAAATTTTTAAATATGTACATGTATATGTGTGTGCATATATGGGTGTTTATGTGTATATGTGTATGTATATATATGTATATGTATAAACATTAGGACATGATATATATGTGTTTCTGTGTGAGTATATGTGTGTGTGTAATCAGAGCTCCAAAATGAAAAAATGAAATATGTAGGTATAAATTTAACCAAACAGGTACAAAATCTGTATACTAGGATCTACAAAATGCCGATGGGAGCAATAAAAGATCTAAATAAATGGAGAGAAATACCATGTTTATGGAGTGGAAGACAGCATGGTATGGATATACCACTTCTCAGACTGATCTATACATTTAACATAATGCAAATAAAAATTTAAGTGCTTTTTTGTAGATATAGACAAGATGATTCTAAAATTTATATGCAACTGAATGATCAACACAATTTTGAATAGAAAAATCGTTTCGGAGAAATACTACTCATTATATCATTTATAAAACAAGGGTTTAGTAATCAAGACAGTGTACTGTCAGCGAAAGAAAACATACATAAATCAATGGACCAAAATAGAGATTCCAGAAATAGATCCACACAAATAGGGGCCAATTGATTTTCTACAAAGGTAAAAAGGCTATCCAATGAAAAAAGTTTTATCTCTTCAAAAAATGGTGCTTAAAAAATTGAATATCAGTATGCAAAAGAATGACCATTATACAAAAGTTAATACAAAATAGACTATTAATCCAAATGTAAAATGCAAAACTATAAAAACTTAGTAGAAAACATAAGAGAAAATCTTGATGACCTTGGATTAGGCAAAGAGTTCTTTCATATGACACCAAAAGCTTGGTCCATGAAAGGAAAAATGATAAACTGGATTTCATCAATATTAAAAAACAACAAAAGTACTTTGTTCTGTTAAGGGATTAAAATACAAGTAATAGCCCTGGAGAAAAGATTTGCAAGTTGCATATCCAGATACTAGGACTTGTATGCAGAATATGTAAATTACTCAACATTAAGAAATCAAACAACTCAACTCTCATACATTGTTGCTGGGAATGGAAAACTTCACAACCGCTTTGGAAAATGGTGTGGCAGTTTATCCTAAAGGTAAATATGCACTTAACATATGACCCAGCAATCCCACCCCTGAGCATTTACTTCAAAAAAACGAAAACTTACATTCACCTAAAGCCTGATCACAAATGTTTATATCTGATCTATTCATAATTGCCAAAATTTAGGAACAGTCCAAATGTTCTTTAACAGGTGAATGGATAAACAATCTGTGGTACATCCATACAAGGAAATGCTATTCAGCAATGAAAAGAAATGAATTAGTGATCCATCTAACTGCTTGGAAGAATACCAAAGCATTATGCTGAGGGAAAGAAGATAGTCTCAAAGGTTACTTACTGTACAATTATATTTATGTGTCATTTTCTAAAAAACAAACATAATGACCAGATGAGTGATTACTATTGATGAGGGAGAGGGGAGGCTGTAAGTTTACAGGAATAGCACAAAGAAGTTTTGGGGTGTGATGGAAATGTTCTGTCCCCTGATTATTGTGGTCATTGCACAAATCAATAGAAGTGTTAAAACACAGAGGACAGTACAGTAAAAAGAAAATGTTACTGTATATGAATTTAAAAATTAAAGTTAGAACAAAACAAAAAAGAGTAAGAAATTTTATCTGATTGTTAGATTTGCTTTTAGCATTACAACTGTGTATTCCACAAAAGGTTTGTGCACGTTGTGCCCTTTGCAAAGGTACCTAATCTATAGGGCCTACAGGGGAGTACATATTGAAATCCATCCCAGACTTCACCTGCCAATCCCTTTTTCTAATCCTTCCATGAACTTGAGAAGCCTTTTAAAAATATCCATCTTCCCAGTTTTGTACCTCTTTTAATTGACATTAACATACTGTCATAAATGAAGCCTTGCTTAGGACCAATATTTTTTGCAGATTTTAGTGAGTTTCTGTGTTCAAATACATTGTTTTAGAAATTCCAAGTGGAGAGCTATTTCTTCGTTGTTCCTTTCTCCCTTTATTCCTTTTCCACATTTGACCCATTCTTCAGAACTCTAAATAAATTCTTTTAGATATCCTAGGTTGTTTCTCAGCCGACCACGCATCACATTTCAGTATGCCTTTCTTATAACTTGCATTTTATTCATTCTGTCTCCCCAGTTAGATTCTCATCTCTGTGTGATCAAGGATCTTACTTAATGCATGTCTGTCTCTTCAGCACATAGCATAGTCACCTGAGCTTCCCATATCTATATATTTCGGAATAGAAGTGAATTTCTGATAAGAAAATATTTCCTATGGTTCACAAGAAAAGCAAAGCTGAATGTAATCATGTTTAATTTTTGGCTGTCTTGTATATTTTATTAGGCACTGGCCAAAACCTAAATTGGACACTTTATATTTCTATTTTAGCAATAGGGATAAAACTTGGATACATTGTCAAAGTTGATTGTTCTTAAGATTTTTCTCTTCTCAAGATTCTTTACTGTTAACAATTGACTTTAATTATAGCATTTTGCTTCTATTAAAAATGTTTTGATGGTGCTATTAAATAATATATGAATATTAAAATATGTTGATTATATCCTTGGGAAATTTAGACCATTTGAATTTAGAAACCCCCCAAAGTCCTCATATTTTTTTTCAGTTGTTGGGATAAACTCTGGAAAATGGCAGCTTTCTATTCATCACACATTTACCCAATGTTGTCAGTGAACAATAATACTTGTTAAGCATCTACTAAGTACCACGGGTTTTAAAATGTCACCTCTTTTAACCCTTGGAGAATTCAATGCAATAAGAGATTATTTCATTTTACAAATAAAGAAAGCCACAGTTTATGTTTAATGGTTATCATATTTTAGACCAGCCAATATATGCTTGAAATATGTGTCTAAATTACTTAGCATTCCTAAGACAAATTATCACAATTCTACCGGTGGGAAAACTGAATGTCAGAAAAGACAACTAACTTTTTTTTCGGCATTTTTTTCTTTATTTCTTCTAAAAATAAATAAATAACAAATACACGTGCAGAACGTGCAGGTGTGTTACATAGGTATACATGTGCCATGGTGGTTTCTGCACCTATTGACTCATCCTCTAAGTTCCCTCCCCTCGCACCCCAATCCCTCGACAGGCCTTGGTGTGTGTTGTTCCCCTCTCTGTGTCAATGTGTTCTCATTGTTCAACACCCACCCACTTATGAGTGAGAACATGCAATGTTTGGTTTTCTGGAAAACTGACTTTTTTATAGTCACAGATTTAAAACTGAGGCTGGGATTCAAACCCTACAGTATTTGACACAAGACCATTGGTTATTATTTTTAGGCAGGTCCTTTTTTAAAAATAAAACATCTTTATTGAGGCAAAATTAATTTATAATAAGCCTGTTTTGCTTATACAATTTGATGAGTTTGGATGTATATATAAATTCTTAAAATTTTATTCTCCTCATTTGACCTTCTTTATACTTAATGCAGAAAAAGGTAAAAAAGCATCTATTATTAAGTTCCAATCAGAAATCAGAAATTTTTTTAAGTATCAAAGCATTCTTGAAAAAAAAAATTAACGTGTTTATTTACTATGGCAATTTCCTCAATGTACAAACCTAAAAACTGATGTCTTAAAAATACATCTACAGTTTGAGTCACTTGAATTTAAATATTTATTCTATTTAACAAATTATGTCAAAAACTATATTAAACTTTATATTTTAAATAGTAATATTTAAGAGCTTCAGATATTTGTAGGTATAATTGCTTTGAAATTATAACTATTTTCTTTATATTTCTGCAGTTTATAGATTACTTGAATAAAAATGCTGATCACACTGAGTAGAAAGCAAGTTGTGAAGAATAACAAAATGATTAAAAATTGGAATGGTGTAAAAATATTGTGTCCAACTGTTTGGAAGTTTGAGTTGGTTTGTAGTTGTAAATGAATGCTGTCAGTGCTTTTGCTAGTATACTAAAAAAGCAATTTATACAGCTTTTTGCTAGCATGATATTTAATTTTTTAATTGTCCCTATTTAATGCCTTCAGGATATGATTATGTTATAACATTGTAAAAATGTGTCAGCCAGAATTCCTGATTTATGTGCAATCAGAACACTTTTAAATTTTTCCAGCTGTATCCTTAAAGTTACTTCATGAAAATCTTTTAACTGTGATTCATCTTACCTATTTTTCAGAGTTATGACAGTTTGTTAATCTCCAAGGCAGATGAAATCATTAAACCTAAATAACTTCTTTGGCTTGTGAGCAAAGTCATATAGAAAGTCTAAGAACTCTGACTTTTATCTTTCTTTTAATTAACATAACAATGAGAATACCAATTTTCAGCTGTTTCTGTGTAGACTGTGAAGTAGTGTTCCCATTACTGATTTACAAGAGTTAGTTGTGTAATCTACCATGTATGACTTTTTGATTGTGTCATAAACATTATATTTTCCGAGGTACACTGAAATCTAAATTAAAAATTTCAGATGGGGTATTTTATTATGATCTGTCAAAACTACAATAATGTATATCAGAGTTTGGCTTAATTCAAAATCTCTAAGGATTTGAGGGTTTATCTTCTAAAGCCATCCAATAATCTACCCTTATATTTTCTGAAGAGGGATAAGATGTGAATGTGAAGTAGGATAAATCTGGAACAGGAGCACAAAAGCTAGCTGCAGACATAATTTTTTTTAACATTCTTCCTTCCATATAAAAGCAATCCATCTCATCATCTTAATGCGGGGAGGAAGGGGGTGGGTGGGTCTCGGTGGTGTAGTTTGTAAAAAAGCTTAAAGGAAATATAAAACAATAACAGCAGAAACAAACCCTATTTTGGAATGTGTTCTTTACTATGACATCCTTCTCATTTCAAAGAGCAGAATTTAGAAATCACCACTGCTGCTCCTACATACCATTGTCCCTGTGATTGAATCTCCTTTCTTTCACTTTTTCTCTAAACATTTACTTGAATCATCTTTCATCTTCTTCCTCCTGTACCATATTAATATTTTATATAAAAGCTTGCCAAAGATGTAGAAGTGACCTATGTGTGTACACACACTTTTAAAAATATAGGTATTTCCATCTGTACTTAATTTTGTCTCCATACACGGAGCAGGGCAAAAAATTATACTAAATTAGGCAAAGAAAATGTAGCATTTAGCTTTCTACAGTGTATTAAATCTTTCTCATAAGTTTCTATTTCACTTAATTCCAAGAAAATCAAAACTTAAAATTGTCAATTTGTGTTATTTTCCCTCTAGTTTAAATTGCTTTATTCTTTTTTTTTTTTTTAGTTAAATACCCATTTTTTCCAAATAGCCCCTCCTAACCTCTCATCTGGTGCTTTCCAAGGAGCTGGGAGGGGGACTTTGTGTAGGTCAGCAATCACAGGTTCTTTCACTACTCTCTGAAACTTTTTTGATCTTTGCAGTAAATTCCCTTACTTCTGGGCAACCAGAGCACACTGTTGGATTTGGTGGCCAACCATGCAGTTGGCGAGTGCAACTTAAGCATATTGGCTGACCTACCTATTCAATTCATCTACACCACAATTTTTTATCTTTCCCCTGATGCTTACCCTACTAGCTTGTACTGCTGAAGACACTGCTGAGCTTCAGGCACATCATCCATAGGTTCCCTGTGTTAAACTGCCCACCTCTCTGACTTCCATGGCAGTCGGAGTCAACGTGGGCTCAGGAATAACTCAGCCCTTCTCTCTGCCTAATTACTCAGTATTTTCACTGCTTTTCTTCTTGAGCCATCCTATACTGACATGGAATAGAGTTCCAAAAGTGTTCACTAATCCTAATTCCTCCTCACCTGCCATCAGAGAGAAGCCTTTAGAGGACTAGAAAGACATCAGTTACATGGAAATAGAAGAGAGATGCATATTAATGCATTTTCAAATTTTTTATTGCTACACTGTACGAAACATACCTGGACTCATAATTTATTCACCTAAATATTTTTCAGGTTCCCACAAAGAATTCCAGAAACTGTTTCACACATTGGGAATTAACATATTGTTTTATTTCCTGTCATTGTTGTGCTTACATTTTGATGGAGACAGAGAATATACATATTAAATAATTAGTTGGTATATTAAAAGATAAAACTGATATAGAAAAAATAGCCCATACAAATAAGGGATAATCCGGGAGTTCCAGGGGAGAAGGAAATTTATAATTTTAAACAGAGTGATCAAGAAATGTCTCACTGAAGAAAGTGACAAGTGATATTTGCATAAAGGTTTGATGATGATCTGGAAAATACATCTAAGGAAAGAATGTTCCAGGCAAAGTGAAATCCAGTCAAGAGGTCCTAAGATGTAACGATGCTTGCTCACATTTGAGAAATGACCAAGAGAAAGCCAAGGTAGCTGGAATTGAATTAATGAACGATTACAGGAATTTCAGATTTTGTATTTCTTTTTTTGACTGATTTGACAAATTGTAAAATTTATTTACATATATTTGTTATATTGCCTTGATATCTTTAAGAATTGTAGAGATGTTTCCTTATTTATTTTGATGCTGGTAATTTGTATTTATCTCTCTTTTATCCTTGATAGATTTACCAGGGAATTGTTCATGTTTTTGCCAACTTTCTTATACATTTATTTTATAATTCATTGATTTTCCTCTTTTTTACTTCCTTTTATTTTTTTAAGCTTTAATCGTCTTCTTTTTTTCTTTAGCTCCCTGAAGGAATTTATTGATTTTCAAACTTACATACACACACACACACACACACACACACACACACACACACATATATACATATACATACATATACATATGCATGTATATGTACGTATACGTACATATACCTATATGCATGTATATGTACGTATACGTACATATACCTATATGCATGTATATGTACGTATACGTACATATACCTATATGCATGTATATGTACGTATACGTACATATACCTATATGCATGTATATGTACGTATACGTACATATACCTATATGCATGTATATGTACGTATACGTACATATACCTATATGCATGTATATGTACGTATACGTACATATACCTATATGCATGTATATGTACGTATACGTACATATACCTATATGCATGTATATGTACGTATACGTACATATACCTATATGCATGTATATATACACACATATACACACATATATATACTTTAAGTTCTGGGGTACATGTGCAGAATGTGCAGGTTACATAGGTATACACGTGCCAGGGTGGTTTGCTGCACCCATTAACCCGTCATCTATGTTAGGTATTTCTCCTTATGCTATCCCTCCCTTAACCCCCACCCCTTGAAGGCCCTGGTATGTAATGTTCCCCTCCCTGTGTCCATGTGTTCTCATTGTTCAATGCCCACTTGAGTGAGAACATGTGGTATTTGGATTTCTGTTCCTGTGTTAGTTTACTGAGAATGATGGTTTCCAGCTTCATCCATGTCCCCACAAAGGACATGAACTCATCCTTTTTTATGGCTGCATAGTATCCCATTGTGTATATGTGCCACATTATCTTTATCCAGTCTATTATTGATTGGCATTTGTGTTGGTTCCAAGTCTTTGCTACTGTGAACAGTGCTGCAATATACATACGTGTGCATGTGTCTTTATAGTAGAATGATTTATAATCCTTTGGGTATATACCCAGTAATGGGATTGCTGGGTCAATTGGTATTTCTGGTTCTAGATCCTTGAGGAATTGCCACACTGTCTTCCACAATGGCTGAACTAGTTTACATTCCCACCAACAGTATAAAAGCATTCCTGTTTCTCCACATCCTCTCCAGCATCTCTTGTTTCCTGACTTCTTAATGATCGCCATTCTAACTGGCGTGAGATAGTATCTCATTGTGGTTTTTATTTGCATTTCTCTAATGACCAGTGGTGATGAGCTTTTTTTCATATGTTTGTTGGTCACATAAATGTCTTCTTTTGAGAAGTGTCTGTTCATATCCTTAGCCCACTTTTTGATGGGGTTGTTTTTTTCTTGTAAATTTGATTAAGTTCTTTGTAGATTCTGGATATTAGACCTTTGTCAGATGGATAGATTGCAAAAATGTTGTCCCATTCTTTAGGTTGCCTGTTCACTCTGATGGTAGTTTCTTTTGCTGTGCAGAAGCTCTTTAGATTAATTAGATCCCATTTGTCAATTGTGCCTTTTGTTGCTATTGCTTTTGGTATTTTAGTCATGAAGCCTTTGCCCATGCCTGTGTCCTGAATGGTATTACCTAGGTTTTCTTCTAGGATTTTTATCATTTTAGGTCTTATGTTTAAGTCTTCAATCTATCTTGAGTTAATTTTTGTATAAGGTGTAAGGAAGGGGTCCAGTTTTAGTTTTCTGCATTCTAGCCAGTTTTCCCAACACCGTTTATTAAATAGGGAATCCTTTCCCCATTGCTTGTTTTTGTCAGGTTTGTCAAAGATGAAATGGCTGTAGATGAGTGGCCTTACTTCTGAGGCCTCTGTTCTGTCCCGTTGGTCTATATATCTGTTTTTTTACCAGTACCATGCTGTTTTGATTACTATAGCCTTCTAGTATAGTTTGAAGACAGGTAGCATGACGCCTCCAGCTTTGTTCTTTTTGCTTAGGATTTTCTTGACTATACGGGCTCTTTTTTGGCTCCATATGAAATTCAAAGTAGTTTTTTCTAATTCTGTGAAGAAAGTCAATGGTAGCTTGATGGGGATAGCATTGAATCTATGAATTACTTTTGTCAGTATGGCCATTTTCACGATATTGATTCTTCCTATCCATGAGCATGGAATGTTTTTCCATTTGTTTGTGTCCTCTCTTATTTTCTTGAGCAGTGGTTTGTAGTTCTCCTTGAAGAGGTCCTTCACATCCCCTGTAAGTTGTATTCCTAGGTATTTTATTATCTTTGTAGCAATTGTGAATGGGAGTTCACTCATGATTTGGCTTTCTATTCATCTGTTATTGGTGTAGAGGAATGCTTGTGATTTTTGCACATTGATTTTGTATCCTGAACTTTGCTGAAGCTGCTTATTACCTTAAGGAGATTTTGGGCTGAAACGATGGGGTTTTCTAAACAGACAATCATGTCATCTGCAAACAGACAATTTGACTTCCTCTATTCCTATTTGAATACCCTTTATTTATTTCTCTTGCCTGACTGCCCTGGCCAGAACGTCCAATATATGTTAAATAGGAGTAGTGAAAGAGGGCATCCTTGTCTTGTGCTGGTTTTCAAAGGGGATGCTTCCAGTTTTTGCCCATTCACTATGATATTGGCAGTGGGTTTTTCACAAATAGCTCTTATTAATTTCAGATACGTTCCATCAATACCTAGTTTATTGAGAATTTTCAGCATGAAGGGGTGTTGAATTTTATTGATGGCCGTTTCTGCATCTATTGAGATAATTGTGTCATTTTTGTCATTGGTTCTGTTTATGTGATGGATTACATTTACTGATTTGTGTATGTTGAACCAGCCTTGTATCCCAGGGGTGAAGCTGACTTGATCGTGGTGGGTAAGCTTTTTGATGTGCTGCTGGATTCGGTTTGCCAGAATTTTATTGACGATTTTTGCATCGATGTTCGTCAGGGATATTGGCCTGAAATTCTCTTTTTTTGATGTGTCTCTGCCAGATTTTGGTATCAGGATGATGCTGGCCTCATAAAATGAGTTAGGGAGGAGTCCCTCCTTTTTCTATTGTTGGGAGTAGTTTCAGAAAGAATGGTACTAGCTCCTCTTTGTACCTCTGGTAGAATTCTGCTGTGAATCCATCTGGTCCTGGGCTTTTTTAGGTTGGTAGGCTATTAATTACTGCCTCAATTTCAGAACTTGCTATTGCTCTATTCAGGGATTCAACTTCTTCCTGGTTTAGTCTTGGGAGGGTGTATGTGTCCAGGAATTTATCTATTTCTTCTAGATTTTCTAGTTTATTTGCATTGAGGTATTTATAGTATTCTTGGATGGTAGTTTGTATTTCTTGTGACCAGTTTCAGAACTTGCTATTGCTGTATTCAGGGATTTGACTTCTTCCTGGTTTAGTCTTGGGAGGGTGTATGTGTCCAGGAATTTATCTATTTCTTCTAGATTTTCTAGTTTATTTGCATCGGGGTATTTATAGTATTCTCTGATGGTAGTTTATATTTCTTGTGACCAGTGGTGATATCCTCTTTGTCATTTTTTATTGTGTCTATTTGATTCTTCTCTCTTTTCTTCTTTCTTTATCTGGCTAGTGGTCTATATATTTTGATAATCTTTTAAAAAAAAAAAGCTCCTGGATTCATTCATTTTTTGAAGGGTTTTTCGTGTCTCTGTCTCCTTTAGTTCTGCTCTGATCTTAGTTATTTCTTGTCTTCTGCTAGCTTTTGAATTTGTTTGCTTCTTGCTTCTCTACTTCTTTTAATTGTGATGTTAGGGTGTTGTTGTTATAACTTTTCCACTTTCTGCTGTGGACATTTAGCGCTATAAATTTCCCTCTAAATACTGCTTTAGCTGTGTCTCAGAGATGCTGGTATGTTGTATCTTTGTTCTCATTGGTTTTAAATAACTTATTTATTTCTGCCTTAATTTCGTTATTTACCCAGTAGTCATTCAGGAACAGGTTGTTCAGTTTCCATGTAGTTGTGCGGTTTTGAGTGAGTTTCTTAATCCTGAGTTCTAGTTTGATTGCATTGGGGTCTGAGAGACTGTTTTGATTTCCATTCTTTTGCATTTGCTGAGGAGTGTTTTATTTCCAATGATGTGGTGAATTTTAGAATAAGTCTGATGTGTTGCTGAGAAGAATTTATATTCTGTTGATTTTGGATGTAGAGTTGTGTAGATGTCTGTTAGTTCCACTTGGTCCAGAGCTGAGTTCATGTCCTGAATATCCTTGTTAATTTTCTGTCTCATTGATCTAGTATTGCCAGTGGGATGTTAAAGTCTCCCACTATGGTTGTGTGGGAGTCTAAGACTCTTTGTAAGTCTCTAAGAACTTGCTTTATGAATCTGGGTGCTCCTGTATTGGGGGAATATATATTTAGGATAGTTAGCTCTTCTTGTTGCGTTGATCCCTTTACCATTATGTAATGCCCTTCTTTATCTTTTTTTTTAATCTTTGTTTAAAGTCTGTTTTATCAGAGACTAGGATTGCAACCTCTGCTCTTTTTTTTGCTTTTCATTTGCTTGTAAATATTACTCCATCTCCCTTTGAGCCTATGTGTGTCTTTGCATGTGAGAAGGGTCTCATGAATACAGCATACTGATAAGTGTTGACTATCCAATCTCCTAGTCTGTGTCTTTTATTTATTTTTAATTTTTTTAATTTTTTGAGACGGAGTCTCACTCTGTTGCCCAGGCTGGAGTGCAATGGCATGATCTCGGCTCACTGCAAGCTCCGCCTCCCAGGTTCATGCCATTCTCCTGCCTCAGCCTCTCGAGTAGCTGGGACTACAGGCGCCCACCACCATGCCCAGCTAATTTTTTTTTTTTTTTGTATTTTTTAGTAGACCATGTTAGCCAGGATGGTCTTGATCTCCTTGACCCTGTGATCTGCCTGCCTCAGCCTCCCAAAAGTGCTGGGATTACAGGTGTGAGCCACCATGCCCGGCCCAGTCTGTCTTTTAATTTGGGCATTTAGCCCATTTATATTTAAAGTTAGTATTGTTATGTGTAAATTTGATCCTATCATTATGATGCTAGTTGGTTATTTTGCCCGTTATTTGATGCAGTTTCTTCATAGTGTTGGTGATCTTTACAATTTGGTATGTTTTTGCAGTGGCTGGTACTTATTTCTCCCTTCCATATTTAGTGCTTCTTTCAGGAGCTCTTGTAAGGCAGGCCTGGTGGTGACAAAATCTCTCAGCATTTGCTTGTCTGTAAAGGATTTTATTTCTCCTTCACTTATGAAGCTTAGTTTGGCTGGATATGAAATTCTGGGTTGAAAATTCTTTTCTTCAAGAATATTGAATATTGGCCCCCAATCTATTCTGGCTTGTAGGGTTTCTGCAGAGAGATCTGGTATTAGTCTGATGGGCTTCCCTTTGTGGATAACCTGACCTTTCTCTCTAGCTGCCCTTAACATTTTTTCCTTCATTTCAACCTTGGTGAATCTGACGATTATGTGTCTTGGGGTTGCTGTCCTTGAGGAGTATCTTTATGGTGTTCTCTGTATTTCCTGAATTTGAATGTTGGCCTCTCTTGCTAGGTTGGGGAAGTTCTCCTGGATAATATCCTGAAGAGCGTTTTCCAAGTTGGTCCCATTCTCCCCGTCACTTTCAGGTACACCAATCAAATGTAGATTTGGTCTTTTCACATAGTGCCGTATTTCTTGGAGGTTTTGTTCATTCCTTTTCATTCCTTTTTCTCTAATCTTGTCTTTGTGCTTTATTTCATTAATGTGATCTTCAATCTCTGATATCCTTTCTTCTGCTTGATCAATTCAGCTATTGATACTTGTGTATGCTTCACGAAGTTCTTGTGCTGTGTTTTTCAGCTCCATCGCATCATTTCTGTTCTTCTCAAAACTGGTTATTCTAGTTAGCAATTCCGCTAACCATTTCCAAGGTTCTTAGCTTCCTTGCATTGGGTTAGAACATGCTCCTTTAACTTGGAGAAGTTTGTTATTACCCACCTTCTGAAGCCTACTTCTGTCAATTTGTCAAAATCATTGTCTGTCCAGTTTTGTTCCCTTGCTGGCGAGGAGTTGTGATCATTTGGACGAGAAGAGGCATTCTGGTTTTTGGAATTTTCAGCCTTTTTGCGCTGGTTTCTCCCCATCTTTGTGGATTCATCTACCTTTGGTCTTTGATGTTGATGACCTTCAGATGGGGTCTCTGACTGGATGTGCTAATCCTTTCTGTTTGTTAGTTTCCCTTCTAACAGTCAGGCCCCTCTGCTGCAGGTCTGCTGGAGTTTGCTGGAGGTCCACTCCAGACCCTGTTTGCCTGGGTATCACCAGGAGAGGCTGCAGAACAGCAAAGTTTGCCACTGGCTCCTTCCTCTGGAAGCTTCATCCCAGAGAGACACCCACCAGATACCAGCCAGAACTCTCCTGTATGAGGTGTCTGTCAACAACTGCTGGGAGGTGTCTCCCATTCAGGAGGCACGGGGGTCAGGGACCCACTTGAGGAGGCAGTCTGTCCCTTAGAAGAGCTCAAACACTGTGCTGGGAGATCTGCTGCTCTCTTCAGAGCCGCAGGCAGGAACAATTAAGTCTGCTGAAGCTGCACCCACAGCCGCCCCTTCACCCAGGTGCTCTGTCACAGGGAGATGGGAGTTTGATCTATAAGTCCCTGACTGGGGCTGCTGCCCTTCTTTCAGAGATGCCCTGCCTAGAGACGAGGAATCTAGAGAGCCAGTCTGGCTACAGTGGCTTTGCAGAGCTGAGATGTGGGCTATGCTGAGTTTGAACTTCCTGGTAGCTTTGTTTACACTGTGAGGGGTAAACCGCCTACTCAAGCCTCATTAATGGTGGATGCCCCTCCCTCCACCAAGCTTGACCATCCCAGGTCGACTTCAGACTGCTGTGCTGGCAGCAGGAATTTCAAGCCAGTGGATCTTAGCTTGCTGGGCTCCATGGGGGTGGGATCTGCTGAGCTAGACCATTTGGTTCCCTGGCTTCAGCCCCCTTTCCAGGGAGTGATTCGTTCTGTCTTGCTGGTATTCCAGGTGCCACTGTGGTATGAAAATAATCTCCTGAAGCTAGTTAGGTGTCTGCCCAAATGGCTGCCCAGTTTTGTGCTTGAATCTCAGGGCCCTGGTGGTGCAGGCACCTGTGGGCAACTCCTGCTCTGCGGGTTGCAAAGACAGTGGGAAAAGCGTAGCATTTGGGGCCGGAATGCACCCTTCCTCAAGGCACAGTCCCTCATGGCTCCCCTTGGCTAGTGGAGGGAGTTCCCCAACCCCTTGCACTTCCCAGGTGAGGCAATGCCCTGCCCGCTTCTGCTTGCCCTCCGTGGGCTGCACCCACTGTCTAACCAGTCCCAGTGAGATGAGCCGGGTAACTCAGTTGGAAAATCAGCGATCACCCACTTTCTGCGTTGATCTGGCTGGGAGCTGCAGACCGGAGCTGTTCCTATTCGGCCATCTTGCCAGCAACCCTCCAGTCTTTTTCTTTCTAATATATATTATGAACTTCCCTAAGGACAGTTTTCATTTTAGGCTACACATTTTTAATGTGTTCTTTTTTGTAATGACTATGTTAAAATATTTTCTAATGTCAATTATACTTTTTTAAAAATAACTTTTGAACACTTGTACTATATCCCTACTACATATTGTTGCATATATTTTGAATTTGGGGAGATATTAACATTAATGTTTTATGTATTCAATATTTGTTTATGGCCAGTCTTCCTGGTGTTCTTCATTTCTTCCTGCATTTCCGTGTTTCAATTTGCAATGATTTTTCTTTCTGTCTGAAGAAACAGTTTTTGTATATAGGAAAACATTCTTATGGTACCTGTATTTTTAAAAAAGTTGTTTCACATAGTATAGAATTAGAGGTTGGCAGATTCTTATTTGTTATAAAACTTTAAACATGCCATTTCATTATTTCCAGCTTGTATTGTGATGTTGCAGACACCTGTCAGCTTTATTGTTGTTACTTTGAAGTGAAGTTTCCTTTTTCTCCTGGGCACTTTTAAGATTCTCTTTTTTTCCTTTTCATTTTCAGCAGTTTTGCATTGTGTTTTGTTCTGTTTGTTTTGTTTGATTCTGCTTGTTGCTTCCCAAGCCTTTAAATTTCTTATAGACTATTTTTTAGAGCAGTCTTAGGTTCACAGCAAAATTGAGTGTAAGGTACAGAGGTTTCTCTTACACCCCCTGTCCACACATATGCATAGCCTCCCCCATTATCAACATTCACCACTAGAATGGTACATTATTTTTACAATTGGTGACCTTACATTCACACATTACTATCACCCAAGTCCACAGTTTTCATTAGAATTCAGTCTTGGTATTTTAAATTCTATGGGTTTAGACAAATGCATAATAGTATCCACATTATAGTATCATATAGAGTAGTTTCTCTGCCTTAAAAAATCTTCTGTGTTCCACCTATTTATTCCTTCTTCCGCTCTTAATCCTTGGCATCCACCGATCTTTTTACTTTTGCCATAGTTTTGCCTTTTTCAGAATGTTACATAGTTGAAATCATGCAATAGGTAGCCTTTTCAGACTAGCTTCTATCACTTAGTAATGTGTATTTAAGTTTCCTCCATCTCTTTCCATGGCTTGATAGCTCATTTCATTTTAGCACTGAATAATATTGTTGGATAGAGATACCAGTTTATGAAACCATTCACCTTTTCCAAGTTTTGGCCATTATGAATAAAGCTGCTATAAACATCCATGTGCAGGATTTTGTATGGACATAAATTTTCAGCTGCTTTAGGTAAATACTAACTAGTGTGATTGCTGGATCATATGGTAAGAGTATGTTTAGTTTTATAAGCAATTGCCAAACTACCTTCCAATGTGGCTGTACCATTTTGCTTTCCAATCAACAATGAATGACGGTTCCTGCTGCTCCACATTCTCTTCAGCATGTGGTGTTATCCGTGTTTTGAATTTGGGCCTTGCTGAGCTTTGTTTATTCTGTGTTGCCTTACAATTTTTTTCGAAATACATTTAATGATTAATTCTCAAATAAAAATGTCATATTTTGTTGTCTGTTTCCTCTAAGATTCAAATTAGAAGAATGCAACACCTGTGATTGTGTCTCACATGTATACTATGTTCCTCTTTAAAACATTTTCTAATTATTTTCTTCTCTGTTGCTGGAATTTGGGTATTTTAAATTAATCCAGGAAACTATTTATCTCTCCTCCTATGTTTAATTTGCAGTTACATTATCTATTGAGATAATAATTTACTGATTATCAACTACTAATTATATATGTAATTATATAATCTACTGATTATAATCTACTACTAGAGATCATAATCTACTAATCTCAAATACTGTAATTTTCAAATCAAGAATGTCTGTTTGATTTTTTTTATAAATCCCAATTCTTTGAGAGTTTCTGCATCTTTTATCAATTTTGTCTAACTTTTACTCGATGTTCTTTTTTTTTTTTAAATCTCATCTGCTAACTGCTATATTTGGTCACTCCTTGGTGACAGTTTATTGTCGTGGTTTGTTCAAATTGACCTGCTCACGCAAGCCTGGTATTTTTTGAATCAATGATTAATTTTTAGAAATCTCTGCAGCAATGGAGGTTCCAGATGATATTATTATATAGGAGAAATGATTTAGTCTTTCTTTGTCTAGACAGATAGTATGGGAACTAATGATCTAATTTGGGACTGTATTGTGTCACAAGTTCACATGGAGATTCTGTTCGGCTCTTCAGAGGTTTGGGGTTTTGCTATTTAAAATACCATTCCATGCCAATTTTAGAATATGGCAATTTTCTTGAAGGAGAATACTCTATGGCTTCTCAATTCTCCAGTTTTGTTACTCCGGCTTGTGCTACTGTCAAAATCTCCAGCCTTTTATGAACAGTAAAATCCAGTGCTGGGTGGCACCTCCCACCCCCAGGTTTTTTGTTGTTGTTGTTGTTGTTTCTTCTGCAGTTGTACTCTTCTGGATCAAGTCCAGCTTCTCAGTCTCTAGTTCTTGCTAAAAATCAGCAAATACTAACAGGGAAAAAGTGCCTTTAGTGATTTTGCTCACCTTTGAGACTCTCTCCTATTTTTAGGATTTAAAAACTTCTAGTCTTTTTTGTTTCTATAGTTCACTGATGCCTTTACAAATATTATTTTCTGTTTTATCCAGCCTTCATAGTTGTTCCCAACAGGAATATTGGAACACTATGAACTACTCTACACTGTGTACCACTGGCTTTGTTATGTAATGAATGGATACGTTTACTTCTACAATATTTATTATTTCCACTGTAGTTCCTCTTCTTTGATCCATACATTATTTAAAACTCTGTTCCAAAATATCCACTTTTTAGGAGGAAGAAGAGAGGGAGGAATTGGAAGGGTAACCATTTTCTTGTTGATTTCTAATTTTATTGCAATGCAGTCAGAGAATATTACCTCTATGACGTTGTTCTTTGTATAGGTAGTAAGTGTTGTTTGGTGGCATTGGCAACTTTAGAAAAAGTTCGATACATGTTTGAACATAATATGAATCTTCTAATTGTTAAAGTCTGTGTGTGTGTGAGAGAGAAAATTAGATAAAACTTTTTAGATGGAATATTTAGATTCTCTGTATCTTTACTTTCTTTTCATCTATTGAATCTATCAATTATTGAAAGATCAGTTATTGATACTAGTTTAGAATTATCTATATTTTATCATTAGTTTGAGATGAAATTGCAACATACACATATATTAAATACTATCAAATACTTCTTATAATTATATAATTATTCCTTTTATGCATAATAATATTTTTACCTCAAGGTATATTTTGTAAAATATTAATATTGTGAGCCAGCTCTTTGGGGGTTATTTTATTTGGTGATTCTTTGTTGTTGTATTAATTATTAAGCTTTACATGTGTTATTTATGGCCAGATATATGGGAATTTTATTAAACCCAATTCAAGAGGTTTTTAAAGCAAGTTCCTTTTACCCTAATTTGACTACTAATATATTTTACTTTATTTCTGTTTTCATTTTACCCGATATTTTCTCTCCAGTTGTTTTCTTTTTTACTTCTATTGCAATGATTATTTTAAATTTTCTTTTCCCCTATTATTTTGCTAGTTATTAATTATAGTTCTTTATATCAGTACTCATTTTAAAAAGTACATATTCTTATATTAACATAGTCTAAAATTAGTTATTTCTATCCTGAGTCTGAACAATAGTAGAGTTTAGATTTGTTCATGTTTTATCTAATTTTATGCTATTGAATTCACTATATTACTTCCTTCATTGCATAAATCTCACATACCTCAAAACTTAGACATTATTATTACTATCACTGTTTTTTTTTAATTGAGAATGTTTATGAAGATTTTCATGCCAGTTTTCTTGTATTTGCCCCTTGTTTCTATGGTCAGCTTCCTTTTTTTTGTAGCACTTTTTTTACTAGTTCCTTCACTGAGGGTCTTTTCCAGATTAATGCTTATTGTAATAGATAAATTTTCATTTATACATTTGTGTAGTTATTTATACATTATAATTACATATATGTTATCCAAATGTATAACGGATATATATGTATACACACAAGTACATTACAACTGTATACATCATACATTTGTGTATTTACTTGAACAACTTTTATCACAGATCAGTGAAAGTTTTTATTCTCAAAAAACTGTTTATTACACCAATAATTGTATATGAAGTATTATTATGAAGTGGTTTCTTTCTCTAACTTACAAAAAGATATATTTGGATTGTGGTGGCCCAGTAAATGTGAACTTCAAACTCTCTCTCTTTATGTTAAAAAAGTATTTATTTCATCATCATTTTTCTCTAGTTTTATATCTGTGGTCTGTCTCTTCACAGGGAAACATTTCTTTACTTGGTTTGTAATTATGATTTGTGAGCTCATATTCAGTGGAACATGTTTCCCCTTTGAGAACTTCATGCTTGCTGAGGTGATAAAGTGTCTTATCATAGTCATATTTCATTTGTTATCACAGGACTAGCAAAGATCTCCACATAATAGGAGATCTTTTATGTTACATATATGGCTTAGTATTTCTTAAGCTTCATACTGATGTTCATGTGCTCACGGTAGCTTCGGGTTTTGATTTCTAGCATTCTCAGATTTTTTTTAAGCCAAGTTTTCTTGATACTTCCCTGCACTGACAGATTCTTAAAGTTATTTTCAAATATGCTTGATGGTAGTTAACAACAGCATTTTCAGGCTTTTTGATTTATGCATGAATCTCCATCCCCTACTCACCAGTACCTGTACTCACAGACATTTTGAAACCACACATTTATTTAATCAGTTATATATCTTATCTGATACTCAGGCAGTGGCAGCATCAATTCATGATTTTATCTCTCCAGATTTGAATTTTTTTAAACTTTAATTTTGCACCTGGGAATTATCTTTTCTTCTTCAACCTCAGCTATACATTCAAAAAAATGTATTTTACCTATGATTTGTGATTTCTACGTGTTTTTAGCGAAAGGGGATTCAGTCTACCATGAAGCTAGAATGCATAAACAACACTTTAATATCCATACAATATTCTATCTTATTTGATCAGAGATTTATTATAACTTTTATTACACTCACTCCTTTCTCTTTCTAGATCAGTTTTTTCTTAGTATTCATAAAAACTGCACGTTAAGAGTGTTGTAAATTACTTAAACATTTAAGAAAATCTAGAAGGCTTTTTTAAAAATATTTTTTTAAAAATAGAAATTAACTGCGCTGACACCAAACTTGTAACTTCCGTAAGAGTATTTTTACATTCCTAGATCACCTTCTTGTCTTTTAATGAAACAGGCAGATTATTAGTCAACTAGTGAGACAACTTATTATTGAAAAATATGTTCAAAGCCCAATTTGAATTTAATCATGTAAATGGGTTTCATATTATCTGGGTACCATTCTTATATCATTCCATATTTTTTTCTCATTAGTAGATAAAATGAATTTTGGTTCTTCACAATTACATTTTTGTTGGATTGCACTGGATCACATTACATGTTAATCTTTGTTTCAGACAATTTCACCTGTGCAGTTCCTTTAACACACCCTTTACTGAGGAAATCCTAAATACAGTGTTGATGCGGAGATGTGCTACATGGTTGGCACCCTAGGCCACCACCTCTGTGAGAGACATTAACTTTCATAAGCATCGCTTGCCCTTTTACCCTGTTTAGTCCTTTGTTCAGGGACTCCCTCCAACTCCCATTGCCTTTCCCTGGCTAACCCCTGCCCATTCAATGGTATCACCAAGTTGTTGCCCTCTCTCAAAGCCTTTCCTGCTTACATTTTTCTCTACCTTATTTCCCTTTTATATTCTCCCATAATATCTTATGTACATCTTTATGTGTTAATGAACAGATTTTAAAATGAGCATTTTAAAATTACACTTTTTTTTTTTTTTCTGAGATGGAGTCTTGCTCTATTGCCCAGGCTGAAGTGCAGTGGCACAATCTCGGCTCACTGCAACCTCTGCATCCCAGGTTCAAGCAATTCTCCTGCCTCAGCCTCCCGAGTAGCTGGAACTACAGGCATGCACCACCACGCCTGGTTAATTTTTGTATTTTTAGTAGAGATGGAGTTTCACCATGTTGGCCAGGGTGGTCTCGAACTCCTGACCTCAGGTGATCCATCTGCCTCAGCCTCCCAAAGTGCTAGGATTACAGGCATAAGCAACCATACCCAGCCAAAGTCACACTCCCAAAGTCATACTCAGCATTTTTGCACCTTCACTGCTTGTCATGTATTATGATTTTTCTTCTGTTATGCTTCAAATAATAGTAAGACTCATAGTAAGACTCACAGATTACAGTCATAGGACCAGTAATTAACTGGAACTTCGCCAGGAGTTTGTACCAAGAGTGCCTGGATTTTGAACTCAGGTAGCTTAGATAATGCTTAAAAACAGCACTTCTGGAGCCCAGAGACTTAACTTTTGTTAGAATGCATCCATCTGATCACATAAAAACTCTGATTTCTTCATTAGTTCCATTATTGGAAAAGGCATCCTGGAGGGTTTTAGGAGTCTGTGATCATCTTATGAGGTGTGTCACATAACATCTGGCTTGTGTTTTGTTTTCTGATGAGAGATTCAATTGACTTCTTGTACATGACTCATTTTTAGTTGAGAAATGAGAAGGCTGTTTTTGTTTGCTTTTTATTTCCAGAACTTTTTGTATTAAAAAAAATTGAGCTGGGTGCAGTGGCTCACGTTTGTAATCCCAGCACTTTGGGAATCTGAGGTGGATGGATCACTTGAGGTCAGAAGCTTGAAACCAGCCTGGCCAACATGGTGAAACCCCATCTCTACTTAAAATACAAACAAATTAGCCGGGTATGGTGGCAGGTGCCTGTAATCCCAGCTACTTGGGAGGCTGAGGCAGAAGACTCGCTGAAACCGGGAGGCGGAGGTTGCAGTGAGCCGAGATCATGCCACTGCACTCAGCCTGGGCGACAGAGTGGGTCTCCGTTTCAAAAAAAAAAAAAAAAAAAAAAGTGCTTTGAAAAGGGCCTCTATTGCATCTATCTTTAAATAACATCTGTGTTAATTCCTTTCCCTTTTAAACTCATCTCTTATTATAATAACACACGTGGGTTATTGAACTGAAAAGCTAGGCTTTTAAACAGAATAATTCAAATCATTTACATTAGTCGTGGTTACAGTCATTCTCTATAACTTTCAAATCAAATAAAAAATTCCTTGGTGTTCCAAATCTAAGAACAATGAAATTTAAATTTATCAGAGTCTCAGTTGAAGATTCTGACTTTACACTTGAGCAAAATAAGAATAGGAATAGATGGTCACTTTAAGGGTTCTTTTGGGTCATTCTTTGTCTTACAGACCTCACCCTAGTCTATAAGAAGTTCTACTAATTACCATTCAAATTTCATAGACATGATTATCATGTTTATAAGACTTTAATTTTCTCATGATAAAACTGTATCTTTTTGTTCATATGAATATATGATGGTATGATATTTTTGATACATAGTTGCAATCATACCTCTATGTAAGTATGCACTCATCGTTTTTGAATATTTTATATTTTATATACATTTACATTTTATTGCATAAACATGCTATTATATTATAAACTATTGGCTTTATCATCGTATTTTTTTACATGACCACATGATAGTCATTGATTTCCTATAACTGGTGTTTATGGGTTTCCATAATCCAGAATTCCAAGAGAGGCCCCTGTATCATAGGGCTGGAACAAGAAAGAAACAAAAGTTGTATACTTGTCACATTCCTCCTGTTCCCCACTGGTGCTTCTAAACCCAAATCTCTCTGATCCTGAAGTTTTTGAGCCTTAGCATCTTAAAGCTGTGATTGATCTTGATTCTCACCCACATTTCTTATGGATGTTGGCCACCTACCACTGTCCCAAGTTCTTTCTGGTCATGTGCAATTTCACGTTTATATTATTAGTTCACCCAACACTATTTAATAATGATTTGACCTCAATCTAGATGACCTCTACCTGCACCCTTCTTTACTCTTGTGACAATACCTAGTCATGTCTCAGAACTTTCTCTCTGAAATCTTAAATACCTAAATCTCACTCCCTGATAAAGTTCCTTTTTTTTGTAAAATGTCTGCTCTTTTTCATCACTGATGATTCCATTCTCTTTACTACTGTATTCTTTTCTCCAAATTATCGGGCTCCCTCTAACCTTACTCTTTTACTCATTCCCCATAGATCCCTGTAAGTGTTATGCCTTCTTTCACTTTCAACTTCACTGACAGCTTTTATACCTTTGGTCTTTCTCCACACATGATCTGCAAAACGTCAACCTAAATTGAATCTAAATTTACTCATCTTTGTTTCAGCCACTAGGATGAATATCACTCAACTGAGTACTATGTTAGTGCTCTCCAAACTCATGCACTCCATCCTCAGCTGAAGCAACATATTTTCTGACTCATTACATTAAGCACTCCTGTAGTACTTATTCAGCTCTTCCATATTTCCCTCAGTGGCTGTTCTAATCTTTGAATCCTTTTCCAAATATTACTAATAAACTTCCATTCACCTTTGACCTATATATCAAATAATGTTGCCTCCTTCTTCACTCAGACATGCATTGATATCAGAAAGTTATTTCCCTAAGTTAGTAAGGTATTCTATGAATACCTTCAGCAAACATCATATGCAACTGTGAAACTGTAAACATTCCTGTTAAACTCAGAAGGAAAAATAAGGAGCTCAGTATTGCCCATATATTTCAATAGTATGTTGGAAATCCTAGCCAATGCAAATTAGAAGAAATAAGAATTAGAAACAAGTGGCAGTACTATTTTTATGTGGGGAAAGTATAATATTAGAATGGATACTGGAGAAGACATGTAAAACTCATTAAAGTGACTGAAGTTTATATGTCCTAGTCCATGTGACAAACAGGTATATGACATATGATAACCCATGTTAGCTGAGTTTTAAATCTGAACAGGGTGGTGGGACTGTTCTAGCTGTGGTGAAAAAAAGTGGCAAAATATATGGGAATCTTAAGAGAAAATTTGTACCAATCAATGGTAGCAGCATGCTAATTACAGTGAGCTTAATTTAGTATTTTGGGGGGACGTTTAATCTCAAATTATTATTTTATTTTCAAATGCTGTAACTTTTAATACCCTATTTAGAGGAGATATTTTCTTTTATCCTCCTTCTTTCTTTTCTTTCTTCCTGCCTTCTTCCATTTGATTATAATGCAAAATTAATTATCTCAAAATCTTCGTTTTCCACTCTTTGTTGTATTCATGTGATTTAGCTCTCTTAAAATTCATGTTATCTTTTATGTTTAAATCAAATTTTAAAGTTTTTATTTCATCTGTTGTTTAATAGAACTATAATAAAAATATGATTTTCTCCTTCTCCCCTCCTCTTCTCCCTTCCCCAATCCCTCTCTGTGTATCCTTACCTTCATCTTTCTGTCCTACTTTGTCTTAATTTAACCTTGAAGTAATTTCAGTTACCTTAATAAGCCAAATGAAGTAACTGGGCTTATCATCTGTCTATTCATCCATCCGTCCACCTAACCACCCATTCATTAAGAAGTCATTTCATCTGTTTGTAGATGATAAATTTCTATAAAATCTATTTTAATTTGTAAAGATATAAAAAAAACTACATCCATATGTGTATTTCGTCTTTTTGCTGTTTCTTCATGTAGTTATGTTTCTAAAAATAATATGTTCATTCTACCTTTTGCTTAAAGATTACATCTCTACTTTCCTGATAGGCCTGTGGATACCAGGCCTTGACATTCTGCGTGAAGGTTTAAATGAGTTGTTGAGAACTTCAGATATACTTTCAGCTAATCTCCATTTTCAACCCTCCTGCATTGCTTTTCCCTAGACCATGTGTGCCTCAGTCTTGAGACTTTCTGGAGTTCCACCCAATTCAGAAGTTCTCTTCTCATCAAAAATCTTCCTCTTGTCATTTAGGCTGTAGCTTTCACTAAATCTGTTCCTATACTTCCCTGAATCTTCTAACTTTGCCACACATGGGCAAGGTGATTCTTTTAAAATTTTATTAAAATAATTTATTTAAATTATTTCTTACCATTATGTTTTGTTTCTGGAGACAGAAAAAAGTCACAAGCAGTCAGTTGACCATCTTTAATTAGGGTAAGCTCTGCATTAAATTTTTTTTAGAAACAAAATATCCAGCAGATGGATTCAAAGGTGAAATTAAGTCCCCATTCCATCATGTTTAGTAATTATGTGATCTTTGGTAAATCAGAACCTCCTACGCCTAAATATCTTAATCTATAAAAGGAGTTTAAAATTTATTTTATGAGGATATGGGAAATAGAGAACATATAGTGGATCAAAAATAATTGATATTATGATAACTTGTTATTTGAAAATAACATTATAACTTACACTTGGTAACAATTCATTTTCTGAAATGATTATTCAAGTATATGTCTTCATTAGTAAAATAGAACATAAATATTTAACTAAAGAATATCAAGGAGTTTAAATATTGCCATTTTTACTGATAATTTATACCAAAAGATCAAATATCTTGCTAAAATTTTATCTTAATATTTCAGTATCATATACTATGCAACACACCATTTAGCCAAGAAATTTTCAAATAAAATCTTTCTAGTATTTTAAATATGATAGATAGCTCTATGCCATATTAGTTAACATAGTATTTCATAAATAGAATTTCACAATTGTATTAATTCAAAATATAAATGTAAGTTCAAGACTGCTTTATATGTAGTTTATTTTGCATTAATTTTTTTGAAACTGTGTTCTTCACAATAATTGAGTATATTTAAAATAATCATTGCTGTTTGATTATATTTTCCAAGTTATAACTATTCATTTGTCTTACATGATGATGAAATTGGTATTTATAACCTATATTCTTATATTATTCCTTTTGGGAACTTGATAATTGGTAAAATAATTTTATCTAAAATATGAAAATGAAAATGATATGAACATTTTTTTGCCTGGCCTATACATATACACTTGCCCCTAAAATTTCATTTATTAGGGCTAGATTTCACAGATTAATACTGACATTTTAGTCGTGACAACTGCCATTTTCATTCCTGCTGCTAATAACTAGTATAAATATTTGCATATTCATTCAGACATATAATAATTAATGTTTGTATTTTTTAGGTATAGCTTACTTGAGTGGAATGTGTAGTGAAAAGAGAAAATGTATTATTGCTGAAGACAATGGCTTGAATCTTGCTTTTACAATTGCTCATGAAATGGGTCACAAGTAAGTAAAAATCATGGCTATGTTAAATATGTTAGCATATAACTTTGTAATTCGAGTTACTGAATTACCTGGATATCTTCTGATTTTTAATTTGGGCTTCAAGTTTTTGAAAAACTAGGGAGACAAGAAGGGGTGAAGACTGACTACATTTAAAGAATGTCTTTTGAGTGTTGCAACTATTCCTGCTTCTTTGAATAAAATCTTATTACATTATTAAAATCCCTATCAAGACAGTCATTACATAGTGCATGATTGATTTCACTACAGATTTGTAAATGATACAAATATTTCCATAATCTTGAGACTACAAAGCTATAAACTTTTCAAACGCTTAGTACAAATGAAAGTAATTCCAGCCTATGGTAGTACCTGTATTTGTTATTACCAGGCATAAGTGAAGGAATTAACCCGCATGGTTTAGATATAATGTATTTGAAAGACAATGAAATTAGACATATAATTAACACATATTGAATATTAACTATGTCTCAGGAACAGTTATAAACATTTTCAATAGATTAGTTCATTTAATACAAAACCCAAAGAGGTAGTTATTGTTCTAATTTTCATTTCACTGAAATTAATAATAGGAATAATTAGTAATAGCAACACTTACATAGTACTTACTATTAATGTTTGCCAGACACGTTTTTAAGTGCTTTGTAAGTACTCACAACAATTTTGTGATGTGTTATTAGTGTACCCATTTTATTGGAAAAATACAGAAATATAGAGAATTTACCCTCCTGAAATTATTAAAATGGCAATTGTTGGAGCGAGGGGTTTGAACTCAAGCCATTCAACTCAGGTCAAACTGTTCCATTAAGTTATCTGTTATCTTCTGGCCTAGATTCCTCGTCAGTGAATCGGGATAATACCTTTGTTATGGGATTAGTTTAGGATTCAAATTACATAAAGCTGTGATCATATTTTTAGGAAGTTTATTAAAGTAGAAATGGAGACCTGGCACGGTGGCTCATGCCTGTAATCTCAGCACTTTGGGAGGCCGAGGTGGGCGGATCACGAGATCAAGAGATCGAGACCATCCTGGCCAACATGAAACCCCGTCTCTACTAAAAATACAGAAATTAGTTAGGCATGGTGGTACGCGCCTGTAGTCCCAGCTACTGGGGAAGCTGAGGCAGGAGAATCGCTTGAACCCAGGAGGTAGAGGTTGCAGTGAGCTGAGATTACGCCACTGCACTCCAGCCTGGTGACAGAGTGAGTCTCTATCTCAAAAAAAAAAAAAGAAAAAAAGAAAAAAAAGAAATGGCACAGGTTGGGGAATCAGACTTAATTTTGAATGCAGGCTTCCCTAATTGCTGGCAGTATCAGCAGTACAAATGAAAGTATTTTAATTGGACTCAGATTTAGTGAGGCCCTACTAGGGAGGTGATCTTTATGGAGGGAGGGCTCTTTAGTTAAAGACATATTTAGTTTGGCCTTCAGTGTTTAAAAAATTCAATTAGTTGCCAACATTAAAAAAGTGTAAATTTGACATAAAAGTAAGATTTGCAGACCTGGTAACACTCAACCCACAGCCCATATGGCAACCATTCCTAGGAGCTGTGTAGGATCTGTACCCTTTAAATTAGACCCATCTTTCTCAGTTCATCAGAGGCCGCAACACCCTAGTATATGGTACACCCAGCTCACTTCATTTTCATTATATTCCTGGAGTCTGTACGCACTTCAGTAAAGTTTAGTTGGCAGTGGAATTTGATTGGTAAAGGAAAGCTTAGAAGAAACAATTTACATTGGACATGACAGTAGTTGATTTAAAAAGTTATTCAAGTAAACACAAGTGATCAAATTGTAATTACACAGCTCACTGAATTAACAAAATTAAATATAGCAATGTATCCATCACCCAGCCCAAGAAACAGAACAATATCAATACCAATTGATTTCTAATTTTTTAATTGACCAAAATTTACTCCATACAAATGTTTTGAAATGTGTATACATTGTGGAATGGCAAAATTGAGCAAATTAACATAAGCATTACCTCACATATTTAGCAGTTGTGTTGAGAACTTAAAATCTACTCTCCTAGTAATTTTCAAGTAATTGATTTTTGATGTCACCATTTTTAAATGTATAGATATGCAGTTGTCCCTCGGTATTTGCCAGGGGATTGGTTCCTGGACCTCTGCATATCCCCAAATCCATGCATATCCAAGTCCAGCAGTTGGTCTTGTGGAACTCACTTATTTGAGAAGTTTGTCCTCTATATATGCAAATTTAGCAACCTGCAAACACTGCAATTTTGATCCTTGTTTAGTTTTTAAAAAATTGCCTGTAAGTGGACCTACACAGTTCAAACCCATGTTGTTCAAGGGTCAAGTGTCCTTTCAGATGCTCCCATACAAGCTTTCAGTCTTCAGTCAACTGACCAAGAATATGAAGAGTTAATTTATTACTTAAAAAAAAAAAGATAAATATACTTTAACATCATCATCCTTTAGGGAAAGTATGCAGTGCAATAACCTTGTTTAATATTTCATTCTAGGAATGATAGGCTATAGATTCTTAATTCCAAAACAATTTTGATAATTGAAAGGTATTTTCAGTTTAGTAATAAAACCTATGAAAAATCATAGGCATCATTTGAAGGAAAAATGCTGAGAATAATGTCTAGAGGCAAGAAAAAATTATTAATAATTAATTTTACAAAGATACATGTCATCATAAATATAATTCTCATAAAATACAGATTTATGAATAATTATGATTTTTGCTCTTGAGCTATGCAGTAACACCTTGATGTACAAACAGTGTATATTTTTGTAAACAGATTTTAAATAATTTTGTCAAGTACCCTGAATAGTTTACTTTTAAAAAGTATATTTTTAAACCGATATGTTTAAAACCAGATATGCAAAATTGATTTCTTCAATCTTCATTGTATTCTAAAATGTAGGAGAAACACTAAGGGAATCAAATACAATACGAGTTAATTTATTAACATCTAAACTGTTGACCATGGAGCTACAACTATTTAAACTAAAAACTAAATGAGGTAATTTAGGGAAAGGCCACTTCAGTTTTATGTAGTAGAAATGTTGGTTTATGACCAGGAGCTCAGATTGGAATAGCTCAAATGGTACGAAAATATTATTTTATTTGACTTTTATAGAGCTGTACCCAAAATCAATAGAGATGTGCCAAAGGTATGTGTAATACTTGATGGACTAGGACCAGAATGTGATATATGTTAAACTACCCCTTTACTAAAAATTCCCCATAGCAGTAAGCAATATTTGTCTCAAAAGTAGTGGCTGGTGTTTTCCTGATGCTAGACAGTGAGAGACAATAGCAGTCAGAATAATGTCATGTTTATAAAAAAACAAACAGGAAGAAAAGTATCTATATGAATTACATCATCATCATTATCATCCACTATAAGATATAAGGCACAATGTAAGAAGAAATGAAGAAAGAAGAATACAAGAAAAAATGTCCATATGCTCATAGTCTCTCTAGTAGGGAAAGTGTTCATGGATGTTAAATAATGGTATCTACAGATTCTATGTGCATGCACCCGTACACACACACACAAACACATACACGCAGAGCCCTTTTATTTAGAGGTATGATTAAGAGCTATGTAAGTGAAACTCTTTAATCCTATATTTTTCTTTTTCGTTTTGGATTTCCTTCTTTCTTTTTTTTGCGTTAAATTTTATAAGTGAAGACTATCTTCTAGAAACTAATAACGAACTATGATACCATGTAATTCTGCAACTTACAATCTTAGAATGACAGAATGATTCCATGTAAACTTTTCAAGAATACCTTTATAATCACATATAAAATGTTTATAAACAGATTTTAAATGAATGTATTTATGTTTGTTGACTTGAATTTGATTTCTAGAAATTCTCAGAACAAGTTCATATATAGCTGGAAAAATCAATACGGTCCACTAAGTATTTAAAAAAATGACTCTTGGGGATGAAAATTTGAGTAAATAAAGAGAACCAACAATTTTTCCTTACTAGTGCAAAGGAATCTAAAACAATGTCAGCAAAAATGTATCGACTTTCTCCTTTGGCAAATTATCAACTTATAAATATATAAAAAAGTGTAAATTAAGATCTACAGTAAGAAAGAGGAAATAAATTATTTAAGCCAACATTTTAAAATTGCCTTTCAGAACAATTTTGCTTCCTAAACAATAAGTAGTAGGAGTTATTATTATTATTATTATTATTATTATTGAGACGGGGTCTCCCTCTGTAGCCCAGGCTGGAGTGCAGTGGCTCGATCTCTGCTCACTGCAACCCTCCACCTTCCGGGTTCAAGCGATTCTCCTGCCCCAGCTTTCTGAGTCGCTGGGATTACAGGTGCGTGCCACCACACCCGGCTAAATTTTTTTTGTTTTTAGTAGAGACGGGGTTTCAGTATGTTGGTCAGGCTGGTCTCGAACTCCTGACCTCGTGATCCGCCCGCCTCGGTCTCCCAAAGTGCTTGGGATTACAGGCGTGAGCCACCACGCCCAGCCAGGAGTTATTATTTTTCTGGTAACTAAAATTTTTGACAAGAAATATTTTTACTGGTAGTGCTGAATTAACACATATTCATCAAATATAATTGGGATCTTCATAATTTAATGTGATGAAGTCTAAAACTTTATTTTTGTGAATGAAAATACTTAGTTTTTCATGAATTTGATGTTTTATTGAATTCATATATATGCACATATTTATTATGTCCACTATATTTTATATGATCTTTATGAACAACAGGTTGTTAAAGTAAGGGATTTTACTTTCATTTTAGGCCAAAACTTATTAATATATTAATTGTTATTAGATTGCTGTGCTTTGAGGGAAGAGGCCCTAAGACTAATCTGAGTTGATTTGCTAGCATAACTCAGAAAACTCAGCAAAGTGGTTTTGCTCATGGTTACAGTTTATTAGCATGGAAGGATATAGATTAAAAGCATCAAAGGAAAAAGTCACATAGGCCAGAGTCCAGGAGACACCAGGCTCAAGCTTCCAGTTGTTCTGTCCCAATGGAGTTGTGCAGACAGTGCTTAATTCTCCCAACAACAATGTGTGAAATCATGCACAAAGTATTGGCAACCCGAGAAGCTATATGAGGCTTGATATCCAGGGATTTTACTGGCGTTTGATCATGTAGGCTTGGTTGACTCCCCACAAGGCAAACCTTCAAGTCTCCATTCCCTCCTGAGGTTAACCTGGCCCTAGTCCCCAACCATAAATCACATTGTTAGCAAAAACCATCCTGGTAGAAGGCCTCCAGCTAAACAAAGATATTCTTGTCAAAGATACTTTGGAGGGATATCCCAAGGACTTAGAGGTTACTTCCAAGGAGTCAGGCAAGGACTAAATAGTTCTTTGGAATGTGCAGATTTTAGACCACTCAAACTTGTGAACTCTTTACTGCAAAATTACACAATTTTATTTTATTTTTTTTGAGACGGAGTTTCACTCTTGTTGCCCAGGCTGGAGTGCAATGGCACGATCTTGGCTCACCGCAACCTCTGCCTCCTGGGTTCAAGTGATTCTCCTGCCTCAGCCTCCCAAGTAGCTGGGATTACAGGCATGTGCCACCACACCCGGCTAATTTTGTATTTTTAGTAAAGATAGGTTTCTCCGTGTTGGTCGGGCTGGTCGTGAACTCCCGACCTCAGGTGATCCGCCCGCCTCAGCCTCCCAACGTGCTGGGATTACAGCACTTCGCACCCGGCCTTACACAATATTTTTAAACTTTCAAAATCCCATATTTTATATTGAGTTGCCAAAGGGTTTCTAATAAAAACAACAGTGTCTTCTTTTATTAGCAGGTATTTTGCTAAATACTATGTATTCATATCTAATTCAACTGCATAAAAATTCTTGAGCTAAGTATTGTTATGATTGTCATTTTACAGATGAGAAAATAAACTAATAGAGATTCATTTTTCAGTTTATGCAATATTAATGTCATTCTCTTTTCATTAAGTATATTGTAAAGATTTTCCTAGTTCTAATAATTGGTTTATTCTTGATTTTTAATGTTTATAACTTGTAGATTTTTTTAATTGTCAAATTTCATACTTTCATAATTTCTTCCGTAGGTTTTTGCAATTACAAGTACTTTCTCATTCTAAAATTAGGGAAACACATTTTTGTATTGTTGTCTTATATTCTCTGTGTGTGTGTGTGTGTGTGTGTGTGTGTGTCTTTCACTGTTTAACACTTTAAGCCATCTAGAATTTACTTTATTATGCATAGTAAATTTCTCTCCACTAAGTTCGTATTTTGCATTAACTGCTCAGTAAATGATCTTACTACTCAAGTGTGGTCTGTGATGAGATAGGGATCTATGCCAGAATATAGGACACTGCTTCCCTCATTGAAAGAGTCTTGACGTGAAAAAAAAAAGCTGAAGTAAACTGTGTGCTTAGTGATGTAGCTGATTTACATTCCGGCACCAGCTACTTATCTGGATACAAATCAGTAATAAAAAGAGTTCATCAAATGGCAGCGAGTGCACAGATCACACTCTGAGTAGCCCTGCCACATAACAGATGTGACAGTCACTGTTCAGTCTAAGTCAGTGTTGCACTAGGAAGTTGCGTGTGAGTTGCCAGAAAGCCATTATTTTTATCTTTGGCCTGAAAGGTGGTCTATACTTGCATATTTTTGTCCTTTTTGTGAAGCATGTAGACATAATCCTATGATACCATTCACTGCAAATAATAAAAGTTGTTCTTTTGTACAAATATTTAGTGGTGTCTTAGATTATTTTGTTATATAAATAAAGATACCATATTTTTATATACACACATACAACGTAGGCTTTTTTTCTTTAGGTCTACAAATAATTCCATTTGCGTTGTGGATTCCAACCAAAAGTAAACTAACCCTTGCATTATTGTGTATGGTTTTAGGAAAATTTAGCCTAAGTCTAAGATATTGTACAATATCTAAATTATCTGGGAAATAATAATTTTAATATACCTATTAATAGCATAATCCCGTGACCATTTTCTGACCTTGCTAAATCTGGACATTTATTGAAGTGCAGAATTTTGCACTGGCTTAGCACATTGAGGCCAAAGACTTCTGCTCCCACCTAAAGATGGAAGGCAATAATATTACTTTAGAGATGATGATTGCCAAAGCTCACACAGCTAATAAGTGCCTGAATCCATGATCAAAGCCAAGTCCATCCAAATCCAAAGCCCATGTTATTAATTACAGTGCTCTGTGAGAAACATGGAAGAGTTCTTCTAGCTAACTTTACTCAACCTACTTCTGGGCTGGCTCGGGATTATCTGTTCCCACTTTATCTCTTCAGCCATACTTCATTTCACACCCCCTTTCATTCTCAGCACTAGAGTTCCCACAGTGTTTCCAAAGTACCATGTTCCAGTGAGAGCACATAGAGACAGGGAGGGGAACAACTCATACTGGGGCTCGGTGGGGAGGAGGTGGGGAGGGAGAGCATCAGGAAAAATAGCTAATGCATGCTGGGCTTAATACTTAGGTGATGGATTGATAGGTGCAGCAAACCACCATGGCACACGTTTTACCTATGTAACAAAAGGCACATGTACCCCAGAACTTAAAAAATACCATGTTCCTTCACACTGCAGGACCTAAGTACATGTTGTTCCTTTACCTGGAGTATACTGACTTTTTAAGCTTAGTTTAATTATCTCCTCCTGCTCAAAGTTCATATACCCCCTCAATAGTCATGTTCTAAAGAAAGCATTCTCTATGGGTCAGTCTCTCTATTAAGCATTTTAGTGGCACCACCTCCTTCGTAAATGCACATTTGTTCATCTGTTAGATATATGCTTCATTAGGCTGTAAGCTTCAAGAGGTGAGGAACCATATCTGTTTTTGCTTATAATGGGATTCTTAATGCATTTGACAGTGCATAAGAAATATATACCAAGAAAACCTGCTTGGTAGATATTAGGCTCTTGATATATATCAAATAAGTGAATGACTGAACATAGTAATCTTAGTAAAGTATCATTATGCATAGATTATCAGTGAAACTTGATTCAAAACAGATGCTGTATGCATATTCAAAGGGTTTAGAATTTTTTTTGATATTGCATGAGACTTTCAATAAAGTATCAGGTAAATTCTTATAAAAACAATATTCTGTATTTTGAAATGTACCCAAGACCACATAAATGAGACTTTATTCTGGTACACACATGCAGAAATGACTACCCCAGCCCTAAAAGTGTTGCCCCTGAAGTCTTCCTATGACAGTAAATGAAGCTCCATCCTTCTAGTGGGACAACCAAAAGCCAAAGAATTATCTTTGAGTGTTCTCTGTTTCTCATAGTCCACATTCAGTTCATCAGCTGTTGACTCCACCTTCAAAATACATCCAGAATCTGATTACTTCTCACTAATTGTCCTGCTAGTTCTTTGGACTAAGCTACCAACACTTCTCATCTGGATTATTATAGTAGCCTCTTAAATAATCTTTCCTTTTTAGCCTTTGCATCCTATAGCCTGTTTTCAAATTAGATTCAGGGAGATTCATTTACAACAAAGCAAATTGCCTGGCTTCTTTACTCAGAACCTTCCAAGAGCTTCCTGGTTCACTCTGTAAAATCCCCAGCCCACACCACAGCCCACCAAGTTCTACATGTTCTAGCCTCCTTCCCTATAGCCTGTCATTCCCTTCTTACCAACTGTGCTCCAGATTCATTGCCTCTTTGTTGAAACTCAAACATAAAAGACTAACAGTCACTTTGGGGACTTGGCCTTTCCTTTGATTTCTGCCTGGAAAGTTCTCCAGAGCAGCCACATGGCTGTCTCCCATTCTTCTTTAGTTCTCCACTCACGTATCAGGGTTCAGTGAGGCCTTTCTGATAACATTTCTTAAAATTGTAAGCACAACCACTGTCTGGCCTTATTCCCCTTTGCCTTCCTTAATTTTATTCATAAAACTTCAAAATGTAACTCTCTACCCTATGTCTCTTTCTTCTGTTTGTATATAATGAGATCTTGTCTACTTAGTTCACTGTCATATTCCCAGCATGTTAGCCATTTATAACTTATGCTTGTAATAGATAGTCAAGAAAATAACCAATATAGCCCTAATAGAGTTTTACATTTGTACAAGTTGAAAGAGACTGCATTAAACATATACCACTTACCCACTGATTGAGAACTTTTTATGATAATTAGACTGTCTACTTCCTAGAGATGTTGAGTTGGGTAAAATTATATGAGTTAGGGGAAATTACTTATATTTCATTTCATTATAAAAATGTCAAGCTTGTTTTGATATGGCCAAAAATGCATATGTATTTTTCATTTTTGTTTTGATTTTTGAACCAGAGAAAAAGGTCTAATATATATAATTAAACTTTGGCATGGAGACATGGTTTTTCCACCAAGTAGGCAATTCAGGAGTTTCTTTGGAACTAAAAGGCTAATGGGGCAACAAATATGCAAAGTTACCTCCTTGAAGGCAATAAATATTTGGGGCACCTGCTAAAATTTTAAGAATTGCCAGAGTACCAAGAATACAGACGTCTTGTGACTAGTAAGCCTTTGGAATCAATAACATTTACATACACACTTACTTCTCTGGAAATTGCGCCTGGATAGAATAGAGGGGAGGGCCAGGTTATATACCTGCTTCTTCAGACATCTGTATTTCTGTTATTGGCACCATTATTGCTACAAGGCCTTTAGTTGAGACATCTGAGCCATCTTTAACTCTTTCTCCCCTTAGTTACTTCCATAATCTGTGGCCAAATTCTATTCATTCTTCGTCCGAGAAAGCTATCTCAACTGTCTATTCTTTCTTCTGTTATTCCTTCTGGCTTGGACTCTTGCAGTATCCACTTAACTGGTGTCGTCTCCTTTGCTACCTCATCTTTCTAATCTACTCACACATTAAGATTCAGCTTCCTGAATTGTGGTCCTAACCTTCATGTCAGAAAACTTTATTGCCTTTCACAACTTAATGAATGAATTTGAAATTCCTTAGCCTGAGATTCATGACTTCTATAGAGTGACTCTAGTCTATTTTTGTAACTTTACAATGGACTTCTCTATTTTATGAATGCAAATGAACTGTAATTTTCAAACATCATGCCTTTATTCATTTTTTTATTATCCCAACTTCCAGCACTAATGATTTATACCTATCCCAATTGTACTTACCTGTTAATGGCCACAACAAATGTTATCACTTTCGTGAAAGTAAATTTGAAAGCCTGGTTGGAAATATGTTTCCACTTTATTTATTTATTTATTTATTTATTTATTTTTGAGATGGAGTCTCACTCTGTTGCCCAGACTGGAGTGCAGTGGCACCATGTCAGCTCACAGCAACCTCCATCTCCTGGGTTCAAGCGATTCTTCTGCCTCAGCCTCCTGAGTAGCTGGGATTACAGGCGCTCAGCACCCCACCCAGCTAATTTTGTATTTTTAGTAGAGACAGGGTTTCACCGTGTTGGCCAGGCTGGTCTTGAACTCCTGACCTCAGGTGATCCACCCGCGGTGGCCTCCCAAAGTGTTGGGATTACAGGCATGAGCCACCACACCCAGCCTGTTTCCACTTTTAAGTCTCTTACACTGATTATTTTAAATATCATTTGTCACTTAGAATTATTTCTGAGATATACTGATTTATACTGATATTTACCTATATATAGGTTCCCAACTGAATAGCAATCTCTGTGAAAATATGATTCATGTCTAATACATTTTTTTCACAGCACGAAGTTGAATGTATTAGACATCATAAGTCTCCAACATATGTTGTACAAGTGAATAAACATTTGTTGTATGAATGCTCATCTGTTGGTCATCTTGAGGTGCAGGACATAAAGCAATTGAGTCCCAGAGTGGAAGAATCAGTTTGGGTCAAGGAATGCAATTGTCTTGACTAAGTAATATGATTTTATGAGAAAATATGGTTTTATTGCTACACAAATATAATGGCAGTATATTTTTCCCTTTTGGTACGTGATATTTTGAATTCCTGTTTAAGATAAACTGTATGAAAATACAATACTTCAATTATATTTCAGTTATGATGAGTCTAACTTAAAGTCTGGTTATAGGCCTGTCCAACTATTTCATCCAAATCCTAAAGTTATGAATGTGAAAGGGCCAAATCTAGCAATTGTAGTAATAGGAATATTTAATTGAAATTCTGTTAATTCACAACAGGTATGGAAACATACCTGCCAAGATATGAAAACAACCTGCATCTGTTAACAGATGAATGTATAAAGATGGATGTATAAAGAAAATGTGGTGTGTGTGTGTGTATGCATATATATATACACACACATATATATATTTCCATTATATAAACAATTCTATATATATAATGGAATATTTATTATATATGTATTACTATATATGTATATATACACACAACAGAATATTCATTATATAATTGGAATTTTATATATATGTGTGTGTGTGTGTGTGTGTGTGTGTATATATATATATATATATATATAATGGAACATTACTAAGTCTTTAAAAAGAGGGAAATTCTACTATTTGCAACAGTGTGGATGAAACTTGAGGGTATTTTGCTAAGTGAAAAAAGCCAGACACAGAAAAACAAATATTGCATGATCTTATTCATATGTGGAATCTGACAAAAACAAAGTCAAACTCATAGTAACAGAAGAATGGTGGTTACCAGGAGCTGTAGGATGAGGGGAATGGGGAGATACTGGTCAAAGGGTACAATCCTTCAGTCACAAGATGTATAAGTACTGGAGGCCTAATGTACAGCATGATGACTATAGTTAAAGAAGTTAGCATATGCCCCAGGAGGCATACATAGATTTGGTTACACTCTCTCAGCTTCCAAGAAGAGTCCTTTTCAGAAGTGAATTAAATTTGGCACTCATTTGCATTGATGTGCAGTAGTATATCTGCTCTAAGAAGAGAGGATATGCTCTAAGAGGAGATTAGATATACACTAAGAACTAAATAGAGACCAGTTATAATGGCTCACAGTGGAGCACACCTGTACTCCAAGCACTTTGGGAGGCCAAGTCAGGCGGATCACTTGAGTTCAGGAGTTCAAGACCATTCTGGCCACCATGCCAGCTTGAGACCTGAGAATTGCTCAAACCTGGGAGGCAGAGGTTGCAGTGAGCTGAGATCACACCACTGCACTCCAGCCTGGTCAATACAGCAAGACTCTGTCTCAAAAAAAAAAGAAAAAAAAAAAGAGAAGAAAAGAACTAAATAAGAAATGCATATAAAGTATATCATCTCCTAAGACTTTTAGAATGGGAAATAGATGAAATAAGAATAAATTGTTATAACAGGCAAAAACCAAATATGCTCTTCTAGAAATACATTGCTCCTTAAAATGTTGAAAATTAATTTTTTTGTAGTTATTGTTGACCAACTATAATTAGTAATGGCTATCTAAATATACTGTCCCCATTGTACTCTTTAGAATTTTCTACAGCAGATGTCACAGATATCTTCCTCTGACACAAATGCCTTGGTAAATGTTAAAAACTACCTATGTGGATAGTTGAGAGGGAAAGTGCATTATTAGACATACAGCCTTGGGCTTGAATTATTGTTCTGCCAGCTACTTAATGAATGAGCTTTGGATAAATCAATCTGTCTGTATTCATTTCCTTTATTCCTAAAATTTGGATAGTTTTTAATTTCAAGATTCATTGTTAGGGTTTGTGATACTCTAGTGTCATGGCACAATGATTGGCACAAAATACAGAGTGACTGAATAATAACAATAATTAGTAGTATTATAGTTATTTTATGAATACCTTAATGTGAAAAGGAGATTTTCAGCCTTCACTGGCCTTTCATTTTTCTGTTCTTTCTTGGAGTGATTTCATGCCTTTTAGAGGTTTTTAACCAGATTGACAGGAAGTTTACTTATCATGAAGACTTGTAGACCACTAGCACGGCTTTCGTATTTGATATTTTATTTAGACAACGATACCACGTAGAATAATAAGCAATTTTTCCAAGTTAACTTTCATAATGAGACTTCAACCAGTATAGATGTGGCAGCTCTCCCATACCAGATTCTCTCCAAATGTAGGTTTGGATGTTGGAGTGAGTTAGTGGAAGACGGAAAAAAATCACCCAGCAAATGAATGACCTTGGAAGAGATAGCTTTCTGTTTGCAATTCTCTGATGTTTCTTGGCAAATGCATGTCCTAGAGTAAAGCAGGCAATCTTCCTGGAGTAGATCATCTATTAACTTTTTCATGTCACAGTTTCTCTGTGTTGGCAAGAGGCCACAGTAGTTTCACATCTCTAATTGTAGCATATTTGGTGTTTCTATGATCCTATATTAGTTGATAAATCAGTAGACATTTAACAAGACATTCAACTAAATAATTAAAGGAAGTAAAAAGAAAATATAACAACTTCTGTTCTCTGAATGCTTACATTCTAGGTAGTGGTATTATATATATATATATATATATTATTTAAAATTAACCAGAAATACGAGGCAGTTCTGATATGTCTTACACACCATATATGTGAAGGGTGTAGAAGTTAAAGATAATGATAAATATGGGCTATAATTTATTGAATAATCCTTTTTAAAGGCAGAAAGTCTGTGTAAACGCAGATTAGAATGGAAGGTATTCTTTTTTATATATTCTTTTTTATCATACTTTAAGTTCTAGGGTACATGTGCACAATGTGCAGGTTTGTTACATATGTATACATGTGCCATGCTGGTGTGCTGCACCCATTAACTTGTCAGTTACATTGGGTATATCTCCTAATGCTATCCTTCCCCCCTCTACCCACCCCACAATAGTCCCCAGTGTGTGATGTTCCCCTTCCTGTGTCCAAATGTTCTCATTGTTCAATTCCCACCTATGAGTGAGAACATATGGTGTTTGGTTTTTTGTCCTTGCGATAGTTTGCTGAGAATGATGGTTTTCAGCTTCACCCATGTCCCCACAAAGGACATGAACTCATCATTTTTTATGGCTGCATAGTATTCCATGGTGTATATGTGCCACATTTTCTTAATCCAATCTATCACTGTTGGACATTTGGGTTGGTTCCAAGTCTTTGCTATTGTGAATAGTGCCGCAATAAACATACGTGTGCATGTGTCTTTATAGCAGCATGATTTATAATCCTTTGGGTATACACCCAGTAATGGAATGGCTGGGTCAAATGGTATTTCTAGTTCTAGATCCCTGAGGAATCGCCACACTGTCTTCCACAATGGTTGAACTAGTTTACAGTCCCACCAACAGTGTAAAAGTGTTCCTATTTCTCCACATCCTCTCCAGCACCTGTTGTTCCCTGACTTTTTAATGATCGCCATTCTAACTGGTGTGAGATGGTATCTCATTGTGGTTTTGATTTGCATTTGTCTGATGGCCAGTGATGATGAGCATTTTTTCACGTCTGTTGGCTGCATAAATGTCTTCTTTTGAGAAGTGTCTGTTCGTATCCTTCACCCACTGGTTGATGGGGTCGTTTGCTTTTCTCTTGTAAATTTCGTTGAGTTCTTTGTAGATTCTGGATATTAGCCCTTTGTCAGATGAGTAGATTGCAAAAATTTTCTCCCATTCTGTAGGTTGCCTGTCCACTCTGATGGTAGTTTCTTTTGCTGTGCAGAAGCTCTTTAGTTTAATTAGATCCCATTTGTCAATGTTGGCTTTTGTTACCATTGCTTTTGGTGTTTTAGACACGAAGTCCTTGCCCATGCCTATGTCCTGAATGGTATTGCCTGGGTTTTCTTTTCGGGTTTTTATGGTTTTAGGTTTAACATTTAAGTCTTTAATCTATCTTGAATTAATTATTGTATAAGGTGTAAGGAAGGGATCCAGTTACAGCTTTCTACATATGGCTAGCCAGTTTTCCCAGCACCATTTATTAAATAGGGAATCCTTTCCTCATTTATTATTTTTGTCAGATTTGTCAAAGATCAGATGGTTGTAGATGTGTGGTATTATTTCTGAGGGCTCTGTTCTGTTCCATTGGTCTATATCTCTGTTTTGATACCAGTACCATGCTGTTTTGGTTACTGTAGCCTTGTAGTTTAGTTTGAAGTCAGGTAGTGTGATGCCTCCAGCTGTGTTTCTTTTGGAAAGATACTCCTCGAGAAGAACAACTCCAAGACACATAATTGTCAAATTCACCAAAGTTGAAATGAAGGAAAAAATGTTAAGGGCAGCCAGAGAGAAAGGTCGGGTTACCCACAAAGGGAAGCCCGTCAAACTCACAGCTGTTCTCTCCACAGAAAGTCTACAAGCCAGAAGAGAGTGGGGGCTAATATTCAACATTCTTAATTTTTGATCTTTTTTAATCTATTTTATTTTATTATTATTATATTTTAAGTTTTAGGGTACATGTGCACAATGTGCAGTTTGTTACATATGTATACATGTGCCATGTTGGTGTGCTACACCCATTAACTCATCATTTAGCATTAGGTATATGTCCTAATGCTATCCCTCCCCCCTACCCCCACCCCATAACAGTCCCTGGTGTGTGATGTTCCCCTTCCTGTGTCCATGTGTTCTCATTATTCAATTCCCACCTATGAGTGAGAACATACGGTGTTTGGTTTTTTTGTCCTTGCGATAGTTTGCTGAGAATGATGGTTTCCAGTTTCATCCATGTCCCTACAAAGGACATGAACGCATCATTTTTTATGGCTGCATAGTATTCCATGGTGTATATGTGCCACATTTTCTTAATCCAGTCTATCGTTGTTGGACATTTAGGTTGCTTAAAGAAAAGAATTTTCAACCCAGAATTTCATATCCAGCCAAACTAAGCTTCATAAGTGAAGGAGAAATAAAATACTTTAAGACAAGCAAATGCTGAGAGATTTTGTCACCACCAGGCCTTCCTACAAGAGCTCCTGAAGGAAGCACTAAACATGGAAAGGAACAGCTGGTACCAGCCACTGCAAAAACATGCCAAATTGTAAAGAACATCGATGCTAGGAAGAAACTGCATCAACTAAAGAGCAAAATAACCAGCTAACATCATAATGACAGGATCAAATTCACACATAACGATACTAACCTTTAATGTAAATGGGCTAAATGCTCCAATTAAAAGACACAGACTGGCAAATTGGATAAAGAGTCAAGACCCATCAGTGTGCTGTATTCAGGAAACCCATCTCATGTGCAGAGACACACATAGGCTCAAAATAAAGGGATGGAGGAGATCTACAAAGCAAAATGGAAAACAAAAAAGGCAGGGGTTGCAATCCTAGTCTCTGATAAAACAGACTTTAAACCAACAAAGATCAAAAGAGACAAAGAAGGCATTACATAATGGTAAAGGGATCAATTGAAAAAGAAGAGCTAACTATCCTAAATATATATGCACCCAATGCAGGAGCACCCGGATTCATAAAACAAGTCCTTAGAGACCTACAAAGAGACTTAGACTCCCACACAATAATAATGGGAGACTTTAACACCCCACTGTCAACATTAGACAGATCAACGAGACAGAAAGTTAACAAGGATATCCAGGAATTGACCTCAGTGCTGCACAAGTGGACCTAATAGACATCTACAGAACTCTCCACCCCAAATCACAGAATATACATTCTTCTCAGCACCACATCACACTTATGCCAAAATTGACCACATATTTGGAAGTAAAGCACTCTTCAGCAAATGTAAAAGAACAGAAATTATAACAAACTGTCTCTCAGACCACAGTGCAATCAAACTAGAACTCAGGATTAAGAAACTCACTCAAAACCACTTAACTAAATGGAAACTGAACAACCTGTTCCTGAATGACTACTGGGTACATAACGAAATGAAGGCAGAAATAAAGATGTTCTTTGAAACCAACGAGAACAAAGACACAACATACCAGAATCTCTGGGACACATTTAAAGCAGTGTGTAAAGGGAAATTTATAGCACTAAATACCCACAAGAGAAAGCAGGAAAGATCTAAAATTGACACCCTAACATCACAATTAAAAGAATTAGTGAAGCAAGAGCAAACACATTCAAAAGCTAGCAGAAGGCAAGAAATCACTAAGATCAGAGCAGAACTGAAGGAAATAGGGATACAAAAAACCCTTCAAAAAATCAGTGAATCCAGGAGCTGGTTTTTTGAAAAGATCAACAAAATTGATAGACTGCTAGCGAGACTAATAAAGAAGAAAAGAGAGAAGAATCAAATAGACCCAATAAAAAATGATAAAGGGGATATCACCATCGATCCCACAGAAATACAAACTACCATCAGAGAATACTATAAACACCTCTACACAAATAAACTAGAACATCTAGAAGAAATGAATAAATTCCTGGACACATACACCCTCTCAAGACTAAACCAGGAAGAAGTTGAATCTCTGAATAGACCAATAACAGGCTCTGAAATTGAAGCAATAATTAATAGCCTACCAACCAAAAAAAGTCCAAGACCAGACGGATTCACAGCAGAATTCTACCAGAGGTACAAGGAGGAGCTGGTACCATTCCTTCTGAAACTATTCCAATCAATAGAAAAAGAGGGAATCCTCCCTAACTCATTTTATGAGGCCAGCATCATCATAATACCAAAGCCTGGCAGAGACACACAAAAAAAGAGAATTTTAGACCAATATCCCTGATGAACATCAGAGCAAAAATCTTCAATAAAATACTGGCAAACTGAATGCAGCAGCACATCAAAAAGCTTATCCACCATGATCAAGTGGGCTTCATCCCTGGGATGCAAGGCTGGTTCAACATACGAAAATCAATAAACGTAATCCAGCATATAAACAGAACCAAAGACAAAAACCACATGATTATCTCAATAGATGCAGAAAAGGCCTGTGACAAAATTCAACAGTCCTTCATGCTAAAAACTCTCAATAAATTAGGTCTTGATGGGACGTATCTCAAAATAATAAGAGATATTTATGACAAACCCACAGCCAATATCATACTGAATGGGCAAAAACTGGAAGCATTCCCTTTGAAAACTGGCACAAGACAGGGATGTACTCTCTCACCACTCCTATTCAATCTAGTGTTGGAAGTTCTGGCCAGGGCAATCAGGCAGGAGAAAGAAATAAAGGGTATTCAATTAGGAAAAGAGGAAGTCAAATTGTCCCTGTTTGCAGACGACATGATTGTATATCTAGAAAACCCCATTGTCTCAGCCCAAAATCTCCTTAAGCTGATAAGCAACTTCAGCCAAGTCTCAGGATACAAAAGCAATGTGCAAAAATCACAAGCATTCTTATACACCAATAACAGACAAACAGAGAGCCAAATCATGAGTGAACTCCCATTCACAATTGATTCAACGAGAATGAAATACCTAGGAATCCAACTTACAAGGGACGTGAAGGACCTCTTCAAGGAGAACTACAAACCACTGCTCAGCAAAATAAAAGAGGATACAAACAAATGGAAGAACATTCCATGCTCATGGATAGGAAGAATCAGTATCGTGAAAATGGCCATACTGCCCAAGGTAATTTATAGATTCAATGCCATCCCCATCAAGCTACCAATGACTTTCTTCACAGAATTGGAAAAAACTACTTTAAAGTTCATATGGAACCAAAAAAGAGCCCACATTGCCAAGACAACCCTAAGCCAAAAGAATGGAAGGTATTCTAATGGAAAGGAACTATACAAAAGGTTAGGCTGGAATTAACTATGAAAATCAGATTGATATCAGTTTACAGATATTTTGAATAATGAGATAAAGAGTGGATTTCATCCTGTAGATCATTGCTTTCCAGAATTTTAAGTAAATAAGAATCATCTAAAAATGTATCAAAATGCCATTTCTTAGACCTTACCTCTAAATATTCTATTTTAATTCGTTGGGGGCAGGCCCATGAATCTGCATTTTAACTACTCTAATGTCCTCATGCCCTATGATTCTGATGCAAGTGGTTCATTATTAACATTTTTAGAATCTCTGTTTGCCAGGGCAAATGAAAAGTTTTTGCATAGGAAACTAGCTTTTTTATATTAATACACTCATAAGAACTAGCACCATTAAAGCATGGTTTAAGAGGCAAAGAGTTAAAGAGCAGGAGGACAATCAGGCAGACAGTACAATAATCTAGAAGTAAAAAGAATCAGCACCAATTTTGGTTGATAGCAATAGAATTGAAAAGGGGCAGATAAGTAAGTAGTAGAGGTTTAAGGAATATAGGACTAACAGGATCCAGGCATCCATTGGCTATCCAAGAGCAAGGGATAGTGTTCCAATCCCAGTAGATAATACACTCTTTGAATGTAGGAACTGAGTCTTACTTATCTTTTTGACTACAGTTCAGCACAGTAGTGGGTTCTCAACAAGTGTATGTGCATTGTTAGATAAACCTGTAATATAATGCACGACAACGTCAAAAGGAATCTCTTTTTGTACCTCTACTTTTCTTCTTTTAACCTCTAATTTTTTACCTTGCTTTTATATAGCCTTTTGACTTGCCAGTAAAAGTAGGTTTCATTGTTTGTGCAAATTGAAATGACTTAAAATATAAAAGGAAATATGATACAAAAATATATTGTATATCTGAATGTCTGAATTTTTTCTCCATGAACACACAATAGTGAAATTATATAGACTTAGATATACCACTGAATTCTAAGAAATATGTAATTAAATGTCATTTTGTATAAATATAATCTACTTCCAGTAAGACATTGTAATAGTTTGTTTCTTTCTTTTATTAATGTTTCCACATAATATATGGCTTTAGTGGGAAATATTATGTCATAAAATGCTTAATGTATTCAGCATAAAAAGCCTACTCTTTTAAAATATTACTGTTTACAAATCAGATCCTTTCCAAATTATCCAAAAAAATGAGTGAATTCATAAGGCTTCTCCTCCCTAATTCTTTGAACATCAAAAGGGACCATCTTCAAAATCCAAATGCTTCTCCAGCTTTCCGCAGGATATCACAAAACTTCCTGGCAAAGATTTTTAAACAAGCTGAGAAGTTTTATAAGATAAAAATATTTTTTCAGTTGACTTGACAACCATGTACAATGTTAGTGAAGAGTTTATTTGCCCAAGGCTCTTTGTCAAAATGAATTTAAACTGAGATTATTAAAATGTAGTTCAATTGCAGTGTGAGGAGAGGTGTTGCTGATGTCTTACTTAGAGAATGTTTTCCATGCAATGCATGTGACTTGGTTACAAGGTTCTACATGTAGAGGTACATTTCTGCTAAAAGAACAGAGGCATTTAAAATTATTCAGAAAACAATAAATCATCTCCAAAAGTGAGAGTTTTGATCCAGAAAGAAAAGCACCATTGTGTGGTAGTTTAGAGGTTCATCTGTGTGAGCATCAAACTGCCCGGATTTGAGTCACAGCTTCACCATTAACCTCAGCACCTTCCTCATTTGTAAAATAGAAGTCATGATAATAGATACATTATGGGAATATTGTGAGGATTAAGTGATATCATTGTCAGTGGTTAATAGAGTAGCTGGCACAGATTAAGGAACACAATTAATTGTTTTATTTCAAACCTGTAGAGTCAGGACTAAGCATTGTTTCCTGATAATTCCAGATGTGTGCTTAAAAAAGCCTGTCCCAATTTAATGATAATCTTTTCTGTTATGAGTTAAATGGCTTTAGGAAAATTTAACTACTGGTAAACAATGCTTGAATCACCAGACCTCCCCATGGCTGAAGCTAATTTCTTACATCAGAATCAGGACCAGGATCACAAAAGGAAAATGATTATCTGGATGAGAGGTTGTAATCATCCATATTTGGAAAATCCTATTACACTATGTTGGGAAAATGTCCAAATTGCCAAATCTTGGAAGCAATCCCTCTCCTTCCCTCATTGGGACACATTATTTAGGAAGGTTTATTATTTTTGAGAAAGACTAGTTACCCTTCAAAAATAATAGCATTTGTGTATGGTTTGAAAGATTATGCCACCACAGATGGAAGAGTCAAGCACGTTCCACATGGCAAGTGTTTGTTAATTAACAGGTCACCCATTGATGTGGGCTGTAGCCAGAATCCATGGCAGAGAGGAGACAGGACACTGATGGGCTGCATTTGAACCACACAGTTAGAATTACATTAAGCCACTTTTACTGATTTGTGATATTATGTCATATTTATAATTTCTTATTTTAACTTAATATCTAAGTAAATTCTTTTGATTGTTATTTTCTTGGTTTTTCTGAAGGGCACACTTTCACCAAAGAAAGCAAAATACAGCAAAGTGAATTTAATATAATTAATGATAAATCTGTTTATGTATCTTTTGACAAATTAGAATCATATAATAAAATTTCTCTGATTTATTTCCCCAGTATAGAGGATCATTATGGTCTGTCTGTATTCCAGGCACTGGTCAGGCACTACATATCATGTGATGCAGTCATCACAACAAATCAGTCAAGGAAGTATATTTAACAAATAAGGCAACTGAGGCAGGTTTATTTATTGTTAAATTGCCTTTGGTCACATTAACAAGGGGAAGATGCAGAGATTAAATCACTTTCTACCTTCAACATCTTTTTACTCTGCCTTCTAATATTTTAATTGAACTGGTTCATACCTATTTCATATAATCTCTTATTTTTCCTCTTTATCTTCAAAGTATGAAAACATTTATCTTCCTATTTTCTCTGTTGTTTATTCTATTAATATGTGTTGCTACAGACTCTATTTGAAGAAATTAATTAGAATAGGAAAGACAAGTATGATTCACTGGTGAATTTTTCTAACACCAAAAGTGAAAAGTAATATTCAATAATGTGTTTTAGTTTTATTTATACCAGAATTTTTATAGTTAAATTTAGCATGGTGATAGAATTAGTCTTAATTCATTAATGATATGGATGGAATTTATTTATTCCTTTCATATTATCTTCTTCCTTCAAAAACATATTTAATTTTAACAATTTTGATTCAAACTCATAATTCATCTTAAAAATATAGTTTGGTAGTTTTTAAAAATTTTATTTTGATTTGCAGAAACATAGATACTCTCATTGTAATTTCCCTTAGCAATTTCTATAACAGTTCTTTTAATTTCATGTTTTAAAACACAATATAGATATTCTTGTGAATTTTTCATTATGAAAACAATTTTATTTAATATCTAGACCATAACAGAAAAGAGAATAATGGACTATCCTGCCATTATCTCAGGCTATGCATGTACAAAAATGGACTTTTCTCTGCTTCTTCAGTACTAACCCTCATCCACAAAAATATTTTACTGGCCTCATTTATGAGAATTCACAAGAGACTATATAATTTTTTTTCTACATGATCATTGAACCCATGATTCAACATTGGTTACAGAGTCTCAAGAATTTGGAGAGTGAACCAAAAGTAAAAATTTATAATGCAGTATAGAAAATGCTGTAACAATGTTGTTCACAGAATCCTATGTTGTTTCCAGAAGAGATAGTACAAATGGGTGAGGTAGGGGATAGTGAAAGAAAACCTGATAGAAGTAAACTGCATTAATGTTGATGATTAAGTAGAATTTGAGTTTGTCCAGGCAAAGGAGCTGAAGGAGAGGCACTTTAGACAGCATATGGGGTTGCAGGATGGAATTTATAGACGCCCAATGTGGAATGGTTAATCATATGAGTTCTAGAGCCAGGCACCTCAGTTCAAACATTATTACTTTCCAATTTCTCAATGTATAATCTTGGACAAGTTACTTCTCATCTGCAAAATGCATATTATAATCATTTCTACCACATTTGGTTGTTTAACTCAAGTTTATAAATTCCCTTATATGATTTATGATACCTAGAAAATGCTAAGTAACAATTAACTGCAAGAAAATAAGAAACAACATAATGTTTGGGAAACTACAAGTCATTTGGTATTGCTGAAGTAAAAAACTAATAATGATGTCGAAGAATATGAAGGGGATATGTATCATGTTAAAGAGCTGGAAATTGTCTTATGGATAATGAGAAAACATAGGAATGGCATAGGCAGATTGTGTTTTAAATAGATCTCACTGGAGCAGGGTAGGAGGAGGGGAAGGGAGAATGTTGGTAAAGATTAGAGGGACAGAATTCAGGTACAATACCATAAAAATTCAAGACTTTGTATATACTGTCATAAGGATACGATACAATAATTTTAATAGTAACTATAGGATAGAAGGGAGATGACAGTTGAGTGAAACACTTAGAAGGTAGAGTTGGCAAGGCTTGCCTCTAACAGTAAACAAAATAGAGGCTATGTGATAATTCAGGAAAGGAAAAAAATAAATGATGACTTGAAGATTCTTTATTTGGTGGAACTTAGTAGCTAGCAAAAGCATAAAAAGAGAGCAAGAGAAAAATAGAATAGAGGAGTAAGTAGAGAATTGAAAGAGAAAGTAAGAAAGGCAGTCTTTAGACGTACTAAATTGAAGGTATTTCTAGAACATCTATTTAGAAATAAGTCCGACTTTTAGAATAGAATTTCAACAGATTCAGGATTCATTAAAAAAAGACAAAGAAGGCCAGGATAATTTGTGCTATATGATGTGGGAGGAAGAAGATGGTCTAATGAAAGACATAGGAAATTAATAGATTAATGAGGTTTCAAATTTGGTAAAAGATGTGTTTGTTTTCAAATCAAATTTTGAAGAAAATTTGATTCAGGCAACAGCAAGAATCTAGTGTGGTTAAACATAAATGTATTATTTCTGAGTTTCATACATACTATTATGCAAAGAATATATCTGTAGGTCATTTCCGTATAAAGGACCTAAACATGTCATTTTATAGGTTGATTAGGGAAATGTTTTTTATTAAATAAAAATATTTACCTTAAATTGGGGTAACAAAATTTAAAAAGTTAACTTAATCTGAAATCTAATTTTATTTTGAAACTAATTTCCTTAAAACAAATTTGGCCCCCAGTATTTTAAGTATTTTAACCGTTATTTAACTGCAGTTATAAAAAGTTAACAAGTAACATTTACTTAGTGTAAATTTTAAAATTTTATTATATTCCAAATCAGCATGGGCATTAACCATGACAATGACCACCCATCGTGTGCTGATGGTCTTCATATCATGTCTGGTGAATGGATTAAAGGACAGAATCTTGGTGACGTTTCATGGTCTCGATGTAGCAAGGAAGATTTGGAAAGATTTCTCAGGTATGGAGGTCACTTATTGTTTTTGCCTTGTGAATGATTATGTGTGCTGTTTCTTTTTACAAATAGAGAAGCCAGTGTGGCAAAGTGGAAAGGCCACCAGAGTAAAACTGAAGGTACTTGGTTCCAATCCTGGCTTTTCCATTAACTCATGGTGTAGTTTGGGACATGTTATTTAACCCCCTGCTTTTTAATTTCTACATTTTTCAAAAAGGACAGTTAAGATTATTTGTAAGATTGAAAAATTGTTATCATGATTTTAAAAATCTGTCACAGTATTTAATTGCCTTTTCAATTTTGCCCAGTGGAAATATTCACACTGTTCATCACCCAGCACGTCTATTATCACGAAGATCAGGGCCCCTCTAACAAAATCTTCACTTTTCGTTTGTAATACATCTACACTTCTAATGTTTTTTCATTAATAAATAGTTTCCACCATTATCATAGCCCTTTCCATGTTCAGTGGCAGTAACACTTAGCTTCTGTCTTGTTCGAAAAGTAAATGAAAAATATTACTGTTATTCTCATTTTCATTTTAAAGCACTTGTTCATTTTAAAGCACTTATTTCTATAATTATAGAAGGATCACCTGAAGCAGTAAGCAATATGCAAAGTAGTTAGTGAGATGTTTAAGGTATCCAAAACAAGTCTTAGTGAGAAATACAGGAACACCTAGCTTGCTAAACTCACTACACAGATGAACTTTATTCACTTTTGTATATCCTTTAAATAGTTAAGCCCATTTTTCTATTAAATGGCTATATGTACAATATATTCTGTGCATGCTGTTTGTCATAACAGTCTAGAGAAGAGCACTCAGAGCATGTGATATTTCAGACACACCATCAGTAGCTGCATCAGCAGCCCTTCTGTAGGCCCTAATGAGTTCCTAAGGAACATGCATGATTTTGTATGGCTGCCTTCACATGAATCAGGACTCCTATGACATCAAATACCACTTTAAAATATATTACAGAGTTGTATACAAAGTTGTATTACAATGTCAAGCACAAATATATCTACACTGTTAATATTCACCTGAGGATGCTTTCCATACATTCTTTAAATCCCCAAATATAGCTGATATCTTATATTCACATACTACTTTTGGGCAAGTTACTCTCTGACTCTGAGCCTGTATACCTATTAAATGCATAAAATAACACCCACTTCACAATGTTATGTAGATCAGCTGAGTTAATTCATATGAATGTGTTTTGTACACCATAAAGTTCTTTTAACTTGAAAATTATTTATTACGATTATCTTCATTGTAAATAAATGATTTTTGACATATAGAATAATTTCTATGAGTATTCAATGGAAGAGCTTAGAGATATATTTTTGATATTATTAAAGTGTTTCTTGTTGTATGCTAACCAATCATATCAGCTTTTTACATTAAATTCAAAAGTTTACACATACCTGCCTATTGCCAGGTCAAAGGCCAGTAACTGCTTGCTACAAACAAATCCGCAGAGTGTCAATTCTGTGATGGTTCCCTCCAAGCTGCCAGGGATGACATACACTGCTGATGAACAATGCCAGATCCTTTTTGGGCCATTGGCTTCTTTTTGTCAGGAGATGCAGGTAAAGATCCAGGTGGGGATTTTGTGCGTTCATTCATTGTTTAGAAGTATTGATTGGTAGGAGAAGGTAACATTATTTTAGGGTTTGTGGATCAAAAGCACCCCAATATATAAAAGAAGGATTTTCTAAGAAAAGGTTTGTGCATTTTTTTCTTATACTTTGGAAGCGATAGAAATAAGATGTGAGCATTTAATCAAAGTGAATAAAGAAAGACCTAATAATTTCTACTTTGAAAATTACATTGATATCAGGGAAGTATTTTTATTACGTCAGTTCAATGCTTCTATTTTAAATCCCATACAGTTTTCTCTCCATTATCTGCAGGAATTGGTTTCAGTACCCACATCCTGTTCCCTGAGCAGATACCAAAACTCCCAGCTGCTAAAGTCCCTTATGAAAAATAATGTAGTATTTGCATATAACCTACCCACATCCTCCCAAATACTTTAAATCATCCCTAGATTACTTACAGAACTTGATACATTGTAAATGCTATGTAATTATTATACTATGTTATTTTATTATTTGTATTATTTATATTGTTGTATTGTTCTTTTTTTTAAATTTGTTTTTATCTGTGGTTGGTTGGATCCCTGGATGTGGAAACTACAAACGGGGAGGGCCAACTGTATTTTCTTATATGGAAATGGGTAAAAATGCGATATGAAAATATAATTGATAAAAATGCAATAATATGAACATGTAATTGTGGAGGAGGAACTATACATTTTAATCCTGAAAATAAATTTTTAGAAGTATCTTTTATAGGAACAAAAATTAAGAGAGTACATTTCTACATAAACTGGAAGAAAAGGGAAAATGTATAATGGTAAAGCAGTGTTTATGTATTAATATTCCAGTAGTCAGTAATTACTCAGAGAGAACAGTAGTGTTAGGTCCTTAAAATCTAAAGGATGAAGCAAAATGACCTTCTTAACTGATGGAAGAGTTTAAGCTCTAGTAACCTTTTTTTTTCTTTCCTGCTGCCCATCCCCTATCTGCCCATCTCCTCTCGCCTCTTCCTAACACACACACATACACATTGTACTTCAGGAATAAACTGATAACCACACTGAGAGTAAATTGGTTAAGTATCGCTGAAACATAGCCTATTTTACCCAGCCACAGTTTCTGTGAATGCCTCAAAGGAGTTTGGCTTTGTTGAGGATAATGCTGTTTTGGGTAACTGTCAGCATAATTAAGATGCTTTATAACGAACAAAGCATATGACATTATAATTTATTGAATGCTCTCTTTGGTTTGTGGTTCTTATTAAAAGAGTTGTGCACTTATTTGTTTATTAATTGCTTTTGATCAGTTTCACCCACCAGTATGTAAGCTGCATGAGGGCAGAGTGAGTTTCTCCAGCATCTAGCCTAGGGACTGGCACAGAGTAAGTGAAATATCCAGTGAACAAATGATTTAGAATTAAAATGAGTGAATGTATGGAGTTGGAGCTGCATCAGATGTGATGTGTAAAAGGCTGTATGGACCAGGCGAGGTGGCTCACACCTGTAATCCCAGCACTTTGGGAGGCCGAGACGGGCGGATCACGAGGTCAGGAGATCGAGACCATCCTGGCTAACACGGTGAAACCCCATCTCTCCTAAAAATATAAAAAAAAAAAAATTAGCTGGGCATGGTGGCGGGCACCTGTAGTCCCAGCTACTCAGGAGGCTGAGGCAGGAGAATGGTGTGAACCTGGGAGGTGGAGCTTGCAGTGAGCCGAGAACGCGCCACTGCACTCCGGCCTGGACTACAGAGTGAGGCTCAGTCTCAAAAAAAAAAAAAAAAAAAAAAAAAAAGGCTGTACGGACTATGGAGCTTGAAAGGAAATGGTGTTGCTATGTAATTGTGATCTAATTCCAAAGGGTTTACATGTGGCACAGTCATGGATCCTTGGAACTCCACATCGTGTGTGACAATTATGACATTGGTTCTGTAAGGTCTGTCTCCGGTACCTCTCTGACCTCATCTACTAACCTCCACTCTGCTTTCACCTCTGAGTCTTTAGACAATCAAAAGTCTGGTCACAATCCTCTTTCTTAAATCTTCATGGTAAAATGAAAGATTTTGAGGTACAAAGGTTTGGGTTTGTGGGCAGACACTTTTACAGGCTGAAGTTACTATTATTTTAGGCAACAAAATAGGCTCTTTGTGGTCACTGTCACTGGAGCATTGCACAGGAGACAGTTTCAGTTCATGTGGTATAGAGAATTGATAGAACTGATCAATGGATCAGTTCATCCAAAATGTTCATATTTTATAAAGCATTCCTACTGTAAAAGCTCAGTAGATGATCAACTACACACGATTCTGTTAAATTGTAGATTCTTTTCCATAAATACTATTTTACAAGCTTTTAGAAATTATTTTAATATATCACATGCAATTAAATTTTGCTAGTGCCATTCTACAATGTTTTGACCTCTGAATATCTTCCACATAATGTGTTTAATTATTTATTTTATGATGTAATTTGACACTTTTTTCTTTTTTTATTATACTTGAAGTTCTAGGGTACATGTGCACAATGTGCAGGTTTGTTACATATGTATACATGTGCCATGTTGGTTTGCTGCACCCATTAACTCATCATTTACATTAGGTATTTCTCCTAATGCTGTCCTTCCCCCATCCCCCCACCCCACAACAGGCCCTGGTGTATGATATTTTCCCCGCCCTCTGTCCAAGTGTTCTCATTGTTCAATTTCGACCTATGAGTGAGAACATGGGTTGTTTGGTTTTCTGACCTTGCAATAGTTTGCTCAGAATGATGGTTTCCAGCTTCATCCATGTAGCTACAAAGGAAATGAATGCATCCTTTTTATGACTGCATAGTATTCCATGGTGTATATGTGCCACATTTTCTTAATCCAGTCTATCACTGATGGACATTTGGGTTGGTTCCAAGTCTTTGCTATTGTGAATAGTGCCACAATAAACATATGTGTGCATGTGTCTTTATAGCAGCATGGTTTATAATCCTTTAGGTATATACCCAGTAATGGGATCACTGTGTCAAATGGTATTTCTAGTTCTAGATCCTTGAGGAATCGCCACACTGTCTTCCACAGTGGTTGAACTAGTTTACAGTCCCACCAACAGTGTAAAAGCATTCCTGTTTCTCCACATTCTCTCCAGCACCTGTTGTTTCCTTACTTTTTAATGATTGCCATTCTAACTGGTGTGAGATGGTATCTCATTGTGGTTTTGATTTTGTTTTTCATTTCTCTGATGGCCAGTGATAATGAGCATTTTTTCATGTGTCTGCTGTCTGCATAAATGTCTTCTTTTGAAAAGTGTCTGGTCATATCCTTTGCCCACTTTTTAATGGGGTTGTTTGATTTTTTCTTGTAAATTTGTTTAAGTTCTTTGTAGATTCTGGATATTATACCTTTGTCAGATGGGTAGATTGCAAAAATTTTCTCCCATTCTGTAGGTTGCCTGTTCACTCTGATGGTAGTTTCTTTTGCTGTGCAGAAGCTCTTTAGTTTAATTAGATCCCATTTGTCTATTTTGGCTTTTGTTGCCATTGCTTTTGGTGTTTTAGTCCTGAAGTCCTTGCCCATGCCTATGTCCTGAATGGTATTACCTAGGTTTTCTTCTAGGGTTTTTATGGTTTTAGGTCTAACATTTAAAATTAATTCAAGATGGATTAAAGACTTAAATGTTAGACCTAAAACCATAATTTGATTCTTATAACCATTAAATACCATATTGTCTAGTCCTATTTTACAAATCAACAATTTGAGGTCTAGAGCAGTTAAATAATACTTTGAAGTTCTTATACCTATTAACAGAGAATGCTAGATCCAAACTCAGATTATGTCTAAATCCCAAAAATCAGATGCTCTCCAGTCTCCTATGGAACTCAAACTTCTTTATATGCTATATTGTCTTCTCTATGGAAAAACCCTTAGATCAGATCTCATATTTAAACTAATTTTTTTGTCTCCTATAGCACCTATACTATCAGTTTTAACCAGTATCTTAATTGATTCATTTTGCTAAACTATTTGCTCTATTTATATGATTATTTCCCAATAACCTACCTGCACAGATTTTTTCCTTGATCTCTGAAAATATGATTGTTTATTTAGGTTTTTTAAATCTGTTTCTCAGTATCCTAGGATGTTGCCTTGTTTTAAAACTACACATTGTGCTAATAAAGTTTTAGGTTTAAGGTTTCCAGAAATGTTCTCCTTTTTATTTTCTCTCCACTCTTATACTCCAGTCCCAAATCAGTACAGCATGTAAAGTGTAGTAACCTAATAGACGATAGATAGGTAGCTAGAACCATGGAAAAGATAATTTACATATTTAGTCATTGATTTGACAAATATTTATTAAGTTCCAACTACTTTCCAGGCACTGTATGAAGCACAAATAATACAGCAGGAATCAAAGATCCTACCTCCATGGAACTTACATTTTAGTTGGAGGAAATATAAGCAAATGCATATCTAATATGTTAGTTGATGATAATTGTTTAGAAGAAATATAAACTCAGGTAAAACAGGAAGTACTACCAAGGTAGATGGTTAGGATGGTGTTATTTCTTATAAGGTGACCTGGGAAAGTTTCCTAGAAAGGTGACATTTGTTTAGAGATCTGAAGAAAGTGGGAGAACAAGCTATGCATTTATCTTGGGAGGAATACAGCAAGAGAAAACAGAATGCAAAATGCCCTGGAATTCATTGTGGGTCATGTCGTGAGATGCCCATTACACATCCAAGTAGGAATGTAAGCAGGTCCATGATATATATTTGGAAGTCATTAAGAAGTATAAGATATTGGGGACATGATACTAAATAACAATTGCAAGTGAGTTAGAAAAGTTTCAAGGACTAAGACCCAGGTCAATGCAATATTTAGAGTTTAGGAAAATGAGGAGAAAGAAGAAATAAAATGCCGAAGTATATTGAGGTAGGAATAGAACCAAAGCAAATTAAGATCTTGGAGGTAATATGAGGAGGATATTTTTGAAAGAGAGATTGATCAGCTGTATCAAAAGCTGAAGACTTAAATGTAAAACCTAAAACTGTAAAAACCCTGGAAAACAACCTAGGCAATACTGGTCTGGACATAGGAATGAGCAAAGATTTCATGACAAAGATTCCAAAAGGAATTTCCACAAAAATAAAATTTGACAAATGGGACCTAATTAAACTTAAGAGCTCTGCACAGCAAAAGAAACCATCAATAGAGTAAAGAGACAACCTACAGAATGGGAGGAACTTAAACAAATTTAAAAGGAAAAACCGACCCCATTAAAAAGTGGGCAAAGAACAAGAACCGACACTTTCCAAAAGACATGCAGCCAACAAGCATATTAAAAAAGGTCAGTAACACTGATGATTAGATAAATACATATCAAAACGACAATGAGATAACATCTCACACCAGTCAGAATGGCTATTATTAGAAAATCAAAAAATAACAGATGCTGGTGAGGTTGCAGAGAAAAGGGAAGACTTATACACTGTTAATGGGAGTGTAAATTAGTTCCACCATTGTGGAAAGCAGTGTGGCAATTCCTCAAAGAGCTAAAAAAAAAACTACCCATAATTACCATTCAACCCAGCAATCCCATTACTGAGTATATACCCAAAGCAATATAAATCATTCTACTATAAAGACACATGCATGTGGATGTTCACTGCAGCACTGTTCACAATAGCAAAGACATAGAATTAACCTAAATGCCCAGTAGTGACAGTTTGGATAAAGAAAATGTGGTACATATACACTATGGAATACTATGCAGCAATAAAAAAGAATGAGACCGTGTCTTTTGCAGGAACATGGATGGAGGTGGAGGCCATTATCCTTAGCAAACTTATGCAGGAACAAAAAACCAAATACCATTTGTTCTCACTGATAATTGGGAGCTAAATAATAAGAACTCATGAACACAAAGAAGGGAACAATAGACACTGGGGCCTACTGAAGGCTGGAGGGTGGGAGGAGGGAGAGGATCAGAAAAAAATAACTATTGAGTACTAGGCTTAGTACGTGGGTGATGAAATCATCTGTACAACAAACCCCTGTGACATGAGTTTACCTATATAGCAAACCTGTAATATACCCCTGAACTTAAAATTAAAGTATAAAAAAAAATTTTTAAAGCTGAAGACAAGTGGAGCAAAATGAAGGCTGAGATTAGACGGTTGATATTTTTTCCCAAAGGGTTTGACACATCATTATTTGAAGCTATATGGGAATGCCTGAATATATAAGGTGTCAGGAAGTATAACTTAAAAGTATAGCAGAAAATAGTTATAACTGTAGAAGACTGAAAATAGTTGTGCACTATGTAATGACATTTCAGTCAATGGACCACATATACAACAATGGTCTTATAAGATTATAGTCCGTATTTTTACTGTAACATTTCTATGTTTAGATGCACAAATACTTAGGATTGTTTTACAGTTGCCTACAATATACAGTAAGGTAACATGCTATACAGGTTTGTAGCTTAGAAACAATGGGATACACCATATAGCCTAGGTGTGTAGTACGCTATATCATTTAGGCTTGTGTAAGTACACTCAACAATGTTCACACAATGACTACATTGCCTAATGACACATTTCTCAAAATGTATTCCCATCATTAAGCAAAGCATGACTGTAGTTCTGCTACATACATATACACCTTCAATTGGCTCTATGTGGAGTCACCCTACCTGGCAGTCTGTCATCTAAGTGCTATACAAAACAAATCTCCTATATGGTAAGCTCCTTAACATTAGCAGAGTTGTCAGCCCTTTTGTCATTGTATCTCTAGCACCCAAATAAGTGCTCAATAAATATTTGATGAATAAGTGAATCGATTGAATAATGGAGTACTGATTCTAAATTTTTCACTCATGTAGATAACATGATAACCTTTTAGAATATTAATGCAATGACTACATAAAAGCCTACCTATGCTATAGGGCAGGTATCTTGTTTCACAGCTTATTCATAATTCAATTAGGCATCCTTATGACCAGCTCATTTCTAATCAATTACAAATAAACATCAAGATTTGTAGTGTGAGGGTTCACAGCAACCTTCAATATGTATGTTTCAGGCAAAATCTTAAAAACAAGGTAACTCTGAATCTGACAAAGGCAGTTGGGCCATAGCATCTAAATTAGATGTATCACTTCCATACTTATAAACAGATATTTAAACACAAACACTAGAGGCTCAGCATTATTGCATAATGCTGATCTAATTAATGATATAAATTTACCCTTAGGATAACAACTTACATCTGCAAAGTGTTTAAAGGCACAGATGTAGAGATTCTGGTGAAAAATGTTGATCACAGGCAATAATAGCTCACTCTTCTGCATAAATTTGCAGAATTAATGGCTGACTTCTTGGATGGCTTTGTTCCTGAGTCCTAAGCAATTGGTGCTGGGTACCTTTAGGCCATCTGGCATCTTGTGGCTGAGCCAGCTCCAACTGCATCAAGTCATTGTAATAGCTTCCTGAAATTACTTAGACTGGCTAAAAATACAGAGGTATGGAAGGATTTTTCCCTAGAAATAGTAAGAAGTGGCCCCGTAGGAGTTAACCTTTTTCTGAAAAGGAAGGAAGTGTGATAAAACTGAAGACCTCCAGGAAACTTAAGATCCTGTCTTTGTGAACTAGGCACACTATGAATTGCATATGTATTAAATGGATAGAAAAGTTTATAGTATAACTGAATCATATGATTACTTTAAATATTGACATGGAAAGTTCCAGTTTTACATTTCTCCTGTATCTACTTGATTCATCCAAGTTTGTAGGACTCTCTCAAACCTCTCCTTGAAGCCAATGCACAGACTGGAATTGAAATAAAGTAATGGCAGAAACCGCAATTATGTTTGCACCAACCTAATATTATGAAGAACTATAGAAGGCCTAGTCTCTGTAATTTGGCATTGCAAAATTCCAGAGGCAACAAGAATTTGGATTTAAAAAAGGCTTAACATGAAATAGTTGGAGGACATAAACTGCATGATTTAAGACTTACAAAGCTGCAGTAATGAAGACAATGTGGTGTTGACGAAAGGAGAGACTTAACTCCTCAGTGGAACACCATAGAGAGTCCAATTATAGACTCTCACATATGTGTACAATTGATTTCAACAAAAGTAACAAGGCAGTTGAATGGGTAAATAAAAGCTTTTCAACAAATTGTGCTGGAACAATTTGACATTCATCTTTTAAAATTACATCATATCATAAGATAAAATTAACCCTAAATGTATTATTGACCTAAATGTGGAATCTACAAAACTATAAAACTTCAGGGAAAAAGGTAGAGGAAATATTTTTTTTAATAGGACACCAGGAGCATGAACCATAAAAGAAAAACAAAACAGAAAATTATTGTTTGAAATGTATCAAAATAAATTATTTTATCTTAGGAAAACTCTGTTAAGACAATGAAAAGGTAAGCCACAGAATGGGTGAAAATATTTATAATAGGCATATCTGACAAAGGGTTGTTGTCCAAAATATATAATCCCTGTAATAGTAATAAAAGACCAAGCAATACAATAAAATGGGCAAAACATTTCAACAGACAATTCAGAAATGAAGATATGCAGATAGCCAACAAACTCCTTAAAGGATGCTTAACATCATTAATATTGTATCAAGAAATGCAAATTAAAACCATAAAGACCTACATTTGCATATACATTGCAATGTCTTAAGTTTAAAGAATTGAAAAAACTAAATTGTTGCTGATAATACAGAGCAATCAGAATTCACATACCACTATTGGGAATATAGTATAATCACTTTGGGAAAATTTTAGGTTTTTTTTTTTTTTTTTTTTTATCACTTAAGCATTCACCTCTTATATGATCCAAACTTTCCACTCCTAGATCCAAAAATATACTCTGCATGATCTCTTTAAATTTATTGAGACTCATTTATAATCTATCCAGGTGAATGTTCTATATGCATTTGACAGAATGCATTTCCACAGTTGTCAGTGTTTCATAAATATTAATTAGGTCAAGGTTATTAATAGAGTTATACAAATCGTCTTTTATTATGTGTATGGATGTTCTAATAATTGCTAAAGTGGGGAATTTAAATATCCTACTATGACTGCAATTGTCTACTCCCTTCGATTATGTCAGATTTTGATTCATACCTCGTAAGGCTTTATTGCAAGACACTAATACAGTTATTATTGTTATGTCTTCTTGATGCATTATGTCTTCTTATTGCATTTCTTTTCATTATGAAAAAGTCTTCTTTATCACTGGTAGAAGTATAACTTTTTTATATTGTAGTTTATTATATCTGATATTAATCTGATTTTGTGTGTTTATTTTTTTGCATGGTATATTATGCTTTTATTTAGTTTAAATGTATCTGTGTACTATTTCAACTGAGCCTCTTGTAGTATAAGCATGTAGTTGTCTTGATATTCATCTGTTATAAAAATTATAACCTTTTAATTGAGGTAGTTCATTAATGTTTAATCATTGATTAAACAATGTGTTTGAATTTAGGTCTAGATTTTATAATTTATTTTTTAACTCTTTATTTCCCTCTGATCCCCATTAATTTACTTTTATATTATTTGAATTCTCTTTAGGATCCTACTTTATCTATTACATTTTTAGCTATAATCCTTTACCTCTTTAAGAGGCCTGATCTGGGTCTAGGTCTGGGATCACACATCTTTATTTAAAGGGCCAGATAGTAAATATATTAGGCTTGTCAGCAGCAGAGCCTCTGTTGCAACTCAAATCTGCTGCTCTAGCTCAAATCAGCCATAGATAATATGTAATGGGATGAGCAAGACAGTTGGCCAGTCTCCAGGCCACAGTTTGCCAAACTCATCTCTAGGGATTAAAATATAAACTCTCTATTTTTCTGAATCTATTTAGAGTTATTATAGTACTATTTCATTTGGAATTATTGGAATATGCAACCACATATGTTCATTTAGACTTCCTCATTCAGTTTTTCTGTACTATAGTCATGATATATATATATAGATATAGATATAATATAGCATCTGTGTACATTGTAGACCATACAATAAAATTGTATACATTTTACTTAATATACATTGCATGTATTTTAAGGATTAAGAATGTAAAAATAGTCTTTTACTTTTAGCTTGATATTTACCCTTTCCATTGTTCTTCATGACTTCCTGAAGATAGGAGTTTTCCTTTGGTTTCATTTTCCTTCTCCATGTCTTTTAGTTGGGTTGCTAATGACAAATTCTCTTAATTTTCTTTCACCTGAAAATTTTCATTTCATCATAATTTTTGAAATATATTTTCACTAGATATAAAATTATAGGTTGACTTTTTCTTTTTCTTTTACCATCTCAGAAACCTTCCTCTATCTTCTCTTCTCCATAGTTTAAGATGAGAAATGTATAGCCCTTGGATTGTCATTTCCCTGTAAGTAATCTGTTGTTTCTCCCTGTTTATGTGCAAGATAGTCTCTTTATCTTTGGTTTTCAGAAGCTTGACTATAATGTGTCTACATATAATTTACTGCATATTTATCCCATTAGAGGATTGTTGAACTTATTGATTTTGTAAATCTATGCCTTTTCTCAAATTTGGAAAGAAGTTTTAGTGATCATTCCTTTAAATACCTTCCTACCTCTCCATCCTCTCCTGAGAATAGTTACACACATTAATTTTTTTGATATAATCTCACAGCTTTCTGTAAATCTTTCATATTTTTCAATATTTTCCCTTTCTCCTTCAGAGTGGGTAATTCCCTTTAAACTATTTTCAAGCTTACTGAATTTTTATCATTTCCATCCTGCTCAAATCCATTCAGTCAACTTTTAATTTTACATATTGTATTTTTCACATCTAAAGTGAAAGTTTCAATTTACTTTTTTTAAACTTTTCTCTTGAGATATCTTTTCATTTATTACAAGCCAATTTCCGTTACCTCACTAGGTATATTCATAGAGTCAGTTTCAAATTTTATGAAAATCATAACACATGTGTCATCTCAGGTTTGAATTGTTTATTTACATTTTTAAAGAAAGGGTTGCATTTTGCTATTCTACATAGCCAGTAATTTTTACTTCTATACTAGAAATGTTGTTGTTATATTATAGAGCAAACATGAGCAAACTATGGCTTAAAGTTTTACTGGAACACAGTGACACACATTTTTTCATTTATTTTCTATGGCCGCCCTCAAGCTACAATGGCAGTATTGAATAGTTGCAACAGAGACCACCTGGCCAAGAAGCCTAAAATATGTACTATTTGGCAATTTACAGAAAGAGTTTGCTGACCCCTGTTGTAGAGACTCTGGATTCTGTTATATTCCTTCAAAGACTGTTTTTTGTTTTCACAGGCAATTATATTAATTAGATTTAAACTGGAAATTTTGTCTCATCTATTGTAGGCAGCAGCTCATATCTTAGATCAATTCATTTTTCTCTTATCTGTGCTATTTGTAGTGCGTGTTGTGTATGTATGGGTCAGTTGCCAAGGGGAGACTTAAGCTCTTCTAATTCTATTCCCTCTGGAAATCTCCCTTCAGTTTATGGCAGCCTTGACCACCTCAGTTTCCGTCTTCACGAGTCTATAAGATGATATGTTTTTCCAGTTGGCACCTAATGTCAGGACACTCCCTTCAGTTTATGGCAGCCTTCACCACCTCAGTTTCTGTCTTCGTGAGTCTATAAGATGATATGTTTTTCCAGTTGGAACCTAATGTCAGGACACAATAGTGGGCATCTATCAGGTTAAAGCTGCAAAGATGATGAACTAACCTTGTGCCAGTGTTTTCGGTTTCCCTCAAAAGTGTGCCTGCTGAAAGCAATCACTTTCATAATTGCCATGCACAAAAAATAAAATACCTAGGAATACAGCCAAGCAGGGAGGTGAAAGATCTCTACATGCAGAAATAGAAAATACTGCTCAAAGTAATCAGAGATGACACAAATGGAAAAACATTCCATGCTTATGTATAGGAAGAATCAGTATTGTTAAAATGGCCATACTGCCCAAAGCAATTTATAGATTCACTGCTATTCCTATTAAACTACCATTGATATTCATCACAGAATTAGAAAACCTATTTTAAAAATCATATAGAAACAAAAACAAGCCCAAATAGCCAAGGCAATCAAGCAAAAATAACAAAGCTGGAGGCATGATGTTACCTGACTTCAAACTATACTCCAGGGCTACAGTACTAAAAACAACATGATACTGGGACAAAACAGACACATAGACCAATGGAACAGAAGGGAAAACCCAGAAACAAGGTTGCAAACCTACAACTATCTTATTTTTGACAAACCTGTTCAATAAATGGCTCTGGGATAACTTACTAGCCATATGCAGAAGATTGAAACTGGGCCCCTTTTTAGGCCGTACACAAAAATTAACTCAAGATGGATTAGATACTTACATGTAAAACCCAAAACTGTAAAAAACCCTGGAAGACAAACTAGGCAATACCATTCTGGACATAGGAACAAGCAAAGATTTCATGACAAAGACTCCAAAAGCAATTGCAACAAAAGCAAAATAAAAGAGAGAGAGAGAGAGAGAAATGGGATCTAATTAAACTAAAGAGCTTGTGCACAGCAAAATAAACTATCAAGTTTCCACCAAGAGTGGACAGACAGCCTACAGAGTGGGAGAAAATTTTTGCAAACTATGAATCTAACAAAGATCTAATATCCAGCAACAATAGCAAACTTAAGTTTACAAGCAAAAAACAAGCAACCCCAATAAAAGGTGGGCAAAGGACGTTAACAGACACTTCAAAAGAAGACATACATGCAGCCAACAATCATATGAACATCGCTGATCACTAGAGAAATGCAAATCAAAACCACAATGTAATACTGTCTCACACTAGTCAGAATGGCTACTATTAAAATGTCAAAAAATAACAGATGCTGATGAGATGTGGAGAAAAGGGAACACTTATATACTGTTGATGGGAGTGTAAATTAGTTCAACCATTGTGGAAAACAGTGGGGCAATTCCTCAAAGAGCTAAAAACAGAAATAGCATTTGACCAGCAATCCCATTAATGGGTATATACCCAAAGGAATATCAGTTATTCTGTTATAAAGACACATGCATGTATGTGTTTACTGCAGCACTATTCACAATAGCAAAGACATGGAATGAACCTAAATGTTCATCAGTGATAGACTGGATAAAGAAAATGTGGAACATATACATCATGGAATACTATGCAGCCATAAAAAATGAGATAATGTCTTTTGCAGCAACATGGATGGAAGTGGAGCCATTATTATTAGCAAACTAATGCAGGAACAGAAAACCGAATACCACATGTTCTCACTTATAAATGAGAGCTAAATGGACACAGAGGGGAACAACACACATTGGAGCCTATTAGAAGGTGGAGGCTGGGAGGAGGGAAAGGATCAGGAAAAATATTTAATGGGTTCTAGGCTTACTACCTAGGTGATGAAATAAACTATACATCATACCCCCATGACACAAGTTCAGGTATAACAAACCTGCACATGTACCCCTGAACTTAAACGTTCAATTTATTTATTTATTTATTATTTGAGACAGAGTCTTGCTCTGCTGCCCAGGTTGGAGTGCAGTGGCATGATCTCACCTTACTGCAACCTCCAGCTCCCAGGTTCAAGCAATTCTCTTTCCCCAGCCTCCTGAGTAGGTGGAATTATAGGTGCCTGCCACCACGTCTGGTTAATTTTTGTATTTTTAGTAGAGACAAGGTATTACCGTGTTAGCTAGGCTGGTCTCGAACTCCTGACCTCAGGTGATCCACCTGCCCTGGCCTCCCAAAGTTCTGGGATTACAGGCACAAGCCACCATGCTTGGCCAAAAGTTAAATTTAAAACAAAAAGTATGTTGCCTTGGTTCACTCTCCAGAGACTTCAGGAAGTTGTTTTTTGTATTCTGTTCACAGTTTATAGTTGATACCTACAAGAGGGTTGGTTTTTTGAGAAATTAATCCACCATTCCAGAAGGGGAATCTTTTTATCTTAATTCTGTATCATTTTCTTTAAAAATTTAAAATAGGTTCTTCCTTCTTTTTATTGTTTTCTTTTCTTTGAGGGCCTCCATTATATAGATATTAACAGTTCTCCTTTCTTTTAATTTATTTTTATTCCCTTTCTTTAACACTTCCTGATGTAACCATGAAAGAGTCCCTTGCAGCTTGCTGCTTCATGCATTGGCTGTCCATGGGTTACATTTCCCTTTCTATGCCTATCACTCAACTTCTGCCAGTAGCTATGTATGTGGAGTGGAGGAGGTGAAAGAGAGAATGTCAAACTTATTCAGTGGACAGTGGTCAAATCTCCTCTGTTAAAGGATAAAGTTTCTAGGATGTAAATGAGCTAGATTTCTAGCATTTCTTCCCACTAAAATAAGGTTTATAATTAATGTTTAAATCCAATAAGTGTTACATTATGTAGTCAATGTTTATTAAGATTTATCCTCATTTTTATCAGTCTATTTGCTTACCATTGCTTTTCCGTCCTTTCTTATAAAGTCTTATTTCTTTTTCTTAAAGAACATCATTTAGAAGCAACTTTGGGGCAGATCTATAGAAGGTAAACACTCAGTGTTTGTTTCATTGAAAGGGCCTGTTTTTAACCTTCAAACCTGAATAAAATTTTAGCTGAGTTCAGGAGTGTAGATTGACAGATTTTTTTTTCTCTTTTTTGCCTCTTTGAATATATCATAAATTCACCTCCTTACACTGATGTCAAGATGTCATCTTTGCCATGTGCCTAATGTGAAAAGAAAACTTGCCATATTTGACATATTTGCTATAGATTTTCTTAGATGCCCTTTAATTATACAGAAATTAATTTCAATGACTAGTTTGCTAAGATTTTTAAGTGAATGTTAAATTGCATCACATATTTTGTATCCACAGATATAAAAATCATAGATTTTAAGTTATTAATGTGCCGAAGTATATTAATTAAATTCCTAATATCAAACTTACCTGTATTCTGAGGAAGAAAACCTAATTTGGTCATGGATAGATTCAGTCTGTTGAAATTTGTTTAGCATACTCAGCTCTAAATTAATACATGAAGTAGATCACTATTTTTACTTTCTTTTAAAATCCCTCCTAGTTTGGATATCACAGATTTTAGAAGTTGTGCAGGGACATGGATAGAGCTGTAGGCTATTATCCTCAGCAAACTAACACGGGAACAAAAAACCAAATAATGCCAGGCGCGGTGGCTCACACCTATAATCCCAGCACTTTAGGAGGCCGATGCGGGCGGATCAGCTGAGGTCAGGAGTTCAAGACCAGCCTGGCCAACTTGGCAAAACCCTGTCTCTACTAAAAGTACAAAAATTAGCGGGGCATGGTGGCGGGTGCCTATGATCCCAGCTACTTAGGTGGCTGAGGCAAGAGAATCGCTTGAACCCGGGAGGTGAAGGTTGCATTGAGCCAAGATGATTGTGCTACTGCACTCCAGCCTGGGTGACAAGAGCGAGACTCTGTCTCCAAAACAACAAGAACAACAACAAACCAACTACCACATGTTCTCACTTACAAGTGGGCACTAAATGATACGAACTTAGGAACACAGAGAAGGAAACAACAGACCCTGGGGCCTACTTGAATGGGGAGGGTGGGAGGAGGGAAAGGAGCAGAAAAGGTAATGATTGGGTACTGGGCTTAATACCTGGGTGATGAAATAATCTGTTCAGTAACCCCCTAGGAAACATGTTTACCTGTGTCACAAATCTTCATATGTACCACTAATCCTAAAGGAAAAGTTAAAAAGAAGAAGTGATGCTCTCTTTTTCTGTTCTCTAGAAAGTTTCTCTGTGTTGAGAATCTAAGTTCCTTGAAAGAGTGTTAGTCTCTGGACAGGTGTATTTTTGTGGGAAGATTTTTAACAGGCTTAACTATTCTGTGATTATAGAATTGTTCACCTTTTCTATTTCTTCTTGGTTTCACTTTAGTAAATTTTTAGTTTCTATTTTTCAGTTTCATATACTTTTCAAGTGTATTGGCATAGACTTAATTATAATGTCTATTTTCTGTTTGAACTGTTATCTTTTATGCCCTCATTTGTTATTCCTAATAGTATTTATTTTTGCCTTCTCTTTTTGCTTGATTAATTTTCAATTATATTAGTCTTTATAAAGAATTAGAATTCAGCTTTATTTTCCCTTTTGAGTCTTTGTTTCCTATTTTAGTACTCTCTGTCTCACACACACACACATACACACACACACACACACACACACACAAGCTATTCTAATAATTATAATAAAGTTCTGTTATTAGAAAAGAATGTTTCTAAAATTTTATTTTATATCTGAATTTCCTTTGCAATCTGTTAAGTTATTGAAAATGTATTGTAGAGAGTAATGCAGGGAAAAGAAGGTAGTTATATGTCCAAGGATTAATTATTACTTCAATGCATACGCAGTTAAAATTGTCTTATTTTAACATAAATTTCAGAACATCTTAATGGAACTATTTGCTATAAAGAAAGGCATGGGCACAGGTTAGCTCTGAAGATAAATTTTATAATATTTGTACAGGACAATTAACCTTCCATTTCAATACATAGTACATTTATGTAATATTTAAAAACCTATTTGAGATAAACATCCAAGTACATATTATATTCTTTTAATAAACTCTTTTTACTATAGAAGCATAACAAAGGAATATCGTATTATTTTTATTAGTTTGCGAGAAAATGCTGGGTTTTGCATCTCTGTTGTGGATTCCTATGCCAAGCATTTTAAGTTATAGAGTTATTTTCGTAACTGACCTATTAAGTGGTTTCAGCAACTAAGTTGAAAAAAATATTTGACCCTTGCCTGTGTAACATATGGACAGTGTTTGTCTCTAATATAATACCCGTAATGCCCCATTCTGCCCTTTAGAAAGGGCTTGCTGTTATGTACCTCTAATGTGACATATCTGAGGTATTCCACTTTTCAAGGTGAAAACTATCCATACTATTTCTTCAACATTTTCTTGCCTTACTTGTGGGATTTTGGTTTGAACTTCTAAATCTGAGTTATTTTTAAGACCGAGGCTGTAATTTATTTACCATAAGATCCCTAGACCTGCAGAACAGAAAGGGTAAAAGACATCTCTGAGAGAGATTTTATTCTACGTGACCATGCTTCTTTTGAAAAGCTGCCAAGTTTGCTTGTATGCTCTGAGTGTCTCAAGTGGGAATCAATGAGAGTACCTGCCGTTTCAAATAGCAGCAGATAATGGTGGAAGGGCAGAATGTAGACCACCAACAACGTTCAACAAGCAAGCATTATTCCAAAACTACAGTGTAGATTTGCTTTTTCAGTTCAGTATGCATTGGTTAACTAATGAACTTGAATAAAATAATTATTGTTATGAGATAACTAAGTTTTATTAAATGCAAGTAAAGAAAAATTCTTCTTTGAATTTTCTTCTAAAGAAAAATCAACATTTGACCCCATAATTATCAAACATCCTTGACAGAAAGTTCCTAGATGGGTGAAATATTTTTAGAATCAAAAATGCTCAGGTTAGACATCTGTTAATTGAAATACTCTTAAATGTCTCCACAAAAGTACATGAAAAACAATTGAACTCTTTGCCTATTTTCAATAGTTTAAAATATTACAAAGGGGCAATATGATTTATAGGCATTCTTTACAATAATTTTCTAGGTGAATTTTTGGTAAATGCTATGGGCAGTTAGAAGAAGCACACTAGTTAAGCTAAACCATATCCTAAATATAATAAGATATATTTGTGTGACATATTTTGAAGCTGGAAAAAAAGTCACAGAAAAGAAAATAAGGTAAATTAAATATATCTCACTCTCTCCATAGACTTGAATTTCATTGGATCTGTCATTTCTTTGTGTTAGGAACATTTCAATTTCACTGTTAGATATTTTGAAATATACAGTAAATTGTTGTTAAAAAAAGCTTACAAACAGTTCAGAAATCTAAAGTATAGGAAAATAATATTTTGGGATTTGCAACAAAGTAAGTATTAGGGTAATTAAATATTAATATATTGAAAGAATGTATGTTTCAAATAGGTCTGTTACAATTTAAATATATTCTTCAAATATATCTAATAGATTTGGGTCATAAGTTGACTTTAATTTTGCTGTGATTTTTAGTCTATTTTGAACACCAACACCAGAATAAGTTTCCTAAAATAACCTATTATCTTATCAATCTGCTGCTGGTCAACTGCTAAATGGCTTATTTTTCCCTACAAACATAAAGTCCCTAGTCTTTCCTGGCTCTTCTGTCTTTTCAGCCTTGTTCTTTACTACTCTCCCCCATGATATTCCTACTCCCTTTGCACCAGTCTGCTCACCTTTTCATAACTATGCCTTCCCCATTTCTACTTGTTCTGTCTTTATTGACCTGTTCTCCTCCACTCTCTTCTCCCAGTATCTGGATAGGTAGTAACACAGTCATCTTCACTACAGATTTAATACTCAACTTACTTTTTTTTTTCTTTTTTGAGACAGAGTCTCACCCTGTCACCCAGGCTGGAGTACAGTGGCACGGTCTCAGCTCACTGCAACCTCTGCCTCCCGGGTTCAAGCAATTCTCGTGCCTCAGCCTCCTGAGTAGCTGGGATTATGGGTGTGCACCACCACACTCAGCTAAATTTTTAAGTCACTTTTAAATGTCCTTTATGGATTTCATATTTCTGTACAATTGTTAACAATATGTGTGAGTCTAAAAAATGTCAACCACCTTACAGAAATAGAAAGTCTTTATTAATATGTGTGTTGGCCTCTTCATATCTATGTCTCTGAGCTGACCACAATTATAGCTGTCTAAGGTTTTTGACAATTTTTCTTTTACATTTCCTCAGAGTTATCTTTGCTTATTGTTGCCATGTTTCAGCTGCCTTATCCAAGTATTTTTTATTCCCTTTAACATTTCCGTAGAAAAAATTTCATTGTGTTCTGAAAATGTAAAAATCCTTCATACTGAAGTAAAAAGTACTGATAACAATTTACAGAAACATACACACTAAGACTATATTGTGTCAGGGGTCAAGACTATATAATGAATTAATAAAGTACTAACCATGGCATTTAAGCATAAAAGCAGAGCATAAGTGGGAATAGACCTTAGGGCAGCAGACACTGAATTTATAACACAAAAACAAACACTTATTCTTCCAGCCTGGTCCATGTGTCATAGCATATAAATGATGATTTCTGTCTTAATTTTTTCTGTTGTATCTACATCATCTTGTATAACCATATGTGTTTTATTTAAGGAAGTTTTAAAAGATTTAACTTTATGAAATAGATTTTTCTATCATTATGTATCAATCTTCCCATCACTATAAATGAGCCCTATACTATTTCAATTACAGATTTAATATTTTAATTACCTAAAGCATATTTTTCTTCAAATAATTTTTGTTATTCTATCAAAATAGCTTTCTTAACAATGATTGGCTTCACTTAAAAAAATGTGATACCTTCCCCTTATTAGTTATTGTGCCTTTGTTTTCAGCATGTTATTTGCACAGGATTATGGTGCAAGGTAGAAGGTGAGAAAGAATGCAGAACCAAGCTAGACCCACCAATGGATGGAACTGACTGTGACCTTGGTAAGGTAAGTCATTTGTGTTGTCTGAATTTAATGAGCATACTAGATGAAACTTGAGAATCTTGCATTTTCTCTGCCAGTTACATTTGTATTCATCTTAGCACTGATGGAATAATAACAGTATATACAAAAATATTAGTATTTCATCAGTTTTAACATTTATACTTTTTAAAATCCATGGTTGTTTTGTTAATATCAATGTGGTGAGGTTTTATTTTATTTGTTATTTTATTTGTTGTGAGAATGTTGAGAGTCATATATATGCATTAATATAGCAAAAATGTGAATTTTTTTACTTTTTAAACAGAAGTAAATTAAGCACAAATAATAGCATAAATGGTAAAATTTCTCATTGCCAATGGATCTTTTCAAGTATAAAATAATTGACTTAGGAGAGCAACTGAGTATTTTTTCTTTGTCAATATAATAATCATCCATAAAATATTCCAGTTGACATTTGGAGATTAGTAAATATTTGGCTGTCTGTGTAGTTTAATGTACTTCATAAGGCTTTAAAAATTTGTTAGTATACATTTCCAGATCTAAATAACTGCTTTTGAAAATTAATTTTCCTTTGAGGAATATGAAGAAGATGGATTTCACATGTATTTAATAATTATGGTTAACATAATCAAAAGATAACAGATCAATAGTTTACATAATTTTCTAATTTGCATACTGTGATGGGAAAGTAGAATTGTTATCACTGTACTCAATTGTTAAGATCAGAAAGCTTGCCTCTGAAGAGCATGAATGTGTATTACATTTGAAAATAAATAGCAACGTAAAGAACCTATAGATTTCTTATGGTGAAATACTTGAAGAAAACATGAAATTAGGTGGAGTTTTATTTTAAAAACATATCGATTTGAAAAATGGACAGAAATGAAGCTATTAACTTCTAGAAATTCGTCTTAAGAAAGTACACACACAGACGCACCTACACACACTCACACATGCACACACAGATGCTTAGGCAAGGATGCAGTTTGTAATGGTGAGAAGTGAGAAACAATAAAAATATTCATTAGGAGACAAATGGTCACAATGTAGTTGTTAAAAAATGAGGGAGATACATATGTTCTAACCTGAAGAGATCTATAAGACATGGCTGTTAGTTGATAGGCATGTCAGAAATTTTGATACTTTACAATACAGTTTGACATTTAAGGAAAACACAGTGTGTATACAGATGTGAATACACACACAAAAGCACACACACACACACACACAAGTATATATTTTCAAACTCATAAAATTAGCTAGGCTTGGTGGCACATGTCTGTAATCCCAGCTACCCAGAAGGCTGAGGTGGAAGGATTGCTTGAGCCTGGAAGGCAGAGGTTGCAGTGAGCCGAGACTGCACCACTGCACTCCAGCCTGGGCGACAGAGCCAGACCTTGTTTCAAAGACAAAAAAAAAAAAAAAAAAAGAAAAAAAAAAGAAAATATAAACACAAAACTCCAAAGTGTAATTAGAAGTTACCTCTTGGGAGGGAAGTAGAATTGATGGATTGATGGCTGGGAGTACATCAATGAGAGGGATGGGTGAATATAACTTTTCTGCAGCCATTTCTGGATTGTTTGACATAAGCATGCAGTGATTTATTACTTCTATGATTTCTTTAATTAGAAAAGAAAAAATGTACAAATTGTTTAAATCCAAACTATTTTTGAAAAAAAACTAGAAATATTTTATCACTATATATTATCAATAAGAAAATGATTCCTTAGAGGGAATTTCTGTGAAATATCAGTTAATTGTTTACAGACTGTGCCAAATATTTCCTATAAGCTTAAACAAAGCATCAGAATTTGGGTCTGTTTTATTTTTTAAATATATACACAAAAGTATAAGAACCTGTGTATATCAAGCAAGTCTCCTGATATTGTGCTAATTTATTGCTTGAATCATAAAACTTTGCACCAGCAATCATTTTTATCATCCCTGAAACACAAAAGCAGTAATATTAAGAGATAACCAAACATACTGCGATGAGCCCTCAAACATCACATAGCTTGTTTGTCTTTAGTTTTTTAGCAATATAAAAATATCTTTATTTTTATATCTGGCACCTTCAATATTTTTCTGCTATGATTTTTTCCCTTGTATATATAAACATAATTTGCAATCTTGAAATCTTTAAAGTAAACTTATTTTGGCAGTTAAAACTGTAATTACTAAACAAAAGTAAAAAGTTTTATTTTCCTATAATTGTGTTAATGATAACTCTCTTAGAGGTTCTGTAATGCTTTGTATATTGAAATAACTAATGAACCTCTCAGTTTTCCAGGCCATGTGGGCTTCTTCAAATATTCATCTGTTTCAGCTCTTTTAGAAGCCATCGTGAAAATAGCTTCCAACACTCTGCCATTGTGTGCAGTAGTGCTAAAATATTTGAATGCTTGCAACCTCACACCAAACACTGCAAGCTCAATACATTGCTAACCAAGAGACAAAGCTTGGGATTTTGTAACTGATAACACTCTAGTGATATTAATCAAACTGTATAAATCTAGTTAATCTAAGAGTATATAATTACATCTGAGAAGGTGCTTACAGAATTCTATGCTTCTGAATGATTTTGAACAAAGAGGTTTATATACTCTTTATGGACAGCATAATGCAAATTGAAAACAACTTGTTTTCTTCTCTTTTTATAATTTTTATATAATTTTCATATTTTTCAATTTACAATACAAATATCAATGTGTTGGCATTTACATTTCAAAGAGATTAAGTAGTGGGCAAATGATTTATTCAAAAATAATAAATGTATGTATTTTACTTACAGTACTTACTAGAAATGAAAAGAGCGGAAAGAGACATTAAATACCAATTTACTAGAACCTTAGACTGTTTGGAAGGATTCTATGTAATATATTTTAGTTATTTATTTTCCCAAATTGAGAATCTTGAAATTACCATCATAATTTATTATTGGAAACAATGAAGACTGTAATATCCTAACAGTCACAATGTGCATATGTACACAGCTTTTTCCCTGCCTTCCTCCTCTTCTCTCTTCCACAATATATGTACAAGATTTGATCAGAGACTGTTCAGGCTCCTTTGACATCTTCACAGACCCCTTTCAAATGTGTGTTTTCATGAACTTCCTATACATGTCCACATAAAAATTTAGGAGTATAGAACTATAATTAGTGTGTTGGGTCATGCACTGTCCCCAGGTGGTCTATATTACATAATCCCTTAGTACTTTTATAAATCAGATTGAATTAGTAGATAAGACAATTTTTTAGTGTTTTCAACAATACATAACTTCTTTTTTGAGGCTAAAAAATGCAAACGTTGTATGAAACAAATCATGCTGCTCTCCATAATATCCCTAATGATATTTATGGAAAGCATCATTGGGATTATTTTACATATAATCTTATATAACATATTGTATAATAGTTTAAACAAAACATTTAACACTTTCCTCATTGTTGAAGCACAGAACCATATAGAAGACACAAAAGCAGGTACCCTCTAGCTTCATCCAGACATCTGGTTATCTGCAAGGTGACAAACTTTAAATACTATGCTGTAGTACTTTCTTCAAATTTCACTGATGTGTATATGCAAATAGGTTTGCATTTCTGTATCCATTTCTCTTCATCAGCCAGATGTGTCATTGTTTAAATGATGTACAAATCTGGGTCCCAGTGATTTCCAGAATATTTTAGTCTGTTATGAACTCTAGCCCAGTCTTTCAATGCCAGCTTGCTGCTAAATGGCCAAGGAGGTATGATATGCACTCTGGGAAACATAAACACCCTTAAAGTAGGCTAAAACAATGTGACCAATTGAAGTTTGACAACTTTCACATTGAATTTTTTTTTCCATGAATGGCATAACTTTTTTAAGTCCTTAAAACAAGTAAGTAATGTAGAAGTTTTCACATGGTTTCTTTCTCCTTTTCCAATTTTTTTTTTTTTTTTTTTTTGAGACGGAGTCTCGCTCTGTCGCCCAGGCTGGAGTGCAGTGGCGGGATCTCGGCTCACTGCAAGCTCCGCCTCCCGGGTTCACGCCATTCTCCTGCCTCAGCCTCCCAAGTAGCTGGGACTACAGGCGCCCGCCACTACGCCCGGCTAATTTTTTGTATTTTTAGTAGAGACGGGGTTTCACTGTTTTAGCCGGGATGGTCTCGATCTCCTGACCTCGTGATCCGCCCGCCTCGGCCTCCCAAAGTGCTGGGATTACAGGCGTGAGCCACCGCGCCCGGCCTCCTTTTCCAATTTTTAAACTGCATCTTTGTACAAAATCCAAATTTATTTAATGAGAATCTTAGAATATTGATATTCTCTGAGTTGTTGATCTTTATTTTGTTTTTCAAGTTTAGATTAAAAACTTTTTGAATCTAAAAGAGGTTGAATTTAAATGTTGACATTATTAGAGAAAATCTACAGAGACTAATTATTTTATGGCCTATAAAAGTAAAGCACTAACAGGGCCCACACAAAACTATATGGTATAGTTTTAATTCTCTTTTCTAAAAACAGCAATAAAAACATATTATCAAGTAAATTCTAAAAACAGATGAATAAATATCAGAATGAACAGAATTTTGCTTAGATTTCTGAAATTATTAACATAATGATACTTATAACTCTATTATTATTACAGTTAGCCCTTATTAAATCCTTAGTAAGGGCTATACATTGTGTTTAGTCTTTCATTCAATTCCTAAAAAAAACTGTTAGGTAACTATGATTATCATTCACATTTTAGAAATGAGCAAGCTGAGAATCAGAGCATTTCTGTAATTTCCTCAAAATCCTTTGTAAATTGTGTTGCCATTAAGTGTAGAAGTTCATTTAGGGCTAGGAGGATCAACTTACTCAACCTCATCGTTATACAATCACTAATCTAAATGCTTGTAATCTTACTTATTATTCTCAATATGATTTTGTTACTCTTACCATGTTTGCTACGACCATCATCTATTTGATTTTCAGGAATGAGGAGAAATTTTAATAACCTGTCCCCCAAATTCTAGCAACCATTCCTGGGTGACCATCAGCAATCTCTCTCATTGCTTTTGTTTTCAGTGAATGAAAAAATAAAATAAAAATAAAAAAGAGAATGACTACACTTCTTTCTCTTATTCCAGTTATCTTTACCAGTTAATAGATACCAAGTAAAGTATAAAATAATTGGCATGAAATAACAGAATTTCAGCATCTAATTGCCCACGTCTTTCAAACCAACTTGCTGTAATGTTAATGTTTGAACTTGATGGGAATTCTTTCAGAAAAAAAAAAAAAAAAAAAAGCATAAAGGAAAGTGCTAAAATCAAACAGTACTTTTTAAAAACTACAAGTTAAAAAAGTACCCTGAGTCACTGACATTTCATACGAAAATTACTAAATTTGCTAAAAATGTCTGCTTTGACGTAGGACATTTATTTCTTGTTTCCATTCTTATATATTACTCTGATTTTTTTGTCCCTTTTAAATTATTATCGGTTTCTTAAATGTGTTGGATTTTCTTTCCTGGTTGTGCAACCTCAGATTCCCTACCCATAATCTTTACCCTGTCTCCATCACAAAAACTGAATTCTTAGGGCTATAGTAACAAATATCTGCGCACTGCTTTCCCAACAAGACTGTATCTGTGAGAACTGGGCAATTATATTACTATGACAAAAAACAAGTGCCAACTTATTTTTGGTCTTTCCTAATTCCCCATGTTTGTGGCTCTAGTAGACCTGATTTAATTGCAATTCCAGTGACATTATAGGCCAGCGAATGATTTTCAGTTGTGCCCTGATTTGTTCACCTAAGACATAACTTTTGGAATAGTGGTGTAAGGCTGGAGAATGTACCAGCAGGACCTCAGCACCTGAACATCTGGCCGGAGAGTGGAGCCTGTGGAGTCCTTGTAGCCGAACCTGCAGTGCTGGGATCAGCAGTCGAGAGCGCAAATGTCCTGGGTAAACTCAAAGTTCCTGGTTGGGGGAGGGCACTTTTCAATTTTGGAATGCAAAGGTTTTACTGATAAAGCATGTTGGAAAGCAAAAGAAGCTCCTCAAACTCTACTCACGTTGGAAAACAGAAAAGTCCTTCAAATTATTTATTTTATATAAAAACTGCCTTTAAGAAGAAAATAAAGACCAACCCTTCTAAGAATAAGTAATGAAAGCTATAAAAGGTTATTTCTTGAGTAAATCTATAAAATATTTCAATAAACAGGAAGATGTGTATTAGAAAAATTATGTGAACATTTACAGGAACTGGGAGAAGAGCAGAAGGATGATAAGAAAGAGAATGAGAACAAAATTAATGACAGCAAAAGCTAAGACTAACGAAAAACAGAAACATGCTAAGCACAGGTACAGACAGGAATTATTATGGGATCAGCTTGTTCAACCCCATTATTCCTAGAGGAATTCTAGCAAAGTATGAGAAAGTCATTCCAGCTTGTGAGCTTTAAACTCTATTGGTGTAGAGGTCACATGCAGTCTTAAAGAATTTATATGAATTTATGTAAAAACACCTCCTTAAAAATTCTAAGAACCAAATTTCTTAATGGGCATTTGAAGGCTTTCTATTTTCCCTTCAGTTTCTGCCCTTTACTCTAATGTATCATTTTCATGGCAAGTGGGATTTTATTCCTCATATATTTTGGAAGGTATATTGATCAAGGATTAGAAAATATATATAGTTAAAGAAATAAATATATGAATTTGCTACTACTATCATTTAATGTGTCCAAGTTTTCAAAAGTAAATATAATATAAGGGGTTATATATTATTAATATAATGGCTTTTAATTTAAAACCTAGGTAGTTAACATAAAAAACATAAAATTGATTATTTGTACTTTCTTTTCTAGGCTAGATTCTGAAGCAAGGGATTGTAATGGTCCCAGAAAACAATACAGAATATGTGAGAATCCACCTTGTCCTGCAGGTTTGCCTGGATTCAGAGACTGGCAATGTCAGGCTTATAGTGTTAGAACTTCCTCCCCAAAGCATATACTTCAGTGGCAAGCTGTCCTGGATGAAGGTATGACCAACCAGATCACCACCATCTTTGTTAACTAGATTTCTAGGTTTGCGAAGTGTTTTTACAATAGTCAGATTATTTTACCTATTATCTTCAAAATATTTCTGAACTTTAATTTTTTCTACCTGTATGGACATATAATAACCACAAGCACTGACAAAAATATATTTTAAAAATATGAGGAGCTGTTACCCCATACCTATTAGAACAACTAAAATACAAAGCAGTGACAACACTAACTGCTAGTGAGGATAAGGAGAAACTGGATCTCTCAGGCATTGCTTGGTGGGATTGTAAAATCGTGCAGCCACTTTGGAAAATATAGTTTGACAGTTTTGTAAATAACTAAACATACACTAACAATACAGAAATCATACTCCTGAGTGATGGAATACTCCTCAGCACTAAAGAGGAGCAAACTATTAATACATGCAACAACCTGATAGATCTCAGAGCATTATGCTGAGTGAAAAATGCCAATCTCAAAAGGTCCCATGTTATGTGATTTCATGTGATAATATTCTTGAAATTATAAAATTATAGAGATGGAAAACAAATTCATACAAATTAGTGGTTGCCAGGGATTAGGGATGGTGGTGGGGAGAGGGATGGGTATTACTATAAAGGGGTAGAATGAGGAAGATCTTTGTGCTAATGAATAGTTTCAGACCTTGATTGCGGCAGTGGTTGCACAAATCTACAAATGTGATAAAATGGCGTACAGCTATACACACACAGGTACAAATGCCAGTTTCCTGGGTTTGCTGTAGTTCTATAGTTGCTCAGGTATAACCATGGGGAGAAACTGAATGAAAGGTAGGTGGGAACTCTCTGTACTATTTCTGCAAGTTATTCCAAATATTTAATTATTTCAAAATAAGAATTTTAAGAAAATTGTATGCTGCCTTATTAGTTAAGAATGATATGCCAAGCAAGGTGGCTCACACCTGTAATCTCACCATTTTGGGAGGCCAAGGCAAACAGATTGCTTGAGCTCAAGAGTTTGTAACCAGCCTGGGCAAGATGGCAAAACCCTGTCTCTACCAAAAATACAGAAAAAAAAATTAGCTGGGTGTTGTGGCATGTGCCTGTAGTCCCAGCTACTCAGGAGGCTGAGGCAAGCCCAGGAGGCAGAGGTTACAGTGAGCCAAGATGGTGCCACTTTACTCTAGCCTGGGTGACAGAGTGAGACCCTGTCTCAAAGAAAAGAAAAATGATAATACTTGCCCATGGTGAGTGGGCTGTGGGTGTGGGCTGAGTTGCAGCCACCAAAAGTGGTGACAGATCATCTGATTTCATTGGTTATGATGCCACTAGTCTCTCTTTTCTCCCCTTAGTCAATTTGAACTTTGCTTTCCATCATTCCAGTTACACTCTTCTCAATAACCTAAACTCCATTGCCTGTCCATTTCAGTGCCCCCATCTGATGAAACCCTTTTCTCACAGTAGCACCTACATACAAGCACTAATGGAAACAGCCAAACAATAGGGCAGATTATTCCACTACTAGTGGTGGTGGGGGGAAATATAGCAGCCACCAGATTACCTCCTTATTTTCTGCTATCAAGACACGTTAGCCTAACGTAGGATACTTCATCTGCTTTCTGCTATATGGCAGAATTTTAATTCCTCCTTTCCAAGGCCAGTCCCTCCAGTTGTGGCCTTGATGCCATCCCCATCTTCCTCTTTCAGCTATCTTATTGATTACCCCCACTTTCTCTCATATAGTTAATCTTCTCTGTTTTGGATCATTCACATTTAATTTTTTAACATATTTAAGACTCTCCCACTAAAACATAAAAACTTCCCCTCAAGATCATAGCCATCTTGAGCTGGTGCACCTACATGTTTCTCTCCTCACAACCACCCTTCTCAAAAGACCTGCCTATATCCCAGCCCTTTGTGTTTTTCCCTTCAATCTGGATTCCACCAACACAAGTCTTTCTAATGTCATCCAGGAGTCTCATGGAAACAAAACCTAATAAATAGTTTCCCATCCTCTTCTTAGTTGACTCTTAAATACATTAAGGTGGCTGCCCACCCCCATGGTTCTTGGAACACTCGTGTGCCCTGCTTGGTTGCTGTGTTGTTAACACCTACCCGGCTTTCCTACTACATCTCTGGTATGTTCTCCTTCTGCCTACTTCAAACACTATTCTGTTTTCACTGTGCATTTTCTTTTTAGGTGATATTATCTATTCCTATGACTTCAAATATGCAAATAATACATGAGTTTACGTCTTCAACTAGATTTTCCATTTGAGCTCCAAACTTGTATGTACAACTCCCTTGTTGATATATCTAATTGGATATCTGCAGGTTTAAGACCAAACTCATGATCATAACCCTTCCTATTCATGTCCATTTGATCCTCTTTAGTGTGTCCCATATCATTGAAGGTAACACTTGCTTTTCAGTTGCACAAACTTGATCACCTGATTTATAAGGATATTTCTGTGTCCTGCCCCCTTTAACTTCTCCTGCCTCATTTCCATCATTCTCTTTTATAGAATCCTATATGGCCAGGCTGACTTCCATTCCACCCCTTAGATACATCTGCTCTCTTATTTTTGGGCCTTTATACCAGCTGGGTTTTGACATAATAGGCTTTCCTTCTCAAGCTTTGACATCGTTCTTTATTTATTTACCTTGAACACTTCTGCTGATTTTGGGGTTCAGTGTATGTCAGTTCCTCTAGGAAGAAAGAATCCCTCTGATCCTCCAAATTATGTGTCCCTTCCAAGTACCACACACACAACCTGTAATAGCACATTTTATTGTGTCTGCATTCCCTCTAATGTCTGTCCCTAGTGTATCATCTACTGTATATTAAGTGTCCAATGAATATTTGTTAAATAAATTTGAATACATAGCCAGTAACTTTTTATTATAAAAATATAATCAATATGACTGTTCACATCATGAAAATTTTCTGATTATTTGAATGTTAATCCTGTCTCTACTTCCAACTGGCTGTGACAGTTAATAATGTCAAGTTTATTTGAAACCCATTTACTTACGTGTGAAATAAGAGATAGAAAATAGGTGTTCTCCAAATTAAAAAAAAATCAGAGTTGGATGGGCATGAATTTAAAACACTAAAGCTGTTAGAAATCACAATTAAAGGAACTTCTGACTCTTACAAAGTGATGTATATCATCAAAATAATCCACAATACCTATTTGTATAATCAGCAGGTTACCATTTGTGATGATTTTGCAACACGTATCAATCAAACTCATCAGTCTATATTTCAAATAAAATATACAACAGTCACTAGCCTACATGTATTATAGCGCTGTGGAAGAAATGGAAATACACAATTCTTTTAAAAACATGTGACACCTTAAAATACAAGTGGCTGTATCTGTTATATAATACTTGAATCCCTGCCTAGGAGAATTAAATGTGGGGTAGCAATGCAGCAGTGAACATTTATTTTTAGAGAAAAGACATGCATGGCTTCAACATTCAGGTATTTCACATACTTTGTGTGTGCCAAAATTTGGCTGAAATCCATGTCTATTGCATATCTTGGAAAGAGTTGGTCTCTTAAATCAAGACAGAACCTGCCTGCCAAGTATGGCATGTTACATGGATCACTACAGTGTCACAGCCTTGAGGGTATACTCCAGAAATGAAGAGTGGTATCAAATGTTTATGTCATCTGTACAGCTAAAGTCAGCAGAGTGTGTTGGCAATATGTTTTAAAAGGAGAAATAAAAAGATTTTTATCTGAATTTTTGCTTGGAATATGAATGGAATTTTCTAGGAGACTAACTCCTTTCAATATTATTTATTCATATATCTGGTTTGCTCTTCTCTTCAATGAAAACTCCAGAAAGAGCATTATATATACCACTTTTAAAGTGTTGCAATTATAGCAGCTGTTTTTAAGTTCAAAGATATGACATAGTAAGCAGTCATTGAATAAACATAACCTACTTTGAGGTGTGAGAGCACACGGAAATGCTTTATTGCGGCTTATAATGGCATCTTAAAGGAAAATTTCAAAACCATGCACATTAAAGGCCATGTTCCAACTCCCCAAAATTGTTGAGAGCAGTATTCAGAAGCCACATGTGAAAACTGTTTGAAATGTTCACTTCTGAAGGTTCATTTAACTGTCTGTCTTCTCTTTGCAAAGTGATACCCTGTTCCATGCCTCTGGCTGTTATTTGGTATTTATAGAATCCCATCAGCATACGTGGAACTTTACTGAAGACATAAGGGAAGATCAGTGTCAGAGACTTTAAACTTTTTTCCATTCTATTTATATAAGCTTAATAAACAGTAAAGGACCTGACTGGCATCAAGCCAATAGAGTAGTAATGTAGCATGGAAATTGCTCTGACGTTTCAGATTTGGATAATAGTATTACTAGTGTTACCAAATACTGCAGCTCCTCTGTAGGAGGCTTAGAAATGGACATAGCACTTTAAAAATATCGTGCCACTTTCTGAGCCTAAAAGGCAAGTGTTTTAACCCCAAACATCCTATCTGATTGCTCAATGATGCACAAAGAAGACTCGCAGCTGCTTAGGAATTATTTACCTGGAATAAAAGTTCTCAACCTAGATATCGTACACAACGACATGGTTTCTGCATAAGTAGTGAAGGGGACAGAGTTCTCACTAGCACATCAGCAGTTGCGCATAACTATGGATGCTCTCATGGGATGGTATTGCATTTCAAAACAATATTTCTGTTGCATTGTAGTAACAATCCTAGTAACAGAAATGTTTTTTACAAATGCAATTCTTACTACAATCCTAGTAACAGAAAATTTCATGAGAATTCTCATCTTAGAGGCTCTTCTTTCTCCCTTTAGACATTTTTTCAATTAGAAAATGTCAACTATATAGAAATAAATACTAGCACATTGAAATTTAGAAGTAAGACATCAATAAATAATTCAAGCATGAAGTAAATCTTAACCAGGACTTAAAGACAGGTAGAATCCTGGTGTCTACTAAAGATGAAGAGGATATCATTTCAAAAAAAATATGAGCATAAAATTGGGGTGTGCCAATATTATTCAGGGAGGAGGTCTGGATTGTGTGTGCTAGATATGTTCTGCCATAAAATAACAAATGATACATTTTAAGGTAATTTGAAGCCAGATTTCTTAGAAGATTAATATTCATTAAACATCTCCAGGCACCTAATTTATTGCACATAGAAATCTTCTAATGTTATCTACTCTAACATTACATTACTTAATTAGCATTGAATTATATTTTTTACTCAATAACGATTCTTAAAAATGAAGCTTAAGATAAAAATATTTATGGGGTAACTTTTTCTCATTTCTTTTTATCTACTCTGTATGTAGAAAAACCATGTGCCTTGTTTTGCTCTCCTGTTGGAAAAGAACAGCCTATTCTTCTATCAGAAAAAGTGATGGATGGAACTTCTTGTGGCTATCAGGGATTAGATATCTGTGCAAATGGCAGGTGCCAGGTAAGACATTCCAAAAAAAAAAAGAATTTATATGTTGAAGGAAAATTGTGGGACCACTGAGCAGCTTCACAGCATGGTGGAAAGCTTTGGACTTAGATTCAAAAGATGTTGCTATAGTCCTGCCTTGACTGTGACCTTGAGCAAGTCTGATTTACTTTGAAACCTCATTTTTCCATCTGTGTAATAATGGGTTTGACTTGGTACTCCATAAAATCTATTACTAACTGAAAGAATCTGAGATTTTGATTGTGTAATATATATATTACAGGTTTAAAATTGGAGCACTTTGGACATTTTATGTCAAAATATTTCAGACCAAAAATTCAAGCACTCTAGTTCTCCATGCTTTGTGTCTAAGACTGAGCCATGAGTCAAAAATCAATAAAATTGACCTTATAACTCATATTCAAGTATCATCAATATACTTGAATCAGATGATTTTTAAATGCATATTCAACTTTCTTTAATAAACATTTTATTTGCTTTTCTCTCTTTTAAAAAATTTCCATTTATATGCATGTATGTGCTTTTCATCTATGTTTAGAAAAAGTAGAATTCCTGTTAAAGTGATTATGAAGAACATAGTGGAGAGATCAAAGTGTAGAAGTGAGCAGTTGCTAGTCATGGTTCTGCCACTGTCTCAAGTTGACATTCCCTGGAAGATTAATATGCACAAAGTTTAATGCCAAGTGTTTTCATGATCAACATCTATGTGGAGATAAGGAAGAGGCAGGTTTGGGCACAGGGTGAAATCAGGTTCTGGTGCAGTCACAAGACCTTAGCTGACCCTGTGGGAAGTGCTTAAACTGGCATGGGGCTTGAGAGTTGTTACCATTTTGGTGAGAAAATCAGGCCATTTACTCTCAACATCTACTATTGTTTGGATACAAGCTGCCCCAGGAAGTGGCTACAACCTTGGGGAAAGCAGGTTTCCTTAGTCTAGATAGTTTCTGATAAACCTTCCAGAAGCAGGAAAGAAATAAATCCTTTGGCAATGAAAGAGGCTGCTGAGTGGAGTGGCACTGCATCCATGACAGCCTTTAGGAAACTGTTAACTGGGCAAATCACTTAAAATATATTTGCATGCATGAACTAATCTGTAAAACAAAGTTGGTAGACCATTGGTCATTGACTTTGTGCTATATACACTCCTTTGAGAATTTGATGAATTTTTTTTTCCTCGTAAAAATGCACAACTGAACACACACATACACACATACCTGCACACAAATGCCAAAAATTGAAAACAATTTCAAGCTATGAATGGATCAATCCATGATCCAATAGAAGTGTATGTACTTCTGGGTAAGAAGCTGGGAACAACACGAAACTTAAATCCTTTCTCAGCTCTGAGATTCCATATTTTGCCAGTAGGCTATAAAGTTTAAAGCATAGAATCATGTAAAACCATTGGCATAAGAAGCAGTCTTTTGACTACATATTAATTTATTTTATTCCTTAACAGAATACGGCAATTACCAAAATGTAGTTTTTCATTAAAAATTATAGATATTTTACCTATACATATTTTGTTTTCAGAACTATATTCTGTACTAGTAGAGCTTTCATCTCATCATTATATATAAATCTGTTAGATTATTGTATGTCTTAAATGAATTTATTTCTTAAATTGTGCATGTCAAATATAATAGCCTAAATTGCTATGCTTTTTACTTAACAGTATTGTATAAGCCAAATTTTTACAGAGTCCCTGGGTAAAAATTAAAATTATAGCAACAACAACAAAGATTTTGCACAAATGCTATGTGGACCTGATGATTATAATTAAATTAGAATTATTTGAAATGGATTGTGGCTTATAATGGCATTAAAACACTTCAAGATTCTGGCTTTTTAATTAAAATGCTTCATTTAGTCTTTCAGTAAAATTGAAAACATGCCTCTTTAGTTTTTCTGACAACCCTCAACAATTGGGGGTTTGACTAGAGAGTTTTATCACTAAATATATAGCACCAAAGCTGAATGTAGCATTCCAGACTTAGTGAACGAAAGGCAATTGAAAGCAGACAACTTTCTCTGGTGACCCATTTTGGTTCTGTGATTTTCTCTTACTGAAAACGATAAGGAAGGCTGGAGCCTGTATGATCATGTTATTTGCGTATCTCCCGCACACCAGTGGTACCTCAGGTACTTGCTACCAGTCACGAGGCATTGCCTCTTCAAAGTAGTTCATCTTCAACTTTTGGATTTATGTGAGCATATTTTGATATGTGTGCATACTTAAAACTACCAATTATAAAATACAAAATATTTACCTTTTATTTTTAAAATATATGATTATTGAACTGTAGTATATATGTCTATTCCTTACTTTTACTTTAGATTTACAGACCTTGTAATATCCTAGTTAAAGGACTGGGAAAAACTAAGAAACTACTAACTACCAACGTATTTAATAGTTGAACTATTACTTACTGTTTTCTCACCATTTGCCAAGAGGCAATCTGGGTACCAGGGATAGAGCAATAAAGATACTTTTATCATTTCAAAAGTACTCTAGCTCTCCTCAGCTTTTTCCCCATTGGAACATGGAAAGACTTTTCTTCTCAATCCAGGACTCCCAGGTCAGGCTTCTGCTTAATGTTCTCTTCACATACTTGGTTGTGTTCTGCTCATTTCCTGTGGTGGCTACTTCTTTCATCTAGACATTCTCTTTATTTCTCCCTGAATAAGCTTTGACTTGCTGATCAGAGTTTTGTGCTAACACTTTGTACCTCTTGACACTGATAGGCCCCGCTTGACAAAAGGAAGGAATGCTGTATTGTGCAGTTTTAATGTGACTTTTGCTCCCAGCACATTCATCCTGCGGCTGCATTTAATAATCTGCTAGCTTCCCCCACCCCAACACCAGCAGCACCAGTCACAAAGATTCTGTTTTTGTTTCAGTTGTATTTAATATTTTAAAATTTCCTCTAAAATAATTGGAACCTATTATAAATGGATGTATCATCAGTCTCTGTTCCAAATCCTTCTTAATTAGGAGGAATTATGTAATACTACCATTTATTTCTGACAGTACTGACATACTAAATCCTGCCCTTTGAGTATGTACAGCTTTGCCTCATCAATGGGAAGTAAACATTATTTACAAGAAAAGAGGCAATTGATTTGGCCTTAGAAGATTCCTATGAACGAAATTCTTCTGGGGGCTTATAAAAATTAATTCCCCAACTGTTCATATTTTCTTAAAGCAGCCATAGGTTGTGAGGAGTTCTTACTCACATTCATGTGCTAGGTGCCAAAGGAGATAGGGATGGATAAACTACAGTTGATTCATGAACTGTAGTAAAAATAAACATCTATGTTCAGTTTTCCAGAAAGTTAATATTTACCATTTAGCACTTACTTTACAATCACTTTAAAAGTTAAGCCATCCATATAGTGAAGTATATCTGTTCCTTGTTGAGTAGAAGAAATTAAACTAATCATGTTGTATTTAATAGAAATGTGATTTCCTTTGAGACTTATGTAAATTGCATTTTTCTCAATAATATTTTTTCCAAATTACTTTATGGTATCATTTAATACTTACTATAAAAGATACTCTAAGCTGGTCAGAGTGGCTCACACCTATCATCCTAACAGTTTGGGAGGCCAAGGCAGGCAGATTACTTGAGCTCAGGAGTTCGAGACCAGCGTGAGCAACATGGTGAAACCTTGTCTCAACAAAAAAACACAAAAATTAACCCAGCATGGTGACGCATGCCTATAGTCCCAGCTACTCGGGAGGCTGAGGTGGGAGGCTGGCTTCAGCCTGGGAGGCAGAGGTTGCAGTGAGCCGAGATGGAGCCTCTGCACTCCAGCCTAGGTGACAGAACCAGACCCCATCTGAAAGAAAAAGAAAGAAAGAAAGAAAAAGAAAGAAAGAAAGAAAGAAAGAAAGAAAGAAAGAAAGAAAGAAAGAAAGAAAGAAAGAGAGAGAGGAAGGAAGGAAGGTAGGTAGGTTATCTCTCATCACTATCTTGGTAATTTTACAGATTATGTTATTTGACATTGGCTTGTGTATTAGCTTGCACCAGAGAATGACATTTTATAATATGACATTTCATAAGTTTTACAATTAAATATATCTGGTTTATAGAGACTAGGTTTGTCCCAAATTAGTAGTAAAACAAGAAAAGAATACTGCTATTTATGATGTGCTGTCACTCTCTTGTTACAGAAAGTTGGCTGTGATGGTTTATTAGGGTCTCTTGCAAGAGAAGATCATTGTGGTGTATGCAATGGCAATGGAAAATCATGCAAGATCATTAAAGGGGATTTTAATCACACCAGAGGAGCAGGTAATTTTTCTTTATTTTTTCATAAATATTAATCCCTGCAATCTTTGGGAACACAGATTATATTGAATTTAACTTAAGAGATTATAGTTCTAATTCTATTGAAGACTTGCAATGGGTATTAAATTATTTTTGTGATGACATACAATACATGTGATATGAGCCAAAAATTCTAACAAGCCCATTTCCCAATAATGCAAATATGAAGTCATCTGTTGTACATTTAATAAGTTGGAACAGCAAGGGAATAATCTAATTTGCATTGGCTAATGTTATCAGGTTTCTACAGACCTTATTCTCCAATGCAAAGAATGATGTCTACTGGAAAATAATGATTTGTAACAGCCTAAAGCAACCATTGAGAATAGGAATCCTCTGGTTTTCAGCTTTCCATCTTTATTTTTTTCTTAATGTTTTTGCTACATTATCAGGGAGTACGTTTTTGGAAACAGAGGGTCCATGACATTGTAGCATACAACCAAGAGGCGTCAGAAGATGTGAGATAATGTTCCAAATAGATTAATAGCAGAGTTCATCCTCCCTTGTTTTCTCATCTATAAATACTAATACTCAGGGGATGTGAGATTGAAATTATGAATGATCTACATAGTATTCATTTAAAGTAATTCACAACAAAATATGATATTGTCTTTACTGAAATATAATGATCCCAAAATGTGCTTTATGTACAGAAAATGCTTTATACTCAGGATCTTAAGCTTACTGGAAAGAAGCAAACATTTTCTGTGTTTACATTAGTCTGTTACCTGGGCATGTGTCTTGCACCCTTAATACTGGTATCTATTTTCATGATTGATATGCTTATATCAAATATACTCTTTTCTTTTTAAAATTATAGATGTGCTTTTTGAGAGAGTGTTACTCTGTTGCTCAGGTTGGAGTGCAGTGGTGCATGGCTCACTGCAGCCTTAACCTCCCATGCTCAAACAATCCCCCCAACTCAGTCTCCCAAGTAGCCGGGACTAGAGGCATGCACCACCATGCCCAGCTAATTTTTTTTTAATTTTGTTTTTTGTAAACATGGGGTCTCACTATGTTCCATAGACTGGTCTCAACTCCTGGGCTCAAGCAGTCCTCCCATCTTGGCATCCCAAAGTGCTGAGATTATAGGCATGAGCCACTGTGCCCACTCCAAATATGCTGTTTTCATCATTGATATGCTTATATTACAGATACCAACATTTTCCTAGTTTAAATTTCTTTTTGAAAAGAACAAGAATTCTAGGCCTAATATATGAATTAATTTTAATACAAAGAACAGGGCATTTATGTTTGAGTAATCGAGAAAACAGTTCATTCCAGATAAAACAGTCCTTCAGAAAAGAAAATTAGTCACCATCTTCTAAAGTATGAATGTAAATTGTTTGCTAGGCCTAAGCAGAATAAAAGATAAGTGAGACTGAACATCTTAAAGCCGAGAAATGAGTAAGGCCTATGGTAAATTGCAGATCAAACTCTTAGTCTTCAAAGTGGTAAAAAAGGTGATAGGTCCCACACATCAAAAATCTGCTGGCACTCCTTTAGAAAAAATAAATAAATAAATACTTAGCTGAAACAGGCTCTCAGACTTTCAACTAAGAAATTTAATTATAATAAGCTTTTTCTGCCTGATTGTGATGGCAGAAGTTTTTTTTATAGTGCAGAAATTCAAAAAAATTTGGAAGACTAAAGAAATTTAAGCATATTAGAGTTTTTAAAGAATATTCTTTCATATTTATTTAGTATGCCTGGAAACAGCTCACAGAATACAGATGCACATTTAGCACTGATGCCTTTATTTAATTGTAACACTTCATATTTCCACTAAGCATAGAAAACAGAAATACCATTAAAAATCAGTGACTCTTTTTACTCTGACTGTAGTTATGTGAATATATATTTTCCTAGATTTCTATTTCAAATCCCTTTTTTATTCCACTTTAATTTCTACTTTTGTTCACTGTAGGTAAGTTATGTTAAAAGCATGTTTATTTGGAAAATATCAGAAGTGCCTAAGATACTACAAATATTAAAGATTAATAAGGCCACTTTCTTCCTTACAACTCTATGTTAATTTCACATTGCTCACAGGGAAGAATTCTTAGCTTGGACCTTAAGGTCTACATGTGTTGTCCCTGTCTGTCTCTCCAGCCTCGTGTCACACCAAGGTCCTCTTCCTTCTCTAAGTTCTTACAGGTGCTCACACTGACCATACCCCCACTGCCACCCAACAGCCTCCGCCACACACACCCACATCTGGAATTTCCAAATGTGTATCGATCAGCTTTCTCTTGGCTTTGATGGATAAATTCCTAGATATCACGTAGTTCTCAGTTCAAATATCATTTCTTTAATGAAGTGATCCCTGAAGTGATACCTGCTATGACTAATGACTATTTTAGTGATGTTTACCACATCTGTATCCATATCGTTTAGCTCTAGTCAGATTTATAATTTTATGTTCACTTGTCTTTCATTTCCCATTAGACCTTAAGCTCAATGAGAAAAAAAATCATGCTATTTTTGTTTAACACCATATTTGCAATTATCAGCATAGTATGCGATCCATTAATATTTGCTAATTTAATAATGAAATGTTAAATTTGTATAAGTTTCAATTTTAAAAATTCTGCATGAGTTATTAATTCTATCACAGGCACCATCTACTTTTGACTTCAGGAATATTGTATTTATTTCTCTTGAGACAATTTTATCCCTACAGTTATGTACTTCCTAGAATTTTTTGAAGGCCATACAGCCCTGTTTGTCCAGTTGGCCACGCACGTTGTATATATTGTATGAGTAACCCACGTGCAAACACACATGGGTGTTTTCAGTCCCTGTGCTCTATTTAGAGTTTACTAAATCATTCTTGTTGGAGCTGGAAAATAAATTCAAGAAGCGTTTTCTTTTTTTTCCTTAATACTTTATCATGTCTTCCATTGTAACTTGCCTAGCCAAGTGATAAATTTTCAGAGGAATAAAAGGCAAATTACATATTGGCCAGTTGTTGAAATGCATAGTTAACCAGTAAATACTAAGAAGAAAATGGGCATAAAAAATGTTTTATTCTTTATATAAGAAAATGAAGTATAAGGAGGACATGCTGTAAGAGCTTTTGCGTGTTTGGTTGTTTGCCACAGCAGTCGGGGAGTCATAGTGTTAACTATTTTTTTCTATTTTAGGAAATAGTTGCAGTGAATTATAGCAGGAAGTGAACAGGAGAAACAGACAGACCTGAGTTCAAAGCTTGGGTCAGCTAAATTACTGACAATGCAGTGTTGGAAAGTGTTTTTTTCCTCTATCTTTATTTTCTCATCATACTAAATTAGAAGTGTAATATCTACCTTGGAGACTATAATTATGGTTAAAATTAATAATTTCTGTAAAGTAACTATAATAATGATTAGCACATAGCAGTTTTTCAAAATATGGCGTTTGTTACTTCGCTGTTGCCATGAAGATGAAGATTGCTATCAACATTTTAAGATGGCTGATTAAAAATGGGATCTCTGGTTATAAAATAGGATGTTACTGTGTGCAAAGTACACACAAGGATCAAATTTACGATATTGACTTCACTGGCTTCATGATCCAACTTCTAAGCTTCTAAGTCAGTACACTGCTAATTGTGCCAAATGGCTTATTTACTGAAAGTATTTAACTCCCAGTCATTGGCTTTCTCTCTTCATATGTGTTTGATTAATACTTTTCTACCTCTCTTCTTGAAAATCAGTCTAACCTGTCCTTTAAGCCATCCCAACTCAATAATAGAGAATCGCTGTAAATATAACTATAAACTTAGATATAACTATAGTTCTAATGTATAACATACCTCAGAGAGTACTATTAAACTCAAACAAGAATTTGCACATACTACATCTACTTTGTTATATCTATTCTTCTTTTTTAATATTCTGAAGTTCAACATCTGCTCCCAACACTTTGCTGAACTCATTTGCTCGGAGATTAACAGTTATCTCTTGATTGGGACACTCAGAACTGACTGTCTTTAGTCACCTTTCTCTTTGATGCCTCATGTTTGACATACAGCTTTTGACAGTTCACCAGCAATTCTTCTTGAGATATTCTCATCCATAGGGTCCCACTTCCCAAAACAGATGAGATCTCCTCCTTCTCATGATTCTTCTTCATTTTTTTTTTTTTTTTTTTTTTTTGAGACAGAGCCTCACTCTGTCACCCAGGCTGGAGTACAGTGGCACAATCTCTGCTCACTGCAACTTCTGCCTCCCGGGTTCAAGCGGTTCTTCTGCCTCAGCCTCCTGAGTAGTTGGGACTACAGGCATGTGCCACTATACCCAGCTAATTTTTTGTATTTTTAGTAGAGACGGGGTTTCACTGTGTTAGCCAGGATGGTCTTGATCTCCTGACCTTGTGATCTGCCTGCCTCGGCCTCCAAAAGTGCTGGGATTATAGGCGTTAGCCACCACGCCCGGCCCCATTCCTTTATCTTTTTTCCCGATTTATTTTTATCTCTTTGTTAAAAACTATGACCATCACCAAAGTTAAGGCCTTGACTTCTCTTCTTGATTTTCTCCACTTATTTCCATGCCTTAACTTGGTGATTCTGCAAGGATATCTTGAAAAGCTACGTCAATAGCATGACTTTTCTCTAGATTCCAGATGTTACAGAGTTCTTACTGGATGTTTCTACTAGTGCGCTGTACCATTTTGTTAGATACAAATTGCAAAGCCAAATTTATTCAGTTATTACCAAAACTAGATGATTTCTCTCTTGACTTCCATGTTCCTGTAAATGATGCCCCATTGTCACATAACTAATAATAAAGCATTGTGTTCAATATTTATTATACCCACTTTCTTTTGGTTACTAAGTTCAGAAATTTTTTTCTACAGAGTATCTTCTGGATTTTCTCCCTTAGCCTCCACTACTCCTGGATTTTACCATTAGTGTCCTGACACTGTTACCCACAACTATATCCCTGTTCCTCTTGGATATCACTGTTAGTCAAAGCCTCTTAAAGCCAGAATCCAATTACCAAGGTCCTTGCTATAGAATGTTTGATAGTTTCAAATTGATAAATTCATTCTCCTGGGCATGCATTTAAACTCTCTTTAATAGAGCCACTCTCTTAAATCTTCTCATTCCATCTGAATTATTTTATTCAAGTGCCACTAACCACACCACATATCCCTTACTCTTCCTTATACACAGTGAACTCATCCTTTTTCTGTATGCATGTGAATGCTACCCATTCTCCAAAGGCAGTTCATCTATTTACTTTTTTGTGAAGCTTTCCTTTATAAGTTGTTCTCTCCTTTGAATCATAGTGATTCTGTCTGATGACAGTGTTTCCCAAGTATGAGTAATTTTTAACAAGGAAAAAAAAAATCCTACCTCTGTGAATAAAAATAGCAGTGAAGCCTTGAAGGTAGTAGCTTAAACAACTCTGGTTTATAACCTTCAGCAGAGAATTAACCATATCATTTTGCATATTACCTTTTTAACATGATATTTGCCATTGTATTCAACTCATTTATATAAGGTAGTTATGCCTGTCTTTCCAGTTCAATTATAAGCTCACTGAGGGTAGAGATCATCTTACCTGACTTCTGTGTGCAAATAGCCATTATGCATTTGTTTCCATTTTAATTGCTGCGTATTTTGGTCATGTGAAAAAATGACAGTGCTTTTATGTTTAGTGTTACTGAGAATGGCTTAGTGTTGCTGAAATGTGCAATTCAATAGTTAATTAAATAAACAGTGTTCTTGAATGGAAATTATGATTCTAAAAGCACATGCCACTAATTCCAGCCACTACCACCAGGGGGGGTATATGCTACCTTTTGGTATACGCCAAATAACTCAACAGTCTCGGGAAGATGAATAATTAATAAACAGGAGACAACTCTGGAATTAGCTCTTGTGCCTTTTCTAAAGCTTAGAAGGTAGACTTTTATAAGATACATGGATCTTCACAGAACTACTAAGAACAATATTTTAATATAATTGGAAAATAACTTCAAGCAAAAGTAGGCATCTGTTCTCACTATTCTGCACTAAGTGAAACTTGAGTCTGTATTTTTCTGCACATTTTCTCTTATCTCACTTTACCTTATCATTTTATTTCTCTTCAAGTATTATATCCCTACATCTGCTGAAAAATGTTTCCTGAGAAGCACCTAATCATGTCTTGGGTCTAGCTATCTGACATCTTCAGAAATGACCCTAGATTGCTTGGCGCGACCTTACACTTTCTGTCTCCGGCATCGGTTTCAAAACCCTTTGTTAATATCCTCCAGAAAATGCTTGGTCTCTAGTGTCCTATACTTCAGTACTCCAGGGATTTAGTCCAGGCCTGCTATATTTTCTCCGGCTATATATTCTTTTTCCCCACACTTTCTAACCTAAAGAAGTTCCCACAACAAAATCTGAGGTTATCTGTTCTATTTCAAGATCCACTGTGTTTCTAACCAGGCTGTTCCACTGGGTTTTTTTTTTTCCCTCCTCACAATTCATAAGGTATCAATGAGATTTTTTTGTTTGTTTTACATAAAATAAAAGTGCCTGTTTGTCCTCCGTAGTGCTGTAGGCTCAACATGTTTCCAAGAAACTTCACTGGAAATCATGACAGCTTTTATATATAAAAATTTTTCTTTACGTAAGTACTGAAATATCATAGCAATAACCAAAACCAAAAGGAAAACAAAAGGCAAGTCAATGAAGAAAAGAGATTTTGAAGGAACTCAAGATTTATTTCATGTTTTATTGACTCTTACAGGTTATGTAGAAGTGCTGGTGATACCTGCTGGAGCAAGAAGAATCAAAGTTGTGGAGGAAAAGCCGGCACATAGCTATTTAGGTAACCTGTGTTACAGACACAGAGAAGATCCAAGTACGAGCCCAACTCCCTGCCCTGAGAGTTCTATGATGAGGAGGAAGTCAATCTGTTTCTAGTTTTATGTTTGAACTTCCCAGGAACTATCTTTTGTCATATCAAGTAGGAAAATTTTTCCTTCTCTCCCAAGGACTTCCCAGGAGCAAAAGCAATCTGGTTGTCTGTATGTTTTTGAGGGGTAAAAATTGCTTCCACATGTTAGTCCAAGATAAAAAAACAAAACAAAACAAAAACCTCATTGAATGATTTGGGTATGATTTATATTCATATATATATATATATATATATTTCATAAATATATTTATTTCACATATATACATACATTCATATATACATATTAATTGCATTTATAAATGAATTTATGTATATATATATATAAAATGATCGTTTCGTCAGGAAATCTTGTGGCGTTTTTGAAGTAATGTTCTACATACTAAAGGACTTGATTTTTTAATGGAAAAGGGTTCTCTCTCTTGCCTCATTTTAGGAAATCTCACCTATGAAGAAAACATTTTTAAATTTTTAACTATTCCTTATGAAAAGTACTGTATCAGTTATTTTAATAGTTTAATTAGGTCAATTCATGATTTTAAATATATGAAAAAAATACTAAATTGTCAAAATATACGTGCTCATATGTTAAAGTTTCAATCTAATTAAGTCATGTGAAATTAAGTTTTATCTGGCATCCAGAGATAGAGGGACCTAATATGATTATGTCAGGCAGACATTTTTCCAGAATTGTAACACTGTGTTTGTATTATCTTTACATACACAAAAAAAGCTCTCAAGCCTATTTTTTTAACAAAAATAATGTCCTCCCTATTTTTTTTCTTTAATGAGCAATAATGTTCCAACAAGGAATCCTTTGTATATAGAAACAACTCAGCTTACGTGATTGTTTCTACTCTGCAGTATCAAAAATACATAATCTAAACTCAGATTGAATTTTTTTCAATAGGAGTTGAAGTCTAGGACTAGAAAAATTTGAGGAAAGGGGACTGTAAAAGGAATTCTTTATCATGTGACACACTCATTACCAATTATTACCATTTGTTCCCAAAATATGCATTGGTATTTAATCTATTTTACTTACTATGGTACAAATAGATCATACAAGATTTTCAAATACAGATTAAAAGTCCTGATACCCAGTTTTTAGAGACACTGGCCATAATCTAGACAATTTCAATACATTCATTCAATAGCAGACAAGTTGTTATTACACTTGCATGTATGTTTTCTTTTTTCCAAGCTGGAAAGGAATATAGATATCTCAAATGGAATTTCTCAATTATACAAAATTCTAAATTATAATATGGGTTTTAGTAACCTGACACATGTGGCTAAATAAGCCAGGCAATATTACAAAGGTGACATCTTCATGCTGTCTCCAATTTCTTACCTCCCAGTCTCTTCAACCAATCCAGTCCTGTTTCCTGTCTCCCTCTACAGTAAACGCCTTTTATAAGGTCAGCAAATGCCCTCCATGTTGACAAATCCAATGTTACTTGACCTGTAAGCAGCATTTAAAACTGTTGACTTCTCCTCATTTCATTAAACACTTATAGGACCACTGGATGCCACTTACTGGTCTCTTTTGTGAGGTCTTCAGCCTCTTTGTTTCCAAATATTCCCATACTATGGGGTTCAGGCCTGGGTCCTGATCTTTTCTCTGCTATATTCTGTCCCCAGGGAATTACATCTAGCTCTATTGTTTTGCATGTTTATTTGATGTAAATTATCAAAAGTTTCATAGGTACCTCAGAAATAATAAGTCTGATATAGTTTGGATGTTGTCTCTTCTAAATCTCATGCTAAATTCTGATCCTCAATACTGGAGGTGGGGCCTGGTGGGAGGTGATTGGATCATGGGGATGGATTTCTCACAAATGGTTTAGCACCATCCTCTTGGTGCTGTCCTCACAATAGTGATTTCACGTGAGATCTGGTTACTTAAAAGTATGTGGTATGTACCCCCCACCCTCCTGCCCCTTGCTCCCTCTCTCCCCATGTGAGATGCCTGCTCCACCTGCACTTTCGGCCATGATTGTAAGCTTCCTGAGGCCCTCATCAGAAGCCAAGCAGATGGCAGCACCATACTTCCTATACAGCCCACAGAACCGAGAGCCAATTAAATCTATTTTCTTTATAAACTACCCAGTCCCAGGTGTTTCATGATAGCAGTGCAAGAACAGCCTAACAGAAAGTCCAAAATCAAAAGTCCAAATAAAAAATTTGATTTCCACTCCATGCTAAAACCTCTTCTTCCTTTGGTGTTCTCCACTACAGTGAATGTCACTGCATTAGTGTCCTATGCCTACTATAACAATTACTGCAAACTTGGTTACTTAAAACAACAAAAATGTATTCCCTCATAGTTCTGTAGGCCAGAAGTCCAAAATCAGTTTCACTGGGCCAAAAATCAGTGTTTGCAGTGTTACACTATCTCTGGAGACTCTAGGAGAACATCCATTCCCTGCCTTTTCCAACTCTAGTGGCTGCCAGCATTCCTTCGCTTGTGACCTTGTCACTCCATTGTCTACCTGCATGGTCTCTTTGCCTTCTCCTTTCCTTCTATGTCCAAATTTTCCTCTTCTCTCTTATAAGGCCTCGTATTTAAGGCCTACCTGGATAATTCAGGATAATCTCCCATCTCAAGATCTTCAACTTAATATCTGTAATTTTTTAATGTGCCACAGAAGGTAATTATCTAGTTTGTTTGTGCTGCTATAAAAATACCATAGATTAGGTAGCTTATAAACAACAGAAATGTATTGCTCATAGTTCTGGAGGCCAGGAAGTCCAAGATCAAGGCACTAATAGATTTGGTGCCCTTTAAGGGCTCATTTCCTGATTTACAGATGGCATCTTCTTGCTATGTCCTCACATGGTGGAAGGAGCTAGCTAGCTTTCTGGGATAAGGACACTAATCCCAATTATAAGGGCAGCGCTCTTATGACCTAATCACCTCTCAGAAGACTCCACCTTCTAATGCTTCTAATTCTAACGTGGGGTTAGGATTTCAACATATAAATTATGGGGGGGGACACAAATATTCAGACCATTGCAGTAGCATTCATAGGTTCCAAGGATTAGGATGTGGGTATCTTTTTCCCCCTCAATAACATATTTTTTATTGTGGTAAAATATATATCACATAAAATTTACCATCACAGCTATTTTTAAGTGTCAAGTTCAGTTAATTCAGTGGCATTAAGTACATTTACATTTCAATGAAATCTTTTGAAGGAATACAAAAAACCATTTTAAAATTCATGTGAAATTTTATATACGGAAGTGACCCTGAATAGTCAAACCAATCTTGAAAAAGAACAAAGCTGGAGGATGCAGACTTTCTGATTGCAAAACTTCCTACAAAGCTATGGTAATTAAAACAGTACGATCCTGGCATAAAGACAGACATCTAAACCAATGGAAAAGATTAGAAAGTCCAGGAATATATATATGTGTATATATATATATATTCAAATGATTTTCAACAAGGGTACCAAGACCATTCAACTGAGAAAGGACAGTCTTTTTCTCCGGTGGTGCTGGGAAATCTAGATATCCACATGCAAAAAAAATGAAGTTGGACCTTTGCCTAAAACTATATGAAAAAGCTTTTTTGTCCAGGGCTTTTGATTTTTGATTACTGATTTAATCTCCTTGCTAATTATAGGTCTATTTATGATTTCTCTTTCTTCATGATTCAGTTTTGGTAGGTTTTGTTTTGGGAAGTTTGTACATTTCATCTAGGTTATCTAATTTATGGTCCTAAACTTGTTTATAATACTCTCATAATCCTTTTTATTTCTGTAGCATTGATTATAACAGCCTCACTTTCATTTCTGATTTTAGTAATTTGAGTCTTGTCTTTTCTTTTGTTCCCTTAGTCAGTCTAGCTAGACTTGTTAATTTTGTTGATCTTTTCAAAGAACTATCTTTTGTTTTGTTGATTTTTCTCTATTGTTTTCTATTCTCCATTTCACTTATCTCTAATCTAATCTTATCTGCTTTCTTCTACTAGTTTGGGATTCAGTTTGTTGTTTTTTTGAGATCTTTCTTCTTTTTTAATATAAGAGTTTATAGGTATACATTTTCTCCCTAGGAAAACCTTTGCTGTGTCCCATAAGGTATGGCTTTGGCATGTTGAGTTTTCATTTGTCTCCAGATAATTTCTAATTCCCCATGTGATTTTTTTTTCATTGTTGCATTGGTTGTTAGTGTGTTGTTTAATTTCTACAAATTTGTGCATTTTCTGTTTCTGTTTTTGATTTCTAACCTCATCCCTTTGTGGTCAGAGAAGATATTTTGTATGATATTTACCTTTTAAGAGCATAGATAGATATGTGGTGGGGGGTTGTTATTCAGCTCATCATATTCACTAATTTCTATCCAGTAGTTCATGTAAAAACTGACAGTCTTCCTTGATCCTTCACTTTCTTTACTGCTCTAATGTGACGCATCAGGAAATCATTTCAGTTACTCAAAATTATTACTTTTTCTCTGTATACACTGACCTCTAACCAAGCCACTCTGTATTACATTGTCCTGCTTTATTTTCTGTATTGCATATCCTTGTCTGAATTTTTTATTTGTTTAAATTCTTGCTTTTCTAATGTCAATCTCCATTGTTAATTCTGGAAGGCATTTTGTTCTTTTGTCTACAATATCTAAATCAAAGTCTGGCACACAGGAAATTATAGACTTTTTGAGTGAATTTGTTTAAGAAAAAGATGTTTCACACTTGGTTAGTATAGGCCAGTGCATTACATACATCCATAAATCCTCAGAATACCTCTATGAAGTAGGCATTATTAATTTCCCAGTTTTTAAAATCTGGTAATAGAGTAACAGAAACTTTAAGTTTCTTGCCCAAGGTTACACATCTAAGAAGCTGTGAATCTAGATTTGAACCCGAGGCATCTGGGGATAGCATCTGGGTTCTTAGGCACTGAACCATGCTGCCTCCTTTTTAGTTTTCTTATTTTAAGTAATTGTCGTCCATGCAACACTTGTGATTTTAAAAAGTACATGTCATATTTGAACACATTTTCTTTAAACTTATCCCATATAACCTCTTTTTCCCCCTTTTAAACCAGGGTGATCAACTAATTGTATAGAATTAACTCAGAAGGGTATAAATCATGAAATGACTGTTTTCTTCTCTACTCACTGTCTCCAATTCTACTAAATCCCATCATTTTTCTCTGTTAGTGACCTCTAAACATAAGTCTCCAATCACTCTTTGTTTTTAAAAGACCACTCAGTTTAAAAGTTGAATCACATATCCGTCTCAGTTAGTTACCGTAAATTCTCCTTGTGCTTAGCCTTAGGCCTAAGTGAGCAGGGTCTTTTACTTGTAGAAAGAAACACCATCTATGCCCCTAAACAGACTGAATGCTGCTCTGGAGATTAAATCAATGTTGAAAATACTAGTAATATGTTACCATGTTTATTCAAAAACACATTTCCTTACTTGCTGACTCAGAAAAAAATAATTCACCTCGGATGAATCAGAGGAAGGGTGCCTTGGAGCACACATTCTTGGAGGGAAAGAGACCGGCTGCATAAACCTAACTAGAGAATAGAAATAGGAAACACCCAGTAGCTTCCAGAGACATTGAAGAAGTTGAACTGATGGAACTTGCTGAAAAATAGATGTGAGTGTTGATAGAGGATAAAAATTCAAGGATGACTTCTAGGTTTCTGGTAAGTAATAGTAACACCAATGTAGGACACATGGATGAGGGGCAAATTTGGAATAAAGAAGAAATGACACTGTGTTGAAATCACAGATTTCAGGCCTAAAGACTTGGCAAATAGATGCATTTCATAAATCACATTTCCTAAAGGCTCCTTTGGGTATAGGAAGGAAGTCATTGGAAATATTCATCTTGAAATAGCTTTAGCAAAAAGAAAAGAAAATAGAACCTTGGCAAACTGATCATTCTTAAAGAAATTAACCTGTCTACATCAAACTATATATTATTTTATAGAGATAATTAATCCCTTCCCAATACAATTATTGTTTTTCATCATTCCTTCTTTAAACTGTATTCTTAATTGCAATTATTATTTGCTTTTCTGAAGATTCTGGCATTATTGTCTTGTTCGTAATTTATCAAAAAGCCTAAAATGGAAAATACTTCAGATAGACCTATGTTATATCTTTGCAAAATCATTCCATCTCATGAGTTTTTTAAAAAATCTCAAAAAGGTCATATGGGTCTACTTACCTTCCACGCAGTTTTGTATGTAAAGCACTATGGACAACTTCTCACTAAAAAAAAATTAAAATGAGCAAAATTCAAAAGAAAAAACACTTTTTATAATGTACCTGTCATTTAGTCTCTTTGGGCTGCTATAACAAAGTGCCATGGACTTTGTGGCTTATAAACAACAGAAATTTATTTCCCACAGTTCTGGAGGCCAGAAGTGTGAGATCAAGGGTGCCAGCATGGTGGGCTTCTGGTGAGGGCCTTCCTTCTGAATTGCATACTGCCGACTTCTAGCTGTGTCTTCACATGGCAAAGAGAGAGAGGAAACAAGCTCTCTTGGGACTCTTATAAGAACACTAATCCCATTCATGAAAACTTCACTCTCATGACCTCATCTAATCCTAATTACCTCCCGAAGACTCCACCTCCTAATAAGAACACATTAGGGGGTAGGGTTTTAACATGAATTTGGGGGAGGGCACCAATGTTTAATCCTTAACACCTCTGAACTGGAAAGAAATTAAAGAACCCTTAGATACTAAAAACAAAGTGGGAACAGGAAGCCAGAGAATTAAGCTAACTATAAAGACCCACCTATACTTGATTCTGGTAAGCAGGTGTAGACTTTGAGAGCCACAGGGACTCTGTGGACAGAAAACAAAACCTAAGGCCTTTACAAAGTGGGAGCTCTAGTAGGAGAGCCCTGCATAAAGCAAGAACTCTAAAGAACTACAACTTCATTGTGGTGGAGAGAGAGAAATTGCACCACAAAAGGTGGAAGAAAGAAAATGTATCTATATTAACCTTAGTACTAAGTGGAAGTAGAAAAATCAATTTTCCTGAGAATTTATAAGGCAAATCAAACCCTCATATGGGTTTGCAGCACCAATTTACCTTAACTGTAAAGTTCAGGGCTCTCAAGACTTATATGGTTACTAAGTTGGTTGGCATGTGCAAGTCCAAATCTACACACACACACACACACACACAAATACATACATATATGGCTATTCAGATATTCTTATATATGTTTTATATATATATGGCTATTCAGATATTCCTCTTCTTTTTGTGTCAATTTTGGTAACTGTTATCTTTAAGAAATTAATTCATTTCCCTTACCTTGTCAATTTCATTGGTTTAAACTTGTTTATAATATTACCTTATTATACTATAATACCTATAAGAATAATATTTTGTCTCTTATTTCTAATATTTTTAGTTTGTGTCTATTTTTCTTAGATAAGCTAAAGTTTTATCAGTTATTTGATCTTTTCAAATAACCAACTCTTGGTGTTAATGATTATCCCTATTGTTAATTTACTTCTATTTAACTGACTTCTGCCCTTTATTAGTTTCTTGCTTCTATTTACATTGGGTTTATATTTATTTTTTCTACCATTTTAAGGTAGAAACTTAGATCATGAACTTCATTGCTTTCTTCTTTGCTAATGTGACAATTTAAAGCTATAGGATTCCCTCTAACCACTGCTTTAGTTTTATTCCACAATATATTCTTAGTTCAAAAGATTTTCATATTAGCACCATGATTTCTACTTTGATTCATGAGTTACTTATAAATGGATTGTTTAATTTCCAAATTTTTTTAGTTTTTAAAATAGATATATTGTTACTGATTTTTAGTTTAAATCTGTTCTGATAAGAGAATATATTCAGTGTAATTTCAATTTTGAGACCTCTTTTATAACTTATGGCATCTATTGACCAATGACCCGTTTATACTTGAAAAAATTTGTGTTCTATTAATACAATTGCTGAGTACAATCTCTAAATATCAATTAGTTTTATTTGGTTCTAGTCTTCTATATTCTTACTGATACTCATCTTTTTTTCAGTTAAGTATTGAAATTTTCAACTAAAATTGTGGATTTTTCTGTCTCTTTTCAATTATGTCAGTTTTGCTTCATGCATTTTGATACTTTAGCATACACTTAGGATTGTTAAGTCTACTCAACAAATGTTATGTCATTTTAAAATTTAAATTTAATTAATTTTAATGTAAATGACCTTTAAAAACATGTCTTTTTTTAAATCTCAAAATATTTCTTGCCCTTGTCCATGGTATCCATTAATAATATGGCCATTGGCCGGGGACGGTAACTCACGCCTGTAATGCCAGCACTTTGGGAGGCTGAGGTGGGCGGATCACCTGAGGTCAGGAGTTCAAGACCAGCCTGACCAATATGATAAAACCCTGTCTCTACTACAAATACAAAAATTAGCCTGGTGTGGTGGCATGCCCCTGTAATCCCAGCTACTCAGGAGGCTGAGACAGGAGAATCACTTGAACCCGGGAGGCGGAGGTTGCAATGAACTGAGATCACACTATTGCACTCCAGCCTAGGCAACAAGAGCGAAACTCCATCTCAAAAAAAAAAAAATCATTAAATCCATTTTTTTTAATATTTAGTGTTGCATGCTACATCTTTTTCCATTCTTTTATTTTAACCAATGTATTTTTAAAGCTCTTTGAATACTGTGAGATTTTTCGTTTTCTTTAGCCTGACAATCTCTCTTTTAACCAATGTCCTTAGTCCACTTAAACATAATATAATTTTGGCCATACTGAATTTGTTTTCTATTTGTTCCATCTCTTCTTAATTCCTTTGTGTCTTTTTCTCTGGCTTCTGTTGGACTGAGTACACTTTTTACTATTCCAGTGTCTTCTTTACTTGCTTATTAGCTATAATTCTTGCTTTATATTTTTAATGGATTGTCTAGCATTTACAGTATGTATTTTTAACTTATTACAGCCTCCTTACAAATTATTTATACCACTTTATATATAATGTAAGCTCCTTAAAACAGTATACTCCTCTTTTTCCTTCCTTTTTGCTATTATGCATCTTACTTTCACATTTCCTATTATCAGTTTAATTCTACATATATTTTAAACACCAAAATACATTGTAATCATTTTGCCTCAGTTAATTATACTAAAAATAATATCGATACTTTTTTATACATTTACCACTATCAGCTTCCTTCCTTCCTTCACATAGACACCACTTTCCATCTTGAACCATTTTATTTCAGCCTGAAGAGCATTCTTTAATTTTTTTAATAGAGTAAGTCTCCTGACATTTCTCAAATTTTGTTTGTCTGAATATATTTTTACTTTGCCTTCATCTCTGAAGGATATTTTCACTGGATATAGAATTCGAGATTTTTTTGTTTGCTTTGTTTTCTTTCTCTGAATGTGATATTTTATCATCTTCTGGCTTGTATTAGTTCTGATGGTATATCCAGTGAATTGTTAAATCTTTTACCCCTGTTTTAACGTGCTTTTTTCTCTCTAGGCACTTTCAAGATTGTTATTCCCTATTATTGGATTCCAGCAGTTTGATTATAATGTACCTTGTATGGCTTTCTTTATGCTTATTTGGCTTAGATTTCATTGCATTTTTTAGATTTGTTTATGTTTGTAGACTGTATCAAATTTGGAAATAATTTTGAGCACAATGTCTTCAAATAATTTGTATGCCCCCACCCGTATTTCTGGAATTCTAGTTACACATACGTTACTCTACCAGGTATTTCCCATGGGACAGTTATGGTCTGTTCATTTTTTTAGCCTATTTTCTTTTTAGAATCCAGTCAGTTTCTATTATATTAGCTTTCCTTCAAGTTCACAGACTTCTTTTGCAATATCTAAAGTGTTTGTAAATCAGTTCAGTGAATTTGTCATTACAGATATTATGTATATTTTTCTATTCTGTGACTTTATCATTACAGTTATTATATATATTTTTTCTATTTCTATTTTACATATTTTATTCTGTGAAATTTGATTTTTCATAGTTTCCATTACTCTTCAATATTACATATTTTTCTTTGAATTATTGTGCATACTGAACATACTTACAATAGCTCTTCAAAAGTCTTGGTCAGCTGGGCACAGTGGCTCACACCTGTAATCCCAGCCCTTTGGGAGGGCAAGGCAGGCAGATCACTTGAGGTCAGGAGTTCAGCCTGACCAACATGGTAATACCTCGTCTCTACTAAAAATACAAAAATTAGCTGGGCATGTGGCAAGCACCAGTAATTCTAGCTACTCAGGAGGCTGAGGCAGGAGAATTGCTTGAACCCATGAGGCAGAGGTTGCAATGACCTCTGCAATGAGATGGCGCCACTGCACTCCAATCTGGGTGACAGAGTGAGACTCCATCTCAGAAAAAATAATAATAATAAAAAAAAGCCTTGGTCTACAAATTCTGTCATCTCTATTATTCCTGGACCTCTTTTTATTGGCTGATTTTTCCACTGATTATGATAGGTTGCAATCCCTGACTTTTTCCCATACCTAGTACTTTTTGGTTGGATGCTGGATATTATGAATGTGACATTGCTGAATGACTGTATTTTGTTATTTACTATTGAGTATTGAGTTTCATTTTGCTGGACAGTTAACTTACTTGCAGATCAGCTTAACTTCTTGAGGCTTTTTAAAAGCTTTGTCAGTATGCAACTAAAGTAACCTTTGTTCTAGGATTAGTTTAACTTTATTTCTTATATGTAGCCTTTTTTTGTTCTCCACTAAAGACTTCAGCTGCTTTAGCCAATTTGAACTCCGTTCTCTGTGTCCTCAACTCACTGAAGCCCTCGCCCTCATCATCTGTCCTCTGTGTGGGTTCTACCTCCCAGTCAGGGGGTCTGGTAAATATTTTCAAGCAGAAAGCCAAGCAGTTTTAGAGATCAAATCATTTGGTCTTCTCTTAGGGATCGCAGTTCTCTGTTATTTAACCAACATCTGAGAACAGCTGTTTCATACATTGTCTAATTTTCTAGTTATTTACCATAGGAGAGCTAATACAGTTTTAGTTATTCAATCATGGTGAAGAGTATGATTTCTAAAAGCACATTTTTTAAATTAACAAATTAAAAACAAAAAGCAAGAAACATATATACCTAAAGTATTGATTCTTTATGTGAGGCTGCTATTAAATGGTGTGGATTTGAAGGTACATGTGTGAGTGCCATTTTCTGGAGAATGCTGAATGTCAAAAATACCAATTGAATCTAAATGTACTCTAGTGATCCCCAGGATTTGTAAAGGCATTTTAATTAGAGATTTTCTGAAAATATTTCTTTACATTGTGCCCTAAAAATGTACTGAATACAGGAGAAAAAAATGGAATTGTACCGACCTTAGTACATATCTAGGCCAAAAAGATTCCTCAAAATACTTAATAGACTTTAATGAAAAACAAGGAAATAATTTACCTTTTAGGAAAAATCATTAATTATTTTATCAATTTAGCATGATCAAAATTAAAAAATTATAAAGTTCAATAGGAATAAAATAATAGATCTTTAAGAAAAGTAGATTGGGCCCAGCACAGTGGCTTACGCCTGTAATCACAGCACTTTGGAAGGCCAAGGTGGGGAGATCACCTGAGGTCAGGAGTTCCAGACCAGCCTGGCCAACATGACAAAACGCTGTTTCTACTAAAAATACACAAATTAGCTGGGGATGGTGGTGGCAGCCTGTAATCCCAGCTACTCGGGATGCTGAGGCAGGGGGAATTGCTTGAATCTGGGAGGCAGAAGTTGCAGTGAGCTGAGATCGGGCCACTGCACTCCAGCCTGGGTGACAGAGTGAGACTCCGTCTCAAAAAAAAAAAAAAGTTAACTTCTGATATTGCTCCTCAACTATGTTCTTTTGACAGTTTTTACCATTTCATTATTTGCCATCATAACCCATCTGTTTTCTCATCCTAGAACCCTGGCATCATACTTGACACTTCCCAGGGGAACCAATTCATTACCATATTCTGTCCATTTTACTCTGAAACAAATCTTGATATTTTCATCCATTCCCTTAATCCAAGCCACCATTACTTTCAGTTGGGCTACCATGTTAGTGTTATATCTTATCTTCCCTGTGTAAATTTACCCTACACCAGCCCATTTTCCACAGAATATTTTTCGAAATACTTTAAAGCTTTACTTTCCCCCCCACCCCGCCAGACCACATCTGGTTCTGTTGCCCAGGCTGGAGTGCAGTGGCATGATCTCAGCTCACTGCAACCTCCACCTCCTAGGTTCAAGCGATCCACCCACCTCAGCCTCCCGAGTCACTGGGACTGCAGGCGGGCACCACCATACCTAGCTAATTTTTGTATATTTTGTAGAGATGGGGTTTTGCCATGTTGTCCAGACTGGTCTTGAACTTGTAAACTCAAGCCATCTGCCCACCTTGACCTCCCAAAGTGCTGGGATTACAGGTGTGAGCCACCACACCGGCCGTTACATTTTTTTCTTAGGAAAACTCAAATACTAACAAGGCCTCTCTGGTCTGGCTAGTCCTCATTTCTCCAGCCTCCCTTCATAATCTGCTTCAGCATGTTTGACTTCATGCACATGGGTCTCCTGGTCCTGGTCAAGCTGCGATGAGCTTTAAGACCTTTCCATGTATGGCTCCCTTAGTCTAGAATGCCCTTTCCCTTATTTCCCTTCACTAATTTTCTCAGTAAATAACATCCCTCAGAGGAGCCTCTTTCAACTCTGCCACGCAAGTGTCAGCATGTTGTAGTCAGTTGCCTACGTAACTTGTTTAATGTCTGGCTCTGCAGTTAGAGTGTAAGTTCCATGAAGACAGAGAACATATACATGTTGTTCATTTTGGGGGTTCCAGAACTTTGAATGTTGCCTGAGTTATGGTTGATACTAGATAAGTAATTATTCAATCATGATTTTATATTAGGTAAGAGAAATTTACTTTCAGTGCTGTGCTCAGAAATAAACACTCTCAGTCACTATTATGGAAGTATAAATTGATGCAACCTCTAGGAAAATCAATTTGAAACTGTTTTTCAAAATCTTTAAATGTTCAATTTATTTATTATTGTAGTTCCAAATCTGGATATTTAAGGGAAATATTCAGATATACACATAATTAGTATATAGCATATTTATTTAAACATTATTTACAAGATAAAAACTTGGAAATCTTCAAACATCTAATACTTGGAGATTAGCCTAAATAACTAGCAGGATTTATTGGCTTAAGTTATCAAAATGTTTTCATGTAATTTTGACATAGCCTTCAATGAATCCTCATGTACATGTCTTTAGGAAAGACAGTAAAGTTGTATGGAAGAGTCTAAAAGTTTAAATTAAACACTAAATCATTTGAAGGAAAATATTTTAAAAACTTAATTTAAAATGGTAACCATGATGTCTCATTTCCGTGTCACTAATCTTATTTAAATTGTACACAGATTAGCTCAAAAAGAAAAAAAATTATGTAAACAGAATTATTCTGTAAAATCCTATATAGATGATTGTTGCTTGTGGGTGAGAAATAACATTTATCTTCCATTCTTGTTCACAGCAAATCACAAACAGATGTTAAAAGGTCCTGGGTCTGTTTTTAAATCCAACATATTATCTTTGAATTGTTTTATAATGCATATAACCCTGCCATTTTGATCAGTTAATTAATGTCCTGCTTAATGATCCTTCTTTAATCACATACTTTTCTGAATGGGCATAGGAGAGACAGAGCATGTATGAGATATAAAGCCAGTATTCACAATGCTCATAGGATCACTGGATAGACTAAATAGATACACATAGCCTGAATATAGTAATGTGTTAAAGAATAAATGATTAAGGACCAAAATAAGGAATATATACATCAAAGGTCCAAGGAGATTAGAGAAGGCAAAGATAAATATGGCTATATAGTTATGGACAATTTCAGGACAGGAGAGCTATGGCATCTGCCATGATTGCAGACTTTTCCTAAAAAGAGCTGCCTCAAGTTTTACATCAGGGAATGTTGATCCATTTGTTTGTAAATAAATGGACTAGTTTTAACAAAATAATTTGTAGTAGATGTTGATCAATGAAGCTGACTTGTTAATACTCATTATATTTTTGAACCTCTTTATAGCTCTCCGAGATGCTGGCAAACAGTCTATTAATAGTGACTGGAAGATTGAACACTCTGGAGCCTTCAATTTGGCTGGAACTACCGTTCATTATGTAAGACGAGGCCTCTGGGAGAAGATCTCTGCCAAAGGTCCTACTACAGCACCTTTACATCTTCTGGTATGAGGGAATGAATTGATAACATGGCATAATCAACTTCTCATGGCAAGGAATATTCCCAGTGCACTTCCTCTAATATTTTTCAGATTTGAATTGTCACACAGACATTTAAAATTATTTAAAAAGTGGAATTTTTAGAGGTTTTGTAAAATGTGTTTTAAATCATGTTGTCTAAAAACAGCAATTATTACAGGAGGAGCAAGATGTTTTAGGGAATTTACAGATGCAAAGTACAGATGGATGACAGGGAATCCAAAGAAAACCCTTCTTCCTAAAAACATACATTTACTAACTGAAGAGGATGTCTATGAAGAGAGTACTATAATATTGCATGCAAATCACAGCGTTTTATATATCCATGAATGGCCATTATCTGACTCTGCATAAAAACCTTAGATAAAATGTTATTCTACCCGAGAGAAGGAATTTGATAAATACATGTTAACAGTGCTCCCCATCACCCTGTTTGTTATTAATGGATTTTTGTAAAGAATTACGAAAATTTGAATATTTGGGATGATAAGCTTTGTTACCATTAGTAAAAAACTGTATATAGGCCAGACGTGGTGGCTCACGCCTGTAATCCCAGCACTCTGGGAGTCCAAGGTGGGTGGATCGCAAGGTCAGGAGTTCGAGACCAGCCTGACCAACACGCTGAAACTCCGTCTCTACTAAAAACAAAACAAAAAAATTAGCTGGGCATGGTGACGCATGCCTGTAATCCCAGCTACTCAGGAGGCTGAGGCAGGAGAATTGCTTGAACCCAAGAGGCGGAGGTTGCAGTGAGCAGAGATCAAGCCACTGCACTCCAGCCTGGGTGACAGAGGGAGACTCTGTCTCAAAAAAAAAAAAAACAAAAAAAAAAACTGGATATAAGTGGGTTAGAATTTGAAGAGAAAAAATCAGGATGATGGAATTCTGTCCAGGCTGGTGGCAGGTCCATGTGCCCCTTTTGACCTTGATTATGGCAGTGCGTGCTAATGGCACATGAGCCAAATGACTGACTACACAGCTGGTGTGAGTTTTCTATCCTAATGGCAAAAAGAAGTCTAAAATTCAGACACTGCAACACCTCCTTAAGTCCACATATAAAACAACTCTAAAACACGATCAATTAACTGTTTATTTGGAGTATGATGTGCTGCATTATTTAATATCTCCACATGATTTAAGATAAATTTGTCTTCAATTGGAGACATGTGTGTTGCTAGTCTAGAAGCCAGAGGTTCACATCATATATTGGCCTATTTGCTTCTACTACTTTAGTGTGCCTGCAGATTACCTGGGGTTCTTACTAAAATGCATAGTCTGATTCATTTGATTTGGGGCAGGATCTAAAATCTGTATTTTTCACCACCTTCCACGTGATACTGCTGCTACTGGTCCACAAACCACATTTTAAATTACAAGGTTCTATATAACTGCAATTAATATGCTTTACCAACAGAAATAAAGGGAGCAAGGTGAGTGGTGTGTGTACCTTCTATTCCAAATCAGAATAATAATAATATCCATCATTCTTGAGGACTAAGAATTAGACACTATCCAAAAGTGCTTTATGTTCATTATAGCATTTAATCCCCCAAATAATCCTGTGTAATATATATTATTATTACTCTAGTTTACAGATTAAAAAGAATTAAATATGAGAAAAGTTAATCAATGTGCTCAGTGTTGTCCAATAAGTTATTTAGCTGTAAAAACCTAGGTATTAGTCACTCTTCTATGCTACCTCGCTGACACAGAGGTCCAAAGAACTTGGATCCAAAGCTTAGATCCAAGTTCTTTATACCAAACTGCCTTAAATCAAAAATGTAAGTATACTTTGAATAATCATTTTGTGCATCACCTCACAGTCCCATTGGATCCTATTATTTAATTTCAGCTGGAAACCCTACTCTCTGCCTTATGCCATCTAGCGAGAGAAAATAAAATGAAGAAACAAATGTTATATGAACAATATCTGTTTCATTCCATGATTTGGTCACTTATAATAACAGTATCAACAGCAAACATATGTTTAATGATTGTATTGCATAAAATGCCATTGTGTTCCCTGCCTTTAATAAATGTAACCTCCCCTGTTTTTATTTTATGGTATAAGACCAAGGCTTCTTTACTAAGCTTCAAATTCAGAATTTTAAAACACTATATGTGAGACCTTAGTGTTGGGTGGAGGGAGTTTCCTTGCTGCAGAATCCTTAATCTAACTGGTAATTACCAAGGTTTTTCCTGGAAGCATGAAGCATAATTAAACTCAGTGAACTATGTCTAAAAGAAGGCATCTATGTGACCTGGATTTATTCAGTAATCCAAGGGAAACTGCACTTCTAAGATATTTTTTCTTTAATGACTATTACAGATTGAAGGACTGTACTGAATTTTTAAAGGCAATCCCTTCTGCTGCCATGCTTCAGCATGTGCCCCTCAACTGTAACATGGTCACACTTTCCTTTTTGCAAAGAATACTGCCAAATTCAAATGGTTTAAGAAAGAGCTAATGGTTTTGTAGCCAATGTCTCTGTTTTAAGTGGCATTAGATATTCAAGGACAATCTAAAGTTCTATCAATGAAAAGGTAGTTTATTAGGAAAAATAGACACATTTTTATGTAATTAAATAAGTTGACAAATAGCTGGTATTTACATGTTCATCCCATTCATTTAAAAACTATGTATTAATAATAGTCTGGGTATAGTCGTAAGGTATATCATTTTTTAAAAACCCATTTAAACTGTCTGTCTTTAAACTCATTAGGCTGAAAGTCACTTATAATCAGCAACATCAAATGACATATTTAAGCCAAAATAAGTACTATGATAGAATTAGTACACTGTATGTGTTACGCATTTGTGAACTTAAAATTATTGTTTTTATTGATATAGTTATTTATAAAGTCGACACACTAGTCTCCCAATCCGCACATCAAAATACATCTTAGGCATTCTGTTGATATACTGAACAAAACTCTGAGAAAAAGAAGGAAAGAAAATATAATAAAAATGTTCAGACACTTAAACCTAGGCCCATTTCAATTTTCCTATGGAATGTTAACTCTGCATTACCTATCATTACGACTACCTTGATGCAGGTAAAATACTAAATAAAGTTCTTCAATAATTTATCATAATTTTAAAATTTGGGTACATATGTTTTTTAATGTATCATATTATATTATATAGATTGTTTCCATAGATCCTCAGATCCATAGAAGTGATATATTCCATGGGATTGCTTGACACATTTTCTAAAAATAGATGTATAAAGAAATATATATATATACTCATTAACTCTTTCATTAAAATATGTGTGTATGTGGGGGAGGGGGGTGGGTGTATTTATGTATAATTGGCCACACTATCCAATTCTGAGCCTGGCACTGGGAACCAGTAGAGAACAAAACAGACATGGTCCCTGCATATAGTTCAGTCCAACGTGTAGCCCCATATTCAGTCGTTTTCATGTATTTTTATGGTTTATTGAACTATTTATATATATATATGTGCATAACTGTACAATTATTAATATTAAAAGTTCATGTAACATAAATTTAACTTCAAAGAAAACAATATATACTACAAGTGGAAAATCAGTAACCTTGCTTGCTACAATTAAAGGTTAACTGTAAGCATACCTGGAGTGAAATTCTTGTCCTCCAGTTTGCTTAGAAATTCTCTGCCCTTATGAAGTTCAGTGATCCCCAAAGTCATCTATCTATCTTCCTCTTTTGACTCAGCAACTTCCTGTCCATCTTTTCTTTTCTCTACATTTGGCATTAGATTGTGGGTCACACCTTGATATATGATAGAACACATACTCCTGCCGCCACTTTTGCCCACCTCCAACTAAAGTCATCTTATACATTTACTATGCTTTGGGAAACTGTCTAGTCCATCAAATTGAAAGAAAATGATCTAGTATGTCTGACCTCACTCAAATGAGCTTTTCTTAAGATGTTTTTAGCATGAAGGTAAGTACGAAGCTCCAGTCTTTTCAAAAGCATGGCAATATCTACATTTAAGAATAATGTCACGTTTCTAGTGTGCATTAAGAGAAGGGTATGTCCACAACAGCAACAACAACAACAAAATGCACACAACACAATGAGCATTTTAAGTATCAATATTGTTAATTTTATGCTTTACATTGCACGTGCTCTAGTTTGACCCATCTGCCTTGATCATTTTTGTATACTATAGGTGCTCCTGTTTCAGGATCAGAATTATGGTCTTCACTATGAATACACTATCCCATCAGACCCTCTTCCAGAAAACCAGAGCTCTAAAGCACCTGAGCCCCTCTTCATGTGGACACACACAAGCTGGGAAGATTGCGATGCCACTTGTGGAGGAGGTGAAGGATTTTTAAACATTTATCTTTCCAAAACATCAGTTGTTTTCTGATTAAGCATTGATAATTAAGACATATCCAAAATCCCTAATCTGCAATTCCAAAATCCATAAAGAGTTAGAAATGGAAAGTTTTATATGATATGTTTAGTGGCTAAACACCTGAAATACTTAGAATGGAAGAACAGCTATTTAGGATTGTTAACATATCTCAATATGACTACTCTTTGCATTACATTACATTACATTACATTACATTACATTACATTACATAAGTATTAATATATTTGTTTACAGGGGCCTCCCCAGACACCATTCAGGTTGTTAGGTACTATTTATGCACTGTGTTATTTCTATGAAATCTTAAAAGTTCTAAATTCCAAAGTACACCTGCCCACAAGAATTACAGACCTGAATTGAATATAAGAATTATTTGGGCCGGGCGCGGTGGCTCACGCCTGTAATCCCAGCACTCTGGGAGGCCGAGGCGGGCAGATCACGAGGTCAGGAGATCAAGACCATTCTGGCTAACACGGCGAAACCCCGTCTCTACAAAAAATACAAAAAATTAGCCGGGTGTGGTGGCGGGCGCCTGTAGTCCCAGCTAGTCGAGAGGCTGAGGCAGGAGAATGGCATGAACCTGGGAGACGGGGCTTGCAGTGAGCCAAGATCCTGCCACTGCACTCCAGCCTCAGTGGCAAAGCGAAACTCCATTTCAGAAAAAAAAAGAAAAGAAAAAAAAAAAGAAGTCTGTGGAATAGCAGGATTAGAAGAGAGTTTTATTTGAAATGTCTGTTGGACATCTAAGTGTGATGTCAAGTAAGCAGTTAGGTATATAAGTCTGGCATTCAGGAGAGAATATCAGGCTACAGATAAAGAATATATGGATATTTTTAAATGCCAACTGAGAATAGTCACCAAAGACTTTATGTATCCTTGGCATTTAAAAATATCCATATATTCTTTATCTGTAGACTAATATTGAGTGAAGAGAGAGAGAAGCTATTAGAGGATTGAAACTTGGGGTATGCCACCATTTAGAGTTTGGAGAGATGAGGAGAAATAAGCAAAGCCTATTGAAATGAGTAGCCAACAACATAGCAGGAAAAAAAAACATGCAGGAGACAATGCTCTTCTGTATGGCAAGTGAAGAGTATTAGAAGAAGGAGGGAATGATCAACTGTATCAAAAGTTGCAATAAATAAAAAATAATGTAGACTGACAATGATTGTTATACTTAAATATATTATAGTCATTATATTTTATAAATGAAATATATTTGGAACATGAAAGTCAATGGTTATCCTATAAAAATTAATAAAGTGTTTGGCTCCAAAGACTGTGTGGATGGATTCCACAGAAAATAGCAGAAGAATTGAAGAAAGAGACTCTAGGTAACTCAGGAATGTTGCTGAAAGGAGAAAACAAACGTGGCAGGGGTAAAAGAGGATATGAGTCAAAGGAGTTTGTTGTTGTTTTCAATAGGGTATATTATACAACATTGTTTGCCAATGTGCATTTTTAAGAATCAAACAAAAAACTAGGGATGCAAAGGAGAGAGCAAAAAAATTGCTGAAGTGTTATCCAAATGGGATAGGATGGTGAAGTTGGCTTTAGGCAAAAATATGGACAACTCATCACTAGTAACAGGAGAAAAGATAGGTGTTCGGAAGTTACAGTTGAAACTATTTTGTCAATAAAGGCTATCTGGCTGAGAGTTAGGGTGGAAAAGGAAGTACTGACATTTTGAAAAGAGAAAATGTGAATCAATCACTTAGATAATGAATGAAATGGGTATGTGTATTTTGATTATCTGGAGTAATAGTCTGTTTAAAGTCAATGGTCATGAATTTAGGATGATACCAGTCCTTATGATGTATGTTACCTTCTAGCAATGTACAGCATGCGAGTGCACTTGTGAAGTGAGTTTGGAAATTGCCAAGTGAGTATGATAAAGTAAGAGAGGAGTAAGTGCTTGACCTGAGGTTGTATGCAAGAGGCTGAAAGTGGTGGATCATGGAATTTAGGTGCAATAGGAGGAATATAAAGATATGGGGGCTGGAAAGACAGTAAAATGGTGATAGGATTGATGGAGTATAGGGTCTTGAGGGGTTAAAGAATTCTTAGTCTCAGGGTGCTAAAGGGAAAGACTTGTTAGTCTCATGGCACTAAAAGGCTAGAAATATAGAGGATGATATCAGAAAATAGAGCTGAGATTATAGAACAGAAAGGGAGAGGGGTCTGGTAGTGGCAGGGAGGAGCATGGCAGCTGCACCACGTCTAGATCCAAAGGTACCTGGAAGTGATCAAAACAATGGTCACCCCACTGAAGGCTACAGGGAGAGTAAGAGGCTGTGTCCTTAGGAGAAAGAAGGTGCCAAGAATATTCAAGGAGCATAGAGTGGGAAGGAGCATCCTTTGGCAGAGGGCTCAGAGCTTTGAGGTTCTCACCTGACTCCAGGAGCATCTTTGCCAGAGCAAAGGCAACATCAGGGGCAGAGGAATGGTGAAGTTATAAGGAATTCACTTTGTGCCCCAAGGATAAAAAGTGGTTACAACAAAAACATTTCAAATCGCTCTCTCAATTTAAAAAAATGTTATCAGTCACCCTTGCCACAAGAAATTTTCAGTGGCCATGTTTCTCTTCCTGGGCCCTAATACTGCCCTATGACTTGAGCTCTTCTATCCTCCCATCCTCTCCTGCTGATGCTCCCATATGCACCCAAATTCGCAAATTCCTGTTCCTCTGCTCCACTCATCCTACACTGATGCCAGGGGCTCATCTTTCTTAAGGGGCTGTACTTCACCTTCTCTACCCAAATAAAAAACAAAGGCACAAAATAGAAGCAAACACATTCACAACAAAAATATAGTTATATTTTTCTCTTTAACATAGCTCAGATAAGATTCTTAGTCATATCTGCAATCCTACCAACAAGCGCCCATCTTGTGGTTGGGGGGCAGGCAATGGAGGAGTAAAGTGATGGACAGACAGGCTGATGGTTCACCTTATACCACTGAAACGCAGTTGTTAAAATCCATTTACATTTAAAACTCTAGACAGGAAAATGTTTGCCCAGTAAATGTTTTTATTCTCATTTTTTCCTCCTTCTGCCATTTTTATCTAATAGAAGCTGCATCAGAAGGAGTTAAACATACAGAACTTGTCAGTCTTCAATTTTAAAAAGCAAATTGTCTAGGATCAACATTCTTCCCCAAATTACATTAATTACTTCCTAAAATATGTTCTTCCAATTGCTAAGCATCAAGGAATAGAGGTTGACTATAAATTTTTTTTGTTTCAGGGTCAGGAGAAATATTATCTATTCTTAAACATAACTTCTTAATTATCAACATGAGAAAATTGAAGGGCTTAGAGGTTAAGTGACTTCCCAAGGTTGCATGGCCCATTTGGGTAGAGCCAGGATTAGAATCAATGACTCAGGGGTTCAAGTCTTCTTTCCTGCTCATCATACTGCCTTCATGAATGGCTCAGGAGGCTTCATGTAGTTTATTTCCACAAAATACAGCATGTCTTCTAGAGATTATTTAGGTTTTCTTTGGATACAAATGGACGTTTTATTATATTCTGTTATGTAAGAATTTAGATATGCTTTTATTTTTACTTCAAATGGCTGATTTTATAAAACAGTCATTCTAATAATACACAACTCCTATATGATTTGTGCTTGAATAGATCTCCTCTTCCAACTCTGCTCCATTGTGTTTAGTCAACAGTTTTCGATTATCTCTATGTTAATGGGGTGCATATTCATTTCAATGCCAAAATATTTCTGGGCTTTTGGATATTATTTTCCTTTGCAGTTCATAAATAAAGTGGATGGACAGAATTTCAAGGATCGCATCATTTCTGACTTCATATCATCGATTTTATAGCCAGAAAGAGCTTTCTAATCTTTCAGCATATTCATGAATTAAATGAGAGTAAGTTCAAAGCACAGAATATTGGAAACAGATTCATGCAAAATTTATCTTCAACAGCAAAGAGGAATAATAATAGCAGTATTCTACTTCATAAGAATATATTAAGAGCAAGTAAAGTATCACAGGGCAGTATAAAATGTGTGTATAAGATGTTATTTTTCTAATTCTGTTGTAAGATATTAAATTGCCAATACTGTAATAAGTGGGAAAATAAACACTTAAAAGGATATGGTTATCTAGCTAATTTTTATCATAATTATATTTTACATCAGCATCTCAAACTAAGTTTTAAAATGGTAACTCAAACTAAACTTATTTCAAATATGTATTTATTATTGTCAGTTATTATAAGATATGAAAAGCCTAAGAGATGAAAATTCTCTCTTTTAAAAGGAATATTGCCTTAAAATCTCTGATGAAGGCTGATCATCTCAGGTAAATTTTTTCAACAGTTTAACATACATATATAAGTTATCACACTTTCCGTCACAGTCTTTTGAGTCTAATGATAATTCTAGAAATATTTGAATTGACATATCATTTTGTATTTTAACATCAGTCATTAAAACTAGTTCTTTTATTTTCAAACAGCTTGAAATGTTTTTGTGAAAGAAATGTTCACTTTGCGTTAGAGTTCTAAAACATCTTAAAATATTTGGAGGAATGGTTTAAATTTATTTTGGCATCTCAGAAGTGTGGATCAGTTTGCTACAAGGTTCCTTTTGACATTGAAGACCTGTTTTAAGTGATCTTAGTCTCCAGAGGCATTATAAATATATTACTCCAAAATATCTGAGGATTGTGTATGGAATCAGCATTAACTGCATAACTTTAAGATTTGTTTTGATCTAGTGAATAGATTACTGAAATAAAATAGAATGAGGACCCCAAAATTCAATAACCCCTTATGAAACACATGAAGAGTTAAACATGCTTTTAGGAAATCCTAAGCAGATCTACTTTGAAGGAAAAAAAATAAGCCAACATTCCACATTCTTCACACCAGTCCAAGTCTGTCTAGCTTATGACTGTCCTGGGATCCTCTAGACACTGCTTCCCTTGTCCATATCCAGATCATAAGTAGATATCCAAGCCTTTGGGTCCAAGTTGAGGAAAACATTTCAGTATTCAAAAGCCTATACCTTTTAAAACCCTCTAGAATATATTTAACAGGAAAGAACATCTATAAGGGTGTGATTTGTTCTGTTTTTACTTTTTTTTCTTTTTGAGATGGAGTTTGGCTCTTATTGCCCAGGCTAGAGTGCAGTGGCACAATCTCAGCTCACTGCAACCTCCACCTTGCAGTTTCAAGTGATTCTCCTGCCTCAGCCTCCCAAGTAGCTAGGATTACAGGCACACACCACCACACCCAGCTAATTTTTTTGTATTTTTAGTAGAGACTGGGTTTCACCATGTTGGTCAGGCTGGTCTCAAACTGCTGACCTCGTGATTCACCTGCCTCAGCCTCCCAAACTGCTGGGATTACAGGCATGAGCCACCGTGCCTGGCCTGTTTTTACATTTTAAAGGTACTATACATGTACCAAAATAAACATTATTTGCCAAAGAAAATGCACCAGAATATATTTTCCATTTTTTCTCTGCATTATTTTATTTCAATATTTAATAAAATTTGATATTATTTCATTTATTAATAAAAACATCTTATATTGACAGAAACTATTCATAACCTTGATTTTTAATACCTAAGCGATAATCCATGAACTGGATTTGCCATAAGAAGAACTGGATTCCTGATAATTTGTCATTTAGTTTGCAAATGATTTTGTCACCATTTTAGAAAACATAGTATTGAGATGAACCTCTTAGTATAGAAAGCACTGACAGCTTGAATTACATGCTTATATTTCACTCATTCATTCCTTTACCAGTATTGACCATGCATCCACTATTGCTAGGTGGTCCAAAGATGAATATGTCTTGCTTTCAGAGAACTCACAGTCCATCTAGTGGAAGTCAGATAATAATAAAATCACCTTACTCAGTGATAAAGGAAGATATAGAAAGCCTTCCAAGGATATACCTCGGTGCAAAGGCACCCACGTGCCAGGTGGAAGGCTTTCTTGGAAGTGAAAATGTTATTACTATAGTGTAAAGTATGAGGATTGGTGGGTGGGAAGTGATTTGATCAGAAAAGTAGGATGAAAGCCAATTCATGAAGGTCCTTGAGTGTTATGCTAACAGTTAAATTTAACTTGACAGCTATGTGATCTCATTAAAATATTTGCATGCATATAAATGGCAAGATCAGATTAGTTATATATTAGGTGTTGTGAACAAAGCAAAGTAAATTATTTTCATTAAAATAAAAAAATGAACTAGTCATTTTAACACTCAGACAATATCCTTAGGGAATAATATTTTTTAATGTAAAAAAAGGATAAAAAGTAAATGGCATGACATGATTTTGAAAGTCGTTTAAGTTAAATAAATGTAGGTGTAAAAAATAATCAGCATTTTACAAAGATCTAGGAAGCGCTCAGAGAAAAGTCCTTCATCCTCATTAAAGTATATTTACTTTTGGTTCTCATGCTTACTGGCCATTGTTAATCCAAAAGAAAATTAATAAGTAGAAATTTTAAAAGAAAATTATAAAAATTATAAAGAAATTTACAAACACACACAGGCATACCCACACACATAGTCTCTGTCTTACAGAGTTCTATAATTTAATTTAAAATTTTAGAATGTTAAATAATGTATAGAAAATTTCAGTTATGCATATTGAAACACTGAACCCACAACCAAGAATATGTTTCAGCATTTACAATGCAAGTTCTAGTAATGTGAGGTACCTCAATAGAATTTAGTTTTATTTTGAAATATCCATTTTATGGGTTAAATACAGAGCATATATTTTATAGTAAAAAGTGTCAGCTTATCTGTGAAACTGGAAAAGGCGGCTCACTTAATATAATGTCTAGTCTTTGTTAAATTTCCAAAGCACAAAGAGTTAGTAAATAAAAGTTACCCTTCATTTTCAGATATTGCAATTCAATAGAGATGAATGCATAATGGTTATTTTATTTTATTTATAATTGTATTCAAAACATCCAGATTTCCCCAAGACTAATTTAATGGGAATGACCAAGAGGTGAAGTTAATCACCATAAAGCAAGTAATACTCTGTCAACAGCCTACAGCTGTCATAATTCAGGCAGAAGGTCAGTTATTTCATCACTTTCTGTTTGTCCCTATGTGCCACAGTATTGGATGCATTGTAGATACTGCTATTAGATGCTAGAATGGAAATTTCCTGTGTTGGCTGGGACATTTAAATATATAAAAGAAAAACTCAAACAATAACATTTCCATATGGCTTTAAGATCTTAGTTGTATTTTCATAGGTGTAATACGTCTGTAGCTGAGCAATGAGTTTTTTTCTAATTCTATTGTTTTTGTTCAATGAAATTTTTAAAAAGAGCTAAGCTTCCCCTAGCTGCCAAACCTTACAATATAGGAGTCCTTTCTTACAATGTAAATGGAAATGTCTCAATTCATACTCATGCACCTTCATACTTTCTTAGAAAACTACTAACATGTCCCTAAAATGATGCCGATACCTATATCCCTTTTGATATAACAATACTTATAGTTAAAAATTTCTTTTTCAGTATCTCAGTACGTAAGCAGTAGGTGAATATAACTAAGGTTAAATATTTTCTGAGGATGGGGAAAAAAGCATTATAATCAGCCTTGGGTTATTTATTCTGTGACTATATATATGTTCAGCAAAAGCTTTCTGGATAACGCCCATCATCTTTTTGTGTTGCAGTTGGCAAAATGTCATCATTTAAATGAATTTAGGCAACTGCATCTATTCTGTAAGTGTCAAGGCTTCAAGTTAAATTTTAGAACTAACATTTATACTTCATAAAAGTAGTATTTATTTTAATCCTGCTTTTGGCTATCGCATCATAATAATGTAGAAATAATACCTAAGCTAGCATTATACAAAATCTGCATAATATCTATTTGATATATATACTTCAGGTCATAAAAGAGCCCCTGAAGCATAGGAAGCTAAGAGGAAGCTGACCAAAAATCTGTCCCAAAATTTTACATTTAGGTAAATCTTACCTCGTGATGCCTGTTTTCTCCATGTGAAAAAAAAAAGAGCATAATGTCATTTCTGCTTCTCTAGCAGTTTATTTGAAAATTATTTGAAGTTGTTGGGTTTTGAGCACTGCTGTGATTAAGTCTGAATCTACACTTATCCTTCTTGACCTACCAAGGAATAGCATGGACAGCTTCTAAGTATCTGCCAGAGACGTGAAAGACTGCCTTTCCTCTGCAAGTTAGCATTAGGTCACCTTGTTGCATGAGCTGCAAAGGTTCACTCAAGAGGACCTCAGAGGGTGTAGTTTCCACATTCAGGCAGTTTCTGCACTGCATAAAGTCTTCAGCCAAGGGGACTGCAATCCAGTCCATGTTCCATTTGCCAAGCCATGCAGCCTGCTGTGGGGCCACCTCTATGTGGAGGATGAGTACTGTTTTCTAATTCATCTGCCTATAGGCCATGATTTTTTCCTAATCCACTTTTTAACCTGTGGTTGGATGCCATCTCAAGGCCCTCCCCATTGCTGGCCCACCAGTGTACACTTCTGGAATGCCATAGGGTACTGGTAGGAGGCACACCTCATTCCACTCAAAGGAAAGGGCCTGTTACCTGCCTGACACTCTTGCCTATATGGAGCTCCCATAGAATAAGTTGCATTCCATCAGTACTCCAAGATTTCCTAAAAAGGAAATAACTTAGCCAACATTGTGTTATCACTGTTGATTGAACTAAAGGTCCAAATGGTTTTAATAACATTATATGCAATAACCACAGAATTATTATTTAATTTACACATGTATACAAATGCAGTTATGTTTTTATACTACAAATTGCGGTAGGACTATGCTCAGAGCTATTGAGAGGAAATCAAGGAAAGACTCTGAACCTAAAGCTATTTTTTGCTGTTTACTTAGCCAACCAGTTGCCTCTTACCATCTCCCATTCAAACTAAAGTAAAATGTACTCCAAAATTATTCAAACTGCCTCTCTGTCTACATCCCTTCCTTCCTCATTCTTGATGCCAGCTGCTCTTTCTGTTAATTGAGTGGCAGAATGACCTCCCTGCCACCAGCCCAGCTTTTCTTGTTTGTCATTACCAGCATGAATTCTCTAAGCTTCCATGTCAGTCATAGTACCCTAACTAATGGGCCTTTCAATAGTGAACCAGCAGACTTGTGATGTCTTCTTACTTCTTCATGATCAATCTGGCGTCAAAATTTTGGGCTGATTTAACTGTCTTATAGTGTCAAACAATGGATTAAATAAGATTATTAAATATTATACAGATGTGTATCTTTTTCTACTCACAAGAAATCTGTATATAAGACTTTTTCAAAGAGAAGCAGAAATTAGCACATACTTACTAGACATTTTAATTGTAAGATGAATAATATAACTCCTGTAAAGGAAGTGTGCTTACAGGGCTGTGTAAGCAAAAGGAATACAGCATATAAATTGTCATGTTTACATCCTATAATCAAATTTTATCATAGTAGAGAAAGTAGAAAAGCCAAGTTTTCTGAAATCTGGTAAAAGATGGTAAGAGTCCCATTTCTTTTCTTACAGATGATGACAATCATTTGGGTAAAGATTTCTAGAATTCTTGGGGTCTTTATTAGAGGTGATAAGAATAAAGGTTTGAGTTATACTCAAAACAAATGTGCTTTCCATAACTTATTATAAAGCACTAATGATGTACAAACCAAATGATAAAATGTGCACACATGTTTATGTGCTTTCAGAAAGGCTCATTAGGGAGATTAACTTTATGGAAATAGAGCTTTCCACCACTTAATGCTAAAAGATGGCCACAATCCTTTACAATGTCTTCAGTTTGTATCTTGCTAATTTATGTTGCCATGATCACTTTGTATATAAAACTTGCCATTTAATTTGTAACAGGGAATATTTATTACTCATCCCTTTTAAGCCTAGAGGTACATTTTGTTATGTAAATTATAAATAATATCTTCATTGTTCTAAAATTTGTTTAAAATATCTTTGAAAAGTATAATAACATGTAACAAACCTGCAGGTGTACCCTCTGAATCTAAAATAAAAGTTGATGGAAGAAATAAGACCTGGTGTTCAATAAATCAATTGAGTGACTATAGTTAACATTAATAGATTGTACATTTCAAAATAACTAGAAGAGAATAATTCACATGTTCCTAGCATAAAGATAAATATTTAAATGATGAATATCCAACTTACCCTGATTTTATTATCTGAATATATCAAATTATCACATATACCCTGAAAATGTATACATCTAATATGAATCAATAAAATTTAATAAAATAAAAATTTAAATTATAAAAAAGTTTTTTAAATAAAAAATAAGCATAATAAGCTTATGAACACCTCCTAAATCCATTACATAAAGGCTTATAATAATATTTCTTTGTTTATTTGTTCTTTTCAGGAGAAAGGAAGACAACAGTGTCCTGCACAAAAATCATGAGCAAAAATATCAGCATTGTGGACAATGAGAAATGCAAATACTTAACCAAGCCAGAGCCACAGATTCGAAAGTGCAATGAGCAACCATGTCAAACAAGGTAACTCTATTCCAAGGGCCCTTAAAGCATTATTTGTCCATTAGATTGCTGTCCTTTAAAACATGCTCAGAATATCATTGAAATCACATTTTCTTAAAAACATTGCCAAAGGATACGTACCAAAATTTAAAGTCTTAAATAAGCAAGATCTAAGAAAGCAAGGTAGCAAGGCCAAGATTTTCCACTTAAGGAAGGGGTATTGGGAGGGATGGTTGCTGAGGAGTAATTAAGATCACTTTTTATTTAAAATCATTTCATAACCTCTAGGTCACCTCTTCAAAAACTTTGTTATTTGGTGGAACATAGCTGTTTGCTCCTGAATTCTCCAAAACGGTGTGTTAGAATTTGCCCACAGTAACATAAACCAAACTGGGACTGCCATGACCCAGATCCCAGCAGAGCCAGGCCAGTGTAGTGTTTCTGATTCCTCTGGCTAAATTCTCACTTCCTAGCCCAGAGTTCCAGAAGCAAACTGCCCAATCCCTGATCTCTCACCACCAACTTTGTGACCCAGGTCCCAGTTACTGTACCACAGATGCTTTGGTTTCCTCTGACACCCCCCAATGAGTATTAGGTAACAAAGCAGGCAAGAAATTCACAAGTAGAGGACAAAACAGCAATGCTGAGCAGCTGTAAGTGGAATAGGAAGAAAGAAGCCCATGCCTTGGTTACTGGAAGTTGGGGTAAAGACAGGTGAGTGGAACCTGAGTATAATTTTGGACCAGCCTAGCAACGAGGCTACTTGGCATGGCTGCCAACACAGGGCTCCAATCTACCTGCTTTCACATAAAAATTAAGGCTTAGCTTGATTAGGACTCAGCCCTGGTGTCCAAAATCCTGAAAACTTTTAGGGATGGGGTGACAGAAAGAGTGAGGCTGGATTGATTCCTCTGAATATTGGGACAGGAATATTTACTTTGTCCTGACACTCAGGAATTTGTTGAAGCCCGGTGAGTTAGGAAAGAGTTGTAAGTTCTTAGGTAGTCAGAGCATTGATCTTCCCCTCACAAGAGCTTCTGTAATGGCTTCATGGTGAATTAACACACCCTACAATTCAGATAGGCAGATAATGTGTCATTTTATAGCAGTTTATAACTGATATAACCGTCTTCATGGCCATCTACCACAAAGAGTAGGTATGGGGGAGGGAAGAGGGAGAGGAACAAAGTTGCTAATTAACCATATTTGAGCTTTTCTTTCTTAATCTCTTTGGGAATTAGTGTCATGCAGACGAATGGTTAGTCCTGATTTCCCTATTCACACCCCCAAGGAAAAGTCAATTACTAAAGCCCTCTAAATCTAGCCATGCTATGTTAATGAGCGCTTAAAAGAATTTGGGATCACCTGAGATCGGAAGTTTGAGACAAGTCTGACCAATTTGGAGAAACCCCATCTCTACTAAAAATACAAAATTAGCCAGGCATGGTAGCACATGCCTATAATCCTAGCTACTCGGGAGGCTGAGGCAGGAGAATCACTTGAACCCAGGAGGTGGAGGTTCTAGTGAGCAGAGATCATGCCATTGCACTCCTGGGAAAGAAGAGCGAAACTACATCTAAAAAAAGAATTTGGAAAATACTTCATCTACGAAGTTTGAATTTCAAGGCTTGCTTTCTGTAGATTCAATATATTTTAGATACTGTAAACCAAAATGTATCTGACACAGGTCTCCAATCAATTTAGAAGCTTATATTGCCAAAGTTGTGGATCATGACCCATGACATGGTCTCACAGGGCCCTGAGAACATTTGCTGAAGGTGACTGGGTTACAGCTTGGTTTTATATGTTTTAGGAAGACATAAGATGTCAGTCAATAAATGTGAGGCATAACTTGGTTTGGTCTAACTCAAAGCCATTGGGGGAGGGGTGACTTACAGGTCAAAGGTGGATTCAAAGACTTTCTGATTGGCTATTGGTTGAGGGTTAAATTATTATCTAAAGACCTGGAATCAAGAGAAAGGAGTGTCTGGGTTAAGATAAGGGGTTGTAGAGACCAAGGTTCATATTATGTAGATGAAGTCTCATAGGTGGCTGACCTCCAGGGGCAACAGATGGCAGTGTTTCCTCTTCAGATCCTTAAAATGTGCTGGACTCTCAGCCAATCTCTAAAGTATCAGCAAAAGACCTGGAAAGGGAAGGGGATTCCCTATAGAATGTCAGTTTCCCCAACAAGACACAGCTTTGCAGGGCCATTTCAAAGTATGTCAAATTATGGGGTAAAATAGTTTGGTTTCTTTGAGGGCCCTGCTGTCTGTCATGTGATATTATAGTAGAGTCAGGTTGGAATTTAGTATCTTATTGCTACAAAGAGTCTATTTGGTTAGTCTTAGGATCTCTGTTTTAATGTCAATGCTGTTCAGTTGTATACCTGAGCCCCAAAGGAAGGAGAGTAATAATGAGGCATGTCTACCCACCCTCCTTTCATATAATGGTCTGAACTAGTTTTTCAAGTTTAGTTTTGTCCCCTTAGCTGAGAGAGGAGGGTCCATTCAATCAGCTGGGGGGCTTAAAATTCTATTTTTGGTTTATAGTAGTAGAAGCTGATTATCAACTTTTCCTGTCTTTTGCATTCCTGCTCTAACAGTCCTACCCCAGGCAAATATATGCTTTTAAAAGAATAGGAAAATGATATATAAAAGGATGTGCATAAGGGAAAAGTAATGGACATATCTTCAGTAATGTCATGTTCTTTGCACCTTCCTGAGTGTAGGCTTTTCAGCCTAACTGCATAAGTGTGTGAACCAGTAAAGCTTTTTCATGATACAGAGTAGTAATCAGGTACAGTGACCTAGGGAATTATTCTTGCCTACTGTCAGGTCCTTGGGTCATTTCCACTCAGTGCTGGACAGATACATAAAGTAGCATTTTTGGCCTTGGCCCTGTCAGCTAAAGAACCAGGATCCTTGCTGTTACTGCTGTTCCTCAGAATTCTCTTTTTCTCTATCCCCTTTAATAGATATTAAGATGCTAAATTATCTGTGTTAAATAATGTTAAAATACTTCAAAACACAATTTGTTTTATATTGCCATATAGTTGTTCCAATTTGGTGAAAGAGCCATGGCTTTTTCTGATACATCAGGAATCTTGAAAGAGCTGGATTTGAGGATTAGAGCATGTTTGTTGTTTCCCAAGTTGGTCTGTGAAGGAGCAGAGTGTACAATACAACACACTATTTATTTTTCATTCCCTGAACTCAACTATCTTGGAGAAAAACGTCTCAATAATGACTTGGTAAAATGACTAGTTTCAAAAGGTCAGTACATTTCTGAGTGAGAAATTTTTGCAGCTGGAGACTGGAAGTCTTTTTGTTAGAGATTATTATCTCCCTTCCCTTGGAAAAGGAGGCAATTTATTTTGAACCACCAAGCTGTGATGTTAGTGAGGTTAAGCAAAATATTGGAAAGAAAGAAATGAACATGGGCAATTATTAAGGGTCATCACAGGAAACCTTTCCAAGACTTACTGGAAGAGTACATCCTTTATTCCTCCTGTCTTTCCCCTTTCTCCAACCTAGTAAAAAAATTCTAATTCCCATTCACATTTATTGAGAAAGTCACTAAATGGCCCGATGGCATTCTATGGGTGAAATATAAAATAGATGAATTCACTAGTAAATACCTTTGTAAGTGAAGGTCTCTTAAAGATAAGGAAATGGGATCCTTCCAAATTAAGTTCTAAGCCACGAAAATGTTTTCTTTCATTAGAATACGTTTTATATTTTAGTTCTTATTTTTCAGTGGTTTTCATAAGGAATAGGAAAAGTAACTTTTTATAATTATATTGAGGATCTCAAATTTTTATTTTACTTAAAAATATGAGATTCCATGAAATTGCAAATACTTCTCTTTTCAGTATGGAGAACCCAGTAGTGTCTTCTGAGTTCCATAGTTGGAAAAGATATGTAGATGGACTTAGATTGGGATTATTTTTTGGATATTCTTGTGCAGAAATATGAAGCAGAAACTAAACTAAATTTGGAAGATGTGCACTTTAGGAGAAATCCACCAGGGGACTCCAAAGCAAAATGGCAGGTCTGCAACATGCTGGATAGATGAGGAAAAAATAACCTTGTAAAGCCTTCTATTTCCTTTCTCAGAAATAGAAACATAAAATCATTTACAATTAAACTAACTTACAGATGAGATTTACTAGGCTGTAAGAGGATGTGACTCCTCAAAATGTGGATCATTGCTAGGAATACTTGGGTTTGGTAAATCTGGAATAATTAAGGTTACTTCTGTAAAACAGAGAGAAACATAAATTCTATTTCAAGGAATGTTTATGGCCAGGCACAATGGCTCATGCCTGTAATCCCAGCTCTTTAGGAGGCCAGAGCGGGTGAATCACTTGAGGTCAGGAGTTCAAGACCAGCCTGGCCAAAATGTTGAAACCCCTTCTCTACTAAAAAAATACAAAAATTAGGGGGACATGGCGGGCATGCCCATAAGCCCAGCTACTTGGGAGGCTGAGGCAGGAGAACAGCTTGAACCCAGGAGGTGGAGGTTGCAGTGAGCCAAGATTGTACCATTGCACTCCAGCCTGGGCAACACAGTGAGACTTCATCTCAAAAAAAAAAAAAAAAAAGAAAGACATGTTTATCAAAACCTATTATGTAAAAGTGTTATGGATGCTAACAAAAACAAAACATTGATACATGCCTTTGAGGAGCTTATATATTACAAAGAAAAGAAGGCCAAATTCATTAGGTAGCCTTTGAGCCCCTCTGCTTCCCTAGGGAATATCTAATAAGTCGTGTGAGTGCTACAAGCCAGGCAATAGAGAGCAAAGAAAAGGCCAGTCCCCATTGGTTGAATGGAGAAGCCCTTCTAGGAGGAATGGGCGTGGGGCTGGCTGTCAAGGATCCAGGCACAGGATTCTACAAATATCATGAGGTGAAAATAGAAAGTGTTTGGTAAGCAAGATGAGCATATGGTTTATTTTCCGAACAAGTGGGAGATGAAGCTAGAAAAATATATGAATAAGTATGAATCATTTTAAAAATGCTACTATATATAATATATCCTGAACCTATTGTATATCAGGAAATAATAATAAACCCTTTTACAAATTAAAAAATAGAAACTTACAGCTAATAAGTATTATTTCAGGAATGTGCACAGCTAATAAGGTACCTACAAATAACCTCGGGGATTCTGACTGCTCTATATTGTGCTGAAATAGTTAATTTGGGTCTCCCTAGAAGATTGCCCAAGTAATGAGAAATACAGGGAAGATTTTAATTGACAGGAATCACACAAATACCAAATTTTAAGAATCACTTTTCTGTCATAGGTTTTAGTTCTTTCCTAAAGTGAATTTGGGCAGGTGTTTAGTGGTCCTTAAGGTAGCTCTCCATCTAGATATTAAAATACGTATGTATTAGCTGCTGAATCAGTGAGATCAAAGAATAATATTGGAGTCCTGAGAGCCTGTAAAATGGAGTCATGTTAAGTTTAGCCCTGAGTCTGTCACTCCAGTGTCTATGCTCATATCAAAGCTAGACATTGGCTAGCCTAAAGAAGCATGTGTAGCTCCATGTGGGAGGATATAGCCTGGTCACAGAAATCTAGTTGCTGCTGATAAGTGTAATACCTTGGTGATTGCTTTATCCAGGTAAGAGGTCAATCACAGTCTTCTGTTACTTTGCTAATACCCCCATATCTCTCACTGTTAAGTAGTCTACAGCCTCATTTGAATTGTTGGTGCCACAATTTTGTGACCTTTGGTAAGGTATTAAGCCTCTGTGTGCCTGAGCTTCCCTTTCTGTAAATCTGGCCACGATATTTGTGATACCCAATACATAGGGCTATTGTAAAGATGTAAATTACAAAGAATAAGAATAACTCCTGGATATTAGCAATTTTATACTTACAAAGTCCCACAGTATAGTGATATGGTAAGCAGTGAAAGGCAGTTTATAATATGACATGGAAAAAGTCTGATGGACACTGAGAGTCTAATAAGAACAAGTTCCAAGAGAAGAAATATGGAGCACTCAAAGCAAGAGGAAGCCTGGGCATCTTGCAGAAAACTATTGTGTTTGGTTAAAAAAAAAAAGGTATAAAGTCTCCATGTAACATTCTGCTAACTCTAGACGTGTCAAAATATATGGTAGTGATACGCTTTGACTGTGTCTCCACCCAAATCTCATCTTGAATTGTAGCTTCCATGATTCCCATGTCATGAGAGGGACCGGTAGGAGGTAATTGAATCATGGGGGTGGGTCTTTCCCGTGCTGTTCTCATGATAGTGAATAACTCTCATGAGATCTGATGGCTTTTATAAAGGGGCATTCCCCTGCACACACCCTCTCTTGCCTCCTGCCATACGAGATGTGTCTTGCTCCTCCCTGTCTTCCACCATGATTGTGAGTGAGGCCTCCCCAGCCACATGGAACTGTGTCAATTGGACCTCTTTCCTTTGTAAATTGCCCAGTCTTGGGTATGTCTTTATTAGCAGTGTGAGAACAGACTAATACAAGTAGATAGGTATCTTTTAACTTGTTTCCAGTGACTCTTGCTTTACTTTCAGGTGGATGATGACAGAATGGACCCCTTGTTCACGAACTTGTGGAAAAGGAATGCAGAGCAGACAAGTGGCCTGTACCCAACAACTGAGCAATGGAACACTGATTAGAGCCCGAGAGAGGGACTGCATTGGGCCCAAGCCCGCCTCTGCCCAGCGCTGTGAGGGCCAGGACTGCATGACCGTGTGGGAGGCGGGAGTGTGGTCTGAGGTGCATACATGCCCCCTTTCTTTCCCCATTCCTACTCTGACTCCTAGCTTGTACAAGATCAGGTTGGATCATGTTCAGAATCTGCATTGAAGTTGATATTTTTCTATACTATTTATTAATTTTGTTGATGATTAAAGGAATACATTCAAATAATTTTGAAATAGAAAAATACAAAGATATTTACTTTCTATTCTATAAATATTGCAACATAATCAAGGGCATATTTTATACACATTTTAAATTCTGCATTTTTACTTATATACTATGACTATACTCTTGAGTTGGCACACATTAAAATACACACTTAACTCACTGCATATCCCTGAACATTTAAAATGGAAAGAAGAAAATTAATGTTTAATTATTATATGTGAACAAGGAATGTGTTTTTACTTAATGTTTAGTATATTGTTTATATTTAATCACCTGTGCAGGAAACTTAAGTTTCATCATTTTATAAGTAAGAGTAATATAGCTCAGAGAAAGTAAATAGTTTACCCTAAGTCCTACCTAAGTGGTAGAGCTGGGATTTGAACCCAAGGTTGTTTAACTCATTGCACCCTCCCAACCCCTACAGGCTTGTAGTGTATAACATACAGTTGTGTTCCATGCCAAACCATAGTGATTTATTTTCTGTTATCATGATATATATCTTTGCGTAATAATAAATGGCACTCATGACTTACACTTAGTGGTTGCTCTGAAGCACTTTAGGTGAAGGTCTGGCTGCATTTACTCATATAAACATACTTATATACTCATGTTCACACATGTACCAACACACCTACACACATAAAAAGGAAAATCATCCATCTATGTAATTTCAAAATATTATACAGGATGCAAAAATGATAATTAAAAAATGCTGTATTGAAGTAGCTACTTTTTTGAAAATGAGGATAACATAGCTTAGATAATACAGTTTCTAAATGTCTGTCAATTAACCCAACCCCCTCCAAAAAGCATATTCACAAAAATCCTGGCTTTCTCTTTTCTTACTATTCTAGGTTATACTGTTTAATGGATTCTTTTTCATTTATAATGTATACTTTTGCAAATGAATACCATATCATATTTTACATTGAAATGAATCAGTTCAGTCTGGAGAGAAGAATCACATGAGCATCAGAGAAACAAAATACCCCACCGCAACCCAATCAAAACATTTTTGCAAACTCTTCGGGAGAAAATTGGTCAGAAATATTCTACTATACAGATTTTTGGCACCAGCTGAGAGAAATAATATGTCATAATGCAATATGCCAATTGAAAAAACGTCTATTGTTTTACTTTAAGTTAAAACTCAATTTTATGAATCAGGCATAGTTTGACTTGCCAAAAAAAAAAAAATATATATATATATATATATATATATATATACAAATACATATATATATGTATTAAAGGGCCAAATCACATAGTCCACTTTAAAACTGAACATATTCAAATACAAACTTTAAGTTATGAGACAATTACTTATTTGTGCAAGATTTAGGATACCTATTTAAAATGTCATTAGTTCCATGCTTAAGCTTTCAGGATATCTGGTATGCCCCACACACATATCCAGAACAATTTTGGTCCCAATGTCCAGGTAGTCAGTGGTGCTTGCCTTTAGACAACAGGAATACTTCATACATATTCCATGATGTGGAGGATAAATGTAAATGAGAGAAGAGATTGCACCTAGAGAAAATTAGTGGAATATACATATGTGCTTTTATATCACCCTCATCCGTTATACATCTCCTATTTATTAAACTAAAGAATTTTGAACCAAATTGTATTTTAATTCCAAAAATTATTTAGAATTATAATTTCTAGGAATATATAATTATATACAGAAATTCTAAATTTTGGCTAGGCCCGGTGGCTCACACCTATAATCCCAACACTTTGGGAGGCCAAGGTGGGTGGACCACTTGAGGCCAGGAGTTCAAGACCAGCCCAGCCAACATGGCAAATCCTATCTCTACTGAAAATACAGAAATTAGCTGGGCATGGTGGTATATGCTTATAATCCCAACTACTTGGGCAGCTGAAGTGAGAGGATCACTGGAGCCCAGGAAATGGAGGTTACAGTGAGCCAAGATCACGCTACTGCACTCCAACCGGGGCGACAGAATGAGACTCCATCTCAAAGAAAAAAAAATCTGAATTTTATTTTTGCTAAGATTTTCTCTATTTCATCTTTGAAACATGTTTTTTGAGAAGTGACATGCTGGGGAAATTGTTATTTTTCACAAACATGTCTTCCATCTAAATAAAAGAGTACATCTTAGAAAAAGTAAAATGAATTTTTTTACATAATTATGTTTAAAATGTGATATCAAATTTTAGTAATTTTAATTTTGATCATAGTGCATTATTTATCTTTCTTAAATAATCCCTGTTATATTACTCTCTGTAATAATGGCTCAGTATTTCTGAAACCACTTATCTCCAGCATTGTGCCTTAAGCTCCTTCTGGCATCAGATACTGGTGCTTAGCCTGTTGTTACCTTTAAACTTATTATTTATAATTTTATCTGGCTTTTATGGGTGATGGGCTCATAACAGATTATTGGAAACCAGTACTTAATTGAGCCTATCATCTATATCTCCAATTCACCAACTTTATCTAAAACCTCTGATGTTATCTTCCAGTGTTCAGTCAAGTGTGGCAAAGGCATACGTCATCGGACCGTTAGATGTACCAACCCAAGAAAGAAGTGTGTCCTCTCTACCAGACCCAGGGAGGCTGAAGACTGTGAGGATTATTCAAAATGCTATGTGTGGCGAATGGGTGACTGGTCTAAGGTGAGAACCATTCTGTATATTCTCAGTAATAGGTTTCAATAATGTCAGCATTGCCCTGGGTACTATAACCACATAGCATGGAGTTTAGGAGGGAAGGAGAGTAGAATTAAACATCATGGGATATGGGGCAGATTCTGGCTGGCTGTCCATGATCATGATCTCTATAAAACTGTGTTAAAAATGAAGATAAAATGTACAAAGCACTTAGCACCATACTTGACACAAAGGAAGCTATCAAAAAATAATAGCTGTCATTATTGCTTTTTTGTTAATTATTCATATAGTTCTCAGAATATTGTTGCATAAAACTATCTAAACAAATAGAATACTGTCAGACAAGTCAATTCAAAATATAATTAAGTAAGGTAGCAGAAGAACCAAATAAAGGGAACTCAGCTCTTACTAGATAAAAGACAGTCATTTTCCCACCAATTTTGGGAGTTGTGTATGGTAGAAATGGAAAGGAACAAAATGTTGACATCCTTTGGTCAAATCAAGTGAACACAATTTATATGGAAAATGAACAGTAAGTTTAATTCACGATAACAGTAATGCCTATTTAAAGTTTATATGAGTAAAGTAGAGCCTCATATAGGGCTGTAGAAAATGTCTGACCTGTTCATTCTATGAAATACTAATAAAACCCATGTTTTAAGATAAAATTCTGATCATTTTGGGGTGAAAATAGATCTCACATATTTTTCAGAAATGTAAATATGAATCAATTATCCCACTTTCAGCTGTGATATTATATACTGACTATCATGAAATCATAAAATTATAGGGCTTAGTTCCATGCTTAGATGGTCATAATGCTTTAGATGAGACATAATAAATCCTCTCTCCTTCCCCTTTTATTGTATAAAAGAGAAAAGAAAGTGATGGCTGCTGGGGTATGGAGAGGAGTATAATAGTTTTTCATAAATAACCCTAAAGGGCTTTCTGGGAGAAATATTTTCAATATAGAAAATACTGTGATTATCCCACTTTCACAGTGTTGCCCCAAAGCAATCCATGGCATTTGAAATATAAGCTATTTTCTCATGATTATGTATGCCTTTTGTCTCTAAGAAAAGTTTGCATATTAATATTGCATCTGAGTTATCAGTAAACTAGACTCTCTTTCTACTACTTACAACATTCAAAATTCACATTTGAACTCTAAAAGGATGCTTTTGTAAACAACATAAATCGATCCCTAACTACAGCAGTGAGAAATATTCAGCTCAATCCATGGGAATTTTGACTGGTGAATCACATAAGGAAACTTCACACTTCAGAATAAAAAACTTTGAGGCAGCACAGAATTCTAAATTAACTACAACTAATTTATTTTATGTTCAAGATTTGTTTCCTTAATTCTAAGGGAGACAAATAGAGCAGGATAATAGGGAAAGACAGTGGCTTGGAAGTCAAGAGATACGGAGGACAATTCTCACTCCCTCTTTGCATAGATGGGTAAAGTGGTTAAGCCACTGAATTAATGCCTTTGTGTCTTTGTTTCCATATGAGTCAAATAATGAAAATGGAACAGTGTTTTCAAGCTATATGTATAACAACTTTTCCTTTTTTAATTTTATTTCAATAGTTTGTGGGGAGCAGGAGGTTTTGGTTACATGGATAAGTTCTTTAGTGTATATGTATAGCAACTTTTCATTCATCATTGAAGATATAGGATAGAATAAGGAAGAAGAAAAAGTACTAGCAGCAAGAGGGCAGGGAAAATCACCTGTTGCTCCCTTTCCATTGTAGGAACTCATTTGTTTCTTTTGGCTAGTGAAATTCTAGATATTTTCTTAGAATGAAACCATTCTGCTCTGAAAATATTTACAAACCACGTAAAAAACTGAGCTATATTTTTCCAACTTTGGTGATAAATAGAAAAATTTAAATGTAGGCCAGCCGCAGTGGCTCACGCCTGTAATCCCAGCATTTTGGGAGGCCAAGGCAGGTGGATCACTTGAGGTCAGCAGTTTGAGACCAGCCTGGCCAACATGGAGAAACCCCGTCTCTACTGAAAATACAAAATTAGCTGGGCATGGTAGTGTATGCCTGTAATCCCAGCTACTAGGGAGACTGAGGCAGGAGAATTGCTTGAACCCGGGAGGTGGAGGTTCCAGTGAGCCAAGATAACGCCATTGCGCTCCAGCCTGGGTAACAAGAGTGAAACTCAAAAAAAAAAAAAAAATGAAAAACTTAAATGTTAGTTGTTGTTAACCTCCAACTAACTATAAAATACAGAAGATGTAATTGCAAAAAAACCCAAAAGATTCAAGTTTTATTATAATATGTGACACAGAATTATAAGCTCATACAATGCTGCATGTGGAAATACGGCTAGCAAATCCTATTTGCTTGACAAATACTATTACTTTTGGTTAATGAAACGTGCCTACTGTGTGGCCTCTGGGTTAAATCTTAGTTAAAACCAAAGTTCACTAGGGAGATCATAGGGAACACTGATTGTGGTTTTTTATGCTAAACTAAAAAAAATTTTTTTCAGTTTTATGAATATATGTATGTAATTCTTAAATATAATTGGATTGAATTACTTTTAATTGGTTTTGTGGTGTTACTGTATGGCTACCCAACTAGAACATAGCCTTTGTGAGTGAGGAAAGAAAAGAATAGCTTCAACAAATACAGTTGACCCCTTAACAAAACAGATTTGAACTACACGGATATACATACATATGGATTTTTTCAACCAAAGGCGGATCAAGAATACAATATTTCCTGGTTGTGAGACCCACTTTAAGGAGGGCTGACTTTTTGCATATGTGGGTTCTGCAGGACCCACTCAAGTTTGCATGGACTTTGATTATACTTGGGCTGTCCTAAAACCAATGCCCTCATATACCCAAAGAAGATTGTATTCATCTTTATTCCTGGCCTTTTAACCTTTGCTTGTTGGCCTGTTTGTTTCTTTGTTTGGTAACTTAGAAGATCCAGTAAATAGTGCTTCTGTTTGTCTACTTTCGGACTTTATATGAATATAAGTGCTTTTTTCCTTAAAGCCATTTCTTTCCTTTTTCATTATAACGATCTCAGCATCACAGACTCAAACAGTGTGCACAAATTAAAACCAGTGGCTCCACGTGAATTTTATTGGTTTCACCCTTCATTTTATACTTCTATGACATTACTTTCATGTTAAAATGAAGACCATCCCAAAATAATTACAGAGAAAAGGAATAATGAATGCCATGATTAAGTTTCAGTGATTAAAGTATTCAGGGACAGAGAAAACACACAAATCTCTTATTCTTATCAGCTGTGTCCTTGAAACAGGAATAGCAACAAGATGTATGTGATTGTAGGTGGATTTCTGTGCTCCTCTGAGGTCAGTTAATCTGTCAGTTTCACGCAAAGTCTGCCCTATTTTTAAAGTGTCAATACTAAAGTGGACTTCAGCCTTGGATTTACTTTAATCAGGAATATTAAATGTACAATTTTTTTATAAAGCTAGCACTGAAAACCTGCTCCTCCCTTAATAATATAGATGAGTCCCTGGGAGAATCAAAAGAAAATACATCCTTAGATTCTCCCACTGCCTAAGAATCATTGACTGCTATTGGGCAAAGGTAGTATTGACTAAATGGAGGATGACTGAAAAGATGGCTTATGCCTCAAACTATGTTCACTGCATTTGTATCAGCCTACATGATTTATATCATATATATTTTGGGTGGTTTTGTGTAAATAGTGGAAAAATTGCTCTGGGCTTCTGAGGGGGAAAAACAGATTAAGGTATATGCAAAGAGTGAAACTTACGTCATAAAATTGTTGCCTTTGATTTCTAAGAAAAAGTAATGCAGCCTTTGTTGAAAAATGTTCACGTTTATTTCATCAGGATTACAATGATGGCAAAAATAGGACACATACAATGTGGCTGCTTTGCCCTGGCTTGCATTAACTTACACAATTATATGCCACGTTCTGACTATATCTCTCTCTGCTATAGACATGTTCTTCGGATCTTTCTTGGGAGAAAAGAACATTACACACATTTCCTGCCAACTTAAATCTTCATTCACTCATTTAAGCTCTTCTTAGTATGGAACACTGACTTGAAAAATAACATTGTCTCTAATGTTTAATGAAATGACATTTTTTTTTTTGGTCTGAATTTGACCTTCCTTCCTTTATTTAAACTTCTGCAACTCCTGATTTTCATTACTGGAGACCAGCAGAGAAGCAAAAAAAAAAAAAAAAAAAAAAAAGAGTACTATTTTATCTACCTGTTTTACAGGATCTGATTATTTATGAAGTTTTATAGAGTTAACCCTTTCATGCAGTATTAACAAGTGATTTAAACTTATTCAACAGAATTCTGTTGAGAAACAAGGCACCTTAAAATTGCACATAATTGTTCCTGGTTTATTCTTATATTTATATTCTACAATTCAAACTTACTCCTTTAAAATTCTAGGAAATGATTAGTTTTGGACACATATAAAGTTATGACATATTAACAGATATTTGGACAGGGGATTTATGAGCCTTTTTGAAATGACATAATCTAAAATAATGCTGGAAGCACAGTAAATCATTTTGGATGATTTAGTTATACAGCCCAGCCAGTTGGGTATATATTTGTTTAGAAGTGATAGATACAAAGCCTGCAGTATAATGAGTAATTTTTAACTTATCCTCCAAAAGGAAATCACAATTATATTCAGCATGTTGTATTGAATAGGAGAGGAATTAGACAAATGAAGAATCTAAAAACTAATTTTTTCCTAATGAATAAGCAAAATATACTTATCTAGATACCTGCTTTCTAGCAATAAAAATTAGATTTATGTTAATGGGAATTCTACGTATTCTGAGCTCATGCTCATAGTGAAAATTTTCTAGTTTCCTTAGTTACAAATCTCAAAATGGTGTTCTACAATAAATTGTTTTCTCATTTTCTATGGGAACAATGCTTTGGCTGAAAAAAAATATATTGACTACTTAGTAATTTATTTTTATAATTAAAGACCTGTATATATCTGGATTATTTCTAGTAAAAATAATTTCTTACCATAAATATTATTGATGTTACTGAAATCCACTTCATATATTATATTGTCATAGGAATCTGTAATAACTATAAGCAAATAAGTATTCCTAAGTTGTTAGCACTCTAATTGTTTAAAAAAGTTCAAAAAAAGTACAAATTAATTAGTTATGCCAGCTCTTTAAGTGTGCTTTGCATAATCAAGCATTATAACCTTAAAGTGTTCTCCTGTTGCATAATTATTAAATTAGAACAACTCATAACAAGTGCAAGATCAAAGAAACAACAATTTAACAAAAACATTCCTTACGTACATACTTAAAACAAGTCTAGAAAGACAATACAAGATTTATTACCTTGTCATTTTGAGCCTTACCTATATTCAGATTGGCCAGCAGTCAATACAAGTGACTTGATTTGCGCCATTTCACATATCCCTAAAGAAAACATTTTCTCTTACTTTTTGTTATATTGGATTCTTAAGGTGTGTAAATTTGAAGCTCTCAGTAAATTAATAGGCTGTAGGCTCATAGGATCTTTGGCCTGACCATCTGTCCTCTATTTTCTTTTTTTTTTTTAATTTAATTTTAAGTTCCGGGATACATGTGCAGGACCTGCAGGTTTGTTACATAGATAAATGTGTGCCATACTGGTTTGCCGCACTATCAGCCCATCACCTAGGTATTAAGCCCTGCATGTATTAGCTATTTATCCTGATGCTCTTCCTCCCCCTGCCTCACCAACAAGCCCTAGTGTGTGTTGTTCCTCTCCCTGGTCCATGTGTTCTCATTGTTCATCTCCTGCTTATAAGTGAGAACATTCAGTGTTTGCTTTTCTGTTCCTGTGTCAGTTTGCTGAGGATGATGGCTTCCAGGTCCATCCATGTCCCTGTAAAAGACATGATCTCATTCCTTTTTATGGCTGCATAGTATTCCATGGTGTATATGTACCACATTTTCTTGATCCAGTCTATCATTGATGGGCATTTGGGTTGATTCCATGTCTTTGCTATTGTGAATAGTGCTGAAATGAGCATATGAGTGCATGTATCTTTCACGAAAGAAGACATTTATGCAGCCAACAAACATGAAAAAAAGCTTAACATCACTGATCATTAGAGAAATGCAAATCAAAACCCCAGTGTGATACCATCTCACACCAGTCAGGATGGTGATATTAAAATGTTCAAGAAAACAACAGATGCTGGCAAGGCTGTGGAGAAATAGGAACACCTTTACACTGCCTTCTATTTTTCTATACAGAAGCTTGTCACTTCTTAAAACTAACATTGACAGTAGTATGTCAGACTTATCACAGTTGGTAGCATTTTTTTAATAATCATAGAGGACATTTCTTTCCACTGAAGGAAAACTCAGTGAGTCTTTGAAAGAAATTTGAAACCTTGATACAATCAAGAATATACTGAAGTAACTGACTAGATAACACTGTTTTGATCATGCACCCCTGATGTCTAATGTTTTTTGCTTTTGTTGTTTTTTTCTTTACATTGCCAAAAGGTACAAAAATTACCAGAACCAAAAATTTTAAAGGGGGATTTCTTGCTGCCCCAGGGCTAGGCTAGACCTTAGGACTATGGATTCCAACATGCCTATACTGACCAATGATGGCAAATACACTACCCCAATTAAAATCAACTTGCAGGGAGTCCAGAGTCCTAGTGAGAATTTGTATAGCTTCCTAGTTTTAACATAACTAAATGAAGCAGGCTATTAGAGGGAAACTCAATCCCTTGTTGAAAGGATACTTATTTAAATTTAAGGGAATAATTAGCAGCAAAAGCAAATAACCTAATTAAATACTCTAGTAGAATGTAAAAATAGAAAATGTTAAGTATCCACTGAAACTAGAGAATAAAATAAACACAATTAGGAAAATAATATCTTGTCAAGTAGACACATTAGTAAAATTGGTATATGCCAGAGGCCTGAATGTCATTATTTTTATAAGATCAAATACATATTAATCTGACAATTCTTGACTGGGCACGGTGGCTCACGCCTGTAATCCCAGCACTTTGGGAGGCCGAGGTGGGTGGATCACAAGGTCAGGAGTTCAAGACCAGCCTAGCCAACTTGATGAAACTCCATCTCTACCAAAAATACAAAAAAAATTAGCCGGGCGTGGCAGCGGGTGCCTGTAATCCCAGCTCCTGGGTAGGCTGAGGCAGAAAATTGCTTGAACCCAGGAGGCAGAGGTTGCAGTGAGTGGAGATCACACCACTGCACTCCAGCCTGGGTGACAGAGTGAGACTCTGTCTCAAAAAAAAAAACAAAAATTCTTTAGGCTAGCATTTCCAAAATTTTGTTCCATGGAGAGCTCATTCCTTGGGGATGTGGTCTCTATGTATGAAAAATGCTGGTGTTAAATAAAGAAAATCAAATATCTTTGCTGTAGGACTTTTCAGGTCTTTTAATATTCTACTGTATTTGGTAAATCGCAAAGAGGAAACTAAAGTATTTCTCCTTTCTTTCTGCTTTATACCAAAGATCGCTTTTGCAGAGGACATAGCTAATTTGTTATTTAACATAATACACTTTGGGTGACTTCACATTAGATTATTCAACTTTCAAAGAATAGTTATGTAAATTTTTTTTTCTAGCTAGAGAAAATGTGTAGATTGAAACTAAACTGAAATTATCTATAACATAGGGAATTATTCCTGAAATAGGTTAGCATTTTATTCAAAATTGGTTTCTAATTATGTCTGCAAATATACTGATGTTTGGAGAAGGTAATTGCTTACAATTTTTGTAATTACAAATAATCATGTAAGACAGGAAAATGTGAACAGCTATCCCCTAAAATAGAAAACTATCACACCGAAAGCTCTCATTGTCAGATCAGTCCATCATCTAAAGAAATCAAAGATTGTGAGCTTAATTTTAAAGCGTTTGGACATTGAAAAAACCTATCCCAAGATATCCTAAAAAAGAAACATTTTACATTTTATTTTCTTTGAAAACTGTTCACAACAAATAGATTAGTCAGTAATAAGTAGGATCCCTTTCCTCAAGAAAGACTTTCCATTTTGTTGTTTAGATATATCCACTGAGTACTTACAAAACTTGCTACTCACCATTATATCTGGAGAAACCATGCAAAATTTCCTAAACAATGACTATCAAATTGTTTTGTCTCTGTCTCTTTGCACTAAAGAGAATGGATTTTTTTTTGCATTGCTGTTATTTTTATTTTGAAAATCTCCTGAGAGTCTTATTTATTGCCACTAGATATACAAAATTTAAAAATGAATTTCTAAAATGTTTGGATTGCTGAAAACAGTCAAGTACATTGGCTGATATGATCGATCAGAGCAGAAATACATTAACTTAAGGACAATGAGGCACATATGCTGTTATATATGCTACCCTAAAAAAATGTATACTTCAGAGAGACTGAGATAGTATCTCTCTCTCTTTCTCTCTCCCCTACGTGTGTGTATGTGCAACACATACATAAGTATAAATGCAAATATAAGAACATGTGTTTAATGCCATTTATTTTGGAAAATGCAAGAGAAATATTGTAAAAATAAAATCCAGAGGGTTTAATAATATTTCCTTCTTCATAGCTTCTAGCACAATTACTAGACTATTAAAATAATACTTTTGATCACTATTCTTATGCAGCGTAATAGGGAATCTATAATTTCATCTCCTAAACCATATCTCAGATTAATTCAGAAAGTAAATGTGATGGAGTTACTTTTGATATTCCTTATAGAAGGATGGAGCATACATGCTAAATCTCATTTTTGTGATGTTGAACCTCAAAAGGATTCTATGTTGCAGGGGGTGAGCAGGTATGTTCACATGAACAAATATGAGAATTTGATATGAATTTTATAAAATTATAAGCAGTAGTCTTAACATTGAGTGTATTTTACTTAGATATGGTGAAATATGTGTTCATCAACTACTAGAGACTATCCAGAGATAGACATAACCAGATAACCAGGATAACTAGAGAAATACAAGTTTAAGACACAAGAAAAGTATACAAATGATCAGCCAATTAGAAAGATATCACATGAGGTCTTTGGATTTAAAATGTAACAAACAGGCTGGGCACAGTGGTTCACACCTGTAATCACAACACTTTGGGTGGCCAAGACAGGAAGATCAATTGAGGCCAGGAGTTCAAGACCAGCCTGGCCAACATGGCAAAACGCTGACTCTCCTAAAAATACAAAAATTAGCCAGTGATGGTGGTACATACATGTAATCCCACCTACTTGGGTGGCTGAGGCATGATAATTGCTTGAACCCAGGAGATGGAAGCTGCATTGAGCCGAGATCGTGCCACTGCACTCTAGCCTGGGAATAGAGCAAGACTCTATCTAAAAAAAAAAAAAAAAAATTAACAAAATGTTTTTAACAAACAGAGCCATGGGCCCTGAGCTGGGGGTTCTGGCCTTGAGATTTTGCTTCAGGATGACTGGATGGCACTCCAGCATCTACACAACCAGGGTTTCAGATTGGTGTTGATCTTGTTTGCAGAGGAACAGTTCCTTAGTCCCCCTAGCCTCAAACTCCACATTTGTAAAATGTACCAAAGTAACAACAGGTTTCTTGGAATATCAAAATGCTCTCACCATGCAAGTAAAAGTAATAATCCAGTGTCAATGATGTGTGTAGTCCAAGGAAATGTATTTTGAAGTCCTTAAAATGAAGAGTCAATGAAACACAAATAGCAGAATGGATTAGAAAAATACATATCTGGCCGGGCGCGGTGGCTCACGCCTGTAATCCCAGCACTTTGGGAGGCCGAGGCGGGTGGATCATGAGGTCAGGAGATCGAGACCATCCTGGCTAACAAGGTGAAACCCCGTCTCTACTAAAAATACAAAAAATTAGCCGGGCGCGGTGGCGGGCGCCTGTAGTCCCAGCTACTCGGGAGGCTGAGGCAGGAGAATGGCGTGAACCCGGGAAGCGGAGCTTGCAGTGAGCCGAGATTGCGCCACTGCAGTCCGCAGTCCGGCCTGGGCGACAGAGCGAGACTCCGTCTCAAAAAAAAAAAAAAAAAAGAAAAATATATATCTATAGGTCTGTGCTATAGGACAAAATATGCATAAGTATATAGAGCGTAATAAATAAATCTAACAAATATGTTTACAAGTAAACATGCACACACAGAAGTAATATGGGAGAAGTGGAGTGAGGGATATCAGGGGGCAACCAGAAAGCTCCATTTAAAGGGTGCAGACGCTACGTAACTGAGTCCAATTGCGTTCACGTATCTCTTTCTGCACAGCACTTCTAATATTGGATGTTATCACTTTTTTACACCAACTTGATAGGTGGAAAAAAATTACAACTCATTTTGAAATGCATACATTCTTTGACTCAGCAAAAATTTTCCTTATGAACATTTTAAAAAATGTTTAACAAAAGATTTTCCTTATGAGCACTTTTGCATAATTTGCTAACCATATTTATGAAGTTGCTCATTGCTGTAGCTTTAAGTCAAGAAAAATTTGCAAACAATCTGTGTGTCCATTAACTAGTTATAGAACTCATGATGCTATTTTAAACAGTAGAATATTGTAGCTTTTAAAAAAATTTATAGATAAATACATGCTGATAAGAAAATTTCTCCAAGACCTACTATTAAGTAAGTAAATGTCATGCAGGAGAGTTATGTAGTGTCAACAAAGGTTATCATAGGTTTGTTAATCATATACATATTAAAATGTTTCTACACAGATGTACAAAGAACATTTTATTTGAATTACATTGAGGGAAATGAATTTTTTTACTTATAATTTTACCATATCTATAGAATTACTTTTAATTTTATAAAACTCGTTAACAGTTTCTATCTGGAATTTTTAAAAAATTCTTACTTTTTTAATCCTTACAATTTTTCAGGCTATACTATTGAGAATGATTGATATTATGGATACAGGGAGATGTGAAAATACTATAGAGTTTTAGGAGAGAATTGAGGACTTGGGACTAGAAGAGGTAAGATAGCTCAGTATATCTGGTTTGAATTCTGTATCTTCTAAGTTAATGAATCCAAATGAAATAATTCATGGAAAATTCTGAGAATAGTGTCACATACACAGTAACTATGTAAGTGCTGGCTATATTCGAATTGTAGTATCAGTGGGGCTAGGGAGAAATGGTTGAGTTTGAGAATTTTTTATGAGATTAAAATGAAAAGAACTTGGGTTGATTATCTGTAGTGGGAGGTAAGAAAGCAGGAGGTGTTAAGGAGAACTCCCAGGTTAGTTTTCTGGCCTGAGCAACTTGTATGGCTGGTGGTTTGTGATATGAGACAGAAACCCCTGGAGAAAGATTAAGTTTGAAAGGGAAGATTGTGAATTCTATTTTGGACTATGTTTCAATGTGCTCATCAGATAGTTAAATACTGGTGAGTAGTAGGCAGACTAGGGGAGAGGTATGGGATGGAAATAGAAATTTCTGAGTTATCAGCACCTAAACGGTGTTTAAAATTTCAAAGTATATGTGTACCTGGGGAGAGAGTGTAGCATGAGAAGAAAAAAATGCAATTCTGAGAAACTCCCTCTGTAAAGGTGTGTGAGAGAAGCAGCAGCTGCGGCAGATGGAACTGAGAAAGGGTTATTCAGAGGAGCAAGAGAGAAATCATGAGAAACAGAAAAAAAAAAGTATTTTTAAAAATATTCCATGTGATGGGGACTGAATCAGAGGGAGTTGAGAGTACCCTATCTTTAGTCTCAACTCAAACTTCAGCTGCCCTAGGAAAGTGCTTTTGGCATTCCAATAACTCCTCATTTTTATTTATTTTTTTTGTATTTGTATTTATTTTTTTGATACAGGGTCTTGCTCTGTTGCCCAGGCTGGAGTGCAGTGGTGCAATCTCAGCTCACTGCATGCCTCTGCCTCCTGGGCTCAAACAATCCTTCCTTCTCAGCCTCCTGTGTAGCTGGGACTACAGGCATGCACCACCACACCCAGCTGATTTTTGTACTTTTAGTAGAGATGGGGTTTTGCCATGTTTCTCAGGCTGGTCTCAAACTCCTGGGCTCAAGCCATCTGGCTGCCTTGGCTTCCCAAAGTGCTGAGATGAGTCATTAGCCACCAAGCCCGGCCCTCATCTTTAAAATATACATATTTAACCCAAAATTCCTGATCTTATTTTCTCAAGACTACAGCCCACTTCCAGTTTCTTTTTTTTTTTTTTTTCCAAAACATTTCAAAATCCTCTCCCTACCTACCCAGGCTAGAAGCTATCCTTGGCACTTCTTCCTCTATACACAAGTAGGGTTTTGCCTCAGTTGCTCTTAATTCCCAATATAATACCACAATCCCTTCCTATATTTCACCAGAATTAGAGTAACAGTTTCCTTACCTGCATACTCCTCCTCCCACAGCTCCGTCTATTCACGAGATGGTTGCATCATTCTTTCCTATACTCTTAAGTACTTCCAGAGATCCACCATTGATTGCGTCAACTACCAGATACTGTGGCTCAAAGCTTTCTGTATTGTAACCTAACCTACGTCTCCAGAATTTTCTCATCATTTTCATTAACTCAAGTGTTTCCACTAAGCTCACGCCTGAGCAGTTTTTACTTCTACAGTCTCTATGTCTTTGTTTATACAGTTCTCTTTGCCTACAATTTGTTTCTTCCAACAATCCAAGTCCTCAAAGACCAGCTGGAGTACCTAGTTTCTCAAAGGGCTTCATCAATAAATGACAGCCTTAGAACTCCTTGGTACATATTGATTACATTAGTTTTTCACAATTATTGTCTTACATTATTGCCATTTCAGTAAGAAAATCTTAACTCCTTTACCCTTCTCAAAAATATCTCAGCAACCAGAACATTGTACTATATGTGTAAGCAAAAAAAATTTAAAAAGTATTACATATTTAAGCATTGTATTTTTTAAAATTTTAAATTATTTTAAAATTTTTGGGGGGTACACAGTAAGTGTATATATTTATGGGTTGATTTTTCTGACTCTAATTTGATAACAACTAAGATTTCATATATTTTACAACAAAAGATTTATTCACTGATATTTTCCATGAAAGTTAATCAACATAATTTTCGTAGTCATACAACTCTCTTCACCTTTTCCTATATCGTAACTCAAACTATTTGAAAATATGTTTTTAAGTAAATTCACCCTTACTTTAATAACAGAATACTTGAGACCAAAAACAGTTTTTAAAAAAGTTGAGTTTCAAGGAAACAGGCAGACTTCTTTTGTGTCGTCTTGAATCCGTTTGGCTGGAATACCCACCATCAGGTTAGATAGCCATTATCTACCTTAGAAAAGAAGTGGTGGATAGAAGCAAAGCTCATTTAAGAATTTTCTCCTGAATTGGCAAATACGTGTTTATTCTAAGTTGGAATAAGTTAAATATAGCTATAAAATGCTATCTGTGCTATTTTAAATCAAGACTTTACTTATTTAAACAAAACAGAACAAAAAACACACAGTTCTCTCTCACATGGCCACAGAGGGATCTGATCCACTTTTGACATACAATTGTTGGACTAGACATGGAAAGTATTTTATTTGAAAAGGAAATTTAATGATTGTCATTCCAAAAAGTTCTCTCTGGTGGGAAGATGTTTCACTGGAATGACAGTAATAAAATAGAAATGTCTTGATATACTTTTTTCACTTTAGCAAACTGATTTCTGATCTGAGTTCTCACAGAATTGCAAGTGTGCCCAAGACTTTGTGTCTATTAATTACTTCTTAATGCAAACATCATTTTTTTCTTCCATTGTTGTGGTGATCAGTGTACACTTTGATTTAAAACACATTTTGATTATTTTGACAGTCCTTTCACAACATATTCAGTTCTTTCTAAATCATTCATAAGCAATCTGTTTGATTTTGTCACACACATTTCCTTGATTTGCTATAAATATATGTAAACATTTTCATTAAAGAGGCAAGAAGAGTTTGAATGTTAGATCCAAAAAAAATAATGAATTAATTAAACACATACACACACATACACAAAAAAACACCCTCAAATGCCTGACCTCTAGGAATGGATTCAATTCCAAATATCCATGTGTTAAATAAGGCAGACAAATTGCTTTAAAAAGACACTGAAACACAGACCAAAATGAATAGCAAATCTTTAAAAACAAACCTAACTTTTGTTCTTTAGTATGCTTGTTTCACACTCACTTTATTAAAAAGTTGAAAGATAGAACTGCCAAACATATACATAAATGAATAGGAATGCAGCGCTAATAATTTCCAGTAGAAGTCATCATTTGGTTTCCTTATGAGGTCCTCTCTCCACTGTGAATGCTATTTCTTGTTAAACCACTTTGGAATAATCCATTATTCCCAAAGACAAATTACCCAAGTCTATGCTGTTAACCTTGTTACAGATTGGCACTTATCATTACAGATTATATCAGGTTCTATAAGATTGTCTATTATATTGGTTGAGGAAAAAACATTTGTGCTCTGCCAGTGACAATTTTCCCTTAATTTAGGAATTCCTATTTCTTACAGAGGCCAGCTGGAAATGAGTAAAGCATAACAGAGCCTTCCTTAGCTGTTGGCCTGGAGAATACACATTCTCTCCAAAATATATATCTTTGGCATAGTCTAGAAGTAAGGAATCTTGGGTAATCTCTGTGCTGGCCAAGTGTGAGAATTATGATTTTTAACCCCTAAATGCACTGAAATGTTTTTTTTTCCTTTAAGAATTAAAAAACAGACTGCTGTTAGTTGAGTTTTTTAATCTAACAAAAATTTAAATAAACACCTTAGAGTGATATTTTTACTGTTGTGTTTTCTGCCTCCTCTTTGGTAAAGTATTTAACATGACATTTATAGGATTTACAGCTTGAAGAGTTTTACAGTTTCTTTAGGATGTGTTTAACATGCATAGATTAATAGTTCCATGAACTCACTGACAAACTAGTAGATTATATAACCTAAATCTACGCATTTATTTATACCGTAATCTCCCATATGGCCCCCAAATCTAAGTAATCTAAATATTCAGAGTGACAAATGACTAGCTAGTACTGAAACAGTACTTATATGACTTTTCTGAAGTCCTGACATGAAAGGTAGAAACTAACATTTAGTTAATAATTTTAAACTTTGGCATTTTACCATGGATTCTCCATGTATAAAACTAGATGTGGAAGTCTTTTCTTTAGCCCCATGTTCAAAATCACGTATTACTTCAAATTATAACTTAATGGACAAATATGGAACATTTTCTCTAACAGCAGTTGTTAGTCAAATAAGTAGAGTTAGTAATTATCTCAATGCATATTTTCAAAACGATATGATTAAAGTAAAATATCAAACTGCCAGTTGAAGAAATATTTCATTCTAACACTAAAACATTTATCAGCTGGGCGCAGTGGCCCACATCTGTAATCCCAGGACTTTGGGAGGCCGAGGTGGGCAGATCACTTGAGGTCAGGAGTTCAAGACCAGCCTGGCAAATATGGTAAAACCCCATCTCTACTAAAAATACAAAAATTAGCTGGGCATGGTGGCAGCACCTGAAATCCCAGCTACTTGGAAGGCTGAAGCGGGAGAATCACTTGAACCTGGGAGGCAGAGATTGCAGTGAGCCCAGATTGCGCCACTCCTCCAGCCTGGGCAACAGACGGAGACTTCATCTTAGAAATAAATAAATAAAATTAAATATTTATCTTTTTTTCTTTTGAGCTTTTTGTGCCAATCAGTAAGAGCTTCTAACATATACTTTAATTTTAGGACAGTATGTGTGTATGTATATATATATATATATATATATTTATTTTTTTTTTTTTTGGAGACAAAGTCTTGCTCTGTCACCCAGGCTGGAGTGCAGTGGTGTGATCTTGGCTCACTGCAACCTCCGCCTCCAGGGTTCAAGCGATTCTTGTTCCTCAGCCTCCCGAGTAGCTAGGATTAAAGGTGTCCGCCACCACGCCCGGCTGATTTTTCTATTTTAGTAGAAACAGGGTTTCACCACGTTGGCCAGTCTGGTCTCAAACTCTTGACCTCACCCACCTTGGCCTCCCAAAATGCTGGAATTACAGTTATGAGCCACCACGCCCAGCCTAGGACAGTATATTTTTATACTTCTTCATTCACTTTGAGAAGTATTAATAAATCCTTATTTTTACAAAGAAAGAATTACAAGACTCAGTGTCACAATTCTAGTATAGTTGTTTATGCAAGTTAAATACAGAAAAATAGCATAATTGTTGGCTGCTTGCTGGATAGCAACAGTGTAAGACTTCAAAAATTAGCATGCGGGACAGTCCAGTGGATGCCAGAGCCCATGGAGTGCAGAAGCCATACAAGAGTCAGAGGTCAATGGAAAGAATGAGTGTCTGCTCTCTAAACAGGAGAGTAGTTAAGAGGTTTTTAGGAATAGCCCATTTATAAAGTGTTTAGTGAAATGAAGTTGTTCAGAAGTGCCTACGTTGCTTCTTGGACTAGCAGACAACAATAGTCTTTGGTGAATTTGGCAGAGACATGATAATGGCTAGCTTATACCATGAGCCATCACATAAATTTCTACGTATGATTCATGAATTTTCAGTGACAGAAAGATAATTTTATACTTTACAAAAGTAGATTCAAGTTGTACTATGTATAAGCCTTGAAGAACCCATTGACATCATGGTTGACTATTCTCTTGTCTCATTTGGGCACTTTAGAAATTTGTGGATGGCTATTTATTGGAGCTTGTGTAGCCCCTTTGAATTAAACACGTTTTACTTATTTCAGTATATTTCAGAGCATGTTTGCTATGATTCACCGGAATTGAGTGGATACCTACTAAGCATAGTGGTGTTCATATAAACTATGGGAAAGAATACATGAAGATGATCTTGATAAAAATATTCAACTATATCATAAAAGGAACATTTCTATATAAAATAATGAAAATTTAGCAACAGAGTACTTTCATGTCTTCTGTGTAGCATTTGACCCATCAAAAATTTCTTTATAACATTGTGCTATTTTAGACCTAATTAACCTCAGTTCCTAAAATGTATCAGATTACACTTGAAAAACTTTAATTTCATCAGGCCACAGATTTTCAACAGTACACACTCACTGATCTTGAACATACTGGAGCTATGACATCTGTAAATGTCTCAAGGTAAATGGACATTTCTTTGAGCATCTTCTATAAGGTTGAAGTTCACCTATTTTTCAGTGTTAAACCAAGGTCTTTTTTTTTTATTTATTTTACTTTAAGTTCCAGGATACGTGTGCAGAACATGCAGGTTTGTTACATAGGTAAACGTGTGCCATGGTGGTTTGCTGTACCTTTCAACCTGTCACCTAGACATTAAGCCCTGCATGCATTAGCTATTTGTCCTGATGCTCTCCCTCCCCTTCTCCACCCCCAACAGGCCCCAGTCTGTGTTGTCGCCCTCCCTGTGTCCATGTATTCTCATTGTTCAGCTCCCACTTATGAGTCAGAACATGCAGTGTTTGGTTTTCTTTCCCTGCGTTAGTTTGCTGAGGATGATGTCTTCCAGCTGTATCCATGTCCCTGCAAATGACATGACCTCATCCCTTTTATGGCTGCATAGTATTCCATGTTGTATATGTACAATATTTTCTTTATCCAATCTATCACTGATACACATTTGGGTTGGTTCCATGTCTTTGCTATTGCGAATAGTGCTGCAATAAACATATGTGTGTGTGTATCTTTATAATAGAATGATATATATTCCTTTGAGTATATACCCAGTAATGGGATTGCTGGATCAAATGGTATTTCTGGTTCTAGATCCTTGAGGAATCACCACACTCTCTTCCACAATTGTTAAACTAATTTACATTCCCACCAGCAGTGTAAAAGTGTCATATTTCTCCACAGCCTCACCAGTATCTGTTGTTTCTTGACTTTTTAATAATCACCATTCTGACTGGTGTGAGATGGTATCTCACTGTGGTTTTGATTTGCATTTCTCTAATGATCAGTGATGTTGAGCTTTTTTTCATGTTTGTTGGCTGCATAAATGTCTTCTTTTGAGAAGTGTCTGTTCATGTCCTTTGCCCACTTTTTGATGGGGTTGTTTTTGTCTTCTAAATTTGTTTAAATTCCTTGTAAATTCTGGATATTAGACCTTTGTTAGATAGGTAGATTGCAAAAATTTTCTCCCATTCTATAGGTGGCCTTTTCATTCTGACGATAGTTTCTTTTGCTGTGCAGAAGCTCTTTAGTTTAATTAGATCCCATTTGTCAATTTTAGCTTTTGTTGCAATTGCTTTTGGTGATTTCATCATAAAATCTTTGCCCATGCCTATGTCCTGAATGATATTGCCTAGATTTTCTTCTAGTGATTAAACTAAGATCTCAGCAACACTTTCCATTAATGCCATAAGTAATACAATTTCAGGAGTGAAATTTCCATGTTCACTTTTCTCGTGTTATTTAACTTGTCAGCAGTGTCTCCTGTCTCATTCATCTTTTGTGATAGAAGAAAGGATTTCACACCTTGTTTTGTCCAGGAAATGGACTTCACAACTATTCATAGTTCATTTCATCCCTTTGTTTCTACAATAATGTCAGAGTTAAGAATTTGTTAAGATTTTTTGCGTGTGTTTTTATTTCCTACACATTTTCATTTTCTCTCATTTGTCTGTGTTTAGGCCAATCCATAAATTTGTCAAATCATTTTGTCATCTGAGCCTATGTTTATCAGTAATGCCAAACCCTGTCTGCTCAGTGCTATCATCTGTCTTAGTAGATATAATTTTATAAGAGATCATGTCTGTATCTGTTACTACATCATCCATGGTCATTTGTAGAAAAAATATAAACATCTGAGTTAAGTAAACTTCGACTCTACACTTCTGTAAACTTGAACATTGCTTATACTTCCCCCAGGTATTTCCCTTTCAGCTAGTTTATTTAGATTAAATTATTTTCAGGTAAAATAAAGTCATTCGGCTCTTATTACCTGGCATAAGAATGGCAGGTAATAATGTAGGAAATGGCAGGAAATTAAGCTTTAGAGACTGAAAACAAGTATAGGGTTTAAGAAGGTATATTTCATTTGTAAAGAAGATTAAGCCTTTTTCTTGTTACCAAGTTGATTTGCTAGCATTTCTATTTGAGCTTCTCATTTACTAAACTATTTCTCTAATCATTTTGAGAGTCCAAAGTGTTTAAATTATTGAGAATTATTCTATCATGTTTAGTGTTTGACATGTGAGCCACAGCATAGACATAATTTAATATAATCTTAGACATTGTCACTAATGTCCAGGGCAATAAAAGATTTATTTCATTATAAAAGAAATATAAGGTTGTCAATGAAAAGAGTCAAACTGTGTAAAATATTTAAAGAGATTTATTCTGAGCCAAATATGTGTGACCACAGCCCATGACACAGCCCTGGGAAATTCTGAGAACGTGTACCCATGGTAATCAGGCTACAGCTTAGTTTTATACATTTTTGGGAAACGTAAGACACCAATCAATACATGTAAGATGTGCATTGGTTTGATACAGAAACAACTTGAAGAGGGGGCTACCAGGTCATAGGTGGATTCAAAGATGTTCTGATTGGCAATTGATTGAAAGAATTTATTTAAAGACCTGGAATCAATAGAAGGGAGTGTGTCTAGGTTAAGATAAGGGGTTGCGGAGACCACTGTTCTTATGCAAGTGCAGCCTCTACTTAGCAGGCTTCAGAGAGAATAGATTGTAAATGTTTCTTATCAGATTCAAAAAGATGCCAGATTCTTAGTTAATTCTCTTCTGGATCAAGAAAAAGACCTGGAAAGAGAAGGAGATTCTTTACAGAATGTAGATTTTTCCCACAAGAGCAGCTTTGCATGGCCATTTCAAAATATGTCAAGAAAATAAGTTTTGGAGTAAATTACTTTGATTTCTTTCAGGGCCTGCTATCTGTCATATTCTTATTGCTACAAAGAGTCTGCTTTGTCAATCTTAAGGTCTCTTTTTTAACGTTAATGCTGGTCAGCTATGCCTGAATTCCAAAGGGAGGAGGGTATAATCAGGTGTGTTCTATTGTTACCAGCAGCAAATCCATTGAGTCTACAGCAACCTCAGTTCTTGTCTCCTCAGAAGAAAGAATTTGACTGAGAAGCATAAGGCAGAAGGAGAGACCAAGGCAAGTTTTATAGCAGGAGTGAAAGTGAAGCAGCATCATTATCTGGGGTAAATACCCGAGGTTTGTTGTCTCATGCCAGGGGCAGACACACAATAAGTAAGCTTAAGAGCAGAGGTTTAATAGGCAAAAGAAAGAGAAAAGAGAATAACTCTCTTTCGTAGAAAGAGAAGGACTCCGGAGTGTGTCTTCTGATTTTGTGGTGAAATGCAGGAGGTTTTATAGATGAGGTTGAGGAGACAGTATCTAATTTACATAGGGCATGAGAGATTGGTTGGACCCAGTGTGCCGTTTGTTTGCATAGCACAGGAAGAAGCTGGCCACCCCACCCTAATCTTCTATTATGCAGATGGGTTCTCCACTTGGCTGGCATCATGTTGACTGTTCTTTATTCTACACCTGGATGACAAAGAAAAAGGGAGAAGGACCCTCAATGTTGAACATATCTGGGCCCCAGGTAGCCTTTTCCTATTGGCACAGTTGCCGGCATTCACCCATGCAAGCTTCTAGTTTCTATGTCTGCAGTTCAATTTTACAGGCTGCTCTTTGTTAGAAAAGAAATGATTTGGGGGCTGCTTTTCATTAAAAGAAAAACATTACTAAGGACTCTCTGACTCTCACAAACTGCCTAAATAATTTCTTTCTAGCTAGTGTATGAAAAATGTATTAAAAAACTTTAGAGCAGGAATGAAAGGACGGAAAGTAAACTTGGAAGAGGACCAAGCAGGTAACTTGAAGGACAAGTGTGCAGTTTGACCTTTTGACTGGGGGTGTTATATGTTGGCATGCTTCTGGGGTCTTCCATTCCTTCTCCCCAGTTCTTCTTTTGGGGTGAGCTGTCCACATGCACAACGGCCGGCTCACACTTGGGAGGGGAGCATGCGCAGTGTGTTTACTGGAGTTGCATGCATGCTCACTTTAAGGTGCTCTTCTCTTACTAGTCTAATATTCCTAGGAGGTCATATACGAGTTAAACTCCACCATTTTTCCTCTTAATGCTTATGCTTGAGCCCACTTGCCCAATTCCTGAGATCTTATTGGAAAGTTGCTGATCACCAGTTTCAGGTTTTTTCTATCTATAGAGAAACTGCCTTCCCCAGGGGCTGGTTGCAACTAATTATTATTTTAGAGAGACAGTTAACAACCTCCTGACCATCACCTGATGGTCGCCTGACATTCCTGGTTGCGGGGGAGGGAGAGTCCCACTTCTGCCCTGGTCATGTCTGCCTGACTATCTAGCATAACACTACCACCCATTCATGGCCTAAATTTGTGTTTCAGGTTTACTTCTAGAATGCTCTTGGCTGAGGGGAGGGGTCCATTCAATTAGTTGGGGGACTTAGAATTTTATTGTTGGTTTACATGGTGAAATTATCTCATGTGTACCCAAGTACAGAGAAGATTGTACTTTCCTTAGGTAGATTTAATTGATGAATATCACTACGGCAATGGAACAAATTTTGCTTTCAGAGACCTTGGGGCTTATTTTTTGGTGGGGAAAAGGGATTATCGACATCAACTTTCCTTGTGTCTTGTTGTTTGTCTACGTCAAAAACTTGCTTAAGTCCTAAATCCTTGTAAGCAATTTTCTAAGCTGTTTAAGTTTGCTCTAAAGATGATTGCTTTCGTTTTACTCTAGTAAACCTGGGACATCATGATTGTGTTTCCTATTCAGAATTAAATCTCGTACATGGAGTAGATTCATGAGGTGCTTTGTTTCAAAGGTCTTTTGGGGCAATATTAAACTGTTTGGGGAACAGAATATCTATCAGACAATACAAGACTCTCTTTTTAAAATACTCTAGTCAGAAAATTTTCCTTGTAAAAGAAATTTCAATAGCAAGTTATCTGGTAAACTCTGTATTTCTTTCCCATTTGCTGGCAAATTGATGTTGACATTTTAGCATTTGGCTTTTTAGTGGAACTCTATAGTGTGTCTTGTTTCAAATATACATTAAATTACTTGATACACATGTGAAGAGCGAGATTTAGCATTTATTAGAAAGAAGGACTGAAAGAAGGGAGAAGGGAAGGAAGGGGAGAGAGAGAGCGCCATGGAATCTGAAGAAACACCTACTTAAGGGTCCACTCTACTCATTTGCCCCCTTGTTATTAAACATTTTGGAACATCATAGCACACAAATGTATGAATAAAACTATATAGTGCATATAGTGGAAATAACATTATATCTGGAATCAAAAGACTTGCATTTGAGGTTTGTCTGTCCTTATGGGGCATGTCTTTGTATGATCTCCTTGAGTCCTACCCTGATTTTCCCATTTGAATTACAAAACCCCTTATCCCAAACATTTCTCATCCTCTCTCCCAGCTTTAATTTTTTCCATAGTACCTGTTAACATGTAAATTATAGTATACTTTCCTCCTTTATTTTTTTGCTCTTACCCTCTCCCCCATTAAGATGTAAGCTCCTGGGGGCCCCTGTTCTTGTCTGTTTTGCTTACTATTACATCCCAGTCTCCAGACATGGCACATTGGCTCAGTAAATATTTGTTGAATGAATAAATGAAATACATGCCTCACACTTTCCATTAGCAATGTTGTTAGGGTTATGAGAAAGATAACCAAGATATTCTATGTAAAAGCATATTAGAGGCATGGAATATAATAGGTATTTCATATGTCTGTTCATTTGTGTTTATTGTCTAATACATGATCTGTCAGTAGGTTGTCTGTAGAGAAGGTGACTAGATGTTTTAGTTTATCCAGGACTGTCCCAGTATGCCTACAGTCTGGCAAAAATTATTATCAGCAACTTATTTCACAAATGTCCTGATATGGATAATAAATTATATGATCACCCTATCTAAAGATGAATCATGCATATGAATTGTCCTTAGAGCAAAAGTTTACCTCATACCATATAACCTGAGTTATACTAAAAATGCAATAAAAAAGCTTTCAAAATTCATTAATGTTTAATTTAACAGTAAAGTAGGATAATAGTCTAACATGGCAGTATGTGGAAAAGGGAAATATTTCGGTTTTAACATAAGAGAAATATTAGCAACTTTCAAGTATTAAATAGTGCTTAAGCATTTAAATGCTGAATTCAGTATTTTTTAAGTTAAAACTCTAATTCCAGCACTTCTTGCCTGTAAAACCGTAGACAGTAGACAGTTTGTGAATTTATGTGAGCCTCTACTTTCTCCTCTGTTTAAAAGGGATAATAGTATTCATGGCCTTCATGTGAGATATTAAAATAAATATAAGCTTTAACAAAGTGCCTGGCATATAATAAACACTAAATAAGTACTAGCTTCTTTCTCTTAGCATTGAATGGAGGAAAAACTTTCAGAAGTAGTACTGTCAGAGGCTTTGGAACCAGAGAGACTCTGTCTTGCATAGGGCCTGGTAAAATAAGGCTGAGACCTACTGGGCTGCATTCCCAGGAGGTTAAGGCATTATAAGTCACAGGATGAGATGGGAGGTGGGCACAAGATACTGGTCACAAAGACCTTGCTGATAAAACAGGTTGCGGTAAAGAAGCTGGCCAAAACCCACCAAAACCAAGATGGTGATGAAAGTGTCTTCTGGTCCTCCTCACTGCTCATTATACACTAATTATACATTATGCATTAGCATGCTAAAAGACACTCCCACCAGCACCATGACAGTTTACAAATGCCATGGCAACATCAAAAAGTTACCCTATGTGGTTTAAAAAGGGGAAGAACCCACAGTTCTGGGAATTGCCCACCTCTGTCCCGGAAAATTCATGAATAATCCACCTTTTGTTTAGCATATAATCAAGAAATAACTATAAGTATACTAAATTGAGTAGCCCATGCCCTGCTCTGCCTATGGTGTAGCCCTTCTTTTATTCCTTTATCTTCTTTTTTTAAATTATACTTTAAGTTTTAGGGTACATGTACACAACGTGCAGGTTTGTTACATATGTATACCGTTCAGGACATAGGCATGGGCAAGGACTTCATTTCCTTTATCTTCTTAATTACCTTGCTTTCACTTTAAGGACTCACCCTGAATTCTATCTTGTAAGAGGTCCAGAAGCCCCCTCTCTTGGGGTCTGGATCAGAGGCCCTTTCCCATAACAGTACTATTGGTTTCCTTTGATCACAAGGCAACAAAGTGGCTTTGTAGTGTAACTGATTATTTAAATATTACATGACTGGCTAAAAGTGGATGAAATTGCCTAGCTTCCACAGTGGTAGTAATCTACTTCTAACTCCATTGATTTTATGTCATTGTGTTTTGTTAATAAATGTTATTGAATAAAATACCAGATCCATAGTAAATAATCTCTGGTGTTTGTATTTTTTACAAAGGACCATGAACATAATGAGTGGTCAGTAAATATTTGAAAACAAAAATAAATAATGTAGTATTCTGAGACATTCAAGCAAACTGTAATTTTAAGACTATGTTAGACAGGACTTCTACTTGCAGAAAGCTAAGACTTGTCACAACTGTAAGCTGGCAAAGTGGATAATAGTTAATGAGATTAGAGTCTTTACTCTTAGGTAGCTTCACCACTTAGAAATTTTCACCACCTAGATGACAGTAACTTTTAATAATAAATTATTTGGAGTTTTACTTTGATAGTAATTTAGACCTGAACCTGCAGCTATGATCTACTACAATACCTTGTCTAACAAAAAGGAAAAATAAGTTTCAGGTAAATTATTTGCTAAAGGCAAATAATTAGAAGCCAGGTCTCCTAATTTGGAGGTCAGAATTATTTTGGCTTTTTCTTTAATGTCTGTGTGTTTTTAATCATAGTGACATTATTTGAAAAGATATTTGATTATTCAATATTGTCTTCTATAATAAAAATAATAAATAGTTTAGAAGATAACTTGGGATTTCAATTGTTCTATTTTGAATGACTGTCCATTTTCCATATATTTGTAATAAAAGTTTTACCAAATTATATTTTATAAAGAAAATACTTACTAGTAAGAACTTGATATTTTATTATTAAAATATTCTAATGAAAATTAGATTCTAAGGCTAAAAGATTATTTATTTTAATAATAAAGCAAATCTATTAGTTATTAGTTTCTCAAGCAGAAAATTATACTGTTTTAGTTTAATGAATTACAGAATTTCCATTATTTCTTGGAGAATATTTTTATTTCCAGGTTATGCCCAAATAGTTACAAAACGTAATTTGCCTATAAAATGCAACTAACATCTTTTCTTAGACCCCAAAATTTTATAAAAGGTGCTATTCAGCCATTATCTGCTAAGATTATATATTGTGAGTTATCATGTGTCTACTGTTATTTTATGTCATTTTCAATAATACTGAAAAATGATGTGTTACTTTGCTTTGCTCATATCCCTTGGAGTTGATTATGTAAGATTGACTAAAAGTGTCAGGAATAGTCTGTGACTAATTATGGGCCTCTTTGAAATATCGAGAACCTTCTTTATCACATCAGAGTGAGCTCATCTTTCTAAGCCTTCTGTTATTCTTTTGGTTTCTCAAATATTGTGATCTTTTTCAAGATTTACAGAAATTTTAGGAATAGATACTAGAACAGTATTTTGTTCTATGTAATATTAATCCCTTAAAAGTTTTAGTTAAACTGTATTGCATTGTCCTGAAAATACTTTTCTAAGCATGTCTTTATTTATATGATTATATCCATTGTATAGAGTGGTATTGAGATTAAGGCTTTTAAAGGAGAAAGACCATGTCAAAGAGTCCTTCTATAATAGCTGGAAATTATAATAAAGCTTACACTGAACTGGAAATATTCAAATCCTGTAGAAGTTTAAGAGAAAAAGTCAGGTTTAAAGGACATAACATCCTAGTTTGTTGTTCTTTGATCTGCTATTTGCAGAAAGCTAAGAATTCATCAGATACAAAGATAATATTTTGCAGAAATATATACAGAGTAAAACTTAGAAAGTTATGTTATCTGTAGATTCATGTTCATGACATGCACATAAAATTCCATTATTCTGCAGTAAGCTATTGTCATAACAGAAATATAGGCTTCATTATTGAACATGACATACAAACAACTCTAACATAATTTACCATGCAAATAGTAATACATAATTTACCACATAAGTAGTACCATGATACTACTTACAGACAAGAAGCAATACAAAGGGTCTATGTTAAATACAGAACATGTACTTTTGGCCAGTAATTTCCAAACTCAGACCGCACAGCATAATCAGCTAAATACTTTTACTAAAAATGCAGATTCCCAGATCTCACATGAATTTATTGACTAAGAAATTCTACGTCTTAAAATCCATCATTGTCTTTAAAGAAAAATCTCTCCTGTCATTCTGAAGTGTACACTCAACATATGAATATATGGTTTAATTTATAAATATTGCATAAATATGCATAGGTAGTTAGGATAATGTGGAAGCTTTCATGGAGAAGCTGGATTTGAGATAGTGTTGTTGTTTTTTTGTTTTGTTTTGTTTTGTTTTGTTTTGTTTTGTTTTGTTTTGTTTGAGACAGAGTCTCACTCTGTCACCCAGGCTGGAGTGCAGTGGCATGATCTTGGCTCACTGCAACCTCCGCCTCTTGGATTCAAGCAATTCTCCTGTCTCATCCTCCCCAATAGCTAGAATTACAGGCCTGCACCACCACACCTAGCTAATTTTTGTATTTTTAGTAGAGATGGGGTTTCGCCATGTTGGACAGGCTGGTCTAGAACTCCTGGCCTCAAGTGACTGCCGGCCTCAGCCTCCCAAAGTGCTGGAATTACAGGTGTGAGCCACCACACCCAGCCTAAGATACAATTTTGTAAAAAGACATGGCATTTAGGAAAGGAGTATTACTCTGAGCACAACTGTAGAGGTAGAAATAGAAATTGCATGGAAATGATTAGTTTATAAAATAACAAATTGTTTTTAATAGGATGGAGTCAAATACAAAGTTAAAGAAGTAAACACATGCCAGCCTGGATATAGTGGGATACTGGGCTTTATCTTGTAGGCAATGGTAAACTCAATAACCAAAGATTTTTGTCCAAGGAGCATATATATGTAAATAAATTTTGAAGGAATGCATTTTCAATTAATATGTGCCATTCATTGGTAGGCTGAGGACTAAAAACAAATCATACAATAGTACATTAGATTTGAGATAATGAGGATTTGTGCAGAATGCTTCTTGTGCTAAGAAAAATAAGAAAAGAGATGAGCCCAATGATGATCGTAAAGGAAGAATTGACAGCAAAGAGAATGCAATACTAATAGTGACTTAGGAAAATACAGGGGAAAAAAGTATTACAAATGATATGTCTGTATACTTAAAAGATGACAATCAGAAAATATTTACCAATTTGTAATCAGAATAGAATACACCAAGATAATTCATTTAAATAATTCTAATTGTATTAATAAACCCTTTAAGCAAAATATTCTTTATCTTTTTACATAGAAAATAAAATGGCTAGTAAATAAATCATTATTTTCAGAAACACAAGCACATTTCCCCTCTTACATATAGTTTTGATACCATAAAATAACGGTATTTTCTCAGACAAATTAGCATCAGACTATTTGTGTCAAAAAACAAATTTAGTGATATATGTATGAAACCAAGAGACTTCCCTGGTAAAAATTGTTACACATCAAATATGTTCTTTGCAAAATATTTTACAAATGAAAATAACATTTAGTTGAAATGCAAGAAATCGGTTAAAAGTGCACTTGATTAATAAAAGCCGTATATGACATACCCACAGCCAACATCATACTGAATGGGAAAAAGTTGAATGCATTTCCCCAAAACTGGAACAAGATAAGGATACCCACTCACCACTCCTCAACATAGCCCTGGAAGTCCTGGCCAGAGCAATCAGGCAAGAGAAAGAAATAAAACATCCAAATTTTAAAAGGGGAAGTCAAATTATCTGTGTTTGCTGATAATAAGTTTGTATACCTAGAAAACTCTAAAGACTCCTTCAAAAGACTCCTAGACTTGATAAATGGCATCAGTGAAGTTTCAGGATACAAAATCAATGTAGAAGCATGTCTATACACAAATAGCATTCAAACTGAGAATGAAATCAAGAAGACGGTCCCATTTACAATAACCACACACACAAAAGAATTACTTAGGAATACGTTTAACTAAGAAGGTGCAAGACCTCTACAAGGAGAGCTGCAAAACACTGATGAAAGAAATAAGTGACACAAACAAAAGGAAGAACATCCCATGCTCATATATTATAAGAATCAATATCATTAAAATGACCATACTACCCAAAGCAATCTAGAGATTCAGCACAAATCCTATCAAATTATCAATGTCATTTTTCACAGAATTAGGGAAAAAAAATCCTGAAATTCATACAGAACTCCAAAATAGCCTGAATAGCTGAAGCAATCCTAAGTAAAGAACAAAGCTGGAGCCATCACATTACCTGACTTTATGCTACAAGGCTATAGTAACGAAAATAGCATGGTACTGGTACAAATATAGATACACAGATCAAGGGAACAGACAAAAGAACTCAGAAACAAAACCACATACCTATAGCCAACTGATCTTCAACAGAGTCAACAAAAAAATGCAATGAGGAAAGGACAACCCTATTCAATAAATGATGCTGGAAAAATTGGATAGCCATATGCAGAACAATGAAACTGGACCCCTATCTCTCACCATATACAAAAATTTACTCAAGGTGGATTAAAGACTTGAACATAAGACCTGAAAGTTAAAATCCTAGAAGAAAACCAAAGAAAATGCTTTTGGACTTTGGCATATGCAAGGAATGTATGAGTAAGACCTTAAAAACAAATGCAACAAAAACAAAAAGGCACAAATGGGACTTAAGTAAATGAAAGAGCTTCTGCACAGCAAAAGAAATAATCAGCAGAGTATACAGAAAACTAACTGAATGGGAGAAAATATTTTCAAACTATGCATCTGACAAGGACTAATACTCAGAATCTGCAAGGAACTCAAACAACTCAACAAACAAAAAAACAACTAGCCCCATTAAAAAGTGGGCAAAGGACATGAACACACATTCCTCAGGAGAGACACACAAGCAACCCACAAACATATAAAAAATGCTTAACATCACTAATCGTCCAAGAAATGCAAATTAAAACCAAAATGAGATACCATCTCATACCAGTCAGAATGGCTACTATCAAAAAGACAAAAAACAACAGATGTTGGTGAGGTTGGAGAGAAAAGGGAATACTTATACATTGTTAGTGAAAATGTAAATAAACACAACTACTATAGAAAACAGTATGGAGGGTTCTCAAACACCTAAAAATAGAACTACCATTTGACTCAGCAGTCCCACTATTGGGTATCTATCCAAAGGAAACAAAATCCTTGTATCAAAAAGACACCTCCACTCATGTTTATCACAGCACTATTCATATTAGCAAAGTTATGGAATCAATCAAAGTGTCCACCAACAGATAACTGGATAAAGCAAGTGTGTGCGTGTGTGTGTGTGTGTGTGTGTGTGTGTGTGTGTGTGTGTGTGTGTAATAATATGCAGCCAAAAAAGAATGAAATTATGTATTTCACAGCAACATGAATGGAGCTGGAGGCCATTATCCTAAGTGAAATAACTCAGAAACAGAAAATCAAATATTGCATGTTCTTACTTGTAAGTGGGAACTAAACAATGGGCCCACGTGGACATAGAGAAAGAGAGAAAATAGACATTGAGGTCTCCAAAAGCAGAGAGTTGAAAATTTAGGTACTTGGTACAGTGTTCACTGTCTGAGTGGTGGGTATACTAGAAGCCCAAACCTTACCATTTTGCTATATATCTATCCCCTGAATCTATAAAAATAAAAAAGAGAAAAAAAGTACCTTTTACCTGAGAAATTCAGATTATCAAATATTTTTATTAGCATAATACTAACATCATCTAATCTACCAAGAAAAAGCAATTACTTTAATAACATATCTGGCTAAGACATCTTGATATAATTTATAAACATTTTAAGGCCAGAGAAAATAAGGCAGATGAGTATATTTAAAGACTGTAACAAGGATCCAGCTCTAAAAGTAGACATGTGCTAACTTCTGAACATCGATGATTAAATTAAATAATAATAAATCAATTATTTGTTTGCAAACCATGTGTTAGACCTTGGAAAGCTGTCTGCTCAAGCATTACTGGTGTCATTCACTCTCTTTCTCTTCAAGTCATACTGTACCTTTTTCTTTATCCTTCTTTACTCTTATGTCCTTTTCATTACCCAAAACTCTGTCTCAGATCAGCCAGAGGTTCTCAAAGGCATTGTGCCCAATTTATGAGCATCAATGTTTCTGACCCATGTTTTGCATTGACTGTGGATGTTGCAGCTCATATTTAATTTTAAGAAACATTTAGAGAATGTTCCCACACCCTAGAAAATAATAACAGCAAAAAATAAAAATAAAAAAGAACCTAAACAAACCTTGTATTTCTCCTAGTGCTCAATTACCTGTGGCAAAGGAATGCAGTCCCGTGTAATCCAATGCATGCATAAGATCACAGGAAGACATGGAAATGAATGTTTTTCCTCAGAAAAACCTGCAGCATACAGGCCATGCCATCTTCAACCCTGCAATGAGAAAATTAATGTAAATACCATAACATCACCCAGACTGGGTAAGCAGACAAAAAAAAAAGATGCTTTTGAAAAACATAGAAATGCTTATGGCTTCTTGTATTTTGTATATTACTTTAAACCTTGATAGTTGTAAATCTATACTGATTATTTTGGTTTGCACTAAATTGGATCCATTTAAATATGATTTCGTCCAAATGGTCAGGTGGGTAAAAAAGTCCTAAAAACTTAAACTGCTTTGATTCCCAAAGTTGTCCAATCAGAGCCAGGTCCAGGAAATAATGCCACACCACCCCAGGTCTTTTTGTAACCAAAATTTAGACTCGGATCAATCTCATGGCAGAACTATCAATTAAGTTAATATCTGTGGAAAGATGAGATTGTAGTGTAAGCCTTAGATTTCTCCATGGTTGATAGCCTTCCTTGTGATCTGGGTATAAATTATTCTTTGGAGGGACACAGACTAAAAAATGTCTTTCAAGAAGAATGGGTGCATGGATCTACACCATTAAACAAGAAGTTCTATTTTCTTTTTAAGTTTTGAGAATATGATACTAAATAAAAAATACATTCTAGTAATATTGACTATATTGATATTTACATTGTTTTATGTTATGAAATGCCTTCATATATATATCCTCAATTTCTGTTATTTAATCTAACCCATAATTGAGAATTAGACTACATATTTTAAGTAGATATAGCCTACACTTGCATAACAAATACTAATGAATGATTTAGCATTTACATCTTGACTATTAGTAGCATTTAACAGCACTCTTGCCTCATTGTCAGTGGGTTAATTTATATTTAATACCTTTGGTTTTAACCTGTGCATATAATCTCCAGGGGAACAATTGGAATCATACAAAATAATATTACCAAAATGTAAGAAGATAAATTATCATGTGTATTTTTCCAGGCATAAGACTCAATCAAATGTGAAAGCTTGGTTTCTTCGAAATACAAAAATTCTCTTTTTAGGGCCAAATAATTAACTAGCATTCCTAAGAAATAATGAGTTCAAGGTGAATAACACTAATTAAGACAAAAAGTTAAGCAATTCTAGAGCAGATGTACTAAATCCATTTATTCAATAGCAGTATAATTCCTTTCTCCAACAATTAGTTGGAGTCCTTGAAATATTACATGGCAGAAAATAATGGATTAAAAGAAAAAATTTGTTAAAATTGCATTTTCTCTATTTATTATTCCTTGAAGGTATACCCCAAAATACAGAAGCACAATGGTTAGGAAAATCTAAGGTGTTTAAAAATAGAATAATTATATTAGAATACGATTCATTCTCATATGCAAAAGAAATAATTGTAGCAGCAGTGACTTTCATTATGCATTCCAGAACACACTGTTTTACAAAAAGGGAGGCCAAGTCTACATGACCAAATATTCTATACCAACTTCTCATTTCAAACACTTCAACTATTGCTGTAAATCTCAGTCGCTTGTGATGATATGCATTAATTTTTATAGAAGCCTGAAATCACAGCTCCAGGTAATCCATTTAGATGTGTCTGTTATCTGGGGAAACTAGGAATATGAAATAACTGTGAGCATATTTTTACTTTGCTGTTTCCTTGTAATTTCAACCCTAATAATAGTATTTATTAATTTGTATTCACATAAAGGTAGATATATTGAGCACATTTATTTTTCTTTTTAATTTTCTCTACTAAAATTCAAAAGCAACTTAAATGCAAGCTATGAAACTGAAGCTTAAAAGTACAACACATTGAACCTGGGAATTATATCTTTAATAGGCCTAAAAACATTTATAAGTAAAAATATTATTCATTCTTTACTTTTTAATCATAGGAGGTGTGTATGTGTGTGTATCTCTTTCTTGTTTAAATTCCAGAAGGTAATATAAATGAACCAAAGAGAGTGTACAAAATCCGCCCCACTTAAACGCTTGAAGTTGGTTTTTACTGACATATATGATATCTGCATGGAGTGAATTCACTATGTTCTGTTTCACAGCTGCTCTGACTTTCAAGTGCCTGGGAGATCAGTGGCCAGTGTACTGCCGAGTGATACGTGAAAAGAACCTATGTCAGGACATGCGGTGGTATCAGCGCTGCTGTGAAACATGCAGGGACTTCTATGCCCAAAAGCTGCAGCAGAAGAGTTGACCTCTAGCAGGCTGGCTGGATCACAGCTCTTGGCAATTACATTATTTATAAACACACACACTAGCATGTTTTTCAGACCAAATATTATCAGATTACATATAATTTAATCAAATTAATTTATTTTTTTGCCTGCCAAACATCCAATGTGGTGCTTGTTTTGGTTACACAAACATTTTGATTTATACTATATGGCTTCATAAATAATTTTATATGAATGAATTAGTTGGATCCAGTAATATAATAAAAAGAAAAAGGAAAAAAATAGATCATTATACTTAAAACAAGTTTTCGTTGTTTGTTAGGGCTATCTCTAAGGTGCTACTCTCTCCCCACCAATAACATTGAATTATCCAGAATGTATACTGACTTAGCATAATAGTTTAGGTGTATATGAAGAGAAACTATTTTTGTTTTTTGGTGTCCTGCTGCAGAATTAGCCCATTTTCTGTCACCTGCAGGAGATGTGTAAACATAATGAACCTCATGCTGTTGAACAGGTTTTTAGAGAATGTATTATGAATTTGGTTCAGATTTATAGACATCCATAGGAAAAATTCTGCTGTAATTATAACCTTATTTTGATATGGAAAAGAAAAGTCAAAATAGAGACTTTGATCATGTTCATGAACATGTACTTGAACACAAGTATTGTAACAATGAAACACTGTAATGATTTACACTGAATCACAATTGCACTGTTGATATAGTGTAGAGAAATCGTTAGAAATGGTGACATCTTACAAAAAATGTGTATTATTTTAACATGTTATCACTAGATTTTAGCTTTTTTTAAATATTTTTAACAAAGAAAACATTGATCCACCCATTTCCCTGTATCTTTTTAGCAGATTTATTAAAGAGTATAGTACTTAGCCTCACGAATCATAATTAGAAAATTTACTAGTATTTCTCAGCCTTTTCCCTAGGAACAAGGAAAAACAGAAAGCATATAATACGGTGGTCGTTTCATTGTGTTTTTCTTCCTTTTAAAAATTAAAAAGTTTTACAATTATGTGAAACGTTCAAAAGCCAGCTTAAAATTTTTCTTGTGAGAAAATATTATACATGATTCACATGATTTCTTAGATTTTTCAATAAAATATGTAAAACTTCCCACTGAGAGACAATTCTTCATAGACTTGTCACATATCCACATGTCTGATGAACAAAGGTACTGTCTACTTTTGTTCTGGAGTATCTTCTAGAGGATGTTTATAGAGTGAACTGCCTTGGAAGATAGTATGTCTCTTGGGAGCAAAGGGCAAACATACTTCTCATTATAAAAGTTTCAGGTTCCCTAAAATTGGGGTTTCTTTACTATAAGACAATCCAATGTATGTTCTGAGGTCACCTGGCTCTCTTCATGTCACCCTTTGGGAAATGGGGCTCAACGAGCCAGTACAGGAAAAGCTGATTCCCTGGCTACTACTATCGCTGTGAGTAATAAAGTCCTTTGTGTCTAATGCAGGAGTCTCATGTCTTCTACCCTGAAATCATAACAGGCTAACTTGATAAGTTGCAAGTAAGGTAAAACCTCAAAAGCTTCACAGTTCTTTACATTTCTGTCATTAATATTTTTCGCCTTCATTTTAATAAATGTGTTTTAATATCGAGGTCACCTTTTTCCTAGATTGACCATTCCTATGTAGGTCCTTTAATTTAATTGCTGAGATATAGGGTTAACCAATATCAACAAATTTTATGTGAAATAGTAGACGAATGGGAGAAGGAAAAATTGAAATAGTAAGTTCCATCCCTTGACTCCTGAATCCATAAATCTAGGTAGAAATAGCACCATATATTGGTTGATAGTTCAGAAAATATACATCTTAGAGAACATTATCTCAGACTCCAAAGTGTTTTCATCCACCTGGTAGGAGACTAAACCTTTCTTAAAAAGACATATCATTCTGTTAGGCCATCTGCTTCGGGGTGATGGGGAGCATGGTACTATGAGAGATTTACACAACAGTGAGCCCCTGTCCACACTTTATTTGCTGTCACACAAGTTCCTTGAACAAAAACAATATTGTATGAAATGCCCTAACAGTGAGTGAGACATTTGTTTAGTCCACAGATGGTATTTTGGCAGAAGCATCACAAACTGGGAAAGCAAATATATTTTCAGATCAACTGACTACTTCTGCAAGAACAAGCCATGGCCTCTTCTGTGATAGGAGTCTAATGTAATCAACCTACAACCAAGATGGTGTGTTGCTTCTCCCATAGAAGGGTACCATAATGTCTTCTCTGCTATTATTAGGTGGAACCCTCAGCAGTGACTGTAGATAGATTGACCTTGGTGAAAATAAGTTCATGTTGCTTAGCTCATGCATAATCTCCACTCCTGCCACCATTATCTCTTTATTTTTGAGGGTATTGGTCGAGGACAGAGGTGCATGGAAGAGACTGATGAACATTAAAAGAACATGTCATCTTATCCACCTGATGATTGATCAGTTTCTCCTGAGTATGCTGTTTGGTGAACATTCAAATGAAATATAAGTATATAAACAATTCAAGGAGTTCTATCCCCATTCTTTTTCCTCAGAACTTCATTATTACCAGTTTTTATCATGCTCCTTTCAAGTTCCTACCAAACCCATTAGACACAGCCCATAAATTAGTGCATATCCATACTTCTGGCTGTTTTTTCTTCCAGTCAAAATAAACAGCCAGATGCACAGCTTGAATTCCTTCTGCGAGGATTTTTCTTACTAATCATTCAGGTCACCTCTGTGCAGGGTTGCAGAGCTACAGCTGTCTACTCCTGGTTATGCTAGCATATTGTGAAGAACCATTAGTAAACCAGGACCAAATGTTTTCTGTCTCAGTCAATTCGTTATAATAAATTCTCTATGAGGCTGTGTGGGTTGAGAGAGTGGAGGCAATGTAGCAGTAGTAGGACCCTTAACCATCAGATCCAATTATTCAAGGAACTTATGCCTTCAGCTTGTGCTCAAGACAAATCTTGTACCCTTGATGATGGAGTGATATTCTGCACAGGTAACCTGGGTGGTGTCAGACACCACCCAGGTTATAATGAGCAGCTCAAGTTACATGGGAATTTGGTGACCTGTGGTCAAGCATTAAACATTTACTAGCATTTCAATGCAAACCAGAAATAGTTTTTCAAAACAGAAATAATTATTTGTAAAAAGGACACAGCTTTCTCCAAAGTTATTAAGACCTCACTGTGATTCACCAATAGGATCCTGCCAGAAGCTCCATATAGGATCCTTATGTGCCACTGATTCTTTAAATACCATCATATCTGCTGTGCCATATTGCCTAAATAGCAGAGTAGCTTCTATTGCAACCTGAACTGATTATAGATTCTCTCCTTATTCTGTGCACTACATGAAACTGGAAGTCTTTGGGATTACTCAGTAATAATGTGTAAAGTAGCATTCTAAAATGAGTTATACATTGTCACAGCCCAAATGGGATGTGTGTCTCTTAGGAAGGGCTAGAGGCAGGAATTTGTCCTTTACTTAGAAGGGATATCTCAACATGTCACTGAATTCCTAGAAATTTTACCAAGCTGTGAAATTCCGGAAGTTTTTGAGGAATCATTCTCAAAGAGAACTGGCCTCCCCTTCATTCAGGGAGTTGTGGGTCTGAGAATCATCTCTCCAATGAAAACTGAAAAAGGGAATGCAATTATCTGGTATGGTGATTCATATCCAACTTGTGTTCACTAAGTATAGAGATATAATGGTTATATAAATCAAGAAACACTTTAGTAGAATGCCCACATATTTCAGTCCTAAGGACTCCCTGGTCAATTGGCCAATACCAAAAATTTTTGCAGGTCAAACCGTTACTGTCTTAGTCTGTTTGGACTGCTATACCAAAGTACCTTAGACTGGCTAATTTATAAACAGAAATGTATTGCTCATGGTTCTGGTAGTTGGGAAGTCCAAGATCAAGCACCAGCAGATTTGGTGTCTGGCAAGGACATGTTCATCATAAATGGTGCCTTCGTTTTGTCCTGACATGGCAGAAGGGGTAAGGATGCTCGCTAAAGACTTTTGTAAGGGGTTACTTCCATTCATGAGAGCTCTGCCTTGTGATTTAATCACGTCCTTAAGGCTCTACCTCTTAGTGCTATCACTAAGTGGGTATTAAGTTTCAACACATTAATTTTGTGGGGGTGGCAGGGGGAACCAACATTCAGACCATAGCAGTTCCCTTTACTACATTGAATCCGCTGCTCCTTATAATATCCATGCACGCATGGTCTTTGGAAGTTAAATCCTGTCACTTGGTTCCTGGCCATATGGAACTTATTATACTCATTAAATTCTATAAGATCAGTTCTATGGCAGCATTTCCCAACGTTATTCCTGGCTTCCAGAGAATAGCCACTACAGAGTTCTTTAAGGATTCCAACGCTGCCTTCACCACTGTATCTTTCAAAGCCTTGATTAGGGAATGCCCTCTGGGCCCTCTTGGGGAATATATTTAACAGGTGGATGAACATAACTATCTTATTAAAACCAATCTTCCTAAATGTATACCTTTCTCTATACTACATTGTAGCAAAGAAGTCTGGCATCTCAACTTTGCTCAATATGAACCACTATTGGGCCCAGTTTTCAGTCAAACTGTTAGAATTACTCTCAGTCACATCAACTAACACGTTAAATCCAGAATCTCTACTTACCACACACATATCAAAAAAAATTCAAGCTAATCCAAGATTGTATATCTTCCATCGTAATCTAACATCCATAAGAAACATCCCCACACAGTTTATATGACTTTGCAAAATCTCATAATTCTTTTAGAACCTTAAAGTACAACCTCATCAGTCACAGTTTTTACCTGGTCCCCTTGGATCTTCCAGGACTTAAGTCTGAGTATGGATTTAGAAGACATGACAGATAGGGAAAGGTCCTGAGGAAAATCAGCAGTACAATTAAAAAAGGTTTGCCGTGTTGAGGTGCCTCAACACAGTAAAGACTGTGTGTGTCAAACCCATAGTTAACATCATATTAAACAGAGAAAAGCTGAAAACTTTTCATCTAAAAATGGTAACAATCAAGGAAGACTACACCACTCTTATTCAACATAGTGCTGAGAATCACAGCCAGAGAAATTACAGAAGAGAAAGAAACAAAGGGCATGCAAATTAGAAAGGAAGAAGTAAAATTTGGCCCTGTTTGCAGAGGAGATGATCTTATGTATTAAAAAAACCTAAACACTCTTAGAACTGATAAACAAATTCAGTAAAATCTCAGGATACAAAATCAATATACAAAAATCAATAGTGCTTCTACATGCTAACAATGACAACCTGGAAAAGACATCAAGAAAGCAATCCCATTTACATTAGCTCCAAAAAATAAAAATAAAATAAAATACCTGGGAGTAAATTTAACCAATGAAGTAAACAATCTCTACACATAAAACAAACTATAAAACACTGATGAAAGAAATTGAATAAGACACATACAAATGGAAAGGCATCCCATGGCCATGAACTGGAAAAAAATAATCTTGTTAAAATGACCATACTCCCCCAAACAATCTACAGATTCAATGAAATCGTTATCAAAGTGGCAATGACAGTCTTCACAGAAATACAAAAGGCAATTCTAAAATTTGTATGAAACCATAAAAGGCTTCCATGCTTATTGCAGCACTATTTACAATAGTCAAGATATGGAATCAACCCAAGTATCTATCAACAGATGTATACATAAAGAAAATGTGGTATATATAGACAATGGAATACAGCTCAGCCATAAAAAAGAATAAAATCCTATCATTTGCAGCAACATAGATGAGCCTAGAGGACATTATATTACATAAAATAAGCAAGAAACAGAAAGTTAAACACTACATGCCTCACTCAAATGCAGAAGCTAAAATATGTTGATCTCATAGAAGTAAAGAGTAGAACAGAGGTTGCCAGAGGCTGGGAATGGTAGGGGAAAAGGGGATAGAGAGAGATTTATTAAAGGAAGCAAAATTACAGCTAGATAGGAGGAATAACCTCTAGTGTTCTATATCACTGTAGGATGACCATAGTTAACATTAATATATATTTTCAAACAGCTAGAAGAAAAAGGATATTGAACATTCCCAACAGAAAGAAATGATCAGTGTTTGAGATACTGGATATGCTAATTACCTTGATCTGATAACTATACGTTGTAAGTACTGAAACATCACTATGTACCCCAAAAATATGTAAATATGTGGCTATATATATATGTGTGTGTGTGTGTGTAACTATTATGTATCAATTTTTAAGATAAAAATATTTAAAGGTTTTATTTCAGAGCAGTCACAGAAGCTTTTTCTGCTCCCAACTTAGACCTTGAACTTTAAATCTCATCTTATCATTTTCTTTCTCTAAGTTCTTCAGCACATTTAGAAGCAATGAATCAACTCCACAGTCATTATTCTCTTTGTTTCTGTGAAACGGTTCTAATGCAGCAGATACTTGGTAACTCTGCACATTGCCTCTGTAGCCACTTAGATTATACAGGCACTAGGGGTGACTATAAGTGAGAATTTAAATAACTGTTGAATCACTGCATGCCATGGATGGCCAGGCTCCCACTTACCCCTGGTAATAGGGTCATTCATGTCTTTAAATCTAGTCAGATAAGAGAACCAGTTTCAAATTTTATTTTTAAAGTTCTATTCCCCGGAAACACTTCTGGCTGGTTCAGTCAGCAGAGCAGTTTCAGAGGGTTATAGGATAATGTAGTTGAGCTCACACAACTGTGAGAGGAGATGGGAAACTGAAGGGCTGTAAGAGGAGTTGGAGGATTAGGGGAGTCACCAGCCAATCAATCCAAGGAGCAGGCACAGCCAGCTAAGAAAAACTCTGAAAGGGTAGTCTGCAAGGAAATCTATGGGATATTGTTGCCTCTGTGCACTTTCCTTCTTTATAGGTTCACAGCCAACATCTGGTAGTGAATCTGACTTTTCTGTTGGTCAACAGGACCAACAGTTGGGAAGAAAAAACGGGTCTGGAGTTCAAGAGAGCAAAGTCAGGCTGCAGTCTGCCAGGCACATGCTGCATCTGTCTAAAAGAGACTTTCAGGTTAATGGATACTGTTTCAATTTTGCCTTCAGAATCTCATGGAAGTCCCTCTTTTGGTCGATTCTCACCTAGAATCACACAGGGAAGGGGGACTCTGGGAAACATAATTGATTTTTTAACTATAGATTGTTAATATGGCTTTAATTTTTAACTTTTCCCATTTTAGTTTTATAGCAGTTATACCTAAAGTGAAAAATACATGTTCATATGCACTCTCAAAATAACAGCAAACTTTTTTAGTGCTTAATATATGCTGAGCATTCTGTTGGCCACTATACATATTACATCTCACAGCAACCTTTAAGGTACCGTTAATATCTGTTTTTAGCTGAGGAAACCGAACCTCAGTGAGACTCAGAATGTTGCCCAAGAACACAATTTAGTTGGATCTATAGAGGCTCCCTATTACATAAATACTGTGCATTCAATTATTCTAATTGCCACCCTTATTTACCAATTTTGAAAATATAAGAAATGCACAGGATTTATATAACCCAATCACAGTCTTTCCTTGTAATCAAAACTATGGAAATAATTTCTAAATTATCTCGGTTTGATGAACCTTGATGGCTCATCTGATCATTGAACAGGCACTGGAGCTGGAAATACTTTCAGATATTTCCACTGGCTTTCAGTGATCTTGAAAGCTAGAAAGAAAAAAGAAAGAGAGAATAAAAGGGGAAAATGTGAATTATTAGGCTGGTGCAAAAGTATTTGCAATTACTTTTAGTGGCAAAAACCACAATTACTTTTGCACCAACCTAACAACAGATAAACAGTTTTGCCTGATGAAGCTGTATTTAATTCTATTTTTCCAATTCTTATGGTTCAGAAACAATTACTATGGATGCAAATCCATCCATGGGAAAATGGTACTGTAATTTTTTTAAATGCTGTAAAGAAAGAGCAAATGATTAGTTGCATGGTAAGAGTTGAGAGGCCTCAGATACCCACATTCCCACCACACTGCTCTTCCAATATAGTAACTCTTTATATGTGTTTATACCCTACATCACTCTTGAACAAAGGTATTATTGACAATAAGGGACTAGAAACCCTAAGCCAGTATTTTTAAAATTATGATCAAGTAACTTATTTTTTTAAGAGTTAACAGGAAAACAATGAAGGAGTTGTTATGTGATCAGATAAATTTTGAAAATGTTTGAGTTAACAAAACAGAATCTCTCCACCTTCATGATGAGCTTATGAACTATAAACTACCAGAAGAGAATTATAGAGGATGTCATTTTGGGCAATGGAATCCTTTTTTTTTCACTGAGTATGGTTGGAATTCAGATTTTAAAATGGAGCACCAAGACATTTTTTTAAAGTTTAATTGGATTATCAACTTTCAATCATAGTTAAGTCCTAATAGACTGGAAGAGACAACAGCAATCATTATTTATTGAGCAAAGGGCTTCATTAGGGTCTTCAGACATGACTTATTTGGAAGAGGCCATGTTATAGGGCTGCTCTTTTGTGAAGTATCCTTTAGTGTAAAGGCCCTTAAAACAAAAATGTGAAATACAGCATCAAACAAAAGATAAGAAGATGAGAGTAGAAATAAATCACTGTAAGGTTTCAAAGGAGAGAAAAATGATACCTTCTAGCAAAAATATGTAAAGGTTTTGTAAAAGGCTAGGTATCAGCGATGACCCCTGAATGACAATTAGGAGGTAGTCAACAGCCACGGATGGGAAGGAAGGTTCCAGGCAGCAGAGCTGGCATTAGCAGAGACACAGGTTCTCACTTATAACTGAGGGCTAAGAAATGCCCACACATGGATATAAAGATGGAAACAACAGACACTGGAGGCTTTATAAGGGGGGAGAAAAGAAGGGGGCCAAGGGCTGAAAAACCACCTATCGATACTACGTTCACTGTTTGGGTAATGGGTTCACTAGAAGCCCAGACCCCACCATTACGCAATATACTCAGGTAATAAACTTGCACCTTTACCCCCTGAATCTGTACTTTAAAAAGTAAAAGCTTGATTTCCTGATTTTCAGTCATTTAGGCTACCTACAGGGATAGCAATGAGAAATAAGAATTGATGGTTTTGGGGTAAAGGCAGACAAAGGATGGTGGGAGAAGATGGAGAGGCTGAGACGAAACTTGTAAGTAGAACGAGACAGTATCGAAGCCTCGGGCAACTAGGGAATGACAGAAGTATTGAAAGGAAGGATGCCTAAGGAAAACTGAAGGCTCATACCACCTACCTCATGCTTTGGCTAAGGAAAAAGCCTAATCAAATATATTTGGATCTAGGTTCTGTGTCTCTACTTGCCAATATAGAGAGCCAAAGACAAGTAAATTTCTTCTTGAAGGTGTGTGTTATTCCCCAAAGAATCTTTTAGGAAGAGCAAGCAGCCTGAGAAATATTTGTTCATTAGATATATTCTGGCAGCAACCAGGAAAATCCAGAAAGTACCAAGCACATGCACATACACATAATATACTTGACTCTTGAAACACTTTTGGTTTCACTGTTTTGTTATTAACTGTCATTATGAAGTACCTATTTCTTTATCTAGTAAATGCATTTATAAAACCATCCAAACCTATTTTAATATTGTAAAACAGTGATAGAGTTCTGGTCCAAAACATTCTTAGAGAAAATGTTAACTGCTTAATTCAGTTTTACAACTATAAGTAGGGCAGATATTTTTTAATACAGCCCCTCATGTTTATTGCTGTGAAGAAGATAAGTACTCTCCAGTGTCCTGCTTGATTCAAGAACACCCCGGCTGCTGACTCTTGTAAGGCATATGGCACTCTTCTGAGATCTAGTGCTGATACATTCCACATGTAACCCCACTGCCCCTGGAAGAGAAACTTTCCTGCTGAGTCAGAGGGGTTTATAGAGATGTGAAATTAACAGACAACCTATGTCTTTTAGAAGCTGCTAATATATCTATCCTTTGCCGTCTCACAAGTGGGGAAGTTTCTCCTCCCTCCAGATGGAAATCCATACTTTCCCAGTGAGAAGTATGGGTCACCTAAAGCAGAGTGCCTTGTAAAGAGAGAACATATCTCCATTAAAGTCATCACGACTTGCTGGCTGGCTACAACTGCCCACAGCCTCACTCCCACCACCTTGGCTCTCTTAACAGCAGATGGGTTCACTTAGAAGAGCGTGTCATCCAAACCCAGCAGCCATGTTTTTTTGGGGTTCCAAATGTGCCGTGTGAACACCAAAGCACATTGTTAAGAGCATATACAGCTAGGAACAGAGTCAAGGGGACCTAAGATAGTGAATGGGTCAAGGTGGTAGACTGGGGCACTAAATTACTGTAGCAAACTATAGAGCAAATTCTTGCCATTTCCCTCCCCAGAACAAAGCTAACAACCTAAACCTGGTTAGGTTGCACAAGAGTTGAGGCTCTGGAACATGAGAAGAAGCATAATCCTGAGTATCACATGTGAGGCTGTGGAGGCAGGGCCTAGTCAGCTGTGTTAGCTTAGCAATGTTCGAAGAGAAAAATCAAGCACTGTCTCCCTATACGTGACTGTTTCCTGTGCTCCGCATTGCGGGTTGTAACACAGATTCTGGCAGCCTTTATTCAAACAATAGTTTCCCTTAAATTGTTATTTCTGACTCTGAATGAAGAGATATTACGTGCTACACATATCTAATTCTGTCACCCTATTAATTGTAATGAGTATAGCCCCATCTGTTTCGGTCAAGCACCCTCCATGTACATGTGTGTGAGAAAGGTAGGGCAGTGTGCTGCTTTGTTTCTTTGTCCCTGTGCATTGATGTATCATCTCGAGAGCAGTGGCTGCGTGCAGCTGAGAGACTTGGTTTCAGATGCAGTCAGAGCATCCTCAGGCACATTAATAATGGAGGAGTCTGACAAGAGCAGCTTTGCCTGTCTTTGTTTTCCACTGTAGGTGAAGGGAGACATGGATCTCTCTGTTTTGCCAAATAACAACCATCCTGACAAATTCCTGCAGCTTGACGTAAAGTCTTTAACGAGGAGCTCAGCCCTCCTTCAGGCCAGCCTGGTGAGGTTTCCGGGTGGAAATTATCCTGCTGCACAACACTGGCAAAACCTTGTCTACTCACAGGTAAGATCTAGGGGCACAAAAATACGGGGATGGAGGCTTGTTTCTTTCTCGCTATCTGCCATTTCACCATTTATGCAACAAGAAGCCTATAGGAACAGAGTACAAGGTAGCTGCTCTGTCTTCCAACTTAGTCTTTCTCTCTTCCTTAACATTAGGAACTTTTCTTTAATTTATTCATAAAATACATGGATTCTCTCATTCATTAATTCCCCTCCTAGCATTAGCTTCTCTGCCTATCCTCATTTTAGATTTCAGGTGGCCCTCATTTACTCCTTCCCTTCAAAAATTTTCAAACTAATTGTTATATGCACAAATAAGACTTTGGGGGAAAAACTCCCGTCCCTATCTTTTGGTGTAATCTAAGCATAAAGCATCAGAAGTTTACATTGTGGGCATAAACAAGCCTCTAAAACAGCTGGAGATCTTGCTTCTGCCTCCCTTAGACTAGCTCCCTTTCATAGCATACACAGAAGACTTAGAAAACAGAACAATGGAAACCTAATTATTGAAGGGAAAAAATACAGCGAACTCGCCACTTGAAAAAGTGCTAGCTATTACTGTAGATACTCTTATTTTCCACAGGTGTCCATGTGGACAAGGAATACCAATTAGACCTTCAAACCCAGTGCAGGTTTTATTTCTCTTTTCTTTTGCATTTTCCTTCTTTTTGCTGACCAAAAGAGAAGAATAAAACTGTGATGAGTTCCATCAGCTGGAGTAAACATAAAGGCCCTAACTGTTGCACAGCTAATGAAACAGAAATAATCTTTGCTTTAAGACATGAAGGCTAATGGGGTTAAGAGTTAGTCAATTTAGAAACAGGAAGAAGCATTTCATTACAGAACAGATGTGACTGACCTACAAACCCCTGCAAGTCATTAAATCCTTTGGAGTGGTTCAAATTCCCTGAACAGAAATTTGTTTTCTTTTAAGAACAGTTGCTACTCATGAGTCCTGGTGTAAAGTGACTCCTTTGTGGTAAGTTTGTGGGCTCCTTGGGACCTTTATCATGAGATCATTCAAAATCAAGTACACTCAAATGATTATGTAAGTGTTTCCTCCACCTATAAGGATTTTAATTTATTTCCATTGTAAGGCAGCCTATTATGACAACTGGCATTTTTTGAATTTTGCATCAATCACTTTGGTAATCCTCAAACCCTTCTGCCATTTCATACCCAGCCATCTTGTTGTTGTTGTATTTGTAGGCGTTCTTTTTTTAAGTTTTAAATGAAATGAAATGAAATGAAATTGCTCCTTTTTCCTCCTTATTGTTTATATCACAGAATAAAATGATTCAAAAATCAGTTCAGAAAACTTGGCCCTTCTATGCTATGCAGTTTAGTCTAAGAAAACATATCCAATAAATTCCTTTGAGGTTGGAACACATTGATCTAACATCTTTTGTTTGGTACTGAAGTTGACCTATTTCCTTCATGTGGAACTTCACAGTTTAAAACTCTGTTGAATGTTGTTCCTAAACCTAAATGAAATGCAAATTTTTAAAAGGCAACTTTTTCTACAGGCCCCATTGGGTGGAAATAGTTATTCAAAGAAAAACCAAAGAGGTAAACTTCTGCTTCATAGGTCTTTGAATATGTGTTGTTAATCATTATAAACTTCAAATAAACTTGATTTAGGTATCCTTTTAGCCTAAGAAGAAATGTTAAATGACCTAGTGAAGGCCAGTGTACTAATTGGCCAATTATTAATGCATGGAGTGGAGAGGCAGGACATCAAGTACAAATTCAGGTAATCAGGTAGATGTGGCACAAAGTATGAGTAACAACAACAATATTCACCACTTCACTGTGCAATGCATCATTAACTAATTCTCTTTTGGGGATAGATCTTAAAATCCATGATTGATATATTCATTGGATAAAACAATAAATGTCATAGAAATGGCCATATAGAAGTTTTAAATATTTGCCATGATACCACGATAGCATGCCATGAAAGAAGACACTGAATATGCAGGTACACTGAGGTGTTGGGCACACATAAGGTGGTGGCTACCAAATAGTTCTTAATTTAAAGCTCACACTCCATTGGGGAGTCAGTAAGTCAATGGGAAGAACATGGAATAAAGAAGTTAGAAACTTGGTTTCTTATCTCAAATTCACAATAAACCAGTTTTAGAGACATCTGTCATGACCCTTAATTCATGCCTCAGTATTTCCACTTGCAGTATTAGGATAATATTTATTTTCCATATTTCCTTAAAAGTGAGAGCAAATGAAACATGAAGTAAAAGCAACTGAGAGCCAGATTTTCCTATAAAAGATCAAGAATATGTATGGAAGTATGTACATATGTATTGTTATTTATACCAGTATTTCAAAATGTATTGAAGTTATCCTTTCATTAGAATTTATTAGCAGATAATTCCATTTCCATTATTTTATAAATATTGTGGATGAAGGGGTGAGTGTATATGTGTGCACGCATGCACGTGTGTGCACATGGTGGTTGAGGGGATGTACTCAATAAATACGTCAACCTGCGTGACTAAACCAAGCAGTAGATATAATACCACATGAAATCTACACAAACTCCAGAGTTGTGTCAACTGATCCTTTCATCCCACACCACACAAGTGCATGGTGTTTAGGATATAGACTACCTTACCGAATGGCAAAGCACTTAACCTGCAGTCATTACCTTCAAACTCGGGGTAACTCAGCAGTTAAAACAGAGATTCCCTAGATTTGAAATGTCACATTGAATTCTTAAATATTGGTATCATTTTATTATCAATGACTTATCATCTAACTTTTAAAATTCACTTTCCATTTGCAGAGGAAACTCTCCTGGTCATTTTTATATGAGCTAAAGCAATACCATTCAATCTATTTTTTTTTTCTTTCTGAGACATAGTCTCACTCTGTCACCCAGGCTGGAGTGCAGTGGCACAATCTCGGTTCACTACAACCTCTGCCTCCCAGATTCAAGCAACTCTCATGCCTCAGCCTCCTGAGTATCTGGGATTACAGGCACCCGCCACCATGCCCAGCTAATTTTTGTATTTTTAGTAGAGATGGGGTTTCACCATGCTGACCAGGCTGGCCTCGAACTCCTGCCTCAAGGTATCCATCCAATTTGGCCTCCCAAAGTGCTCAATTATAGGCATGAGTCACCATGCCTGGCCTCAATCTAGGAAAATAAGCAGTGATGGTCTCAGTTGATTCAGTAACCAGGGACATTGTAGTTCCCATCTATGCAGATACTCAGGTCTCCCATATTTGCAGAGAGTATACACAGATATTATTTGATTCTATTATATTTATACTTCTCCTTAAATTCTTTCACCAGAGAAATAAAGAAGCTTCACAACAAATTTTATGTCAGTGTAATGAAGAAACATTCACCAAAATCTAATGTTTCTACCTGTTAGATTAATTTTGGGGATGTTTCTGATGAAGGCATTTAGAAATGTATTCCAAATATTTCTGCCAACCCCTTTATAAAACAAGTAATGAAAAAAGGCTGATTTTTTTAAACAAATGTGATAAAATAATGTGTTTTTCAAACAACCCCATCAAAAAGTGGGCAAAGGATATGAACAGACACTTCTCAAAAGAAGACATTTATGCAGCCAACAAACGTGAAAAAAAGCTCATCATCACTGGTCATTAGAGAAATGCAAATCAAAACCACAATGAGATACCATCTCATGCCAGTTAGAATGGTGTTCATTAAAAAGTCAGGAAGCAACAGATGCTGACGAGGATGTCTAGAAATAGGAACGCTTTTACACTGTTGGTGGGAATGTAAACTAGTTCAACCATTGTGGAAGACAGTGTGGCCATTTCTCAAGGATCTGGAACTAGAAATACCATTTGACCCAGCAATCCCATTACTGGGTATATACCCAAAGGATTATAAATCATTCTACTATAAAGACACATACACATGTATGTTTGTTGAGTCACTGTTCACAACAGCAAAGACTTGGAACCAACCCAAATGTCCATCAATGTTAGAGTGGATAAAGAAAATGTGGCACACATACACCATGGAATACTATGCAGCCATAGAAAAGGATGAGTTCATGTCCTTTGCAGGGACATGGATGAAGCTGGAAACCATCATTCTCAGCAAACTATCACAAGAACAGAAAACCAAACACGGCATGTTCTCACTCATAATAGGAAGCTGAACAATGAGAACATGTGGACGCAGGGAGGGGAACATCACACATCAGGACCTGTCCGGGGTTTAATGGCAAGGGGAGGGATAGCATTAGGACAAATACCTAATGCATGCAGGGCTTAAAACCTAGATGATGGGTTGATGGGTGCAGCAAACCACCTTGGCACAGGTATAACTATGTAACAAACCTGCATGTTCTGTACATGTATCCCAGAACTTAAAGTATAATTTAAAAAAATTCAAATGGCAAGAAAGAAAAATGTGTGTCTTTTTTTTTTTTCCATTTATTGTGGTGGGCCTTAATTTTCTAATTAGCAGTTGCACGTCAGAATATTTTCAGACTAACTCCTTTGTTATATCTTTTCCTGGCTTCTGTCACATCAGTTTCAGAATCAAGGAGCATTCCAGACTAAACCCGTGAGATGGAGGGAAAGGCTAAGGGCGAGAGGCTGCTCTTCCATTGATTTCTAGACAATGTCATTTACTGAATTTATTTCCTAATCACCTTTCTGCACTCTTTTTCAATTCAGTCACACTCTTTTTTCCCATAAATTTCAATGTCTTTCCTTTTTATCATGGGTTTTTTTTTGTGTATAATTGTATTTCTTCTGTCTCTGAACACACGTCATGCCTTCCTAAGACTGTCTCTATTTTCAATCTTCCATTTATTGTTTTGAAAAAAACAGTGCTGGGGCCGGGTGCCATGGCTCATGCTGTAATTCCAGCACTTTGGGAGGCTGAGGCGGGCAGATCACTTGAGGCCAGGAGTTCAAGGTCAGCCTGGCCAACATGGCAAAACCCCATCTATAGTAAAAATACAAAAATTAGCCTCCCGTGGTGGCATGGCCTGTAATCCCAGCTACTCAGGAGGCTGAGGCATGAGAAACACTTGAAGCTGGAAGGCAGAGGTTGCAGTTAGCTAAGATCGTGCCACTGCATTCTAGCCCAGGCAACAGAGCAAGACTGTCTCAAAAAAAAAAAAAAAAAAGTCCCAGCACTTTGGGAGGCCGAGGCGGGTGGATCAGCAGGTCAGGAGTTCGAGACCAGCCTGACCAACATGGTGAAACCCCGTCTCTACTAAAGATACAAAAAATTAGCTGGACTTGCTGGCGCGCACCTGTAATCCCAGCTACTCCGGAGGCTGAGGCAGGACAATCGCTTGAACCGGGGAGGTGGAGATTGCAGTGAGCTGAGATCGCGCCATTGTTCTCTAGCCTGGGCAACAGGGTGGGACTCCGTTGAAAGAGAGAGAGAGAGAGAGTGAGAGCGTCAGAGAGAGAGAGAGACAGAGAAAGGAAGGAAGGAAGGAGAAGAAGAAAAAGAGAAAGAAAGAAGAAAAAGAAAGAAAAGAACAATACTGCACAATACAATCATTTCTCCTTTCTAAGCTTATATTGGATGACAATGTGGTACTTTGCAGGTGCTTATATTATCTACGAAGTAGATTGATAGCATCATCAAGTTCTTCAGGGTACCAAGTTGTACTAAATTTATAGGATTAGGGAATTGGCCACGGATGGTATATTTCCAAAAAGAACACCCAAATTGCTCCTCCAAACTGTTCTTAGTTGAGACCCAAATGTCTCTGGCATGAAAGCCTATATTAAAGGTACCTTGTATGTTATAATACCACCTGTGAGCACAAAGAGCCCTGGTTATCTGCAGGGAAAGGCAGGACATAAGGTTTCAGAGAAGCCTGAATCACACCATGGAGGGTCCATGGGCTTTGTCTAAGATTTTGAATTTTACCCTGAAAATTTTGAAGAATCAGTGAAAAATTTAAGCAGAAGAATGACACAATCAAATATGTGCTTTAGAAAGCTTTCCATTCTAGCAATTTAAAACAAAAATTTTGTGTTCACAAAAGAGCTGATTTTCTGAGAAAGTGTATGTGCTGACATATGAAATACATGCAAAATGCCTTCTTTTCACTAAGATTATGATAAGGATTACACTGAATGCATAGATCAAAATGGAGAAAACAGAAATCTTTATATGACCTTGATTCTCTCAATCCATGACCATGATGTATCGTTTTATTTTTTCAGTTCTTCATATGGCCTTCGATAATATCTTGTAATTCTCCACACAAAACTATTCCATATAATTTGTTAGGTTTACATCTAAATACTTACATTATTTTTCTCTTGGTAATAGTACCTTTTAAGTCATGTTTTATAATAGAGCATTACTCATGCATACTATTGATCATTATATACTGATTTTGAATCCAGAAAGTGTGTTAACATCTATTTTGCCCATAAACATCCCTGTAGATAATCATGTCATCTGCTATTTGTTTATTTATAACCCTATTTCTTTTATTTACTTATGTTTCTATTCTTTTTGCATTGCTTTGAGCTTCCACTGCAAAATTATATGGACATTGTGATTACTAGCATCCTTTTATTAATTCTGAAACTAAAATAAGTGTTTCTAATATTAAACCATTAAGTAAACTGTGTTCTGTAAGTTTGGGGCCCATTCCCTTAATTAGCTTAAGAAAATTTTCTACTAGTTCTAGTTCACTAAGAGTGTTTGCTTTAAATATGTTTGAATATTTTGAAAGTCTTTTTCTGACCTATTGCAAAATTTAATGTTTTTTTCCTGTTAATGTGGTAAATTTCATTAATATTCTAATATTAAACCATCCTGTTGGTATAACATCTTTCCCTGGTAAAAATCTGTTTTATCTTGTTACATATAATTTGTACATATTGTAGGATTCTGTTCAGCAATATTGCATTTATAATTTTACATTTATGTGTATAAGAGAAATTGGCTTATACTTTTCTTTTACTGACTGCCCTCATCTGAAGTTTATACTAACTTCAAAAGTGAGCTGGGGATTGTTCCTTTTCCTATTTTCTGGAAGAATTTGACTAATAAATTATATATTTTGAGAATGGTAGAAGTTGACTGCAAAACCCTCTGACATGCTGTTCTTAAATGTGTGTGTTTGGAGGAGGTTTAAAACTATTGATTCGACTAGTCAAATTATCACAGGTTTGTTAATTTTTTTTTTAGTTTTTCTTAAATAAGTTTGGTAAGTTATATTATGTAAGAAATTGTCCGACTGCACATAAATGTTTTAAGTCGCTCAGATTATTTTCTGATTGTTTCTTAATTTCTGCTGTGTCTCTTGTCAAGTCCCCTTTACATTCCTAACTGGGTGCATTTGTGTCTCTATTATTTTTCTTGAGCAGTATTGCCAGAGATATTTCAAATGTGTTTTTCCAATGAAATAGCTTTCAACTTTGTTTATCTTCTCCATTGTATATATTTATTCCCTTTAATATGTGTTGATTCTGTCTTTACATTTATGATTTTATTTTGACTGTTTTATTATATTTATTCAATGGCTTTATTTTTAAGACTTTGAATTCAATGCTTAATACCTTATTAATTTTCTCATTCTGCTTTATAATGCAAGTATATATGCCCATAATATTCTCTCAAAATACCATTTCAGATCCAGCCAACAATTTTGTAATGTAGCATTTCTCACTTTCATTCTGTCCTAAATTTTAAAATGTTTATTATTATTTCTTTGAAATGTATTTTTAAATGTCAGCAGAATGTTTTATTTTATGTTGTTGATAATGATTTCTAGATTTATAACTAAGTTGTCAATGGTCGAAAAGCATGGTCCAAGTGATTTTGAGTCTTTGAAATTTGTTTTGGAATTTAACATGCTATCAATTTTATAAAATTTTCAGTATATATTTTTAAAATAAGTATTTTCAATTGTTTAATAAAGACATCCATATATGTCACTTGAACAAACTTTTGATTTTATGGTTCACATCTTCTTTATTCTTTTTTTTTTCCATAAGTTATTGAGGTACAGGTGGTATTTGGTTACATAAGTAAGTTCTTTAGTGGTGATTTATGAGATTTTGGTGCACCCATCACCCAAGCAGTATACACTGCACCATATTTGTACTCTTCTATCCTTCACCTCCTCCCACTCTTCCCTCCAAGTCCTGAAAGTCCATTGCATCATTCTTATGCCTTTGTGTCCTCATAGCCTAGCTCCCACATATCAGTGAGAACATACGATGTTTGGTTTTCCATTCCTGAGTTACTTCACTTAGAATAATAGTCTCCAATCTCACCCAGGTTCTTTATTCTTAATGATTATTTTGCATGCTTGAGAAAAATTACATGTATAAATTTCTCTGTGTAATTATTTTAAGTTTTGTTTTATAAATGTTGAGACTATTTTATTAGATGCATACAAGTTTAGAATGACAATATTTTACTAATGTTAACTAACTTTATTCATTTTCTAGAAACATTCTTTATATCTAGCAAAGCTTTTGACCGTGTCTATTTTGTCTCCAAGGATCTTGCCAGGAATTTTACTGGTCAAGCTTGAGTTTCATTAGGTTTGCTGAGTGTCTAGTAAGGCTTTCCACAGTAAAAAAAAAAAAAAAAAAAAAAAACACACACACACAAACATATATGTATATACACACATATATACACATATGTGTGTATATTTATATATAATGGTATATGAATATATTATATATGCCATATGTATCACCTAATATATATATATATATATCTCATCACATATGTATAATCATCTTCTGCTATATAGAGCACATTCACAAGAGTCCTGAGATGTGTGTAGTGTCACAAAAAAAGAAAGTGAGCCAAAATCTTGTGAAAGATTTCAAGGGCCAGGCTTGGAAGTGGTCTTTCATCCACAAGTCAATGGACATAAAACATGTGGCCCCAATATAAAATCAGAAACAGACTGGGAAAGGCAGATATCCTCTGTGCTTAGGAAGTGGAAACAAAATTAGCGAGCATTTAGTCAGTCACAACACCCAGTTCTCAATGTTTACATTTGTCTAGTATAAATTTTTATATTTTTTTACTCTAATTCTTTCTGAATCTTTATATTTTAGGCATTTCTGTTGTAAATATTTTATAATTTAATTCATTTTTTGAAATCTGATCTGACAATCTCTGTCATTGCAATAGGGAGTTTATTCCATCTACATTTAATGTGATTATTTATAATTGTTTTTCTGTTTCTGAGATTTTCCACCTGTATTCTTTTTTTGTAGTCTTTTTAAAGATTGTTTAGTCTTCATCTTTTTCCTACTGCTCTGGTGACTTAGAAGCTGTACATTCTTTCTCTGCTTGTTAGTAATATCTCTATCTCCTCACTGAAATTATTTCTTAAAATTTTCTAATAAAAAATGTGTGTTAAACTTACTATACTCCAGTGTATTCATTTCTCTTACTTTAAAATTCACAAATTAGTGATTATTACTATTTTCTCTATTTCACCTAAATCAATACTTGCATGGATTCACACACACATTTATCAGTTTTTTTGCTTTCTGTCTTTCTTTCTCTCTCATATTTCTCTTTTACCTTAAACGTCTGTTATCAACTTTCTTCTTCCTGAATTACATTTTTAGAGTTTTTACAATAAACTATGAATTTTGTACACTTAATTTTCTTTGTTCAAAAATGCCTTCTATCTCACTCTCTTTATTGAATTATAGTTTACTTCACACAGAGTATATAATGATTAAAGTGTATAAATGATAAATGAATAAAGTTATGCTTAATACAGAAAAGCCTAGGTAAGCTTTGAAGTGTTACCTTTTTTAAATAAATATTTTAAAAGGTAATTTATTTTAGTGCCCAAGTAATTAAAATAGTTGAATTACTACTGAGTTTTCCTCTGGTAAATGTATTCTTTCTTGTGCAGTACAGTGAAGGGTTTTTTGTTGTTGATGTTCTGAAAGTTATTTTAAAAAATTTATCAAGATACAAATAAAAGCTCAACCAAAAGCGTATTGCTTATTTTGTGATTAAATTCATAATAAATTTATACTATTAATTTTCCTTCGTCTGTCTCTCAGACATAAATTCACATGCAGTGCAAAAATAAATAGCACTATGCTCTATAATAAACCTCACAACTTTCAAAAATATCATCTAGAAATAAGGGTTTGAATGTTCTTTTAAAATGTATCTCTGAGTATTTTGCTACTTTTACACATTAGATTTTCTAAGTCTATATACATTGTAATAGAGTGTGTACTTTTTTTCTTGATCTCCCCAAAACTGTATTTTCATTTATAGATCTTTCTTATTTAAGAAACTTGGCCAACAGTGTAGAAGACAATCTGACAAAGCCAATTTGTCAGTGTCAGGAGAATTATCCCCCTTCAGAGATGATCAAAGATGCCTAGCCTTGAAGAAAAAAAAAATTAAGTAAAAATTATGCTAAGCTCATATCATTTAAATTTCTTATCAAATTACTTTTTTCTCAATTCAGAAACATTACTTTTGAAGCAGTCTATCTTTGAGATAAATGCTAAGCCAAGAAGATTTATTATTTCATTGCAAACTACAGTTTTACAGAATGTAAGTTGACTTTGAGCAGACCAAGGACCTATTAAACTCAGAGAAGGGTCTGCAAGTTGAGCTCTAAGTATGTGAAAAATGCATGGATTAAGAAAATTAGGGAAATCCAACACCGAAGAGAATGGGAATGGTTTTATCTAGATGATTTTTTTTCCTGCTAGCCATTTCAGAAGGAAACTACATTTAACAGTTTCCAACTTTAGCTTATATAATATAAATTAATGTTACCTATATACACTAATAAATGTTGACAGCATCAGAGTATTGATAATCATAAATATGACTCAGAAGAATAAAATTCCTATTAAATATTCTCTGGGGTGTCTAAAATACATGACATACATTTACTGAAAAATATCTGTGAATTAAGGAAATGAGCCACTTCTTTTTAAAGATTAAAGATTATCTAAAATTAACTTATATGAAATCCCTCTCTTGATGTCCCATGACAAATGAAACATGACTCTATAAGCTTTTTGATTCTTCTCAATTTGTATTTGACCAATGAACAAATTTTAATTTCCAAAATGAACAAATTTTTAATTTCTACCTTCATGATAGCTTGATATACTTAAGAAGGAAACAAAACAAAGTAAAAATCTGAAGGTCAAGCCAGACACAGAAAAGCGCACATTATATGATTTTATTTATAGAAAATATGAGATGAATCCAAACTAATCTATGCTGTTAGAATTTGGGTGCTATTATAGTTATGCTTTGGGCAGGGGGAGGGAGGGTGACTGGAAAGGAGCATGAGGTGTGCTACTAATGTCATATTTCTAGGTCTGGATGTTGAATCTTGAGTTTGTTTGGTTTGCAAGAATTTATAGAGCTATGTATTTATATATATGAATATTATGCTTCAATTTGAAAAGTTTTTAAAAACCTGAAAATCAGTATTAGAGCTATCTAACAGTCAGTCTTTACACACACACATGCTAAATTACATGTACAGTGCTAAGTTAGCTTAGACCTCAAAGCTGTCTGAAATGGGAGACATGATAGTATTTGTGAAAGTCGAGGCATATCTCTAAAATGTCTTTTAATTTTGACTTTGCTGGATTAGCACAATAATATTAAATACTATTTTAATAAGTCATGGAATATAAAAATAGAGATAAGTAAAATATCATTAAATCTCAATGCAAATAACCTGAGAAAAGTTGGCTTTGTTTGGAATTCTACTGTTTGAATTAGAGAGTAAAGAAGGCTCTTTCTCTGTAGTTATAAAATAGCATTTTAATGAATGATTAGTAAAGCTGTTCAAGATCACACACAAAGAAAAAACTCAATTAATGTTAGATTTCTAGGTCAAACGAAACCCTAGAATCCTTTTCTCATTCATTGTCCTAATCTGTTGTGTTTCTGCACAAAATCAGCACATTATCAGGTAGTTATCTCACATTGCATTCCCTACTATCAGAAGGCCCGTTGCTAAGAGATGCCTTGTTTCTTTGCCTCTTAGAGGGAAAAGAAGAATATTGCTGCTCAACGAATTAGGGGATCCAGTGCAGACAGCCTTGTCACTGCTGATAGCCCCCCACCATCCATGTCATCAGTTATGAAGAATAACCCACTCTATGGTGACCTAAGTTTGGAGGAAGCTATGGAAGAAAGAAAAAAGAACCCCTCATGGACCATTGAGGAATATGACAAACATTCCCTGCACACAAACCTCTCTGGACATCTGAAGGTACTCACGACTAAGAGTCAACCTCTTCAACTGATAAGGGAGATCAGTCAAATAATCCTAAAAGAAAGCAATATTGAAGTGACAGGTACTCTTCACTAGGCGCAGAATCTCTAGATTTCAGAGCATTTTGGCTCCTGGCTTTTCTTTCTCCCTCCTAGTCAGTATTTGTGTTTATTTGTTTTGAGTTTTACAGTTTCAACAGTTACTGGCAACTGTACAGTGTAGAGAAGAAAAAAGCCATGTGGTACAGAACAAAGGTTTTCCAGGAGGGTAAAAGGTTTATTGAAAATTAATTTGCAAGATCACATTTTCTGTCAGTTTGTAAACATTTATGTTCATGAACACTTAAGAGCTGATTCCCTAGTCTACATTTATTCAAAAATATTTATTAAGTGTTCTGTGTTAGGCACTGTGCAAGGAACTTCTCATCAAAGATTATTTTATCTCAGCCCTCTCAGTGATTTAAGATTGCAGATTTACATTTTGGTTATTTTCCTGTGTCTCAGTAACAAAACAAAACAAAAACATTTCAACACAGGAAAAGTATGCAATGAACTCATTCACCCAGCTTAAACCCAACTTAAGTTTTTCTTTCTTTGTTTGCCCCCACTGGTGTCACCCCATCACATGAAAAACTTCAAAATACCTGAAAAGCAAGGAAGCAGCCCTCTGTTTTCTGAATGGACTGGATTCCTACCCAGCCTTGGCTTGCCTCCACCTGCCCTAGGCCAGGAAGGCCTGCCATTTTCCAAGTATATACCCTTCATTTAAAAATGTTTATCTAAGCTAAGCCCCATACCTTAAGCACTCGAGAATTTTTTTCTTTTTTTTTTAAAGAGGACAGCACCCTGTCTCCTTGAATCCTACTCACACTTTTTACAATTTCAAATATGTGCTGCTCAAAAGATCCACTGTCCAGAATCTTTGAAGTTTCTTAATCTCTTAGTAGATTGAATGTATCTCCTCCTTTACGTAGCCCATTTTCCAGAGAAGTTTACATAACAGATGCTCTCCACAGAAACAATAATCTTGTGTTTCTTTTTCCTTCTTTCTTTAAATTTTGCATTCCTTACCAAGAGTCTTAAGGACATCTAAAAAGTCACCCCTACTATTAGAAAAAAAAGTACTGATTTATTTTACAGACATTTCTTGACTGTATGTTAGGGCCTCTTCCTTTTGCTGTTTACATGCAAAATAAGGGAACTATGGAGGTGAATGTTCCTGTCCCTACCCTCAAAAAGTTGATCTAACTGAGCAAACTAACAGACAATAACTATAGAACAAGATAAAGGAAGCTAACGGTAATAGTAACAGAAAGTGCCATGCAGTGTTCTAACTCATAAGTGGGAGCTGAACAATGAGAACACATGGACACAGGGAGGGGAACAACACACGCTGGGGCCTGTGAGGGGTGGGGGACAAGGGGAAGGAGAACATCAGGACAAATACCTAATGCATGCGGGACTTAAAACCTAGATGACGGGTTCATAGGTGCAGCAAACCACCGTGGCACAGGTATAACTATGTAACAAACCTGCACATTCTGCACATGTATCCCATAACATAAAGTAAAAAAAAAAATCTGTACCCCAAATTCTCAAGATACACTTTACCTATATAGAAAACTAGCACATGTAACCCTGAAGCTAAAATAAAAGTTCACAAAAAAAGAAACCAAAATGCCTTTTCCCTCACATTTGCCAATACTGGTTACTTTTCAAATAAATTATCAATGATTGGAAAAAATGGTAACACATTGTTTGCTGATTTTCATTTTTCTGATTACCAGGCAAGGCTGAACATTCCAGTAAAAGTATAAAATTTGTTCACTATAAAAGCCCAAATTAGGATTAGTGTGATAGCACATAATTATCTCCTGTTAAATGTTGCCATAGGCTTACCTATGATACTCTTCATTCTCCGTCCTAGGAAATTGCTGATTTTCAGGTTTTCTGCTCTTTGTGGAATTAGTCCATCATCACCATTGCCAGCAGCAGCACAATCAGTCAGGTTTTCTGATAATCCCATGTTATTACTTCCGTGCTTCTTTATTTCTTCTTCAACCTTGAGTAGAAGTTTGATATTAAGAATGGTTATTACTTTATACAATAAAAAGAAGTTTTGTTTCACTGAAAAAAAAATAAAGAAGAAAAATAAAGAAGACAAAGTGCCTGTAGGATAGGAAGGGGGCACAAATCACATCTGATTATAAAAGGACTTCATGAAAAAATAAACTTATGGGCTTGAAGGATGTATAGAATTCCCAAAGGTATAGATGGTTTGCCTAAGTGGGAAGGCTCTTTTGTCAGGAGTAGCAAGAGCAAAGGCAGAAATATAGGAGATACAGGTTAAGTAACAGAATAATGAGAAAATAAGGCTAGAAAATAAAGCTAAAAAATGTTTGAATGCTACACTTAGGAAACTGAATATTATTGGCAATAGGGAGTAATTTTTTAAGCTGGACAATTATATGAATTATGTTTAGGAAGAATGAGCCATATATACAATGAGTGCCATGTTTTACTACAATTAGGACCTGCTCCCTCCCCTACCCAGTCCTCTGTTTACACTCTCACTCTCCCTAAAGCAGTGGACTCTGAGGTCTGAGGCCTGTTTTACAGGTCTCATAAGGTTATTCGTCAGCACTAACTTCCTGAGAGAAGCTTCTGGAAACCATAACTTTGGTTTTCATTAAAATTTTTTCTTATGCCTCATTAATTCAACTTTCATCTTCACCCTTGTCTATATCTCATAGAGCCCCTAACTTACTTTCTGAAACCTTGACACCACTTTTAGGCTATAAACCCAAGTCCCTGTGGTCACTCCCATTTTTCTACATTGGTAAGAGTTTATAAGCCAGAAAAGAGAAAAGAAATCCATGTTTAATTACAAAGGAAAGCTATATGCAGAATGTGACAAAATAGTCTCTATTAATGAAGCTCTTAGTGGAGAACAGAGGCATTAAACTTACAGAGTGCAGGCCTCTGATGATAGGACACAAAATGAAGGATAGGCATGAGGTAGATGAGGATTTTTACATCATTACCCTTCTTCACAGATCATCCATATTTTATTTTAACATTTTAGCATTTCTAAAACTAAGAAGTTCCAACTAGTACTAGGGTAATGGGAGAATTATATTGCCATCAGCAGAATCTATCCTCGCTTTCTATTAATACATGCATGCACATTCCTCTCCTAGCAGTGCACCTGGAAGTCTGAAGCTAGTTCATTGACCCCTGATGCTGATAAAGAAAACTTGCTGTGCCACATTTCAGCTAGCTTTAAGTCTCCTGAGACTGGAGAGGCAAAGAGAGGGTAGGCAGTCCACTGTAAGCCATTACAATAAAGCAGATGAAATATAATGAAGCATGAAGTAGGTTTGTGAAAGCAGAGATTGAGTATTCATTGTAAATTTGTTGTATAGAAGGCATAGACACCAAATCTACAGCACCAAAACATAGCAAGAGATGTAATAGGAAAAAAATGTATTTTTATAAATGTATGGACAATAGACTTTGCAGGTGATTTATCAGGTACAGGAGATCAGGTTGACTTGATAATTCTATGGGCCTGAAGGAAAGATGAAGTCTGTGAAAGAAAGAGAGACATGGGGAATAAATAAGAGCTGATGTGGGGAAGAATATAATGGGTCCTTTTTTCAGGAGGTCAAACAAAGTTTCTGCATGCCAGACATGTGGCAGCCCTCTACAAGGAAAATCAGTGGGTCAAGAGTAATGGAAGAGACTCCTGACTTTTAGCCCTACTACTTCCATGAAAGTCAGCTTCCGGGTTTACTGAAAACCCCACCAAGCATGTTTATTCCTGGCATGCAGACAAAATCAAACCTCAAAGGTTCATCTAAAGCAAAGAATTTTCATTTTATTTCAACTTACTATGCTGAATTACATGCACTATTTATAGGATGTAAGGAACACCAAATTGGCTACAATGTGATAGAAACACCGTTGTGTTTCTGACCCTCTGATGTGAGCAATTTAATTAAAGAATCATGAAGGCCTCCTAATTAATTCTGATGCAGACCTACAAATTGGAATTGCAGGGATTCCTTGTCAGCCAGGAGACTGTAGCTGCAATTTTATGCTATTCAAGGAAGCCTCATACCGCTCATGTGAGCCATGACATTGAAGCCTTGCCCAGGACAGAGTGAATATGGACCATCAGTCCCCATGACAGTGTCTTGTTCTGCAATCTCAATTAATTTGTAACACTGACTGATTACTGATTAATCATATTCTCTATGTAATTTTCTTTTAGGAAAATCCTAATGACCTGCGGTTTTGGTTGGGAGACATGTACACTCCAGGTTTTGACACTTTATTGAAAAAGGAAGAGAAACAAGAGAAGCATTCAAAATTCTGTCGTATGGGTCTGATTTTACTTGTCGTTATCTCCATCTTGGTTACCATAGTGACTATCATTACTTTTTTCACCTGAGGAAACTGCAACAATCAGAGCTACTTTAAATTTCCTAAAAATTTTTCTGATAAACATTTGAAACCCCCCCCACCAAAATAACAAAAAAACACATGTACATGCAGTGTGAATGGATTGTTGATTGTATTATTAAATGTAATTGTCCTGAAGAATGTGAATGTCAGGCGTGGTATGCTGGCTTCTCCACTTTGTTCTATAAAAGCTTTCTAAGAGTGCCACCCTGAACTTTGGGAAGCAGGAATTCTGAGGACCATAATCACAGAATAGTCACTATATGCAACCCACATTAAATATCTTTATAGGGAGCAAACAGTATCAAAAATTGTCAGCAGCTTTGTTTTCATGCTTAAACTATATTAACCTTGTTTTAAAAATACTGTTAACTCTTTACCACCTCATCCTCCTGTGATCACCAGAAAAGTTTGAGCTGATAATTTTTTTTTTAACCAACTGCTGGGTAGCTAGGATAAAAATCTTCCAGTTGTGCTGCCAACTGAGTTAGATTCATTCTCTGTTTTATTTTCCTGTATTTCTGTTTAAGTCAGAAAAAAGGAAAAAGGGAAATATCTTATTCAAATCTATTCTTATTTCCCCAGTAATCATCTATGATGCCCCAATTTCATGTTGCAATTTTAATAGAATTAAACTTGGATAGGCCATAGTTACATAATTAATTACATTTAGATCCAATTTATCCAAATTGGCTGTGACCCCTGGTGGCAGTCAGTGTGCATATATTACCAACCATGGTCTAGGTTGGGGGTCCCTAGGAAAGCAGAGGGAATACTGCTAAGAGAACAGAGTTTGAAGCCTAACTGCTACTTGCTAACAGACTCTGGCAAGTTATTCTCTCAGAGAAGGAATGATATTACCTGCCCAACAGGGCTGGCCAAAGGACCAAATACAAAACAGGTATGAACAGTATCTGGCTCGAAATAAGCAGTTGCTTAATTAAAGGCAGTTGTTATTATTAATTTATGCTAGCTAATTGACAACCTGAGTTTACCTTCCATTGTCTGCAGATACCTGGGGACATGGTTGTAGACACAGATGGGGAATCAAGTCACCATCCTGCCCTTCCTTCTAGAACATCCTTTCCTAAGCCCCTCATTCCCACTCTTTTCTCATCTTTAAACAACCCAGCCAAAGGCTATCTTATGCAAGAAACAAAAGAGGGACTTTCTCTTCTTCTCATGAGCCTAAAGTCAGATTTTGTCCCTTGATATTGCCATATCATTTTGTTGTATTTGTCTTAAAGATGCTTGAAATAAAGTACAGTAAAAGACAGTTTGGGCTGGGCGCGGTGGCTCGCGCCTGTAATCCCAGCACTTTGGGAGGCTGAGGTGGGTGGATCATGAGGTCAGGAGTTCGAGACCAGCCTGGCCAACATAGTGAAACCCCGTCTCTATTAAAAATACAAAAATTAGCCGGGGCTTGGTGGCAGACACCTGTAGTCTCAGCTACTTGGGAGGCTGAGGCAGGAGAATCTCTCGAACCCTGGAGGCAGAGGTTGCAGTGAGCCGAGATTGTGCCACTGCACTCTAGCCTGGGTGACAGAGTGAGACTTCCATAAAAAAAAAAAAAAAAAAAAAACAAACAAACAAACAAAAAAAACCCCAAAAAAAGAGACAGTTTTACTGGACAATAAAGTTGTTGTGTAGAAAAAAAACGGCGTTAGTCATATTTGTAGTCCCTGATTTTTTATTCCTCTTCTCCTCCGTGGAAGGTTCCAGTACAATTTAAAACTGAATTACAGGAGAAATTTAAAACTGAATTACAAGAAATAAAGTATCAGGGACTTTATCACTCTCGCTGTGGACAGATATTGCTTGCTGTTACTCTGCCTTCAAAGCTTACCTGCCTAAAGTTTACCTCTAAGGGATTCAAAACATGTTCAGGTCTCTGCCACACGTGGAAAACATCTGTGCTGCATCAGGTCACATGTGGCTGCCTAGGATTAAGCATGGGTAAGGCTTCTAAAGGCAATAAGCAAGAGTAACCAGAAAAGTGTAAAGCCTGCTTACCTGAATTCCTGTCTCCCTTGCCCCCATCTCATTACCTTTCTCTTCTGCCTAGTCAATTCTGGTCAAGCACCTAGTATTCTTCTATTCTCCCTATCCCTCTTCTATTCTTATTTATGATACTATCAGTCATTTAGGTTTCATCATAAATGAGTTTATTACTTTCCTATTGCTTCCAAACCAATCTTCAGTTTTAGCTTTCAATGTAACTGTAAAATCAAAATATATTATTGCCCTGCCTTGAATTAATGTTATGCATCTACATGTGTGGGCAACTTATAAATAAAGAGAATTTACCTGTTTACACTCAAAATAATACCTTAAAAGAAGTTCCAATTTTGCCTTCTACAGTACAGATTTTTGTGAAAATGGAGCAGAAAGAGCATAAAGTCATGGAAAATGCAGAGGCGATGGCCCTAAACAGGCTTATGTTGAAATCGGCTTTCTTGAGAAGCTCTCATCCAGATTCAATGAAAAAGTGTCTCTAAAATATTTAAATGCAATCCTTGGCAAATAACGGGTAGTCAATAAATAATAATTATTATTATCTTTAACACTGACTATTTTAGTAACTTTTAACCTAAATTGGGGTGAGAACACCTGGCTCCACCAGTTCTTAAGTTATAATAATTTAGTTTCAACAATAATCTTCCCCAGGTTTTTGTATACCGCCCCACACCCCCCCCCCCGCCCCCGCCAAGAAAAGGTATCTTTTGTATTTTTGCTTTGTTTTTGTATATTAGGTGAGTGTGTGGGAGGCCTAAAAGCAAATGGTATATTAAATTTTCTTTCAAAAAAAATTCCAACTGTGCATACTTTTTAAAAGTGCTCCTCCCAGACTCAACAGGAGGATTAAAGTTTTTTTTTTAACATAATCCATTAATGGCCGTTCCAATTATATTCATGCTGCTGTCACCTAGTGGAGAGTTTAGTGAGTGGAAAACAGAAAAGGGAGCGTCCTGGATACGTTTCTCCAGAGTGCACTACTGCCATCTGGTGGTGATATTTACTAGGCCTGCCCTCAACTCATGAAAAAGCATTTTACCAAAGGGATATGCCTCTGTAATTACAATCAGTGTGATGGCATGACTCACAGCTCCTGCAACCACTAATTTTGATACCCTCTCATCTTTCAAGAAAAGAAATATGATTGGCCTTGAGTCATACTGACACTTGAAGGCAGAGCTGTAACCCTCAGCATCAACTCTTGACTCTGAGGCACATCTTATGCTAAAGCTAAAAGCTAGAGGAATGCCTGGAAATTGCCCCATTTCTAATCTCTTCAAATGGGTTAAAGTTTTAGGAATATTAAACAACTTACTGCTTGTTTCAGAGTTGGTATGATCGCCTGAATTTCTACATTTGTAGCTCTCTGTATTGAGGGTGTCTTTAAATATTATTTTTTAGTAATTTTTTACTAAAATTAAATTTTAATAATGTTGAATTATTAAATGGTATCTGTACCCATTGCTTAACACAGGTCTTAAGTTCTCCCCTCATATAATTGAATAAATATAATTTTATTATATCTGAGAAATAATTTTTAAAACTGTAATTAGGGCCCTTAAATCTCAACACCTCTGGATTTCTACTTCCAAACCCACAGAGTCTAAGAGAATATACACTTTAGAGGAAAGACAACTTTTTTGGTTTCTTCCAAATAATCACTTAGTCCAGGCTCTTGCCTAACGTAAGGTGAGAATATTCAACCAAAGTGAACGACTTCAGAAACCGAACCCAGATTTCTACCAGAGCAGTTCTGCTTTCATTTTATAGACACTGTAACTCATGTACCTCATCCAGTTTCCCTCGTTTTGCAGACTGTAGGAAAGGGAGTGGATAGGACTTCCTTGTGTGTATTTTGAGCCCTTCCCGCATTCCTGGCTCCATTTTATAATCTGCCCTTTCCTGCCTCTTACTTTCTGCCTTAAATACACGGTGCTCTGTCTTTCCTCAATGCCTTATACTTACTGAAAAGATGCAGAGTATATAGAACTATATGGACTATATAAACAATTGTGTGTCTGTATTTAAAATATATGCATATATACATAAATAAAATCTAAATGCAAAAGCTCTGTCTCCCAGGCTGGAGTTCAGTGGCAGGATCTCAGCTCACTGCAAGCTCCGCCTCCCGGGTTCACGCCATTCTCCTGCCTCAGCCTTCCGTGTAGCTGGGACTACAGGCGCCCGCCACCACGCCCGGCTAATTTTTTGTATTTTTAGTAGAGACAGGGTTTCACCTTGTTAGCCAGGATGGTCTCAATCTCCTGACCTCGTGATCCATCCCCCTCGGCCTCCCAAAGTGCTGGGATTACGGGCGTGAGCCACCGCGCCTGGCCAAAAGGCTCTCTTTCAAAATAAAAAATTGAAATAAATATTGTATCTTTTAAATAAAGAAATTCTTTTTTCAGTATAAAATATTCTCTGACTAGATTTCTTTAGCAAGAAGGAAAAAGATTCAAGGCTTACACAGTTTTGCTTATCCTGTACGCCGTTTTTAAGTTCCTGACAAAGAAAAGGTAGTAATTCTTCTTATGCTAATTAAACTGGTGGGTTTTTCTCAGCTATGAAATAAGCGCTAAAATCTCTCACATTAGAATTAGTTTCAAAGTTGGGAAATATTGTTTAGATAATTATTTGAATAATAAAACAATGGTTAGGCCAGATTCAAAAGTATATCAGTAAATATAAATGAAACAGCAGTTAACTAAGTTTCTTTCTTAAAAATACATTATTTTAAAGGCTGAAACATTTCTAATCAATACTTAATAGAATAATTTTATTGTTCCTGCTGCAAAAGTTTTCTTTTTTTTTTAATATAATGATCAGAAACCACTTTCAAGAATTGCAAACCCAGGAAAAAAGTTTTATTTTGCTTATCATGAACATATAAATGTACAGCTTTTACAGCTGTTTTCCAAGTTATTCAGGAAGATTCTTGACAAAGACTCTGTCCTTGATCTAATGCTAGTTAGGCTCCCCCGAGTGTCTCTCTGACTAGGCTCTGGATCTTGGGTTGTGTCCATGGTTGGCTTATTCCACTTTTGGCAAAAATCTTGCTAAGTCAGTTTACAGTAAATCTGACTACCCTCTATACGATATCTTATCACCCTGGCCTTCCTTCAGTAAAAATCCTGTTAGGTCAGTTTAGCAAAATATTACCCTACTCTTAGTAATATTCCATCCATCAAAGCCTGACTGTTCCCCTTAGCTATAAGTCTCCACTTTTCCTTATCATATTCAGAGTGGAGACTGATCTCTCTCCTCTACTATAAAACCCCACTGCAGAAGCCTCCCTTGAATAAAGTCTTCTTCACTGCCTTTAACATGTGTCGTAAACAATTTTTCCTTTAACAAGTCCAGTGGATGCCCATGGACAGCAGTGTCCCATAGGGCCCTATGCCTGCTGCCCACCCACCTGAACATTTCCATCCTGGCCTTATTAAGAATTCAACAGAAATAGTTGTAGCTTCTACACTGCATAATTTTTAAAACCCTACCCCTTCTACAAGCTCATTTCATCTCAACTATAATCTTGAGAGATAAGTGTAAAAGCCGTATTTTACAAGAAGAGATTGAGGCTCAGGGACATCAAAAGACTTGTCAGAATCAAATTGCAATGAGAGCTTAGATCTACTAAACCTATTCTGACTATTCTTTCTGCTAAAGTTTTTATTTTCTCATGGCTGTAGTGGGGGCTTGATATGGTCCAGCTGTTGATGAAGACAACGGAAGTGCGTCTCCTCTCCTTCGACCCATAGCTATACGTACACTCAGCCCCAGTCTCCAAGTGAGTACAAAAAGACCCTGCTTTAACAAGGGCAAACACAGTTATGCTCAGAATCCCAGTAAATCTGAATGCCATATGCTTGTACCATTTTGTAATTTAGGCTTGTGGGGCTTCTTTATAAGGTAAAATATTAAGTGATAGACTCTATGATTAAGAATATGTATGAGTTAATTACTCTTTCTTAGTAAGTGTTATGGATAGAATGTCTTTCCCTTATGACAATGTTCCAGAGTACAGGATCTGATTTCTCTAACTTTGCCTTAGATTATCCCTAAATTAGATGTCAGTCCCAGGAAGCTCCAACGCCTCTGTGTCAGGAAGGAGTTTGGCTTCAGAGGAGCTGACATCAAACCCACGCTGAAGAACCTCACCTCCGGGAAACCTGCAGGTCTGTGTCGTCTGCATCAGAGGTTTGGTGGGATGAATCCCTCAATCACTCTCCAATGTGCTGCCATGTAAGGCACCTAGTCATAGTTTGGCAACAGAATTTGCTCCCAGGATTTTCTCATCTTTGTAGACTATGCCTTTAAAATGCACCTTTCTTTACTGTACACTGGCCAGACACCGAGTTTCATCTTGTTCACCATGATAAAGAGCAGAAGGGAAAGGATCTTTTATTTCCCTATAGCTTGGAGTTACTCTCTCACCACCAGAGGGCAGGTGTGTACCAGGATGCCAAACCACAGCTTGCCTATTTTGAGGGCGGTATTTCAGTTGTGTCAATATACGGGTATCTTGACAAATGAGTGAAGAACTTCCAAAGGAATACAAGTGATTAATTGTGCTGATTAAGCCCTAGGGTAGGGAGCAGGAGAGCCTGCCGGGATCACTGAGTGTGCATCAGCACAGAAAAGTGACAGTAATTGGGGTCCCATGCTGAGAAGTCTTCAGATCAAGGAAGTTCAAGCTGGGCACATGGACTTCGTTAACCAAATCTTCTATTGTGTCTTTACTCAAGTTGTGGTTCATGCTTATTAAAAAATGCAGACTCTCAGGGCAGCTGCATCAGAATCGTCATGTTTAACAAGCTCCCTGGGTGATTCTTTCTCTCTTAAGTTTGAAACAGGATCTTGAGAGTGTCAGCAACTCAGCAAACTCTTTCAAAGCTAAGGTTCAGGTTGGGGAAACCCACAAGTGTTCTGGATTTTGTTGTGAACTTTTAAAAGCCCCGTCCAGGCGCCCATGAACGTAAGGCCTACTTGGTGGCACTTCCCTGTGGAACAAACAGGCAGATGTACAGATACAAATCATCTCTTTGTCTTGGCTCTTTCCTCGGCCTTTACACACTCCTCAGGAATACAAGTTTCATGAGCAATTTAACCCTCAAGATGTATACAAACAGATTTTTATTTAACAGATAAATTATACTTTAAAGTTGAGCTGGAATTCGTACTCATTTTAAATGGAATCTTAGAAATATGATCATGAGACAGCCTCAGCCATCAGGGATCATGCAATAATGACTTCTTGTGCATCAGTAGGAATTTCGTGTGAATCAGTGGCAGAACTCCAGCCATATATTGTCCCTAAAGATGGTTTCTAGGACACAAAGCCACTCCTTCTGATTCTAAATTTATGTAACAGGTTTGAATTCTATAGACACCAACTTGAGTGCGAAGAAATAGAACTCTTGTCCTGTCTCCAGAAATATAGTATTGGGGCTAAATTTAGTCCAATCAGTCTTTTATCAGAATTACTAATTCAGTCAAAATTTAATTCAAATTTTAATTCAGCTTCCTACTTCTTCCTCTGGAAGATATGCAAGTCTAGAGAGGAGAAGTCCATTCATTCGTGGCAGGGAGGGTGAGATTCTGTCTACTTTCATTATTTTGTGGCACAGTGCTGGATGGTGCTGGCTCCCACAGGTGACACAGTCATCACCAGTACAGTGTGCAGGAGATACCAGCCAGCATCTCACTTATAAAGGTCCACATACATCACAGTAATGTGCATCTCCTTGATCTATGACCTGTTTTTGGCCAGGTAGCCTCTGGCCATGATCATCAGCTCATGCTCCAAGTTACTTTCCACAGCTTACCATGGAGCCTTGGGAAGAGTACAGACCTCTTCATTGCCACTCCCCAGCCACAGGGAATCTCAGGTAGAGCTGGGCCCTCCTTTCGTCAAAATGTATCATTTCTGTTTTTTCCCCAAGCCTCATGGTATATGGTATCTCGGAGGTTTCTACTCTTAAACTGCATCCCAAACATGGCAAATCTGTTTTCACATCTCTCAGAAATGCCACATTTTTCAAGGGACATATTTATATTTTCTTCCTTTCCCTTCTTCACCTACCCCAGGGAGGAAGTACAAATTCCTCTCTTCGTCCAAAACAGCATTCCCAGGTCAGCTATGTCTTCCTGGAGCTCAAATTTTTAACATCCTTCCAAGGAAAGAAGGGAAATCAGTTTGATCTCTTATACCCTACTTGAGTCGGTCCTGTTTTGTGATAAGAGCAGCATCATTGCTCATTTAGACTGTCAGTCCTTGCTGTCCACGGAGGTCTTCACATTCGTCAATGCAGTTTGAGTTAGAAGTCAGATGGGAATATGGCTACAGGTATCTTCAGGAAAGAGAAAGGAAATAGTGTTAATAGTTGGTTATTCTGTCCTATTTTGCCTCGCCATACATGCTTGTGCCCAGAGAGAGTGAGTCACGACACAATCTTAATCTCCTTTATCTATTTCGGTACGTTCTCAGAGGCTATCCACAGAATATGATTAATGTTACTATCTTCACCCAGACAATAAGAGAGTTCTGGGATTTCCCTGGAGTGCTGGGACCCCTTGTGGGAAACACTAAGTAAAATGTATTTGACAAGAGGCAAATGGAGAAAAGACTAGCTGGAGCCAAGAGCTGGTGTGGTTTCAGTGTGTGCATACAAAGGGAAGCATAAAGAATATTTTTTGTTGAGCAGTGATAGAATTGCTCTGTATCCTGATTCTGGTTGAAGACGCATTAATCTATAAATTTTTTAAAATTCGTAGAACTATGCACCAAAAAGTCACTTTTACTGGATGTTGCTTATCTATCTGTCTATCTGTCTATCTATCTATCTTTCCGTGGAAGTTTCCATATTAAATAGCTTCTACAGGTAGGCTTAAATGAGCTGCCATTTACAAAGAAAACAAAAATTGAAGCTACATTAGGATTCTGTTTTTTGTATTTATTTTCTGAAGCACCATGGTTCTACCACATACAAATAAATTTGTAAAACAAATATTCCAGTATATTTTCAAAATTTTATAAAATATTAATAAAAATGATCTCATGGTGTTTCATTTATAGATTTGTTAATCTTTCCATTATTATACACATATAATATTTTGGGAACCGTTTCAATTTAATTCAATATTTTAAAGTAATTATGGTTTTCATTATCTTTTCTTTTAAAATAATCTAAAGTTACATCCTGTGTATGCATTATATGTGCTTGCTAAATCTTTATAGCTTACTTATACTTGACACTCAGCAACAGAATTCTATGTCTTCATATCCTCTCCTTTAGAGAGCACAAAATGTAAAAGCAGAGACATTCTTACTAAACTCCTGGAATAAACACTTCTGGAATTGTGTGTTAATATAGTTTTAGTAAAGATAACAGAAATAGTAAATGTGGTCTCTGACTTGAGTTTTCAGCTTTTTTTTGTTGGATTAGAAGAGAACAGAAATTTTGAGGATTTTTCATAACTATATAAAGGAAGGAAAAATTTTTAAAAGACCTAAAAATTAAAAAACATGGCAAAAATCCAGAATCAAGTAATATAACACACTTGATAACACAAAAGAATCTTGCAGCAGGGGTAACAACAAATAACATATAAGCATATTTTTAAAATTAAGAAGACATAATCAAGAACAAAAGTCAAAATTCATATACCTATGTAACACCATCTATGTTTTGTTTCTTCAATAACTAAAATCCAAGATCACAAATATTTTCAAAATACTAGCTCTTATTTCCGTAGTGACCTACTATCTAGTAGTTATCCCCACTATTTCTGGCTAATTATCTATTAGCTACTTAACAACCTAACTATTACTACTACAAGAACCTACTACTACCATTGCTGCTGCTATTTTACAAAAACTGCAATTACTTTTTCACCCACCTAATACAACTACTACTACTACTGCCACCTAGCTAACTGCTCTCTCCTTGGCTAGCTACGAGGGAGAATAAAAAGGATTTTCACCCCGCAGTGCTCAAGTACATATGTCTAATGAAAATGGATAACACCCATGAAGCTAAAAGGCAAAAGATAGTATGTCATAAATGCACTGCAGTTGCCACTGATTACATGTACTATAGCAGGCCGAAGGTGAATGAAATAAGCCTTTGCTGATTGCAGGATTAGGAAACTTTCAGAGGATGTGTGTTTTAAGGGGCCCAGCACAGTGGCTCACTCCTGTAATCCCAGCACTTTGGGAGGCTGAGGCAGGTGGGTCATCTGAGGTCAGGAGTTTGAGACTAGCCTGACCAACATTGTGAAACCCCGTCTCTACTAAAAATACAAAATTAGCCATGCGTGGTGGCGGGCACATGTAATCCCAGCTGCTAGGGAGGCTGAGATAGGAGAATCACTTGAACCCAGGAGGTGGAGGTTGCAGTGAGCCAAGACTGCGCCATTGCGCTCCAGCCTGGGCAACAGGAGCAAAACTCCATTTCAAAAAAAAAAGAATAGTATAATCAAAGGCACAGAGGACAGAGGTAGGTAAGCCACAGGTTCAGGAAATGATATGCAAGAAGGACATGACTTTGTTTCTTATTTCACGCAGAAAATAAAAGCAAACGAGAATAATTCATATGCTTTCACTACACCCATATATTCTTCTTACTTCTTTTAAATTGATGAATGCTCTCTTTTTAAACCTGAAGTTCACTGGATCCTGTTCCATCTGTTCACTAAATCCCTTTCTCTCCCCTCGAGGACTTGCCTTCTGCAATTGACACTGACCCTTCTCTTTCTTGCACTGACAAAATATTTTCCTCTACCAGGTCATTCCTATCAACAGATAAACATGTTAAAATATATTCCATCTTTAAAAACCAGCCAACAAAAACAAAAACAAACACCAACTTCATTGTCCCTATATTCCTCTCCAGCTATTGCCTCATTTCTCCATTCTTTTTACAGCAAACTTGAAATAATTGTCAAAATCACTCTCAGCCTTCTCTCCTCTCCTCTCATTTTTTGTTGAACCCACTCCATTCATGCTTCTGTCTCCACCACTCTTCTAAAATTGCCCTTGTCAAGATTACTGAAGATTTCCACATTGCCAAACTCAATGATCATTGTCAGTTCTCAATTACTGTTTGTCAAAAGCATTTGCTGGGGTGGTCCTTTTAAAAACATATCCTTTACTTGGCCTCCCTCCTGACACTGACTGGCTATTCCTTATTCTTCTTTGATGGATCCTCATCAATTTATTATCCTCTAAATGTAGAGTGCCCCAGAGCTCTGTCCTCAGCTTCTCATTTACTCTTATTTCTGTAGTAATCTTATACAACATCATGATTTTAAATTCCAATCACTGATAATTCCAAAGGCATATCCCAATTCCTGACCTATCCTCTAAACTCCAGACCTGTACATCCAACTAGCATATTTCAGAGAGGTCTTCTCTAATCAGTCTGTGTGAAATAGTCTACCTCACTCCATCCTACTCCAGATGTACTTCTCTACTTACCATAATGGATTTTCACCACAGAACCTATCACTGCCAAACAAATTACTCATTTTTTTGTTTCCTATCATGCTACCCATAACTTCTTCATTCCCCCTTCACATACCACCACCGTTAGAATGAATGAACCATAGGAGCAAGGAATTCTTTGGTTTTATTGACTATAGTAGCCCCAGTATTCAAATAAATCAACAAACGTTTAGCTAGACTAAGCAAGAAGAGAGAAAGGCCAAATAAATAAAATGCAGATGAAAAAGGAAACATTACAATCGATACCACAGATATATAAAAATCATTGGAGATTATTATGAACAACTATATGCCAACAAATTGGGAAAACCAGAAGAAATGGATAAGTTCCAGGACACATAGAGCCTAGTAAGATTAAGCCACGAAGGAGGAGAGTGGGGGTTGGTTACTGAGCACAAAAAAAAATAGGAAAAATGAGTAAGACCTGGTATTTGATAGCACAACAGGGTGAATATAGTCAATAAGAATTTAATCATACATTTTTAAAAAACTAAAATAGTATAATTGGATTGTTTGTAACACAGAGCATAAATGCTTGAGGGGATGAATACCCCATTTTACATGATGTGATTATTACACAATCCATGCTTGTGTGAAAACATTTTATGTATCCCATAAACATATGCACCTACTATGTGACTACAAAATTTTTTTTAAAAAATTTAAAAAGGGTTAAACCATGAAGAAACAGAAAACCTGAACAGACTGAAAACTAGTAACAAGATTAAAGCCAAAAATAAATAAATAAATAAAAGCCCAAGATCTGATGGATTTAATGCTGAATTATACCAAACATTCAAAAAAGAACTAATACCAATTCTACTTAAGCTATTTTTAAAAATTGAAGAGAAGGGAACACTTCCAAATTATTATGTGGGGGCCAGCATTACCCTGATACCAAAATGAGATGAGGACACAATAAAAAAATAGAAAACTCCAGGCCTCATAAACATAAATGCAAAAGCCCTCAGTAAAATACTAGCAAACCAAATACAACACATTAAAAAGATCATTCTCCATTATTGGGTCGGATTCATCTCAGGGATATAAGAGGATGGTTCCACATATGCAAATCAAACAATGTGATACTTCATATCAACAAAATAAAAGGACAAAAACCATATAATCATTTCAATAGATGTTGAAATAGCATTTGATAAAATTCAACATCTCCTCATGATAAAAACTCTCAACCAATTGGGTATGAAAGGGATATGTGTCAGCACAATAAGCACCCATATAAGACAAGTCCACAGCTAATATCATACTAAATGGGGAAATACTGAAGTTCTTTCCAATAAAATCTGTGATTCTCAAAATCACAGGCAACAAAAGCAAAAGTAGACAAATCTGATTACATCAAGCTAAAGAGCTTCTGCATAGTAAAGGAAGCAATCAACAAAGTGAAGACACAAAGTGAAGAAACAAGTCAGAGATGCCACTTTTATCACTTCTTTTCAACATAATACTGGTCGTCCTAGCTAGAGTAATTAGGCAAGAGAAAGAAGTAAAGGGCATCCAAATACAAATACAAGAAGTCAAATCAACCCCATTTAAAACAGCTTGAAAAAAAAACCCTAAACCTAAAATAGCTAGGAATAAATTATGCCAAAGAAGTCAAAGATTTCTATAAGGAAAACTATAAAACGCTAATGAAAGAATGTGAAGAAATCTCAAGAAAATGGAAAGCTATTCTATGTTCATGATTGAAAAAATTAATATTATTAAAATGTCTATAGTGCCCAAAGTGATCTACAGATTGAATGCAATCTGTATCAAAATACCAAAGACATTATTCACAGAAATAGAAAAAGCAATCCTTAAATGCGTATAGAACCATAAAAGACTCCCAAAATCCAAAGCAATCCTGAGCAAAACCCAGAAGGCATCACGCTACTTTATTTCAAATTACAGTAGAAAGCTATAATAATCAAAGCAGCATGGCACTTGCATAAAAACAGACACATGGACCAATGGAATGGAAGAGAAACCCTAGGAATAAATCCACACACTTAGAGCCAACTCATTTTTTACAAAGATGGCAAGAACATACACTGGGGAAAGGATAGTCTGTTTAATAAATGATGCTGGGAAAACTGGATACCTACAGGCAGAAGAATGAAACTAGATTACTATCGTTCACCATATACAAAAATACATTCAAAATTGATTAAAAACTTAAATATAAATAGACCTGAAAATTTGAAATTACTTAAAGAAAACATTGGGGAAATGCTACAGGACATCAGTTTGAGCAAAGATTTTTTTGGTAATACCTCAAAATCACAGGTGACAAAAACAAAAACAGACAAATGGGATTACATCAAACTAAAGAACTTCTACCTGGCAAAGGGAGCATTTAACAAAGAGAAGAGATAACCTGAAGCATGGGAAAAATATTTGTAAACTCTCCATCTGCCAAGAGATTAATAAGCAGAATATATAAGGAACTCAAACAATTCAATAGCAAAAAAGCAAATGCCATGATTTAAAAATGGTCAAAAGAGCTGAATAGTTATTTCTCAAAAAGACATACAAATGGCCAACAGGTATATGAAAAAAGGCTCAACATCATTAATGATTAGGAAAATGCAAATCAAAACCACAATGAGCTATCATCTCACCCCAATTAGAATGGCTATTATGAAAAAGATAAAAAATAACAAATGCTGATGAGGAGGCAGAAAAAGGTACCTTGTTGGAGAGAATGTAAAGTAGTACCCTGTTTGATGGGAATATAAAGTAGTAGAGTTAGTATGGAAAACAATATGGAGGGTCCTCAAAAAAACTAAAAATATAACTACCTTATAATCTTGCAATTCCACTGTTGGGTTTATATCCAAAAGAAAGGAAATCAGCATATCAAAGAGATATCTGCATTCTCATGTTTATTTCATTACTATTCACAATAGCCAAGATATAGAATCAGCTTAAGTGTCCATCAGTGGATGCATGGATAAAAAATGTGGTACACATACACAATAGAATATTATTCAGCCATATAAAATCATAAAATTCTACTCTTTGAAGCAACATGGATGGAACTGGAGGCCATTATTTGAAGTGAAATACACCAGGCACACAATAACAAATATCACATGTTCTTACTCATAAGTGGAAGCTAAAAAAGTGGATCTCACAGAAGTAGAGAGCATAAATGCTGGTTACCAGAGGCTGAGAAGGGAAGTGGGGAGAAAACAATAAAAAGATATTGGTTAAGTGATACAAAACATAGTTAGATAGAAAAAGTAAGTTCTTGTATTTGATAGCACAGTAGGGAAACTATTGTTAACATTAATTTTTTGTATATTTCAAAACAACTAGAAGAGATTCATAAAGTTCCCAACACAAAGAAAAGTTAAACGTTCGAAGGGACAAATAAACAAATTATCCTAATGTGAACATTACGTATTGTATACAAGTATCAAAATATCCCATATACCTCCAAAATAAGTAAACTGTTATATACCAATACAAATGTTTAAAAAATATAAGGCTCACATACTACAAGAGATTGCAAATGATGGTCACAGATGTGTTTTAATTGTCTTAAAATACAAAATTGTAATTAAAATTTTGACAAAGTTATCAACACATAAACTTTGGAATTTTATATAAATATTTGGGTTTATGATTTCTACTGAAAAATTAGAAATTGCTTATTTTAGTTTACATGTAGTACATGCTAGGCACTGTTGTAATTGCTTGTGATAGTTTTATATGTCAACTTGCCTTGAGCACCGGATGTCCAGATATCTAGTTAAACATTATTTTTGAGTGTGTCTGTGAGTTTGTTTCCAGAAGAGATTAGCATTTGAATCTGTAGACTGAGTAAAGCATATTGGCCACCGCAATATGGGAGGGCATCATCCAACCCATTCAGAGCCTGAACAGAAAAGACAAAAAAAAAAAAAAAAGTGGAAGAAGGGAGGAGTCAGCTTCTGTCTGTCTTATTGTTTGAACTGGGTCATTGATCTTCTCCGGCCCTTAGAGGTTCCTTTCTCAGGCCTTCAGATGAAGACTAGAATCTACACCATCAACTATCCCCAGACCTCAGGCCCTCAAAATCAACCAGTGACCTTCCTGGGTCTTCAGCTGGCAGATGGCAGATCATAAGACTTCTCAGCCTTGATCACTGTGGGAGCCAATACTTTACAATAAATCTATTTATATATGCATCCTATTGGTTCTGTTTTTTGGAGAAACCTTACTAATACACTGCAATTATTACAAATAATTACCACATTTACTCATTAAACATCTCTATGATGAATTACTAGTACTGTAGCACAGAAGAGTTAAGGGCTTTCCTAAAGTCTTCTATCTAGTAACTTTGGCGGTGGGACTCAAACTCAAATAATGTAATTTTCTGGTTCAGGCCTTTATCACTATCTTCTCTGAACCAGCATTCCTGAGAGGCTACAACACCTAGAGCTCAGTGCCAGCCTCCCTATGTAGCTGGAGCAAGCACTCTGCAGTGTGTCAAAGATGCTTCTCTCTTTTACCTCACCTGCTTTAACCCTACTGACATTCACCAGAATCTGTAATCCTTGTCACACTGAAATGTCATACTTGAATCAATGATCATTTGAATGTCCATTTACATATAATCACTAAATTGGGTTCTAAATTTGTTAAAAGGCAAGTAAAATATAATCCTTGTTTATTCATGAGTACAGTCATATTGAATATAGCTTATATAGAGTTGACGTTATTCATCAAAAGAGTAGTACAAACCAAATGAGACACTGCAATAAATTTCAGAGTTCAACAGAAAGAAAAATTTTATAAATACTCACCAGCCATGGGGACAGGGGATTTCTTTGTTTACTGCTGCATCCCAGTGTCTCCACAGTGTGTTATTGGAGCTCCATACATATTTTTGAATGAATGTATGAATGGCTAAGTCTTAACTCCTCCTCCCTGATTCAGTTTAATTTCTGATTTCTCTTTAGCATTTTTCTACTCTCATTTTATATATTTAGTGGGAAGGCACATGGGAAGAATTATATCCAACAAAAAAATCAAATAAACTCCAATGGAAGTTCAAGAGAAAAAGGGATCATATGCGGTTGGGGGGAACTAGAGGTTTCATGGAAGAAGCAGGCCCAAAAGAACTGGTAAAATGTCCGCAGGCAGAGATAAATGGAAGGAGTTTCCAGGCCCTTGAGTGAGTCAGACCAAACTATTTGTACTATATGCCATGGAGTTTGGCAGCTGCTGAGGGTTTTGAGCAGGTGGATGTTGATTTTCTTTTGACATTTACTTGGCTTAAGAAAATAACTGAGAATGAATCTATGCTATAAAAAATTAATAACTAAAGCAAAAGTGAAATTCTGGCTTGGATTTGTTTACAGGAGGATCTTGGGCAGTATCTGTGGCTTTCAACCTCATGCAACCCGACAGTTTTGTCAGATTCATCTCTTTCTCCAAAAAGTTATTCAGAAAGGATATTGGGTTAACATAAGACTCAGGATCCTAGAATTCAGTATCAATTAGTTACCAATGGTGTGACCTTGGGCAAGTCACTTACTCAACTGGAACATCTTCATCTGTTAAAATATTAATAATTTCATATTTTCCTCATAACCTGGAATTATTTAATGAGTGAACATACTGCAGGAATTCTTTGGAAGTTGTAAAGTGCTCTATTCTGCCCTTCTCTGCTGCCCCCAGCCTGCTTCAGCAGCATAATGATAACATGTGTAAAACATACAAAAATGTAGTGGTGAAAATTGTATTTTATTACTCTGCATTTTTGGTTGTTAATATATGCAATGATGCTTGGTGAGAAAAAATGCTCCTGGCCACCTGGAATCCAAAGTGACATTGTGTTTTTGTATTCCTCTGCTTTTGGAAGAGTGTATCCTTTTCAATTTGTTGAGAAAGCCATTAACTAAGAGAAAAAGATTTAAAGCCATGAAATCTTTTCTCCCTAGAGAAATAAAAATGAATGACAAATATAGTAGCCCAATAGTTGGTCTAAACAGTGAGATACTACTTACAAAAGTGAGAAATTTGAAGATGATCTAGAAATTTTACAGCCTAGAATTTTAAGTTACTAAAGAACAATTGTGGGAAATAGAGTTAATTTGTAGCATCTTAAACTTCTGTTCTTTGATTTTTAAAAGACTCTCTGAGAATTTCCACACCCTCAATATAGAAACATTGAGATTAACTGAGAGTATAATTTAGTTCTGACCCCAAGAAAAACCCATTAAGTAAGCTGATTTTGTTTGTTTTATAATTACTTCCCTCACTCCCAAACCCACTGTGAAACTTCTTCCATTGTCATTCCTTTTTAGACACTTATTTTCTTTCTTCCCCACACCCTCCCAACATAAATATATTTATTGCATCTTGTGCAGTCATCTACACACCAGATAACCCCTTCCACTATGCAAGATATTCCATTTCCATCTCAAATATACTCTAGATATCAAAATCTACCTGTACTGGGTTCTAACCCCTCTGGAACTTCCCTTCTACTCTTTTAATGATAAGTGATTGAAGTGTCCCTCATTCTAATAAATACATTTATGTTTTAATTGGGCCCTCTGAAAACATAAATTCAATACAGTGGCATTTCAAGTAATGAGAATTTTAACTGTAGAAGTCAAATAAAAGAGATTTTGGACTGAGTGCGGTGGCTCACGCCTGTAATCCCAGCACTTTGGGAGGCCAAGGAGGGTGGATCCCTTGAGATCAGGAATTTGAGACCAGCCTGGCCAACATGGTGAAACATCATCTCTACTAAAAATACAAAAACATTAGCTGGGCATGGCGGTGCACGCCAGTAATCCCAGCTACTTGGGAGGCTGAGGCAGGAGCATTGCTTGAACCTGGGAGACGGAGTTTGCAGTGAGCAGAGATTGTGCCACTCATTCCACATTCCAGCATGTATGACAGAGCCAGACTCTATCTCAAAAAAAAAAATTGCAATAAGCTTTGCAAAAGTGTTTCTTATAACCACAACTATTAAGGCTAAACTAGATGATATCTGATAAACCAATTTCAATATCGCTTCCTTAGAATCAGTATTAAAGGTCTCTAAACTACTTAAGCACGAGCCAAAAGTTTACACACTTCCAGAGTCCAATCTGTAACAGGATAATGTGAAGTGGTAGAGTATTATACAATAAGAAATGTTGTAAACTGGGGTAAACTAGAGCATGCATGCACAGCAAAAGAGGAATAATGCATTAAAAATATAACACCAGAGGGGGCAGAGCAAGATGGATGAATACAAGCTTCCACTGATCTTCCTCCACAGAAACACCAAATCTAACAACTACCTACACACAAAAAAAAGCACCTTCATAAGAACCCAAAATCAGGTAAGTGATTACAGAACTTGGTTTTAATTTCATATCATTGGAAGAGGCACTGAAGAGGGTAAAATGACAGACATGTATTGCCAGTATCACTCCTACATGATCCTCCAGCAGTGGCCACATGGCACAGAGAATCCATGGCCTTGGGGTAAGGAAAGCAATGATTGTGGGACTTTGCATTGAAACAGTGCTGTCCTGTCACAGCAGGAAGCAACACTAGGCAGAACTTAGCTGATACCAACAGAGAGAGGATTTAGACCAGCCCTAGCCAGAAGGGAATCATCCATTCCAGCAGATGGAACTTGAGTTTCAGCAGGCCTTGCCACCACAGGGTAAAGTGCTCTGCAGTTTGAAATAAACTTGAAAGGCAGTTTAGTCCACAAAGACTGCAACTCCTAGACAAGTTCTAGTGCCATGCCGGGCTTAGAGCCAGTGGACTTAGGGGCCATGTGACCTAGTAAGACACCAGCCAGGGCAGCCAAAGGAGTACTTGTACCACCCATCCCCTAAATCCAGGAAGCACAGCTCACAGCTCTGAAAGAGACTCCTTCCTTCCACTCGAGGAGAGGAGAGGGAAGAGTTAAGATGGCCTTGTCTTGCAATGTGGATAGCAACATAGCCACAGTAGAATAGGGCACTGGGCAGAGTCCTGAGGCACCCATTCCAGACCCCAGCACCCAGAAGACATTTCTAGACCTACCTTGGTCCAGAAGAGAACCTGCTCATTTAAAAAGAATGACCCAGTCCTGGCAGGATTCATCACCTGCTGACTAAAGAGCCCTTGGCCTCTGAATAATCAGCAGTGGTTGATAGGTAGTACATGCCATGGGCCTTAGGTGAGATTCTGAGACATGCTAGTTCAGGTGTGACCCAGCACATTCCCAGCTGTGGTAGCTATGGGGAGAGACACATTCTGTTTGAGAAAAGCAGAGGGAAGAGTAAGGGAACTTTGTATTGCAGCTTAGGTACCAGCTTGGCCACAATAGGGTGGAGCATCTAGTGGGGTCTTGGGATCTCTGATTCCAGGCCTTAGCTCTTGGATGGCATTCCTGGACTTGCCCTGGTCCAGATGGGTGTCCACTGCCCTGAAGTATGGGTCCAGGCCAGGCAGCATTCACCACAAGCTCACCAAGGAGCCCTTGGGTGTTGAGTAGACATTGGAGGTAGCCTGGCAGTACTCCTTTCAGGCCTTTGGTAGTGGTGGCCACAGGAAGAGATGCCTCTGCTTATGAAAAGGGGAGAGAAGAGTAGGAAGGGCATTGTCTTGTGGATTTGGTGCTATCTCAGCTGCAGTAGAATAGAGCACCAGGTAAATTCCTCAGGTTTCCAACTCCAGGCCCTGGGTCCCGGACAGCATCTCTGGACCTGCCTTGGGCCACTAGGAACTCACTGCTCAGAAAGGAGGGACACAAGCCTGGCTGCTATCACCACCTGCTGATTGTAGAGACCTAGGGCCTTGAGTGAACATAGGTGGTAGCCAGGTAGTGGTTACAATGGGCCTTGGGCAAGACCCAGTGCTATGCTAGCTTTAGGTCTGATTCAGTGCAGTCTCAGTGGTGGTGGCCATGGGAGTGCTCATGTCAACCCCCCCCCAGATCCAGGTAGCTCAGCACAAAGAGAGAGAGTTCATTCGTTTGTGAGAAATTAAGGGGAGGGAACAAGAGTTTCTGCCTGGTAATCCAGAGAATTCTTGCAGATCTTATCTAGGATCACACGGGCAGTACCTCTATGAGTCTGCAAGAGCCACAATGTTACTGGACAAGGGATGCTCTCTAATAAAGATATGGCTGCAGTGACCAAACACAGATCACAACACCCAAGTCCCTTCTAATACCTCAAAAGTATTCCCAAGAAAGAATGGTACAGACAAGCCCAGACTGTGAAGACTAGAATAAATACTTAACTTTTGAATGCTCACACACTGATGAACATCCACAAGCATCAAGATCATCTAGGTATAACATGACCTCATCAAAAAAACTAAGCCACCAGGAGCGAATCCCAGAAAGACAGAGATATGTGACCTCTCAGACATAAAATTCAAAAATAGCTGTTTGGATGAAACTCAATAAAATGAAAGAGAAGGAATTCAGAATCTTATCAGATTAATAAAGAGACTGAAATAATTAAAAAGAATCAAGCAGAAACTCTGGAGTTGAATCATGCAATTGACATATTGAAGAATGCATCAGAGTATTTTAAAAACAGAATTAATCAAGCAGAAGAAAGAATTAGTAAGCTCATAGACAGGCTATTCGAAAATACAGTCAGTGGAGACAAAGAATAAAAAAGAATGACACACATCTACAAAATCTAATAAATAGCCTCAAATGGGCAAATTGAAGAGTTATAGACCTAAAGAGGAGATAGAGAGAGAGCTAGGAGTAGAAAGTTTATTTAAAGGGGTAATAACAGAGAACTTCCCAAACCTAGAAAAAGAGCAGATTTAACCGAAAGAAGACTGCCTCAAAACATTTAAGAATCAAATTCCCAAAGGTCAAGGATAAAGAAAGGACTCTAAAAGCAGCAAGAGAAAAGAAACAAATAACATATAATGGAGGTCCAATACATCTGGCAGCAGACTTCTCAATGGAAAACTTGTAGGTCATGATAGAGTAACATGACATACTTAAAGTGTGGAAGAAAAAAATACTTTTATTCTAGAACAGATTACCTGTAGAAAATATCCTTCAACCATGAAAGAGAAATAAAAACTTTCTCAGACAAACAAAAGCTGAGGGATCTCATCAACACCAGACCTGTCCTATAAGAAATGCTAAAGAGAGTTCTTTAAGCTGAAAGAAATGGATGCTAACAAGCAATAAGAAATTTTCTGAAGGTATAAAACTCACTGGTGGCCAGGCTCTGTGACTCATGTCTGTAATCCCAGCATTTTGGGAGAAGAAGACAGGAGAATTGCTTGAGCCCAGGATTTCAAGAACAGCTGGGCAACATGGCAAAACCTAATCTCTACACAAATTAAAAAATCAGGTGGGTTTCGTAATGCATGCCTGTAGTCACAACTATATAAGAGACTGAGGCAGGAAGAGCTCCTGAATTCAGGACATTGGCCTGAGTAATAGAGCAAGATCATGTCTTAAGAAAATAAAAATAAAGAGAATAAAACTCGCTGGTAATAGTAAGTACACAGAAAAACAAAGACAACTATAACACTGTAATTGTGGTGTGTAAACTGCTCATATGTTAAGCAGAAAGACTAAAAGATGAACTGATCAAAAATAATAACTATAACAACTTTTTAAGACACAGTACAATAAGACATAAATAGAAGCAAAAGTTAAAAAGCAGGGGGACAATGTTAAAAGTAGAGTTTCTATTTGTTTTCTCTTTGCTTATTTGTTAGTTTGTTTATACAATTAGTGTTAACTTGTCATCAGTTAAAATAGTGGATTACCAGGTATTATTTACAAACTCCATGGTAACCTCAAATCAAAAAACATCCAATGAACACACACAAAAAAATAAAAAGCAAGAAATGAAAACATACAACTAGAGAAAATTATCTTCACTAAAAGAAAGACAAGAAGGCAGAAAAGAAAGAAGAGAGGACCACAAAACAACCAAAAAGCAAATAACAAAATAACAGGAATAAGTCCTTACTTATCAATAATAACATTGGATATAAATGGACTAAACTCTCCAATCAAAAGACTCAGAGTGGCTGACTGGATAAAATAAAATAAAAAAAAAAAAGCAAGACCCAATAATGTTCCCTATAAGAAACACACTTCAACTATGAAGACACAAATAGATTTAAAATAAAGGGATGGAAAAAGATATTCCCTGCAAATGGAAATTTAAAATCACAGCCGGAGTAGCTTTACTTATATCAGACAAAACAGATTTCAAGATACAAATTATAAAAAAGGCAACGAAGGTCATTATATAATAATAAAGGGGTAAATTCAGCAAGAGGGCCTAACAATTTTAAATATATATGCACCCAACACTGGAGCACCCAGATATGTAAAGCAAATATTATTAAGTTAAACAGAGTGAGATAGACCCTAATACAACAATAGCTGGAGACTTCAACACCTCACTTTTTTTTTTTGGGCAGATTATCCAGAAAAAATTCCACAAAGAAATATCAGGCTTAATCTGCACTATAGACCAAATTGGCCTCATAAATATTTATAAAACGTTTCATCCAGTGGCTCAGAATACACATTCTCCTCAGCACACGGATTATTCACAAAGATAAGCCATATGTTAAGTCACAAAACAAGTCTTAAAATATTCAAAAAAAGCTGAAATAATATCAAGTATCTTTTCTGACCACAATGTAATAAAGATAGACATCAATAGCAAGAAAAATTTTGGAAACTATAAAAATACACGGAAATTAAACAATATACTTATAAATCACTAGCGAGCCAATGATGAAATTATGAAGGGAATTTTAAAAATTCTTCAAAAATGATAATGTGAGCCAGGCATGGTGGCTCACGCCTGTAATCCTAGCACTTTGGGAGGCCGAGGCAGGCGGATCACCTGAGATTGGGAGTTCAAGACCAACCTGACTAACATGGAGAAACCCTGTCTTTACTAAAAATACAAAAAAATTAGCTGGGCATGGTGGCCCATACTTGTAATCCGAGCTACTCAGGAGGCTGAGGCAGGAGAATAGCTTGAACCCGGGAGGCAGAGATTGCAGTGAGCGGAGATCGCACCATTGCACTCCAGCCTGGGCAACAAGAGCTAAACTCTGTCTCAAAAAAAAAAAAAAAAAAAAAAGAAAGAAAGAAAATACGATGTACCAAAATCTGTGGGTTATAGCCAAAACAGTACTAAGAGGGCAGTTTATAGCTATAAGTACCTACATCCAAAAAGTAGAAAAATTTCAAATAAACCACAGAGCAGAAATAAATAAAATTGAAATGAAGAAAACAATACAAAATGTCAATGAAACAAAGCATTACTTTTTTGAAAAGATAAACAAAATCAACAAACCTTCAGCTAGACTAAGAAACAAAGAGAGAAGACCCAAATAAATAAAATCAGAGATAACAAAGCAGACATTTCAACTGATATTGCAGAAATTCAAAGACTCATTAGAGACTACTATGAACAATTATATGACAATAAATTGGAAAACCTAGAAGAAATGGATATGTCCCTAGATACATGTAACCTACCAAGATTGAACCATGAAGAAATCCAAAACCCGAATAGAACAATAACAAGTAATGAGAGTGAATCTGTAATAAAAATTCTCCCAGCAAAGAAAAGCCCAGGACCTGATGGCCTCACTGCTGAGTTTTATCAACCACTTAAAAAGCAACTAATACTATTCTACTCAAACTATTCCAAAAAATAGAGGAGGAGAAAACACTTCCCAAATGATTTTATGAAGCCAGTTTAACCTTGATACCAAAACCAGACACAGAAACCTAAAAAAAAAAAAAAAAAAAAAACTATAGGCCAATATCTCTGATTAACATTGATGCAACAGAATGAAGGACAAAAACCATGTGATTATTTCAATTGATACTGAAAAAGCATTTGATAAAATTCACCATCCTTTCATGATAAAAATTCTCAAAAAACTGAGGATGGAAGGAACACACTTCACAATAAAAGTCATATATGACAGACCCACAATATCACATTAAATGGGGAAAAACTGAAAATCTTTCCTCTAAGGTCTGGAACATGACTAGGATGCTCACTTTCACCACTGTTATTCAATATAGGACTGGAAGTCCCAGCTAGAGCAATCAGAAAAGAGAAAGAAAGAAAGGGCACCCATATTGGAAAGGAAGAAGTCAAATTCTCCATGTTTGCAGATTACATAATCTTATATTTGGAAAAATCTAAAGACTCTACCAACAAACTATTAGGATGATAAAAAAATTGAGTAAAGTTGCAGGATACAAAATCAAGACACAAAAATTATAGCATTTCTATATGCCAGCAGTGAACAATCTGAAAAAAAAATCAGGAAAATAATCCCATTTATTATAGCTACAATTATAGTGAAATATCAAGGAATTAACCAAAGAAGTTAAAAATCTCTATAATGAAAATTATAAAACATTAATGCAAGAAATTGAAGATGACACACACAAAAAATGGAAAGATGTTCCTTGTTCATGGATTGGAATAATTCTGTAAAATGTCCATACTACCTAAAGCAATCTACAGATTCAATGCAGTCCCTACCAAAACACCAATGACATTCTTCACAGAAATAGAAAACACAATTCTTGTATTTATATGGAACTATGAAAGACCCACAATATCCAAAGCTATCCTGATCAAAAAGAACAAAACTGGAGGAATCATATTACTTGGGTATTTTCACCAGAGAGATTAAAACTATAAGAAAAAAATCCAATGGAAACTATAGAAATGGAAAATACCATAATGTCTTTGACAGTCTCATAGACCTGAGACTGTGGAAGAAAAAAATAGAAGTTGAAGATAGAACAATTGAAGCTATCCAAACTAAAATACAATGAAAAATAGAGAGTGGAAAAAAAAGCATAACAGAGCATTAAAGAGCTGTGGAACAAGATCAAGTGGTTTAACATATGAATGATTAAAATCCCAGAAATATAGGAAAGAAAGATTGGGGAAGAAAAAATATTTGAAATAGTCATGGCCAATAATTTTTTAAACTGATGACAGAATCTCTCCTCATCCTGACAAACACTCACACAAATCCAAGAAATTCAAGTTTACCAAGCACGATAAATGCCCCAAAGAACACCTACGATATTATAATTAAACTGCAGGGGAAAATCTTGAAGGCAGCTAGAAAGAAAAGACACATTACATATAGATAAGAATTACAGCAGACTTTATGTCAAAAATCTTACAAGCTAAAAAAATGGAGTTACAATATTTAAAGTGTTGAAAAGAAAACAAAAATAACCATCAAACCAGAATTACAAACCCAGAGAAAATATCTTTCAAAATGAAAGAAAAATACAGAATTTATCAGCCAAATAAAATGGAAGGAATTCATTGCCAGCGCACCTACTCTACAGGAAGTGTCAAAGAAAATTTCTCAAACAGAAGGAATATGATATCAGACAGAAACTCGGATCTACACACAAAAGTACAGAGTCCTGAAAATAAAGAAAGGTAAAATAATTTTCTCATTTCAAATTGTTCAAAAATTACTGACTTTTTAAAGGTAAAAAATAGTACTAATGTATTGTGTATTTATAGAAAATGGAAAAGTGATAATGAATGATCAACAAGAAAATTAGGAATAGATTGCTGAAAAGTGTCTAAACTATATGTGACATTTAGATTAAATAATAAAATGCATATTGTAAAGACTAGGGCAATCAGCAATAAAATAAAAAGAAAAAAGAGATGTGAGTGAGAAATCGATAGAGAAGATTAAATAGGAGCATAAACTGTTCAACTAACACAAAAGGATGCAGAAAAAGTAGAAGAAAGTTGAAGCAAATAGAAAACAGCTAATTCAAAATGGTTGATTTTTAACTCAACCATATTAGTAACCACCTTAATACAAATAGTCTAAATGAAACAAAAGGCAAGTTTAAAAACAAAAGGTGGTTGAAAATCATTTAAAAGACAAATATTATCAGATTATGTTTTTAAATTTTTTTTATTTCCATTGGTTTTTGGGAAACAAGTGGTGTTTGGTTACATGAATAAGTTCTTTAATGGTGATTTCTGAGATTTTGTTGCACCCATTGCCCAAGCAGTACTACACTGTACCCAATGTGTAGTCTTTTATGCCTTGCCACCCCTGACCTTTTACCCTTAAGTCCCCAGAGTATCAAATGTATCATTCTTATGCTTTTGCATCCTCATAGCTTAGCTCCCACATTTGAGTGAGAAAACATCATGTTTGGTTTTCCATTCCTGAGTTACTTCACTTGGAATAATAGTTCCCAATTCCATCCAGGTTGCTGCAAATGCCATTATTTCTTTTCTTTATATGGCTGAGTAGTATTCCATGGTGTGTGTGTGTGTGTGTGTGTGTGTGTATATAATACCTATGTATTAAAAATAATATATATTAGATATATATCTATTACAGAAATAGAAAAATATATATCTAATATTTTTAATAGATATATATATCTATTATTGTTTGATTTTTTGATTATGGCCATTCTTGCAGGAGTAAGGTGGTATTGCATCTTGGTTTTGATTTGCATTTCCCTGATAATTAGTGATGGCAAGCATTTTATATATATACCACTATATATATATATATATATATATACACACACACACACACACACACACCCCAATATATATATTGGTATATATATGTGTGGTTTATATATTTTATATATATATAATGTGGCATATATATATATATATATATATATATATATATATATATATACCACATTTTCTTTATCCACTCATTGATTGATGGGCATTTGAGCTGGTTCCAAATTTTTGCAATTGCAAATTGTGCTGCTGTAAACATGCAAGTGAAAATATCTCTTGTGTACAATGACTTATTTTCCTCTGGGTAGATACCTAGTAATGAGATTACTGGATCAAACGGTAGTCCTACTTTTAGTTCTTTAAGTAATCTCCACACTGTTTTCTATAGTGGTTGTACTAGTTTACATTCCCACCAACAGTGTAAAAGTGCTCCCTTTCACCACATCCCCACCAACATCTATTATTTTTTGATTTTTTGATTATGGCCATTCTCTGCAGGAGTAAGGTGGTATTGCATCATGGTTTTGATTTGCATTTCCCTGATAATTAGTGATGTCAAGCATTTTTTCATATATTGTTGGCTATTTGTATGCCTTCTTTTGAGAATTGTGTAGTCATATCCTTAGCCCAGTTTTTGATAGGGTTTTATTTTTTCTTGCTGATTTGTTTGAGATCTTTGTAGATTCTGAATATTAGTCCTCGTCAGAGGTTCAAATTATGAAGATTTTCTCCCATTCTGTGGGTTGTCTGTTCACTCTGCTGACTATTTCTTTTGCTGTACAGAAGCTTTTTAGTTTAAGTCCCATCTATTTATCTTTGTTTTTGTTGCACTTGCTTTTGGGTTCTGGGTCATAAAGTCTTGTCTAAGCTAATGTCTAGAACGGATTTTCCAATGTTATCTTCTAGAATCTTTATGGCTTCAGGTCTTAGGTTTAAATCTTAGATCAATCTTAGTTGATTTTTTTTATAAGGTGAGAGATGAAGATCCAGTTTCATTCTTCTACATATGGCTTGCCAGTTATCCAAGCACTATTTGTTGAATAGGGTGTCCTTTTCCCACTTTATGTTTTTGTTTACTTTTTCAAAGAAAATGTTGCTGTAAGTATTTGGCTTTATTTCTGGGTTATCTATTCTGTTCCATTGATCTATATACGTATTTTTATACCAGTATCATTCTGTTTTGGTGACTATGGCTTTACAGTATAGTTTGAAGTCAGGTAGTGTGATGCCTCCTGATTTGTTCTTTTTGCTTAGTCTTGCTTTGGCTATGTGGGCTCTTTTTTGGTTCCATATCAATTTTAGGATTTTTTTTTACTAGTTCTGTGAAGAATGATCATGGTATTATTTATTTATTTATTATTTTATTTTATTTTGAGATGGAGTCTTGCTCTGTCACCCAGGCTGGAGTGCAGTGGTGCGAACTCGGCTCACTGCAAGCTCCACCTCCCAGGTTCACACCATTCTCCTGCCTCAGCCTCCCAAGTAGCTGGGACTACAGGCGCCTGCCACTGCACCTGGCTAATTTTTTATATTTTTAGTAGAGATAGGGTATCACCGTGTTAGCCAGGATGGTCTTGATCTCCTGACCTCATGATCTACCCACCTCGGCCTCCCAAAATGCTGGGATTACAGGAGTGAGCCACTGCGCCCAGCCGATCACGGCATTTTGATGAGAATCACATTGAATTTGTAGACTGCTTTTGTCAGAATGGTCACTTTCACAATATTGATTCTACTCATCTATTAGCATGGGATATGTTTCCCTTTGTTTGTGTCATCTATGATATCTGTCAGCAGTGTTTTGTAATTTTTCCTGTAGAGGTACTTCACATGCTTGGTTAGGTATATTCCTAAGTTGTTGTTGTTGTTGTTGTTGTTGTTGTTTTTCCAGCTATTGTGAAAGGGGTTGAGTTCTTAATTTGATTCTCAGCTTAGTCACTGTTGGTGTATAGAAGAGCTACTGATTTATATACATTAATTTTGTATCCTGCAACTTTTCTGAATTCATTTACCAGTTCTAGGAGCTTTTTGGATGAGTCCTTAGGGTTTTTTAGGTACATAATCAAATCATCAGCAAACAGTGACAGTTCGACTTCCTCTTTATCGATTGGGATGCCCTTGATTTCTTTCTCTTGTCTGATTGCTCTGGCTAGCACTTCCAGCACTATACCAAATAAAAGTGGTGAAAGTGGACATCCTTGTCTTGTTCCAGTTCTCAGACAGAATCTTTCAACATTTCCCCATACGGTAGTATAATGTTGGCTTTGGATTTGTCATAGATGGCTTTTATTACCTTAAGGTATGTCCATTCTATGCCAATTTTCTTGAGAGTTTTCATCATAAAAGGATGCTGGGTTTTGTCAAATGCTTTTTCTGTGTCTATTGAGATGATCATGTGATTTTTGTTTCTAATTCTGTTTATGGGGGTTATCACATTTATTGACTTATATATGTTACACCATCCCTGCATCTCTGGTATGAAACCCACTTGATCATGGTGGATTATCTTTTTAATATGCTGTTAGATTTTGTTGAGGATTTTTGCATCTATGCTCATTAGGGATGCTGATCTGTAGTTTTCTTTTTTTATGTCCTTCCCTGGTTTTGGTATTAGGATGATACTGGCTTCATAGAATGATTTAGGGAGGATCCCCTCTTTCTCTATCTTTTGGAATAGTGTCAATAGGATTAGTACCAATTCTTCTTTGAATTTCTGATAGAATTCAGCTGTGAATCCAGCTGGTTCTGAGTTTTTTTTTCTTGGCAATTTTTTATTACTATTTTATTTCAATCTTGCTTCTTGTTATTCATCTGTTTAGAGAGTCTATATCTTCCTGGTTTAATCGAGGAGAGTTGTGTATTTCCAGGAATGTATCCATCTCCTCTAAATTTTCTAGTTTATGCACTTAAAGCTGTTCATAGTAACCTTGGAAAATCTGTTGTATCTCTGTGGTATCAGTTGTAATATTTCCCATTTCATTTCTAATTGAGCTTATTTGGACCTTCTCTCTTCTTTTCTTGGTTAATCTTGCTAAAATCTCTCAGTTTTATTTATCTTCTCAGCTAATTAGCTTTTTGCTTCATTTATCATTTGTATTTTGTTTGTTGGTTGGTTTGTTTCAATTTTATTTAGTTTTGCTCTGATCTTTATTACTTCTTTTCTTCTTCTGGTTTGGGTTTGGTTTGTTCTTGTTTCTCCAGTTCCATGAGGCATGACCTTAGATTGTCTATTACTGTTCTTTCAGACTTTTTGATGTAGGCATTTAATGCTATGAACTTTTCTCTTAATACTGCTTTTGCTGTATCCTTGAGGTTTTGAAAGGTTGTGTTACTATTATTTTTCAGTTCAAAGAATTATTTAATTTCCATCTTGATTTCATTGTTGGCCCAATGATCATTCAGGAGCAAGTTATTCAATTTCCATGTATTTGCATGGTTTTGAGAGATCCTTTTGGAGTTGATTTACAGTTTTATTCCACTGTCATCTGAGAGAGTACTTGATATAATTTCGATTTTTATAAACTTACTGAGACTTGTTTTGTAGCCTATCATATGGTCTATCTTGGAGAATGTTCCATGTGCTGATGAATAGAATGTAAATTCTGTAGCTTTTGGATAGAATGTTCTATAAATATCTGCTAAGTCCATTTGTTGTAGGGTGTAGTTTAGGTCCATTGTTTCCTTGTTGACTTTCTGTCTTGATGACCTGTCTAATGCTTTCAGTGGAGTATTAAAGTCCCCCATTATTATTGTGTTGCTGTCTAGTACTAATTGTTTTTCAAATTTGGGAGCTCCAGTGTTAGGTGCATATATATTTATAATTGTGATATTTTCCTGTTGGACTAGTCCTATTATCATTATATAATGTTCCTCTTTGTCTTTTTTAAACTTCTGTTGCTTTAAAGTTTGTTTTGTCTGATATTAAGAATAACTACTCCTGCTAGCTTTTGGTGTCCATTTGCATGAAATGTCTTTTTCCACCACTTTACCTTAATTTTCTGTGAGTCCTTATGTGTTAGGTTAGTCTCCCGAAGACAGCAGAAACTTTGTTGGTGAATTCTTACCCATTCTGCCATTCTGCATCTTTTAAGTGGAGCATTTAGGCCATTTACATTCAATGTTAATATTGAGATATGAGGTACTATTCTATTCATCATGCTATTTGTTGCCTGAATACCTTGTTTTTCTTTTCATTGTGTTATCGTCATATATGTCCCGTGAGATTTATGCTTTAAATGTATAGTTTGGTGTATTTCAAGGGCTTGTTTCAAGATTTAAAGCTCCTTTTAGCAGTTCTTGTAGTGCTGGCTTGGTAGTGGTGAATTCTCTCAGCAATTGTCTGGAAAAGTCCATATCTTTCCTTCATTTATGAGGCTTAGTTTTGCAGTATACAAAATTCTTGGTTGATAATTGTTTTGTTTAAAGAAGCTAAAAATAGGACTCCAATCCCTTCTAGATTGTAAGGTTTCTGCTGAGAATCTGCTGTTAATTTGATAGGATTTCTGATGCTTTTGCCTCACAGCTCTTAACATTCTTCATCTTTACTTTAGATAACCTGATAACTGTGTTCCTAGGCAATGATCTTTGTTTTAATTTTACTTTAAGTTCTGAGGTACATGTGCAGAACGTGCAGTTTTCTTACATAGGTATAATGAGACATGGTGGTTTGCTGCACCCATCAACCCGTCACCTGCATTAGGTATTTATCCTAATGCTATCCCTCCCCTAGCCCCCCACCCCCCAGCAGGCCACAGTGTGTGATGTTCCCCTCCCTGTGTCCATGTGTTCTCATTGTTAAACTCCCACTTATGAGTAAGAACATGTGATGTTTGGTTTTCTGTTCTTGTGATAGTTTGCTGAGAATAATAGTTTCCAGTTTCATCCATGTCCCTGCAAAGGACATGAACTCATCCTTTTTTATGGCCGCATAGTATTCCATGATGTATATATACCACATTTTCTTTATCCAGTCTATCATTGATGGACATTTGGGTTGGTTCCAAGTCTTTGCTGTTGTGAACAGTGACTCAATAAACATATGTGTGCATGCCTATTTAGAGTAGAATGATTTATAATCCATTGTGTATATACCCAGTAATGGGATTGCAGGGTCAACTGGTATTTCTAGTTCTAGATCCTTGAGGAATCACCACACTGTCTTCCACAATGGTTGAACTAATTTACACTCCCATCAACAGTGTAAAAGCATTACTATTTCTCCACAGCCTCACCAGCATCTGTTGTTTCCTGACTTTTTAATGATCACTATTCTAACTGGCATGAGATGGTATTTCACTGTGGTTTTGATTTGCATTTCTTTAATGACCAGTGATGATGTGCATTTTTTCATATGTTTGTTGGCTCCATAAATGTCTTCTTTTGGGAGATGTCTGTTCATATCCTTCACCCATTTTTTGATGGGGTTATTTCTTTCCTTGTAAATGTGTTTAAGTTCTTTGTAGATTCTGGATACTAGCCCTTTGTCAGGTGAATAGATTCAAAAATTTTCTCCTATTCTGTAGGTTGCCTGATCACTCTTATTATAGTTTCTTTTGCTGTGCAGAAGCTCTTTAGTTTAATTAGGTCCCATTTGTAAATTTTGGCTTTTGTTGCCATTGCTTTTGGTGTTTTACATATGAAGTCTTTGCGCATGCCTATGTCCTGAATGGTATTGCCTTGGTTTCTTCTAGGATTTTTATGGTTTTAGGTCTTACATTTAAGTCTTTAATCCATCGTGAGTTGATTTTTGTATAAAGTGTAAGGAAGGGGTCCAGTTTCAGTTTTCTGCATATGGCTAGCCAGTTTTCCCAACATCATTTATTAAATAGGGAATCTTTTCCCCATTGCTTGTTTGTGTCAGGTTTGTCAAAGATCAGATGGTTGTAGATGTGTGATGTTATTTCTGAGGGCTCTGTTCTGTTCCATTGGTCTGCATATCTGTTTTGGTACCAGTACCATGCTGTTTTGGTTACTGTAGCCTTGTAATATAGTTTGAAGTCAGGTAGCATGATGCCTCCAGCTTTGTTCTTTTTGCTTAATATTGTCTTGGCTATGTGGGCTCTTTTTTGGTTCCATATGAAGTTTAAAGTAGTTTTCTCCAATTCTGTGAAGAAAGTCAGTGGTAGCTTGATGGGGATCACATTGAGTCTATAAATTACTTTTGGCAGTATGGCCATTTTCACGATATTGATTCTTCCTATCCAAAAGCATGGAATGTTTTCCCATTTGTTTGTGTCCTCTCTTATTTCCTTGAGAAGTGGTTTATAGTTCTCCTTGAAGAGGTCCTTCACATCCTTTGTAAGCTGTATTACTAGGTATTTTATTCTCTTAGTAGCAATTGTGAATGGGAATTCATTCATGATTTGGGTCTCTATTTGTGTGTTATTGGTGTATAGGAATGCTTGTGATTTTTGCATGTTGATTTTGTATCCTGAGACATTGCTGAAGTTGCTTATCACCTCAAGGAGAATTTGGGCTGAGACGATGAGGTATTCTAAATATACAATCATGTCATCTGCAAACAGAGACAAGTTGACTTCCTCTCTTCCTATTTGAATACCCTTTATTTCTTTCTCTTTCCTGATTGCCCTGGCCAGAACTTCCAACGCTATGTTGAATAGGAGTGGTGAGAGAGGGCGTCCTTGTCTTGTGCTGGTTTTCAAAGGAATGCTTCCAGCTTTTGCCCATTCAGTAAGATATTGGCTGTGGGTTTGTCATAAATAGCTGTTATTATTTTGAGATACATTCCATGGACACCTAGTTTATTAGAGTTTTAGCATGGAGGGGTGTTGAATTTTGTCTGAGGCTTTTTCTGCATCTATTGAGATAACCATGTGATTTTTGTCATTGGTTCTGTTTACGTGATGTATTACCTTTATTGATATGCATATGTTGAACCAGCCTTGCATCCCACGGATGAAGCTGACTTGATCGTGGTGGATAAGTACTGGGGGAACCCACCCCCAATATTTCAACGTAGGTTCTATTTTCCATAAGTGTCGGCCGGTTGAGAAATAAAGAGAAAGAGTACAAAGAGAGGAATTTTACAGCTAGGCCTCTGGGGGTGACATCACATATCGGTAGGACCGTGATGTCCACCTGAGCTGCAAAACCAGCAAGTTTTTATTAAGGATTTCAAAAGGGGAGGGGGTGTAAGAACACGAGTAGGTCACAAAGATCACATGCTTCAAAGGGCAAAAAGGGGAACAAAGATCACAAGGCAAAGAGCAAAAGCAGAATTACTGATAAGGGTCTATGTTCAGTGGTGCACGTATTGTCTTGATAAACATCTTAAACAACAGAAAACAGGGTTCAAGAGCAGAGAACCGGTCTGACCTCAAATTTACCAGGTGGGGTTTTTTTCCCCACCCTAATAAGCCTGAGGGTACTGCAGGAGACCAGGGCATATTTCAGTCCTTATCTCAACTGCCTAAGACAGAGACTCCCAGAGCGGCCATTTATAGACCTCCCCCCAGGAATGCATTCCTTCCCCAGGGTATTATTAATATTCCTTGCTAGAAAAAGAATTTAGTGATATCTTCCCTACTTGCACGTCTGTTTATAGGCTCTCTGCAAGAAGAAAAATATGGCTCTATTTTGCCCAACCCCACAGGCAGTCAGACCTTATGGTTGTCTTCCCTTGTTCCCTAAAATCACTGTTATTCTGTTATTCTGTTCTTTTTCAAGGTGCACTGATTTCATATTGTTCAAACACACATGTTTTACAATCAATTTATACAGTTAACACAATTATCATAGTGGCCTTGAGGTGATGTACATGCTCAGCTTACGAAGAAAACAGGATTAAGAGATTAAAGTAAGACAGGCATAAGAAATTATGAAAGTATTATTTGGGAACTGGTAAATGTCTGTGAAATCTTCACAATTTATGTTCCTCTGCCACAGCTCCAGCCGGTCCCTCCATTTGGGGTCCCTGACTTCCCGCATCAGATAAGCTGATGTGCTGCTGGATTTGGTGTGCCAGTATTTTATTGAGGATTTTCTCATCGATGTTCATCAGGGATATTGGCCTAAGATTTTCTTTTTTTTGTTGTGTCACTGCCAGGTTTTGGTATCAGGATGATGCTGGACTCACAAAATGAGTTATGGAGGTTTCCCCTTTTGTATAGTTTGGAATAGTTTCTGAAGGAATGGTACCAGCTCCTCTTTGCACCTCTGGTAGAATTTGGCTGTGAATATGTCTGGTCCTGGACTTTTTTAGGTTGGTAGGCTATTAATTACTGCCTGAATTTCAGAACCTGTTATTGGTATATTCAGGGATTTGACTTCTTCCTGGTTTAGACTTGGAAGGGTGTATGTGTCCAGGAATTTATCCATTTCTTCTAGATTTTCTAGTTTATTTGTGTAGAGGTGTTTATAATATTCTCTGATGGTAGTTTGTATTTCTGTAAGATTGGTGGTGATATGTCCTACATCATTTTTTAATGTATCTATTTGATTCTTCTCTCTTTTCTTTTTTATTAGTCTAGTAATGGTCTATGTATTTTGTTGATCTTTTCAAAACAACCAGCTCCTGCATTCATTGATTTTTTGAAGGGTTTTTCATGTCTCTATCTCCTTCAGTTCTTCTCTGATCTTAGTTATTTCTTGTCTTCTGCTAGCTTTTGAATTTGTTTGCTGTTGCTTCTCTAGTTCTTTTAATTGTGATATTAGGGTGGTGATATTAGATATTTCCTGCTTTCTCTTGTGGGCATTTAGTACTATAAATTTCCCTCTACACTCTGCTTTAAATGTGTCCCAGAGATTCTGGTATGTTTTGTCTTTGTTCTCATTGGTTTCAAAGAAAATCTTTATTTCTATCTTCATTTCATTATTTACCCAGTAGTCTTTCAGGAGCAGGTTGTTCAGTTTCCATGCAGTTGTGCAGTTTTGAGTGAGTTCCTCAATCCTGAGTTCTAATTTGATTGCACTGTGGTCTGAGAGACTGTTTGTTATGATTTCCATTCTTTTGCATTTGCTGAGGGTGTTTTACTTCCAACTATGCGGTCAATTTTAGAATAAGTGCAATGACGTGCTGAGAAGAATGTATATTCTTTTGATTTGGGGTGGAAGTTCTGTAGATGTCTATTAGGTCTGCTTGGTCAAGAGCTGATTACAAGTCCTGAATATCGTTGTTAATTTTCTGTCTTGTTGATTTGTCTAATATTGACAGTGAGGTGTTAAATTCTCCCACTATTATTGTGTGGGAGTATAAGTCTCTTTGTAGGTCTTTAAGAACTTGCTTTATGAATCTGGGTGCTCCTGTACTGGGTGCATATGTATTTAGGACAGTTAGCTCTTCTTGCTGCATTGATCCTTTTACCATTATGTAATGCCCTTCTTTTCCTCTTTTGATCTTTGTTGGTTTAAAGTCCATTTTATCAGAGATTAGGATTGCAACCCTTGTTTTTTCTTGTTTGTTTGCTTTTTGTTGTTGTTGTTTTCCATTTGCTTGGTAAACATTCCTCCATCCCTTTATTTTGTGCCTATCTGTGTCTTTGCATGTGAGATGGGTCTCCTGAATGCAGCACACTGACAGATCTTAACTCTTTATCCAATTTGCCAATCTATGTCTTTTAATTGGGGCATTTAGCCCATTTACCTTTAAGATTAATATTGTTATGTGTGAATTTGATCCTGTCATTATGATGCTAGCAGGTCATTTTGCCCACTAGTTGATGCAGTTGCTTCACATTATCGATGGTATTTACAATTTGGTATGTTTTTGCAGTGGCTGGTACCAGTTGTTCCTTTCCATATTTAGTGCTTCCTTCAGGAACTCTTATAAGGCAGGCCTGGTGGTGACAAAATCTCTCAACATTTGCTTGTCTGTAAAGGATTTTATTTCTCCTTCACTTATGAAGCTTAGTTTCACTGGACGTGAAATTCTGGGTTGAAAATTCTTTTCTTTAAGAATGTTGAGTATTGGTCCCCACTCTCTTCTGGCTTGTAGGGTTTCTGCAGAGAGATCCACTGTTAGTCTTATGGGCTTCCCTTTGTGGGTAAGCCAACCTTTCTCTCTGGCTGTCCTTAACATTTTTTCCTCCATTTCAACCTTGGTGAATCTGACGATTGTGTGTCTTGAGGTTGCTCTTCTCAAGGAATATCTTAGTGATGTTCTCTGTATTTCCTGAATTTTAATGTTGGCCTGTCTTGCTAGGTTGGGGAAAGTCTCCTGAGTAATATCCTAAAGAGTGTTTTCCAACTTGGTTTCATTCTTCCCATCACTTTCAGGTACACCAATCAAATGTAGATTTGGTCTTTTCACATAGTCCCATATTTCTTGGAGGCTTTGTTCACTTCTTTTCACTCTTTTTTTCTCTAATCTTGTCTTCTTGCTTTATTTCATCAAGTTGATCTTCAATCACCGATATCCTTCCTTCTGCTTGATCAATTCGGCTACTGAAGCTTGTGTATGCTTTACAAAGTTCTTGTGCTGTGTTTTTCAGTTCTATCAGGTCATTTATGTTCTTCTCTACACTGGTTATTCTAGTTCACAATTCACCTAACCTTTTTTCAAGGTTCTTAGCTTCCTTACGTTGGGTTAAAACACACTCCTTTAGCTCACAGGAGTTTGTTATTACCCACCTTCTGAAGCCTACTTCAATCAAGCCATCAAACTCATTCTCTGACCAGTTTTGTTCCCTTGATGGCAAGGAGTTGTGATCTTTTGGAGAAGAGGCATTCTGGTTTTGGGAATTTTCAGCCTTTCTGCACTGGTTTCTCCACCTCTTTGTGGTTTTATCTACCTTTGGTTTTTGATGTTCATCACCTACAAATGAGGTTTTGGTGTGGACGTCTTTTTTGTTGATGTTGGTGCTATTCCTTTCTGTTTGTTAGTTTTCCTTCTAACAGTTATGTCCCTCAGCTTCAGGTCTATTGGAATTTGCTGGAGGTCCACTCCAGACTCTGTTTGCCTAGGTATCACCAGTGGAGGCTGCAGATCAGCAAATATTGCTGCCTGATCCTTCCTCTGGAAGCTTCTTCCCAGAGGGGCACCTGCCAGATGCCAGCCAGAGCTCTCCTGTATGAGGTGTCTGTCGGCCCCTACTGGGAGGTGTCTCCCCGTCAGGCTACACGGGGGTCAGGGACCCACTTGAGGAGGCATTCTATCTGTTATCAGAACTCGAATGCTGTGCTAGGAGAACCACTGCTCTCTTCAGAGCTGTCAGGCAGGGATGTTTATGTCTGCTGAAGCTGTGCTCACCGCTGCCCCTTGCCCCAGGTACTCTGTCCCAGGGAGATGGGGGTTTTATCTATAAGTCCCTGACTGGGGCTGCTGCCTTTTGTTCAGAGATGCCCTGCCCACAGGGGTGGAATCTAGAGAGGCAGTTGGCCTTGCTGAGCTGCGGTGGGCTCCACCCAGTTTGAAGTTTCTGGTGGCTTTGTTTACATTGTGAGCATAAAACTGCCTACTCAAGCCTCAGCAATGGTGGACACCCCCCCGCCAAGCTCCAGCATCCCAGGTCAATCTCAGACTGCTGCACTAGCAGCAAGATTTTCAAGCCAGTGGATCTTAGCTTGCTGGGCTCTGTGGGCATGGGACCCGCTGAGCCAGGCACTGGAGGAAATCTCTTGGTCTGCCGGTTGTGAAGGCCATGGGGAAAGTGCAGTATCCGGGCAGGAGTGTACTGTTCCTCCCAGTACAGTCTCTCATAGCTTTCCTTGGCTAGGAGAGGGAAATCCCCTGACCCCTTGTGCTTTCCAGGTAAGGTGATGCACTGCCCAGCTTTGGCTCACCATCTTTGGGCTGCACCAACTGTCCAACCAGTCCCAATGAGATGAACCAGTTATCTCAGTTGGAAATGCAGAAATCACCCGTCTTCTACATAGATCTCACTGGGAACTGCAGACTGGAGCTGTTCCTATTCGGCCATCTTCTATGTTCTTCTTTAAAGTGGTTATTCTAGTTAACAATTTGTCCAACCTTTTTTCAAGGTTCTTAGCTTCCTTGCATTGGGTTAGAACATGCTCCTTTAGCTTGGATGAGTTTGTTATTACCCACCTTCTGAAGCCTACTTCTGTCAATTCGTCAAACTCATTCTCCGACCAGTTTTATTCCCTTGCTGTCAAGGAGTTGTGGTCCTTGGGAGGAGAAGAGGCGTTCTGGTTTTCGCAATTTTCAGGCTGTTTGCCCATCTTTGTGGATTTATCTACCTTTGGTCTTTGATGTTGGTGACCTTCAGATGGGGTCTTTGAGTGGATGTGCTATTCCTTTCTCTTAGTTTTCCTTCTAACAGTCAGGTCCCTCTGCTGCAGGTCTGCTGGAGTTTGCTGGAGGTCCATTCCCGACCCTGTTTGCCTGGGTATCACCAGCGGAGGCTGCAGAACAACAAAGATTGCTGCCTGTTCTTTCCTCTGGAAGCTTTGTTCCAGAGGGGCACCTGCTAGATGCCAGCCAGGGCTCTCCTGTATGAGGTGTCTGTCGGCCCCTACTGGGAGGTGTTGCCCAGTCAGGGTGACATGGGGATCAAGGGCCCACTTGAGGAGGCAGTTTAACCTTTAGCAGAGCTTGAACGCTGTGCTGGGAGGTCCACTGCTCTCTTCAGAGCCATCAGGCAGGAAAGTTTAAGTCTCCTGAAGCTGTGCCCACAGCTGCCCCTTCCCCCAGGTGCTCTGTCCCAGGTAGATGGGGGTTTTATCTATAAGTCCCTGACTGCGGCTGCTGCCTTTTTTTCAGAGATGCCCTGCCCAGAGATGAGAAATCTGACACTCTGGCTACAGCAGCAGCCTTGCTGAGCTGCTGTGGGCTTGCCCAGTTCGAACTTCCTGGTGACTTTGGTTACACCGTGAGAGTAAAACTGCCTATTTAAGCCTCAGCAATGGTAGATGCCCCTCCGCCCACCAAGCTCAAGCATACCAGGTGGATCTCAGACTGTTGCTGGCAGCGAGAATTACAAGTCAGTGGATCTTAGTTTGCTGGGCTCCATGGGGGTGGAACCGGCTGAGCCGGACCACTTGGCTCCCTGGCTTCAGCACCCCTTTCTCGGGGAGTGAATGATTCTGTCTCGCTGGTGTTCCAGGTGCCACTGGGGTATGGAGAAAAAAAAAAAAAAAACCTCCTGCAGCTAGTTCCGTATCTGCCCAAACGGCCGCCAAGTTTTGTGCTTGAAACCCAGGGCCCTGGTGGGGTAGGCACCACAGGGAATTTCCTGGTCTGTGGGTTGTGAAGACCATGGAACAAGTGCAGTATCTGGGCCAGAGTCCCCGGTTCCTCAGGCTCAGCCCCTCAAGGCTTCCCTTGGGTAAGGGAGAAAATTCCCCAACCCCTTACGCTTCCCAGGTGAGGCGATGCCCTACTTTCCTTTGGCTTACCCTCCATGGGCTGCACCACTGTCCAACCAGTCCCAATGAGATGAACCAGGTACCTCCGTTGGAAATGCAGAACTCACCCACCTTATGTGTGGATCTCGCTGGGAGCTGCAGACTGGAGCTGTTCCTATTCGGCCATCTTGATCAGCTTCAGGCAATGATCTTATTGCAACAAATTCCCCAGGTGTTCTTTGAGCTTCTTGTATTTGGATGTCTAGATCTCTAGCAGGGCTGGAGAAGTTTTCCTCAATTATTCCCTCAAATATGTCTTCGAAACTTTTAGATTTCTCTTCTTCCTCAGGAACACCAATTATTCTTAGGTTTGGATGTTTAGCATAGTCCCAAATTTCTTGGAGGCTTTGTTCATTTAAAAAAAATTCTTGTTTGTTTGTCTTTGACAGATTGGGTTAATTTGAAAGTCTTGTCTTCGAGCTCTGAAGTTCTTTCTTCTGCTTGTTCGACTTTATTGCAGAGATTTTCCAGTGCATTTTGCATTTCTCTAAGTGTGTCTTTGATTTCCAGAAGTTGTGATTGTTTTTTATTTAGGCTTTCTATTTCACTGAAGAATTTTCCTTTCATATTCTGTATCATGTTTTTGATTTCTTTAACCTGGACTTCACCTTTCTCTGGTGCCTCCATGATTAGCTTAATAATTGACCTTCTGAATACTTTTTCTGGCAATTCAGAGATTTTTGTCTTGTTTGGATCCATTCCTGGTGAGCTGGTATGATCTTTTGAGGGTGTTAAAGAACCTTGTGTTGTCATATTACCAGAATTGTTTTTCTAGTTCCTTCTCATGTTGGTAGACTATGTCAGAGGGAAGATCTGGGGTTCCAGGGCGGCTGTTCAGATTCTTTTGTCCCATAGGGTGCTCCCTTGATGTGGTGTTCTCCCCCTTCCCCTTGGAATGGGGCATCCTGAGAGCCCAACTGTAGTGATTGTTTTTGTTTTTCTGGCTCTAGCCACCCAGTAGAGCTACTGTGCTCTGGGCTGGTACTGAGGAGTGTCTGCAGAGTCCTGTGATGTGATCCCTCTTCAGGTCTTGCAGCGGTGGACTCCAGCATTTGCTCTGGTGGAGGTAGCAGGGGAGTGAAGTGGACTCTGTGAGGCTCCTTGGTTGTGTTTTTGTTTAGAGGGCTGGTGTTGTGTTGGTTGGCCTCCAGCCAGGAGGTGGCACTTTCAAGAGTGTATCAGCTGCACTTAGTTTTTTGGCATCTCAGGGAGCCTGCAGCAGCGATCCACTTCCTTCAAAGGGTCTGTAGATTCACTCAGCTTTCCTGGTATGTTCCTGTGGTAGTTCTTGGAGCAAAAGTTTACACTGTGAGTCTCCACATGCTGATCTATCCATCTGAGTGGGAGCTGCAAGCTAGTCCTACTTCCTACCCACCATATTCCAGATTAAATGCTTAAAAAGCAAGTCACAGCTATATGCTGTGTAAGAAACCCACTTTAAATATAAAGATGTAGATATATTAAAAACTAAAAAAAGAAAAGCTATATGATGCCAACACTATCCACAAGAAAGCGGGAGTAGTTATATAACATCAGGCAAAATGGACTTCAGAAAAAGGAACATTATTGAGGATAAAGGGAACATTACGTAATGATAAAGGGGTCAGTTCTCTGAACAGACATAACAATCTGAAATATGTGTGCACCTAATAACAAATCTTCAAAGTACATGAAAGAAAAATAATGGAACTTTAAGGGGAAATAAGAAATAATTGTAACTATAGTGGAAGACTTTAACACTCCCCTCTCAGGAATTGACAAAACAGTAACAATAAATTAGTAAAGATCTTGAGGTGCTTTGTAGTGTTATTTTGCTAGGCTGACCCACATTTTTCATAATTCCATTTCCTGTATGTTTCTGGTTACGAATAATCAATAGAAACATTCTTGTACCAGATTAGAAAGGTGGAAGTGAAAACACAGCCATTTTATAGCTCACACACGTTATTGCTTATCTGCTAGCTAATTTTGTGGGGAAAAGTAAGTACAGCAACCAAATATGTAACTGCTGTACCTTTCCCTGATCCTCCTTCAGTTCCACTAATTCCTGAGCCAGGAGTGTGTCAAGTTCTGTGATGAGGGGCAATATCAATAGCTCTCCTTGCAGGAAATGCATATCATTAAGCACAGAGGTAGTAATCACTGAAGTGTTTCAGTCTATCTTATGATCCAGCTCTTGTTTGCAGGTCACAGCTTGTCCTGGCTCTTCCCTATATTACGTCACCTTTTCTTCCTAACTGCATGCCCTGTCAATTGCAGCTTCAGCATCAAATTCAAAGATGAGAGTTTTACAGACACTAACAAGTTCCTATAATTGTATAACATCAAATCCTTTTAATAAATCCATTAATTTATCTATATCTGAATCTACATGTCTCTATATATATCTGCATCTCCATCTCCACCTACATGTATATTTACATCTACATCCATATTCATATTGACAGCTTATGGTCTGCTTCTCTGATTAAAGCCTATTTAGTACAGAATTTGATACTAAGAGTGGTTCCAGAGTAACAGAAACTTTAGAATGAGTTCTCCGAAATGGTTCTTTAAACTGGATTCTTGGATCTGATTAGACTTAAAGGCATTAATAACCTCATTTCTGAGGCTAAAGGGAATGTTGATCATCTATGACATGCAGCGGTAAAACAGTTACTCAAATTATCACCTGCAGATAATGTAATCAGTGCCTATAGAATGCAAGTAATTGCTGCCATAGACCATTTTCGTGAAAATAAGAAATATAACGGGATGGGTTGATTGCTTATGCTGAAGAAATATGGGAAAGAAAATTATATCAGGACCTTAAATCCTAAGCTTACAGGCTGCATAAGAGAACTGAAAGCTTCAATAACTGTCCTAAAGTAAACTTTTATTTCTTGTAGCCATAGGGCAGATATTTCCGAACACCAGACCCAACATCTGATCCTGCAGGTGGCTGAATTACAAATGCAAAGTGAATATCCAATTCCATAGTATCTCTTTTGTTAAAGTTAGAGCATTGATATGGATGGAGTAGAAACTGGGAAATTGCGAAGGCGACAGATAGGCAGAATCCAATAATGCTGGGAACTTTGAACTCCAAAATTCTGCTGAGCCTGTGGAAGATCCTTTTAACCATTGCCCTAAGGAGGTTAGCCACCCTTGCCTAAGAACCTGTAAGGTCTTTCCCTGAAGTAGATCTCTTGCAAGGTGTTACTGATGATCCTCAGGACCTATTCCCACTACCTGTCTTTGCTTCTAGACCTATAATTAAAATCAAGAACCAGTAGGCCTCAGAGGGTGAAACATAAAGTATGGCCTGTGATGAGATCTGATATACATAAAAAAAGACTTTATTCAGAAAACTGGGAAATATGTGTAGGAATGGATTTTAAGAGCGCAGGATCAAAATGGAAGGAATATAAAGTTGGATCGTGATGATTTCATTGACAGAGCTCATTAATCAGAGATTCTGAATTCAAAACTGAAGGACTGGAAATGACTCTAACAGTTTTCTTGGTTAGTTTTCCAAAATGTGGAGCAAAAGGTAGCCTCCACTACCAGATCTTTGGTAGATTATAAAGTAAGTGCCAGATCTTTGCTCGTACAATATAGAGTACGTTATCCAAAGGTTTAGGGAGACTGAACTATTTTAAGTGAATGTAGTGACTGTTTAGTGTTTGCATTTTCTTTTTAAAATTTTTTATCTTAATTTTTGTAGGTACATAGTAGGTGTATTGCATGAATTCTCTGCTTGTTGTATGAAACGTTTTATTTATTGCTATTTGTTTGAACTTATTAATTATGTTATTCAACTTTGATATCTGTAATAATTTTTGTCTTCACCTGTTTTTGAGAAGCATTTGCTAAAACACTCTGACATCAATGGTTGATTAGTCTGTTTCTTCTCCTAATTCTGTTAGTTTGCTTTTTTATGAATGTGATTCTGTAATGATAACAAAAGAATGTATATTTCTTTCTTTTAACTTAGTCTTTCCTTTGGACTTTTTCCAAACAAGTGTCTATTCACAAAATAGCATTAATAAATTTAATGGTGATTTTATTAAAGCTTACATAGGACATATGGAAAAGGGTTATATTTTACAGTGTGTAGCATTCATTTTAAAAATTTTCATTATAGTTGGCTTCTTCCAAGTTTCTCTTTTTGGCCTCAAATCCACCAGATGTCCTCCTTTCCTTTTCTTCCTTTTGGCACTACAATTCCTGACTCTATCCTATGCCCCTGCCCCAGCTCACTTGACTCACTACCACGAAACTGCCACCAATCTCTCTTTTGGTTTATTATGTACAGAAATTCAGCTCTATCCAGGATTCTTGCTCTCAACTGTATGATTTTGCCTGCCACTTCGTATAAATTCAATACATCACGGACCATTTTGATGAAAAGAGACATATTGATTATGCTCAGAAAATGAATTATTCTTTGCTAACTAGGCCCCATCTTCCTTAGGAGGCAGTTGAAACTTATGTATGTGATTAGTACAATATTTTTCCTTTCAAATATTTCAATTTAAAATGGTGTGTTTTTTATTCAACGAGGAGAGAGACAAAATTGCATTTTGTTGTTGTTATCTAAAGACTCATGAGTAACAACCTGAATTAATGAACTGGTTCTTTGTTTTGACTGCAGGTTTTACTCAGATTCAGTATGTTTCAGCATCTCTTAAAGGCAACCATTCCACTGACTGCTGGTCTGACATGTCTCTTAATCCAGTCCTGATCTAAGATCATGACAAGAAAAAATAATAAACTTCCTTGGAAAATCAATGAATTTAATGTTCTTTTTATCTCATTGAATGATTTGTCTATTGACTGTGTTTCTCTCTTCACAAACTTACACACAGAAAACCTCTTTTTGCCTGGGCATGGTGGCTGGCACCTGTAATCCCAGCACTTTGGGAGGCCGAGGCAAGTGGATCACTTGAGGTCAGGAGTTCGAGACCAGCCTGGCCAACATGGTGAAATGCGGTCTCTACTAAAAATACAAAAATTAGCTGGGTGTGGTGGCATGTGCCTGTAGCCCTAGCTACTTGGGAGACTGAGGCTGGAGAATCTCTTGAACCCAGATGGTGGAGGTTGCAGTGACCCAAGATCGGGCCACTGCACTTCAGCCTGGGCGACAGAGTGAGATTTGGTCAAAAAAAAAAAAAAAAAAAAGAAGAAAACTTTTTTTAAAAATAAATTATATAACGTTTTAGATGACAAGACATCAGTCTGAGATCAGGATTGGTAATTACAATAGTCTCAGGTGACATAACTCAGGAAGGCAAAATTATGTAACTTTACCCTCTATCTTTATTTTTATTTCAAGTCTACACATCTTCTTTTGATAACATAAAATAAAAACGTAGTCAATCCTAGGCGTGAACTCAGCTCTGGAATTTCTCCCAATTTGTTTTCTGTCTGTGGCATCATGTAAGTTCAAGTGTAATCAGATGGGGTGAATTACGTGGTCTGTGATCACTGACTTTGTCCACTTTGGTATCTGCTGAGATTCCCTCACCCAGGCTTGTCTGTATGCCTGATATCTTTCCTCTGTTATCTTCTCCACCTATAATGTCAGGCCAGTCATTGACACTTGCACCCTGAAACCTCCATGTCCTAGTTGAGTGATGTCTTCAGGTCTACCAAATCCGTCTCTCACCCAACTCTGTACCTTGTTGATAGCAAATGGGAAGTTGGAACTATTCCAATCCATTCCAGAGCCTCAAAGATTTCATCTGAGGCCTATTTGGACTCAAAAAATCCATCCAGCAAATTCTATCTACTGCTTCAATATCAGGATAACCACTCCGTGCTGCTGCTCCTCAAATGGGAATCAGGCCATTGTGCTGTCTGCACTTAAACCCCCAAATTCAGCTATTTATATTGGCACACACTCACATGCCTTGAAGAACTAGTTCTAAGTGAAGAAGAGTGAAAGCTCAAAACAGCATCTAACTCTCTATAAAGCACTTTCTCTTGACCTATTATTTACTAGAGTATTTTAAGTTTAGTGCATAGCAATTATTGAATATTGACTATTTTGTTCTGTTAGGCTCCCCATCCCACCTCTCCACAGTTTAGCTCCTGCCCAAAATTAAAGAAGAGGAACAGCAACAAAAATAAGAATGTTCAATTCCAAAAAGCACATCAATTTATATCACTGCAAATAAATACTGACTTTCTAATCATGGCTCTTCCATTAATCCACCCTATTACACTGTGTGAATCAGTTTACCTTTCTGAGTGTTAGTTTCCTCATCTGTAAATTACGGGGGTTAAACTAGGTGCTTTTTAGGATCCTTAGCAGCATTAATATTCTATGATTGCATGTTTTCAGATTACAATGCATTCAAAGTCCAGCATTGACAAGTTCCATCTACAATCAGCCCCCCAGAGTTTAAAGGGGGAGACATTATATAATTCACATTAAAGTACTTTGAAAAGTTAAATGTACCATATAAATAAACCTTGGTGTACAGCAATTTGATGTCTGACAATTTTCTTTTACAGCCTTCAGCCAATTAAATGTGTGTTAGCAATTTACTACACTCATTGCTAGCAGAGCACACAAATGAACCTCAATTTCCATTCGCCTTTTTAATCTGCTCCAGATACTAGTTTCAGCGCCATCTAACCTCTCACACTTTCCTATAACCTTCCACCCTTCCTTCTCCGTGGGGTCAGGCAAGTTAAGCAGAGAAAACAAGAGGCAAGAGACTTTGGGTCAATGTCGAGTGCCTTGACTAAGTGTACTGGTTTTTATCCATTATTGTCCTTTTCATGTGTTAAGTGCCTCTTTAAGCCATTTCAAAGGAAGCGATGCCAAAAGATAAGTAGTTACTTCCCAAATATCTGCTTTGAAGAATTCTACCCTACTGTTGTTCATGTTCATGATTTAGTAAGAAAGAGCTTAGGCTTTAGAGTTGGACAAACTAGAGCAAAAATCATGCTTGATCCTTAGCACCTTTGTGGCCGTGGGCCAGGCCAGTTGTTTAGCCTCTTAGAGCCTCAATTATTCCTCTTTTAAAAATGTTGATTAAAATATGAAAAAAACCTGGGTGTTTGTGTGGATTATAGATTAGAGTTAACATATGTACTGGCTGTGAAGTACTTTATGTGCTGTGGATCCTCAATGCTTGGTCAATAATATCTATGGCCAGGCGGCCCATGGATGTGGGTGGTCCCAGACAAACATTTTGTATGGAGCCACCCACTGTGTATATAAACAATTTGATTTAAAACGATTATTATACAATTTATTTGCGTGTGAAGTTTATTGATTTATTAATGGTTAAGTGTAATGAGGAGAGAAGAGGCACATAATTAATAATTATTGTTTAATTAGTGCACATGAAAATTCTTCATGGTGTCCAGACACAATTTCTACCTGTTTATGTCCAAGAACCACATCTTGCATTTTTTATTGTCAAATGCACTATCCTTACCGAGTTTCTTATTCCTCACTGTGAGAAAAGAAGTACTAACACTATTGTTATAGACAATGTCCTGGTCTTCAGAATCTGTGTATATTGAAACAATGTCAATCTTCCTGCCTCTGTAATCTCTAATGCCATTTCATTTATTCTTGGTTCTCTCATTACTTATGACACTGCATTATTCTTCATGCAGCCTATGAATACCAGCTTCCAATGACCCTATCAAAAGCTGTTGCTCAGCTTCGTTAATGAAGATCACAAATGCATGTGTACTCAGAGTATGCAGGAAAATGTGACCAATAAGTTTTTTTCTGGTCATGTTAATGTGTCATTTTATAACATAAAATATAGACCATCTTTCAACTGTGTCTCCCTAGGCCACATGTAATTAGAACATTCTTAGAATGTAATCTCTTTCAGTGTTGACCACATTCCTGCCTTCTACATGCTATCATTGGCAAAGAGGATAAGAAAGTATTCATAAGCAGAATGAGTGGAGTGTCACTCCTTTTCCAGCATGGTTTAAGAATGCACTGGGTGCTTACATGTAAGGTAAGAGAGGACTTTCTCAGAAGGGCCTGTGGTGTTATGAGCAACAGTTCTGAAAGCTCTCAAGTCCTCAGAAGAGATAGGTGGGGCCTCTCCAGAAGGTCTACAGACACAGGGTGCCACCCTTTCAAAAAAAAATTGTGGTGACCATCCCGGGTGCCAGTGGAGAGAGCACACAGGGGAAAGGATAGCCATGCTACCCTCTTCTAACCTTAGGTGCTGTATGAGACCACAGAAGGCCTCATGGTTGGAACACAGATGGGGGAATGCCAATATACAGGCTCACACATATAGCCCAGGTATTGGCAATGGACCCTAGGTGTCCCAGAGCCCTGAATTTATCTTGTACCCAATGTGAGTTGCACCCATAATCAACGTGTAACTACTGTTCTGGAGGCACAAATTTGTACAATGCCACAAAAGAAATACTATACTGGTAGTGGAAATAGGCTGCACCAGGCTACCCACCTGGAATCAGGGCCTGACCACTAGCAACTGCAATGACCTATTAGGTAAAGCTTCTTGATATCTCTGGTCAATCTCATGTGATTCGGAGGGGTATAGATTTGGAGACCTCTCCAAAATGGAGAAACAAGGACTAAGGCCCACTAAATACCTGGCTGGATGTGGGACTTCAGCCTAGATGACATTGTTGATGTTGATGGGTTCCAGGCACCAGACGAGGACTTAGAACATTTTAAGAAAGAAACTCCAAAGTGTGGAGCCCTCTGAGAAGCCAGGAGCAGAAGTCCTGTTTGTTCAGTCCTAAAGCAGTATTACCTGTTGTCACAGGCAAAGTCAATCTTTAACAAAACTGATTGAAGGAAATGGTGCTCCAGTGATCTTATGAGCCATCCTGTGGGGCAAGTGAAGGACTTTAAGATAGAATAAAAAGACTTATTTCGAGGATTGGGGAACTGTTTTAGAAAAACTCTCGAACCGTGTTTTTCTTCTACTCTCACACCACCACAACAAATGTTTTTCTTTTACTCTCACACTACCACAATTGTTCCATCAACAGGAAAGAGGACTTATGACCAAATGTGTGAGGGTTTCTCCCCATCACCAAGCAGTGGACACCAGCTGTATGTCCTCTAATTCAATTCTAATTCTATACACTTGGAGACAGTGTCAGATTGCACAGGTTGAGGGCTCAGTCCCCAAGACTGCCCCACCCCTGCCAGGCACCTGTTGTAAGTCTGGGCCTCTGGAACTTCTGACTGACTGGTTTCAACTTGGGGTTCCTATGACCCCCTCTTTGGGTTTGCTTAATTTGCTGGAGAAGGTCACAGAACTCAGAGAGACACTTACATTTACTGGTTTATTATAAAAGATATTATAAAGGTACAGATAAAGAGATGCATAAGGCAAGGTATGGGGGAAAGGCATGGAGGGAAGCCTCCCTCCATGCCCTCCCACAGTGTGCCACTCTCCTAGAACCTCCATGTGTTCAACTATCTGGAAGCTTCCCAAACACAGTCATTTTGGGTTTTAATGGCTCCATGACATCAGCATTCCTTCCCTTAGGGTATAGAATGGGAATGCTGATGTCATGGGAACAGTAACTACCTATTGAATTGCCCAACCAGGTTCTTCTTGCCCACAACGCAGAAAAAGCCACCAATACACTGAGACAGAAAGTGTTGCGATAGAGAGTTTAATTATCACCAGGCTGCTGAGCAGAAAGACAGGAGATATTTCTCAATTCTGCCTTCCCAAGAACTCGGAAGCTAGGGTTTTTAAGAATAATTTAGTGGGCAGGGACTAGAGAATGGGTACTGCTGATTGGTTGGGGATGAAATCATAGGAATGTCAAAACTGTCGTTGTGCACTGAGTCCATTTCTGGGTGGGGGACACAGGACCTTTCGAGTCTGTTTCTTGGTATGAGTCACAGGTCCAAGTGGAGTTAGTTGGTCACCAGAATGCAAAAGTCTGAAAAAGATCTCAAATGTTGTCTTAGGTTTGACAATAGTGATGTTATCTATAGGACCAATTGGGGAAGTTACAGATGACCTCCAGCTACATGACACCTGGGCAGTAAGCAGTTATAAAAAGACAAATTATAAAACAATGACTGGTTAGAATTTAACTATGCCCACATTCTAACAGAATTTAGGCCCCTACCATAACTCTCACCTTGTGGGCAATTTATTAGGTTTACAAAGGCAGTTTTGGTCCCTGAGCAAGGAAGGGGTTAGTTTCAGGAAGGGACTCTTATCATCTTGTCTTAAAGTTAAACTGTAAACGAATTCCTCCCATAGTTGGCTTAGCTTATACGCAGGAATGAGCAAGAACAGTTAGCTTGTGAGGTTAGTAGAAGGATGGAGTCAGCTGTGTTAGATTTCTCTCACTGTCATAATTTTGGAAAAGGCAGTTTCACAATGCCTTTAATTATTAATAATTATTTAATGTTGAGCTCTGTATTCTTTCAATGTGATGTCAGAAACCTACTCATGAACACAGTCTCCAGACATGGAAATTTAACATTGTTTTGTTATAAGCTCTTTGAGTTAGAGAAATTGACCATTTTTATTTCTAGGCTCCAGGGCCAGTCATCTATTGGGAAGAAGATAAGAAAATGTGAGAAAATATTGTTGGAAATAAAAAAAGGAACATTGTTTAGTTGGCAAAATTGACTAAGTTGAAAATGTAGTATTTCAGCCTATTTTGAAAGACTGAATATTCTTCATGCAAAGTCAGGTGGATGAAGCATACATTTAATATGTCAGTTTACCTATAATGTCTGTCACCAATGCACTGCTCACGATAGGAAATTCCACATTGAAAAAGTAAAAGAGCATTTTATCTTATGTCTTTACTGCTGACTTGCTGTCTCACTGACACCATCTCTATTCTTTCTCTTTACTTGAGTAGTACATTACTTCCAGCTTCAGCCATTGTCACCTTACTGTGGAAAACAATTTGCAGTAATGAGTCTCTCATTGTTTGCAATCATAGCAATGGATATAATTGGCTCATAATTTACGTTATATGGAATTTGATGTAAGGTATTACTTTTTAAATTTAGGAATATAGAATGAACGTGACAAAGTGGACAATTAGAGGATTTTCTTTCTAGTGAATAAGATATATTCTGTGTTCATTAGCCTCAATATACCCAGCCCTATTTTGGGCTCACTAGAGCACTAAGCAAAGAACAACTTGCCTCTGCTCTCTTGGATATTATAATCTGGATTGAAATATAAAAGCAAAACACACACACATACACGCGCGCACACACACACACACACACACACACAGACACCATAGCTAACAATTCTTAACTCTAATAGTATGCTAAGTATTATGGGAATTCAGAGATGAAGCAAAAAGAGGACAATCTTATTTTACATTCCGAAAAAGGCAGCAGCAAAAAAGTACTGGCCAAAGGGTAAACATTTCTTTTCTTACAGTTCAATATTTTTAATGTAAACGTAATTTCTTACTCTTTTTTCTAAATAATTCAGATGCACAAAGTGTCCAAAAATAATACACCCTCCCAAGACTAAACCAGGAAGAAGTTGACTCTCTGAATAGACCAATAACAGGATCTGAAATTGAGGCAATAATTAATAGCTTACAACCAAAAAATGTCCAGGACCAGATGGATTCACAGCCGAATTCTACCAGAGGTATAAGGAGGAACTGGTACCATTCCTTCTGAAACTTCCAATCAATAGAAAAAGAGGGAATCCTCCCTAACTCATTTTATGAGGCCAGCATCATCCTGATACCAAAACCTGGCAGAGACACAACAAAAAAAGAGAATTTTAGACCAATATCCCTGATGAACATTGATGCAAAAATCCTCAATAAAATACTGGCAAACCGAATCCAGCAGCACATCAAAAAGCTTATACACCATGATCAAGTGGGCTTCATCCCTGGGATGCAAGGCTGGTTCAACATACACAAATCAATAAATGTAATCCAGCATATAAACAGAACCAAAGACAAAAACCACATGATTATCTCAATAGATGCAGAAAAGGCCTTTGACAAAATTCAACAACGCTTCATGCTAAAAACTCTCAATAAATTAGGTATTGATGGGACGTATCTCAAAATAATAAGAGCTATCTATGACAAACCCACAGCCAATATCATACTGAATGGGCAAAAACTGCAAGCATTCCCTTTGAAAACTGGCATAAGACAGGGATGCCCTCTCTCACCACTCCTATTCAACATAGTGTTGGAAGTTCTGGCCAGTGCAATCAGGCAGGAGAAGGAAATAAGGGTATTCAATTAGGAAAAGGGGAAGTCAAATTGTCCCTATTTGCAGATGACATGATTGTATATCTAGAAAACCCCATCGTCTCAGCCCAAAATCTCCTTAAGCTGATAGGCAACTTCAGCAAAGTCTCAGGATACAAAATCAATGTGTAAAAATCACAAGCATTCTTATACATCAATAATAGACAAACAGAGAGCCAAATCATGAGTGAACTCCCATTCATAATTGCTTCAAAGAGAATAAAATACCTAGGAATCCAACTTACAAGGGATGTGAAAGACCTCTTCAAGGAGAACTACAAACCACTGCTCAATGAAATAAAAGAGGATACAAACAAATGGAAGAACATTCCATGCTCATGGGTAGGAAGAATCAATATCGTGAAAATGGCCATACTGCCCAAGGTCATTTATAGATTCAATGTCATCCCCATCAAGCTACCAATGACTTTCTTCACAGAATTGGAAAAAACTACTTTAAAGTTCATATGGAACCAAAAAAGAGCCCACATTGCCAAGTCAATCCTAAGCCAAAAGAACAAAGCTGGAGGCATCACTCTACCTGACTTCAAACTATACTACAAGGCTACAGTAACCAAAACAGCATGGTACTGGTACCAAAACAGAGATATAGACCAATGGAACAGAACAGAGGCCTCAGAAATAATGCCGCATATCTACCACCATCTGATCTTTGACAAACCTGACAAAAACAAAAAATGTGGAAATGATTCCCTATTTAATAAATGGTGCTGGGAAAACTGGCTAGCCATATGTAGAAAGCTGAAACTGGATCCCTTCCTTACACCTTATACAAAAATTAATTCAAGATGGATTAAAGACTTAAACGTTAGACCTAAAACCATAAAAACCCTGAAGAAAACCTAGGCAATACCATTCAGGACATAGGCATGGGCAAGGACTTCATGTCTAAAACACCAAAAGCAATGGCAACAAAAGCCAAAATTGACAAATGGGATCTAATTAAACTAAAGAGCTTCTGCACAGCAAAAGAAACTACCATCAGAGTGAACAGGCAACCTACAGAATGGGAGAAAATTTTTCCAATCTACTCATCTGACGAAGAGCTAATATCCAAAATCTACAATGAACTCCAACAAATTTACAAGAAAAAAACAACCCCATCAAAAAGTGGGCGAAGGGTATGAACAGACACTTCTCAAAAGAAGACATTTATGCAGTCAAAAAACACATGAAAAAATGCTCACCATCACTGGCCATCAGAGAAATGCAAATCAAAACCACAATGAGATACCATCTCACACCAGTTAGAATGGCAATTATCAAAAAGTCAGGAAACAACAGGTGCTGGAGAGGATGTGGAGAAATAGGAACACTTTTACACTGTTGGTGGGACTGTAAACTAGTTCAACTATTATGGAAGTCAGTGTGGCAATTCCTCAGGGATCTAGAACTAGAAATACCATTTGGCCCAGCAATCCCATTACTGGGTATATACCTAAAGGATTATAAATCATGCTGCTAGGAAGACACATGCACACGTATGCTTATTGCGGCACTATTCACAATAGCAAAGACTTGGAACCAACACAAATGTCCAACAATGATAGACTGGATTAAGAAAATGTGGCACATATACACCATGGAATACTATGCAGCCATAAAAAATGATGAGTTCATGTCCTTTGCAGGGACATGGATGAAGCTGGAAACCAGCATTCTCAGCAAACTATCACAAGGACAAAAAACCAAACACCGCATGTTCTCACTCATAGGTGGGAATTGAACAATGAGAACACATGGACACAGGAAGGGGAACATCACACACCGGGGCCTGTTCTGGGGTGGGGGGATGGGGGAGGGATAGCATTAGGAGATATACCTAATGTTAAATGATGAGTTACTGGGTGCAGCACACCAACATGGCACATGTATACATATGTAACTAACCTGTACATTGTGCACATGTACCCTAAAACTAAAAGTATAATAAAACATCTGCATTTTCAACAAGTTTCATAAATTAAATATTCTTGACAAGAATAAAATATAAAAGAGAGAAATCTATTGTCTATCCTGAAATGTTACCTCCTCCTACCCTTTGCCCTCATTTGCCAGTATCTAGTCTCTGCACACCAGGCTCTTCTCAACTCGGATGATATCATAGAGACCCATTTGGTACAATGTAAGTGCTGCCTTTTCAAGTAGAATTTCTGGCCTAGAATGAAAAACCAGAAAACTTGTTTCCAAAGGGTCTAATGTTTTTGTCATCAATCTGTTCTTTGAAGAGAAGTTTGGGGGCACTGAAATGACGTAGGGTTTTTTTGAAAGTGTGGGATATTCAATCTAGCATTTTTACCTCTTATACTCTTTCAAGTTGGCCTTCTAAATTATGCCAACATTTTTCTGGTCTGTCTTGCTATTCAAAGTCCCAGTTCAGTTGAGGTTCTAGTAAAGAACCTAGAAAATATGTATATCTAAATAGAGCTACAACGTTGGATACAGAAACTATAATGGGTTCATCCATATAAAAATTCAGTTTAATCCAAAATTATGTTTTATCATCCTTAGTTAAGGACTTACAATATCCATTTCTATATGCATTCCCCCAGCACTTTAAATTCATGAATTTCTATAATATTTTTACTCTTTTTTTTATTTTACTGCCTAAGCAAAATTGATTTTTTAAAAACCCTGTGTACTTAGAAGCAATAAGACACTACTGGAAGTTTCAGCTCTCTTTCAAGGGAAGCATATTCTATTCAGCCAAGAGAGGAGCAATGAAAATTATTTCAAATGGATTAATTAGTCCAGGTTTCTCCAAGCCTTCAAAATCCGAGATTTCATTATTTCAGATATCAAAGTCTCACTTTTATTTGATCAGGGTTCTTTAACTTAAAATACTTGGCAGAGCTCTCAATCCAAAGGCTGCTCAAATTCAGCAACTCAAAAAAAAAAAAAAATCAATCTCCCAACTGATTTTCAGTGATCTCTGACCAAATGCTATAGTCAGTAAGGGTATTTAGTTTAGCATTGTCACAGGAAGGTCAATAGTTTTACTCTATGTCCTGAGTGAGCATTTCACAATGTGAGCTTGGTTGCTCTAGCTTTAAGTTATCCAACACCACCAAGATCAAATATTCCACCCCACTGTCTGACATTCCTTATCCCCTTTAAGTTGGCCTATTGGAATTGCATCCTATCCCAGAGAGTGGCATCATGAGTGAGCACATGGGTCTGGGGGAACAGACTTGATAGACTGCTTACCCCTATTGCCATGGTAAAACATAAGCAGCTATTCTTTCATTCCAGAATATAAGCATGACTTTTACTATATTTACTCCATCTCAGCCAAACACCAAATCCAGATAGCTCACATTTTCCTGGGAGTCATTACCGAGAATTCTGTTTCCATATCTAATTTTGTTAGATGTCTTTGGCTGGAATCAACAGAAACAAATTAAGGGAAAAAAAGAACTTATTAGAAAATAAATGTGTAGCTCACAGAATCAAAGGAACAGTTGAAAACCAAATTTTAGGGCAGACGAAAATCAGCATAGTTTTAAGTATTTTATTTTATTTTTATGTATTTATTTTTGGAGACAGGGTCCCACTTTGTTGCCCATGCTGGAGGGCAGTGGCACCTTCATGGCTCACTGCCACCTTGACCTGCTGAGCTTAAGTGATCTTCCCACCTCAGCCACTCAAGTAGCTGGGACTACAGGCTTACACCACCATGCCTGTCTAATTTTTAAGTTTTTTTTGTAAAGATGTTTACACCATTATCTTGCCAGGTTGGTTTCAAACTCCTGAGATCCTCCCAACTCACCCTCCCAAAGTACTAGGATTACAGGCATGAATCACCATGCCCAGCCAGTTTTAAGTATTTTAGTATCAGAGATTAGCCAGCATTGGTCATGGACCTGCCTTTTCATTGGTGAGAGGTAGACTTGGCCTCACAATTCTTCCCAAATTACCCAGATTAGGAAAAGAGCAAATCTTACTCCACCTGCCAAAGAAAGGATGCCGTACTGGGAAGACTATATGCATGAATATGTACATACATAATGCAAACACACATGTATGCATGCATAAAAGACTGTCACACATGGAAAATAATCAACAATTCTTATTAATTTGGGCAATAATTCTAGAAAAGAAACTAGACTGCTCAAATGATGGTAAGTGCTCTTAGTTCAACTTCATACTTCAGCCACCACAGTCATAGCTTTGTGGAAATTATTTCCAGTACACAAATTCTACATACTCTCACTTCTGAAACTGGATCCTCACTCACCCTAGCTCAAGGAAGAAGTTCGTACATAGAAATGTTAGACAAATGAAGGAGGAGACTGGTTATCAAGGATTCACAGCTGTCTTACTATTCAACATATTACTTCAAATTCCACCAAAGATGCTAGTCCTGCTGAATTTCTAATTAGGTGATCTTTTAGCTGTATAAATCCAGATATTGATGACAAATTACAGGACAAGCAATTACAGATTGCAGCTAATGCTCTACTTCTACCACCAACTCCTCATGTGTTTTTGTTTTTTAACACAATAATTATATTGTTCTGTGATGGTAACTTTGCTCTGGGGCTTTTTTTTTTTTTCCTAAAGGAAAACTAGATAACATTGGCTACTGAAACACCATCATGCTGTTCAACCTTGAAAACAATTCTCTAGTGTTGGGCTACAGTTTGCCACTGTGATATATTTTCAGAAATTAGAAAAATTCCCCCACTTTGAGCATGGGATTAGAAAATCCACTCTCAGAGTGACAACAACCCTGAGGGTATACAACTTGGTAAGCAGAGCAAGAAGAGAGCTTCAGCTGTCCCTCATCTCATGGCCTTGGCCTTAATGCAATGCATAACTTGATTCACAATTCATGATACTCTTTTCTTGGGGTAATTTGGACAAACTGGAACAACTCAAAACCTTTTACAAACTGAACAACTCAAAACCTTTTCTTTGAGTCATCTGGTTGGAAGCTTCAGAAAAAAATGGTCACAACACATCCTGAATTGCAGTCATGCAGTATTTCTACATCATTCAGATTACTAAAGAAAATCATTAAACCTTACTCATTAAAAATAATTTTGTGGAATAGTTCCTACCACTTGAGCTGCTTCAATTTTCTCAGTGTTCAATGTGATACATCATACTTAAGGTGCTGGGCCCATAGAGAATGCAGTCAAAATTGCAGAAACGTAGCTTCCTGAACTGCCCCACCTTCCTTGTGTTTTATCCTCACTCCTTGCTTTTGATTCCTGTTGCTATAATTCACAACATGCCTTGGCTCCTTAAGTCAGATTGGTTCAGGCTCTCACATCTTGGCAACTATCCTGGCTATGAATGGCATTGTCTCTCTAGCTCAGCAATGCCTTCACGGACACAATTAACTAATGTTCTTTGCATTTTAGCTGGGTCTTCAGGACACCCTCACCTGTATAATTCTGATAGATTCGCTCTGGTTTATTTTCCTTCCTTACCCAATTTAGACTAAGGCTTACTACTTCAACCCCGGATTTCTCAGCACTAAGCATTTATTTTGATCCTCTGTCACCACTCCCCAGCCAAGATCTTTAACCTAATCATTCTCAAACTATGTTCTTGTAACACTTTAAACCAGTGGTTCTCAAATATAATCTGGGACCCCTGAAGGTCCTTGAAGCCATTTCAGGGCATTGGTGAGGTGAAGATCACTTTTATAATAATAATTATATGCCATTTGGCTTTTTAATTCTCATTTACTCTGAGTAATGTACAAAAGAGTTTTCCAGACTGAACACAGAAGCAAATATGAGAATTTGCCTGTTTTGTGTTCATCCATACATTAAAGAGGGTTCCAAAAATTTTTAAAAATGCTACACTTGCCACTAAATTATTTGCTCTTCATACACAGTTATTTATTCTAAAAATGTTCACATGCAAAGGCTTTACTTTTTAATGAATTAATAAATAACTTTAAGGTTCTTAAATGCTATGTGGCAAAAATTTACAGATATACACAATTATAAAGCTCTGTGGGGACTCAATAATTGCTAAGACTGTAAAGCTCTTCTGAGACCAAAAATGTTGAAAATTCTATTCTAAAATGAGCTAATAACAAAAAGTTCTGAACTTAAACTCAATACTTGACCAGTAGGAACTAATAGACATCCATAGAACTCACTCCACCCAACAACTAAAGAATATACATCCTTCGCCTCTACAGACAGAACATACTCTAAGATAAACCACATGCTTGGCCATAAAGCAAGTCTCAATAAATTCAAAAAAATTGAAATCACACCAACCACACTCTCAGACCACAATGCAATAAAAATAGAAATCAATACCAAGAAGCTCTGTCAAAATGAACAATTATATGGAAACTTAAAAAACTTGCTCCTGAATGACTTATGGGGAAACAATAAAATTAAGGCAGAAATCAAAAAATTCTTTGAAACTAATGAAAACAGAGACACAATTTATTATACCAGACTCTTTAGGATACAACAGTATTAAGAGGAAACTTTTATAGTGCTAAATATCTACATCAAGAAGTTACAATGATCTCCAGTTAACAACCTAACATGGCACCCAGAGGAACTGTGAAAACAAAAACAAACCAACCCCAAAGCTAGTAGAAGAAAATAAATTACCAAAATCAGAGCAGAACTGGACAAAATTGAGATGCAAAAATCTATACAAAAGATCAACAAAACAAAAGTGTTTTTTTTGAAAGGATAAACAAGATTGATAGACCGCTAGCTAGATTAACAAAGAAAAAAAGAGGGATGATCCAAAAAAGCACAATCACAATTCACAAAGGTAACATTACAGCCAACCACACAGAAATATAAAATATCCTCAGAGACTATTACCAACACCTCTATGCAGCCAAACTAGATAATCTAGGAGAAATGGATAAATTCCTGGAAACAAACAGCCTCCCAAGAATAAACTAGGAAGAAAGGAAAACCCTGAACAGACCAACAATGAATTCTGAAATTGAAACAGTAACAAAAATCCTACCAACCTAAAAAAAAAGCCCTGGACCAGACAGATTCACAGCCAAATTCTACCAAATGTACAAAGAAGAACTGGTACCAAACCCACTGAAACTATTTTTAAAAATTGAGAAAAAGGGCTTCTTTCTAACTTATCCTATGAGGCTGGCATCATTCTGATACCAAAACCTGGCAGAGACACAACAAAAGAAGAAAACTTTAGGCCGGTATCCCTGATGAACATAGATGTAAAAATTCTCAACAAAATATGAGCAAAACCCACCAGCAGCACCACAAAACATTCACTGTGATCAAGTAGGCTGTATTCCTGGGATGCAAGGTTGGTTCAACAAATGTAAGTCAATAAATGTCATTCATCACAAAAACAGAATTAAAAACAAAAACCATATAATGATATCGATAGATGCAGAAAAAACTTTCAATGTAATCCAACATTCCTTCATGTGAAAAACCTTCAACAAATAAGCATTGAAGGAACATATGTCAAAATAAAAAGAGCCATTTATGACAAACCCACAGCCAGCATCACACTAAACAGGCAAAAGATGGAAGCTTTCCTCTTGAAGACTGGAATAAGACTAGGATGCACACTCTCCCCACTCCTATTCAATATAGTACTGGTAATCCTAGCCAGAGCATTTGGGCAAGAGAAAGAAACACAAGGCATCCAAGTAGGAAAAGAAGAAGTCAAACTATATCTCTTTGCTAATATGATTCTATACCTAAAAAGCCCTAAAATCTCTGACAAAAGTCTTCTAGGTATGATAAGCAACTTCAGCAAAGTTTCAGGATACGAAATCAGTGTATAAAAATCAACAGCATTTGCAAACATCAATAACATTCAAGCTGAAAGCTAAATTAAGAATGCAATCCTGCATACAATAGACTAAAAAGAATGATATATCTAGGAATACAGTTAATCAAGGAGGTAAGAGACACTGGAATAATAATTACAAAACAGTGCTGGAAGAAATCAGAGATGACACAAATAAATGGAAAAACATTCCATGTTCATGGATAGAAAGAATCAATATTGTTAAAGTGGTCATACTGTCTAAAGCAATTTACAGATTCAATGCTGTTCCTACCAAACTACCAACATCATTTTTCACAGATTTAGAAAAGGGCTATTCTAAAATTCATGTGGATACAATGAATAGCTTGAATAGACAAAGCAATCCTACGCAATAAGAACAAAGCCAGAAGTGTCACATTACCTGACTTCAAACTATACTACGAGGCTACTGTAACCAAGACATTATGGTACTGGTACAAAAACAGACACATAGACCAATGGAACAGAATAGAGAGCCCAGAAATAAATATACAAACCTACAACCACCTGATCTTTGACAAAGTAGAGAAAAATAGGCAATGGGGAAAAGATTCCCTATTCAATAAATCGTGCTGGGATAACTGGCTAGCCATATGCAGAAAAATGAAACTGGACCCCTACCCATCATCATATACAAAAATTACCTCAAGATGCACTAAAGACTTAAATGTTAGACTCAAAGTAGAAAAACTAGAAGAAAACCTAGGTAATATCTTTTTTGATATTTTACTTGGCAAAGAATTTATGGCTAAGTCCTCAAAAGCAGTGGCAACAAAAACAAAAATTGGTAAGTTGGACCTAATTAAACTAAAGAGCTTCTACAAAGCAAGAGAAACTATCAAGGGAGTAAACCAACAACTTAGAGAATGGAAGAAAATATTTGCAAATTATGCATCTGACAAAGGTCAAATATCCAGAATCTATGAGGAACTTAAACAAATCAACAAGCCAAAAACAAATAATCCAATTAAAAAGTGGACAAAAGACATGAACAGATACTTCTCAAAAACAGACAAACAAATGGCCAACAAACATGAAAAAATGCTCCTCAGGTCGGGCACAGCGGCTCACACTTGTAATTCCAGCACTTTGGGAGGCCGAGGGGGGCAGATCACCTGAGGTTAGGAGTTCAAGACCAGCTTGGCAACATGGTGAAACCCTATCTCTACTAAAAAGACAAAAAATTAGCTGGGCATGGTGGCCTGTGCCTGTAATCTCAGCTACTCGGGAGCTTGAGGCAGGATAATCACTTGAACTTGGGAGGTGGAGGTTGCAGTGAGCCAAAATCGTGCCACTGCACTCCATACTGGGCAACAGAGCAAGACTCCGTCTCAAAAAAAGAAAAAAATGCTCATCATCACTAATCATCAGAGAAATGCAAATGAAAACCACAATGAGATATCATCTCATACCAGTCAGAAAGGCCTTTGTTAAAAATTCTAAAAACGAGATGCTAGAGAGGCTGCAGAGATGGGGTAACACTTATATACTGTTGGTAGGGATGTAAATTCGTTTGGAGATTCCTCAAAGATATAAGAGTTACACTATCATTCAACCCAGCGATCCCATTCTTGGGGTATCTCCCCAATGGAAAATAAGTCATTCTACCAAAAAGACGCATGCACTTGTATGTTCATCACAGCACTATTCACAATAGCAAAGACATGGAATCAACCCAGGAGCTCATCAACTCTGGATTGGATCAAGAAAATGTGGTATATATATACTATGGAATACTACACAGCCATAAAAGAGAAGGAAATCACATCCTTTATAGCAACATGGACATAGTGGAGGCCATTATCCTAAGGGAACTAATGCAGAAACAGAAAACCAAATACCACATGTTCTCACTTGTAAGTGAGACCTGAGCACTGAGTAGAAATAAACATAAAGATGAGAACAATAAGCACTGGAGAATACAAGAGGGAAGAGGCAGGGGGTTGGGCAACGGCTGAAAAGCTACCTGTTGGGTCCTATGCTGACTACCTGGGAGACAGATTCACTCATACTCCAAACCTCAGCATCACAGAATATACCTTTGTAACAAGCCTGCACACATACCCCCAGAACCTATCATAAAAGTTGAAAAAAAAGTGGAGTTGCAAACAAAATAGAATAAAATAAAAGAGTTAAGTTGTGAACACTTTGGAAGTGTTATATTCCTGGGTGCTTATAAGTCTGGATATCATGCCCCATAGTAGTTGGATATGGGAGTGAGGAGGTCAGAATACAAATAAGTGAGAAAGATGCATCGGAGCTTTGTGAGTCTTTGGTGTGTAAATGATAATTTAATCAATAGGTATGGTTGAAATATTCCAGGGAATGTATAGAGCAAGACAAAAATTAGGACCCATTACAAGGGAACAGCTACCTGAAACAATAGACATTTAAAGAAGAGTTTGCAAAGAAGGCCAAAATGAAATGTCCAGAGCAAGGAAATGAGGACAGTGAAATGTCACAGAAACCAAGGAAAACTTGTTTCAATAAGAACAGTACTCAGCAATATTAAATGCTGCTAACGGATCAAGTAAGAAATCTCATTTTGCAGCAGGGAAGGCCTTAGTGACTTCAGTAAGAGATTCAGTGATATTGTGGGTGAGGGGTTGGCAGAAAACATTTAAATGGTTTTAGATAAAGTAGAAGATGAAAAATTTGAGATAGTAACACTCTCAAGGAATTTACTTGAGAAGAAAAGAGGTAATGTGATAACTGGGTGGGAGTGTACATGGGATAGGTAAGGGTTTTGTACAGGAGGGAATATTAATAACTAGCTCACAAAAGGACTTAATAGTCTCTTAATGCAATTATCTCCACGTGTCTGTGTTTCGTGCATAATTAAAAGTACCTTGAGTTAAATGGTCTATTGAATATCTCTATATATTCTCAGCATTTGCTACTCATCTGGAAAATTATAGGAACGTCATACAGATTTGCTTCTAATTATTTAATTACCTATATTAGTGTTTCTTAATATAAAACAAGGCTTATAGTTTCTCATGAACAATAGAAATACAGAGCTAGTTATCATTCTGCATGAAAGGGGCCTTAAAAATGCTTATGTTTACAAGGCCATGGCAGCTCATAAATATCATATAGACAAAAGAATATCGTATTAAAATTCTGAAAAACACAGATCATTGTTAATTCTCAGTAAAATGTGTATTCCTTGTTCCTCAACAGAAGACAGGATGTGTACTAATGACATCTATTTCAAGCCAATGGCAGCAGGTAGAGCAGAGGAGAAACACTAACTGCGGGAACTCGGAGAAAATAACTGATTTTTGACTAATGTAAAGATGTCCTCATCTGTCTATGTATATCTATACGTAGAACTTTGAAATCCTAAATAGACATTGTAGTTATTAAGTGATCTTTTAAAGGTCTATGAAGTATTAGTGAAGTGAAATCATTACAGAAACTCATACGTTCAGAAGAAAAATAAAATGAGCTGAGTTAAAAGGTATGGTGATTAAAATTTATATGTCCATTTTATAATTCTTCAATTATTTTCATGAGATTACTCTAACATCTGTGTATAAACAATTTCATTACAAACACAGGACACATAGGGGCCTCTATAGACTCACAAATAAATGAAAATTATCACAACTGAGAAATCAGCAGTACGCTAATTATTATTTGTTTTATTCATTTGTGAGATGGATAACTGGTGAAGTGAATATTCTCTGCAATAATTTTTCATTAAAGAAACATTTCTCTTTCAAACTAGCAGCTTGTTTTAAAGAGAATAGGGCCAATGATAACGCTCTCAAAATGTGTTAGTAGATGGTATCTAGCTCTAATTACCTGACTTCAGGACTAATAAATGATTATCTTTCAATATGTAGGAAAAAATAAAGTAAAAATCAGACTTTGACATTGTTTCTAGTGGACATTATCATATTATTGCCCACTGCCTTTGTATGGCCTTTTTGTTTGGGGGGAAATGTCCACATTGTGACCATTGACTCTCCAGTGTGGAAATCAAAAATAAATTCTCAGCCTCCCTTGCAGATAGGAAGAAGGCATGTGACCAGAGTGCTGCAATCAGACATACCTGCTTCCCAGTGGGTGCAAGTCTGTGTTTCTAACACAGAAGTGCAATCTCTGCTGGCAGCAGTGCCAATCGGTTTGGACTTCTGGCATTTAACATCTAACAGAGGCTGTGGGCACAGTATCCTGAATAGTCCTGTTCTGTGTCATGATTTCGCATATTGCTGCTAGAAGCTTGGTTTTGAGACTATTCTTTTTTTTTTCAATGCCATCCCAGTGAATCTATTAATCACCAGATATTCTTGAATACATCACTGTTCTGATAAAAGTAGCCAGCACAGATTCTATTGTTTGCAACTAAGTGATCTGACTGATACACCTTTGTAACTCAGGAACTAAAAAGAATTTCAAAATCTCAATGCTTCTTTGAGTTATTAAAATACTTATTAGAAAAAAACTTATGGGAAGTCAATATATTGGCCATTTCTATTCTGAAAGTGTAATAAAACTGAGGAATAGAGTATAAGAAGTTCATGGCCTGCAGAGCTTGGAGTTTACATCTTGATATCACTATTGCTAGCTATGGGTAAGTAACTTAACCTCATTGATTCTAAATTGAATCACATGATAAATGATAATAATACTTAATGATTATTAGGATTAGAAGGGATACTATTTATAAAGTATTAGTCCAATCTTTCATACTTCAAGCTGACTGACAAAGAGCTTTTTATTCAGCTATTGCTAATGCCACATAATATTGGTGAATTTTCTGTTACAGAGAATGTAATCCACTCCAACTACTTTAAGCAGAAAGGGATTTATTTTAGAGGATTAAATGACTTTTAGAATTTTTAGCAGGGCTGAAGAAATTGAGTCTAGTGTGAACTTCTAGAAAAACCCTGAAAGCCACCTGCGGAATATGCTAACAGGGAAGCTGCTATGCAGGTCTTGACAAGAAAAATGTAGACTCAGGAAGCTTTGTAATAATTAGAAAGTTTTTGCTATTGTTTCTGGCTGTACCACTTGTGCTATGCTAAAGAAGCTACCTGCTGAATCACGAAATTATTATTCTACTTCCTGTTACTATATGTTAGTTTGGTCTATTTTTTTAACTTACATACACAGAACCATTCCACATTATGGTTGTAAGATTCATACATTTTATTCTGTGTGAAGAAACAAATACAGTCTTTTTTCACACCGTATAGCAGTGTGTGGTAGGCAGAATAATGGCTCCCCAAATACATCAAAGTCCTAATCCCTAGAATCTGTGAATATGTTATAATATATGGCAAAGGAGAATTGACTTGCATATAGAATTAAGGTTGCTAATTGGCTGACCTTAAAACAGGGAGATTAGCCTGTATTCTTCAGATGAGTCCAACTGCAATCATGAGGATACTTAAAAGTGAAAGAGGGAAGCAGATAGTAGGCTAGAGGGATGCAATATGAGAAGAACCTGGCTGCCTTTGCTAGCTCTGAAGACAGAGGAAGGGGTCCAGGATCCAAGGAAGAAAAAGTACAGAATTCAATACGAAAGGTGGGTGTTCTTTAGAAGCTGGAAAAGGTAAGGAAAGAGATTCTCCCTTGAAGACTCCAGAAAGGAATGAAGTTCTGATGACACCTTGATTTTTGCTCTGTGCATCTTTTGTTGAAATTCTGACCTGCAAAACTATAAGATGATACATCTGTGTTGTTTTAAGCCATTTAGTTTGTGGTCATTTGTAAAAGGCAATATAGAAAACTAATAAGAAGGATTTCTCAACTTCAGCACTATGGACATTTGGGACCAAATAATTATTTTGTTTTAGGAACTATCCTTTGTAATGTAGGATAGTTAGCAGCTTCCCTGGATTCTCCCTACTAATGCCATTAGCATTTACACCAGTTGTGACAATAAAACATGTCTACCAGACATTGCCAAATGTCCTGAGGAGTGGGGAGCAAGATCACTCCCAACTGAGAACTAATACTGTGTGTCATTGTATTTTATAAATATGTCATGAATTATTTAGCCACTCTATTATTTAAAAATATGTGGATTGTTTCAAAATTATGATTATTACTAGAAATGCTTCTATGAGTACCTACATGTGTTTTGGTTAACATATGTTCACCTTGCCATTATATATACACCAGAAAAGTAAGAAAAGTGGAGTAACTTGATCACAGAACATGCCTTTTCTACCAATTTGTAATTCTATAGACAATGTATAGAAGTTTCTATTGTGTTCTGTTCTTGCTAACACTTGATATTGCCTGCCTTCTTCATTTTAGTCACTCTAGTGAGGGTGCATAGCATCTTTTTGTGATTTAAATTTGCATTTCCATGGTAACTAATAAAATTGCACATCTTCTAAATATGTGTATTCTCATTACGATACTCTGGTTTATGAAGTGTCTGATCAAGTTTTCAGCCCAATTTTTTTTGCGCTGCCTTTTTTTTTAATTTGTAGGCTTTATTTTTATATTCAAATACAAGGGCTTTGTTGGCTACATGCAAGTTGACTGGATGATTGATCCTAATTATCTCAGTGTGGTAAGGCTGCTGTTATTGAATGGGGTTGGGATTAAGTCTGGAATCCAGGTGAAACTCTGTAGTGTCTGTTATGTGGGCATCTACCCCATTTTTGCATCCTCAACATTATGAGACTACCTAAAACTGTATACTCCTTTGCAGTGGCTTTCTGAGCTGTTTTTTTTTTTCACTTTTCAAAAATTTATTTTTATTTTGAAATTTACTCCATGGTTATTTATTTATTTTTCCATAGGTTATTGGGGAACAGGTGGTGTTTGGTTACATAAGTAAGTTCTTTAGTGCTGATTTATGAGATTTTGGTGTTCCCATCACCCAAGCAGTATACACTGCATCCTACTTCTAGTCTTTTATCCCTCACCCTCTCCCACCCTTCCCCCCAAGTCCCCAAAGTCCATTGTATCATTCTTATGCCTTTGTGTCCTCATAGCTTAGCTCCCACCTATGAGTGAGAACATGCGATGTTTGGTTTTCCATTCTTGAGTTACATCACTTAGAATAATAGTCTCCCATCTCATCCAGGTCACTGTGAATGCCGCTAATTCCTTCCTTTTTAACGGTTGAGTAGTCTATCTCAAGTGTCTTGAGAAGAAACACCTTCAAGTATAGGGCTCACATCAGCATCAGTGTCTCCCTTCTCTTTGGGATCCTGGTCATTTTGGCAGTCCCAAATTTCGTCTTTGTCTCCCTACTTCTAAGCAGTTGCCAAAAGCTCTGCTGGCTTCTCTACTTATTACCTGTAGTCCTTTTCCCAGTTTCTTTGTCCTCCAACATCTTACAAAAATTGTCAAATACCCTGAGGGGAAAAGGCAGAATTCAGTTCACTTATCCATACTTCTCTTACATTTGTGATCTTGTTTCTCATATTCTGGTTGCTTGGAAGCTCGTCATACCCTCTAACAGATGATTCTGTATTTGGAGCATTGTATAACTGGCTAAGTATTCTCAATAGGAGACATGGTCTGCTGAATCCTATAATAACTGGAAGCAGAAGTCCCTCAGTGGAATTTTAAAGCCTTAAATCTCACATTCACTCCTATTTGTTCCAAATTCCCTCTCCCTCATTCTTCCAGTCCTACGATTTTTCAAACAATACCACTGTTTTACACTGTGATTCAACATCTACAATATTAAACTGGTTTCTGATTTTTTTTTTTTTTTTTTGAGATAGAGTCAAGCTCAGTCACCCAGGCTGGAGTGCAATGGCTCCATCTTGGCTCACTGCAACCACTGCTTCCTGGGTTTAAGCGATTCTCCTATCCTAGCCTCCCGAGTAACTGGGATTACAGGCACTCACCGCCATGCCCAGCTAATTTTTTTGTATTTTTAGTAGAGATGGGGTTTCACTGTGTTGCCCAGGCTGGTCTCGAACTTCTGAGTTCAGGCAATCCACCTGCCTCAACCTCCCAAAGTACAGGCCTGAGCCACCGCACCTGGCTTTGTTTCTGATTTTTAGCTATGCCAGGCCTTGTAGCCTGTGATTAAAGAGTCTTTCAGGAAAATCACAGAATTTCCATCAGCCTTTGATTGTTCCTTTTTCTGAGAATGTAAAACAAAACTATGAGTATATGTTCTTTCTTCTCTAGTACAGTTGGAAGCAGTGAGCCTCCCATTATATCCTGTTTGCATTCTTCTTTCTCACCCGAATGTTTCATTGCAACAGCCACTTGTTCCAATAAAAATTTAGTATCATTTCATATTAAATGACCACAGACAAAAATTAATTGTTTTGCCATGGTACAGCATGGACCATAAATTTCTTATTTCATGTTCATGCATTTCTTTCCAGGTAAGATAACCTGTCCCATATCCCCATTTCTTGTAGAGTTCTGTGACCTATACACACTTTCCTGTTACTTAGAAGTGCATTATTTCAGATACAGATACTACATGGTTTAATCAAAAAGAGAACTTTTTACCCTTCTTCAAGAATGGTTGGAAGAACTAAAGAAATAGACCATAGACTAAACTGCTATGACCAACAAACTGTAGAATCAAAAATTCCACTGCTTCTGTGTCTCCAGAATCATGCTGTCTCTGCTGTGTCCTGGGTTGAAACAAGAGTCTAGCCCTGCCTTTTCCTCGTTTCACTCAGTTTTGAATCCACGTCTCACAGGAGCATATCTTATTATCAAAATCTTGTTCATTGCTAAGACCCTCACTGCAAGAGATGAGGGAAATACAGCATTAAGTTTCCAGCCTTTGTAGTACCAGAAAACATCCAAGAAGGGAGCTGGAACTAATGATGAGCAAGTTGACCTGCTGTGTCTACCAGTCTCATCATTGGGACTTTTATAATTTATCCCTTAGATTGTTTTAATAGCCTCTTAGTTGTTCTTCCTGCTAAGCTCTCTTTCCACATATCCATCTCCCAGCAGAACACATCCTTGCCACTAATGACGGCCTTTCCCACTTCGTTCTGTGCATCCCAGGTATGCACTCTTTACACAGTTACTAGTAATTGACCAAGCTTAATTTGTATTTTTCTACTTCCTTTACCTCATTCATATTATTCCCTTTGCCTAAATGTTTCTTTCTTTTCTTAAGTCCTATCTATCCTTTAAAATTCAGTCAAGTGTCATTTATTACAGAAAGCCTTTCCAAACTTCCATCTGCTCTGGATGTGCATGACAGTATAATGCCAATATGTTCCCTATTCATCAAGGCTTTAGTCGTCAGGTTCTTTCAACTAGAGTCTCAGATCCTCAAAGACAGCTATCACATCTTCTTAACTGTTGCTTGCCTGAAGTATAATATTATAAGTGGAGCTCAGTATCCAGGCACATTGTGAAGAAAATCAACAATTAGTGTAGAAATCTTAACAGTATTTTGCAAGGCTCATAAATTTGATTAGATTTTTGAGCTACTTATAAGCTGGAATTTGATAGCCTGTCTTTCACATTTACTATGGTCTCAGTAAATGTCAGTGGGGATGAAAAAACTTTACTTATTTGGGCCAGAAAGATTTATACCAAAAAATTATTCTCCATTCAAGTAAGGATCCCAATATTTTTGAGAAAATTCATGAATGTTATGTCTCACAGAAATTAGGGCATAATTTTAGTGTCACTGATTGGGCATAACTGTCTCAAAGAAACTTCCAAAATGGACACATTGTAAGGGGGGGGAACCTATAAATTTAACAAACTGTATTAGAATTAAATTCTCACATGGACAACTTTTTCTACAGAATTAGATGTTTTTTTTTCTTTAAACCGGTTCTAACCTAACAAAGAAGTTTGCCTTACTAAATATACACTTAAACCATATTTCTTAAAACTTTTCCAGGAAAAATACACCTCTGTGATATGGCACACATAATCTGAAAAAGAATACTGTCCTCTATATACAAAGACCACACCACTGACCAGAGATCAGTAGCCCGTGTACTTTTCCAAAAACAGATAATAAACATCAAATTGTAAATCTAAGCTATACCAAACTTAGTTCTGAAGTTTCCAAAAACAGCATGCATTTGCAAAATGTCCAGCCAAAATTAGAGGCTTATCTCTGACTTGGAAATAGAGCAAAGGTAGGTTCTAACCAAGTTGTTTATCAACTTATATTTAAGGGAACATTGATAACATTTTAAATGCATTCCTTGAAAAGTGGCTGTGTGGCAAATAAGTTTTGGAAATACTAGGTTAAACAAATTTGAATAAGCTTGTTTTCATTTTGTGTGATGTTTAGTTTTTACAACAAGACTTCTGAGTCTTGATATGGTGATAAGAATTTCTATGATTCTCCAAGAAAGCATTTGACTATGGAATGTCCCCAAACTTAAATTTATCCAACCACAGAATTGTCCTCTCCCTCCAAATATGCAAACATTTTTCTTCTTTTCAGATTACTGGTTTACATTTTTCAGAAAAAACAACTCTAAGAGCTCAGTTAGGAAAACATTATTCTAACAAAAAGAACTGAGTTACCAGGAAATCTTAACAGCTTTATAAAGACAATTCAAAACTCTAAATTGAAACTTCTAAATCAGAAAAAAATTCTACAAAAATTTAAATAATTTTAAAAATCAGTAATAAAAATATAACTGTTGAGTCCCTTCACTGCAGGGAGAACAATAGCTGGTTTGCAGGGTGGCTAGGTTTTGTTTTGTTTTCCATCTACAGCGTAATTAAATATAAATTATTAATTAATATTGCCAGAAATGAAATCTCCCCTTAGAACTCATTCGTATATTCAGTAGCTAGCTCTAGCTGGAATATCTCCCTTGAATCTAAACCATTCAGATTTGCTCCTGGTAAGACAACCTCTGAGAGATGCACTAAATTCACTTTCAAGTCTCAAATTCTATTACTTAATCTATTAGTGAAACAGTATATTAGTCCATTTTCAGACTGCTATAGAGAACTGGCTGAGACTGGGTAATGTATAAAGGAAAGCAGTTTAGTTGACTCACAGTTCAGCATGGCTGAACTTACAATCATGGCAGAAGGCAAAGGGGAAGCAAGGCACCTTCTTCACAGGGCAGCAGAAAGGAGAAGTGCCAAGCAAAAGGGGGAAGAGCCCCTTATAAAAACATCAGATCTCGTGAGAACTTACTCACTATCACGAAAACAGCATGGGGGAAACCACTCCCATGATTCAATTACCTTCACCTGGTCTCTTCCTTGACACATGAGGTTTATGGGGGTTATGGGGATTACAATTCAAAATGAGACTTGGGTGGGGACACAAAGCCTAACCGTATCAATCAGTGTACAATTAAATGACATGTTCTGAGCCATAATTGGTACCTGTCTCTGCCTCTTATACTTCTGACTAATTTTTATTAAGATACAATTCATAAAAGATAAAGACACCATTTAATGTGTACAATTCGGTGGGTTTTAGTATATTTACCATGTTGTGCAATCATCACTATCTAATTCCAGAACATTTCCATGACCCTTCCAGAAAAACTTTGTACCTATTAGCAGTCACTCCTAATGCCTCCATCTGCTCATAACCACTAATCTACTTTTTCTCTTTATGTATTTGCCTATTCTGGGCATTTCATATGAATGCAATCATACAATGTGTGGCGTTTTGTGCCTGACTTCTTTCACTTAGCATAACTTTCTCAAAGTTCATCCACATCATAGCATGAATCAGTACTTCTTTTGTATTTTTGAATAATATTTCATTGTATGAACTACAACATTTTATTTATGTATGAATGCATTCAGGGGCATTTAGAGTGATTCTACTTTGGGGGCTATTATGAATGATGTGCAATTTTTATGTGAACATGTTTTTAATCATTTTGAGTATATACCTAAGAGTGGAATTGCTACATTATATAACTGTGTTTAACTTTTTGAGGAACTGCCAAAATGCTTTTCATAGAGGCAGCCCCATTATAGATTCCTATCAATAATATATGAGGGTTCCAATTTCTCCATGTTGTCACCAACATTTGCTATTTAACCCCTAACATAAAGAACTCTTAAAACTGAGCAAGAGATAATAAGCAAATAACCTAATTAGAAAATGGGCAAAGCAATTAAATAGACAATTCTGCAAATAAGATATACAAATGGCTAACATGCATATGAAAAAAATGCTCCAACATTATTAGTATTTAGGGAAATGCAAATCAAAGCCATAAAATCCCACTTCTAGTTCTTTTGAACTTGAATAGAACAATATCCTGTAAATTTATCTCAATTTTGTGTTAGGAAATTCATAGCACCAGGGCAACTAACTTTATCACGTATCAAAACCCTGGTAATCTTTGTTCTTATGTAAGTTTTTCATTAAGTGTTATTTTATAGACATAGGCATTCATACTCAACTTGCCATTTCACTATTAGCCCTGTTTCTCTTTTTATACAGATTTCCACTTCATGTAGTTTGGAAACATTATCAGAGATAGAGTCTATATTGTCCCCTATGTTTTTCTAGTATCTGTGATAACCTTTTGCCATCCAGAAGGGATTAATTTTCCATTTTCAAGAGAAGAGTTTGTCTCTCAAACAGTATTTGACTATGTGCTCCTTATGGACTATTGCTAACACCTCTTTCCTATCATTCCCCAGCCTCTTACCATTCCATAGTTTAATCTTTGGTCCAAGAATTTTTCTTTCTTAAATGGGTCATACTTCCTTTCAAAGACCATGTGAGAGCCTCAATGTTAAAACACAGTTAAACATAACAATATCACATTAAATGGAGTTATAAAGGTCATATTTCAGAGTATATCAGATAAGACATTAACATTTTGTGCCTAAAATGTGTAAAAATAACATCTTCTTTGCAGTTATGTATGTGTTTGAGAAGTGTTTCTAATGTATTCGCAACACTCAGACACAGACATACACATGTTCTTAGTGAAATACCGAGAGAAAAACCTTTCTAATAGAAAGGAGTGGCCTATTTAATCTTCTCTTTATGTTCTATCTTTGGGACTACAGAATTTTGCAGGTAAAGGTTTCGTTTAAAAGATAATGGACAGTATCTCTAAGAATCACTCCATGTGAATGTTAAATCCTTTTCTTCATGACAAGGCATAAGATCATTTTAAAATATAAGCTTGTGCTCATTTTTGCATGCTAGTAAGAAAAATAGGTATAGCCATGTAATTGCTTTAAAATAGGTCATTAAAAGTGAGAAATATCTTTGCACAGCATTTTTTATTTTATAAAACTGCTCTATTTCCCAATCTAGATGAGTATGCTCAAGCATGCAGATAGATGTTTGAGAATAAATTTCAGAGACCATATTGGCAATACTGATTTTAGAAACATATGTCTCCTACTGGAATTTTGATGAATGTCTTCAATGTATATTTATGCATATTAATAGCATTTAAATTCCTCCTTCATTGCATTTCAAATATTGAGCTTTAAAGCTGGCCAAAAACATTTTATTAAAGATGATGTTTTTCACTTTATTGCCGGGCATACACTTGCTTATTCCTCATTCTAGGTGGATATACCTATGCTAAAGAGAATAATGTACCTTCATACTTCCAAACACTAATAACTTTAATATGATTAAAAAGCATTTTCTCTATCTCACTTCCAGTTTGTTTCCTTTAACAGTCATCTGCATTACATAATCTGTTTTGTTTCAGTGGTAGGATCTTTTCCTTTTTCTCAGATAATCATTTCGGAAGGTAGAACCTAAGCCTTTTTAGAAACCAAGGTGTCTCTTGTGAGGTAACCTTTGGTTTGTAAGCCATTCTCAAGCCACCAAACAGACAATCAATAGTAGTATTACATACTCAAGACTGGTACCCATGACTTGAACATTTGAAGGACTCTTAAAGCAAGGTTGACTTATTTCTTTAGTAAGAGGCTAAATGTTCTTTTTTATTATTTGACTTCAATATGTGATCCTCTATCAGGTATGCTGCTTGTTGATGATTTATATTTAAAAGGCCATGCTAAGTATTTTTTAGATATTTTTTCATCTACCCTCACTGCTAACGCATTTGAAAACTCAATTGTTTTTCCTCTATTACTGATTTTTGTCACATCCCCTGTGACAAATGTGGGTTCTTGTCTCTTGACTCCAAATGCACATATCAGCATATTTCTGTTTCATTTGCTCTTTCATTCAGAAGAGAGTTGAAAACTGATGGTAAAATGTGCAGTAGAATCCCAGAACTGTCCATAAAGAGTCAATGCCTCCTGAGCATAATCCACATGTATTCCACCCATTCTCCTTGTCATCAAGCCTGGCCATTCCCTGTATCTCCAGAGCTATAGCACAACTTCCATACCTTGATCTTTCTCAAGGGCCTCTGGGGTACAGGAGAAGAAGAAATTATAAGAGAATGGACCTAGTGGCATGGTACCATTATGGGAGCTGTCTGCAAAAATCTTCCCCAAATCTCTTTCACTATTTTTTTCAATATCTTTAATTAGATTTTTCCAACTGTTTGAAAATGGGAACTGAATTGCTAACCATGTAACACTATATCAATAGAGATATCTGCTGGATCCAGATATCATAGCTTCATGGGAACAGCGCTTTTTCCATCCCTTCTTAACTCATATTTTAAAAGTAGTCATTTTTCAAATACATTTTTTTAAAAAATTAGGTAAAAGAATATGGAAATCGGCATAAAAAATAACAGCAAAAGCATCAAAATGAACAAATAAACACACATTTTATATACTAAGTCAATTATAATTTCTCACATTTATTGAACTCTCATTATGTATAAGGCAATGTCTTGAATGTTTGTCATAGATAATCTTGTTCAGTCCTTACAGCAAGCTAATGAGGTAAGTAATATTATCATTCCCATTTCACCAACTAGAAAACCGATAATGAGTACATTGCCCAGGATCGCACTGCTAATAAGAAGTGGTACTGTGGTTAAGATTAAAATCTTGCAAATTGGCACAGCTTGAAGACAACAGACACTGTGCTGCTTAGATCAGCCCTGTCTAGAGAAACTAGACTCTAGGTCACTGCTTTAACCTGTTGAACAATTAATCTTCTCTGAAGGACATAATCTAAATAATGAACTTTAGTTTATACTACATTTTACATAATATCTATTCCCTTTATCACAAAATCTTTGTGGTAACACTGAATGAAATAATGTGAAATGTAAAAGACAAAATATGGAATATAATGTGAAATATAAAGATAAAATTAAAGTATTATTAAACTAATGACTTTAGTAGATCTGATGAATAGGATGATGGCTTCTTTCTAGGTCGAAACTGGAAACCTTTATTTCTCTTGTGATACAGCATTTGAAAATACAAGAAGATTTATGCCTTCACAGAGCCTTCTGCATGCTTGACAGTATCTACTGCAGTCATGAAAACTACAGATGTTCTAGTTCCTGCAGAAAGACTTAGAGATTTTGGTGGGCATCTCTTAATCTAGGGGTTGTTTTGTCTTGAAATTTGCAGGAGACCTTGGATCCTAGTAGTAATAACACATGTGATTTCAAAGGCTATGGATTCCTTTGCAGGGCATGGAGAGGCAACAAAAACAATCATCCATTTGTGCCAAACATTACATTGTATTATATATGCATACATACATTTCATCCTCATAAAAACCCTTGGTGGTAGATTTGGATAGTCAAAAAGCATAGGCAAGTTCATGGGCAACAAATGAAAGAAGGACAATTCTTCCTATTAGTAACAGGTGATATTTGTGAAGTAGACGATGGAGAAAGACAATCTCTGTAAGACACAATTAATAGATAATATATGTATATGATGAACTTCAGCTGTAAAAATTGATTATCTAAAAATAGTAACACCAGTGACAGTCATTCTTCAACAGAACAGAAGTTCTGTTGGGACAAGGAGAGTTGGTAGAAACATAGAGGTCCATGCTAATCTGGTTGATTACAGAGGAGGAGCTCCTCCCAGAATTGAACAAAAGGAATTCTTGAGGCAATAGCTTAGTGTTTTAACTAAATTCTGGCTTTAGTAGATCTGGTAAATAGAATGATGTCTTCTTTATTCTAGAAGAATGCAAATTTTATACTAGAAATCTACTATATACAATTAGTATAACTTAGGCATTTGTGCTAAGTTAATTGCATAAGAACTTTGATATGGTTATCTTTCCTAAAATCATGAGTTAAAAGAACCCTCCATATATTTTGTTATAGATAAGTATCTGGATTATATATAAAGGAACCCTCCAGATACTTCGTTATAGATAAATATCTGGATTATACATACCTATGTTACAACTGCAAGAAAAATAAATGAGATAAACTTAGTCATACAACTTTTGGGGCCACCTTGGCTTAAGAAGACACCACTGAGATGGTGCATGCTAGAAATACTTTGTTATGATGGGCAGACATGGGCAGAAAAGACTGTGTCTCTGTGAGTGGCATTTCTTGATGCTCCCTTCGTAATGCTGGGGCCTCAAGTGGGCTGGGGTGGGAAATTGAGCCATCCACAGAGGCTGCATATGAACTGGAATACCATGTATTGGAGTCTTTTTCCATCTCTCTACAGAAAGTACTTTGGAAGCAGCTTATGCTGAGATCCATCCTGTGTATAGGTTAACACAGAAAAATTAGGCAAACAGGCTAAGTTTAATGTCCCTTGATATGCGGAGGCAAAACACAAGTTAAGGACAAATACAGTATGTTTGGCTGGACCTAAAGAAAGGATCAGTAAATCTGAGTCCCAATGGCAGACAGATCACTGCTTATTAGATGACCTTCATACCAAGCTGCTTTGAAGCCCCTCCAATTCTGGAGGCATCCTATGCCAGGCCTGTCACCCTGAGGAGAAACTTCATCTGCACTGTTGCTATCACCAAGGAATGCAAGGTTGAAAATAATTGCAATGGATTGTTTAGAATCAAGAAAGCTGACAGAAAGCCTGGTAGGAAAAAGACCTTAAGAAAGCTGTGACTCCTGATCATGCTTGCCTAAGGAAGAAAACATATACATATATTGAGACATTTCAAATTAGATCAAAATCCCAGAGCAACTGAAGGAGACAGAAGATGCAAAACCTCCGCAAAATCTTTTGCATCAGAGCAAGTCTCAAAGTAATGAAACCCAGAGGGGCAGCAGTGCATAGTGGCTGATGGATGACAATTCAGCACTCTCTGAAGCTTTTCTCCACAACAAGCACCAGTCCCCAAAATGCCTAGTAGGTCTAGTGCTGAGTTAAATTCGGCAACAAGGAAAGAAAAAATATTAACAATGTTAAAATGTCAGGAAACAAATGTGAAAAGTGTGTAGAAAGACATATTAACCTGTCAACCATATAATCTCTGAATTGTACCATTGTGATTTGTTTTTATTATCTGCAATTTATAAATTATCTACAATGTTACTGAAATAAGAAAAAATAGTAAAAATATTATTTTTTAAATCTCTTTTCATTGGGGTCATTTCTCATGCCATCATTTTTATAATTTGTTTTCACTTTCTATTATTACCTATTGTTCCCATTGTTAGATATTAAATGAGTTCTTATTATGCATATTTGTCTGGCATTGTCTGATTACTGGCATTAGATAGTCCTTTAAATACTGGGATAAAGCTTGATCTAATATTATCTAATTTGGTAATTTAGTAATATAACTCTTCTATATCTGTATCCTCATCTGTAAAGTGTAATATTTAGGGTTACTAAAAATTATATAATTAGTGCATATAATATGGCTATGTATAGGAGGACTTAATTCATGGTAGTTATTATTTTTCAATTTATTCAAAACTTATTTTCATTACATCATGAGCAAGAATATTAAACTCTTCTATGGCTCCAAGTGGCATTAACTAGTTACTCATCTCAGTTGAAACTGCACTTTAAGTAACTCCTAAAATATGTTGCTCAAAGAAATTGATTGCATACCTCTTACGTATATGCAGCTGAAATTGGTGATGTGTGGAAGGATAATTAGCTAAACAATTCCAAGCAGGAAAGAGGTGATTGTCTAAAATGTTTCACAGGTACACACTGACATTAGGAGTAGGAATAGTTTTCCTAGAGGTGGCTGAAGCAGGAAGTGGAGAAGAGAGCAGATGGGAGCTAGAAGGGAGATGGTCAAGACTGCTGATGCTGCCTAACCAGAATGAGTGAGAGAACATGAGAATAAGGAGTCAACCACTGGTCTCTGCACTGTTAGAGAGCTGACTCAGAAAACAGCATACTGTAGAAGAAATAACCTTGTAGAAGGAGTCAAAGGTCTAATCTTTAGAGCCAATGCTACAATTTATGAGTTTTCAAATCCTTAGCAAATCTCAAACTTCCAGATTGTCAGTGTTCTTATCTTTATAAATAAGAACAATTACCAAACTTACTGTGAAAATAAAGATATGTTTATAAAATTGCATCTTAAAATATTATTTAGATGTAGTTTATTATTACTTATATTGACAGCCTTCTCCTTTTGACTGAGGCATCACAGGTGCTGTGCTAGAAGACCGACAGGAATACAAGAAGACCAAAGTTATATTGCATTTGCCAGGGATGTTCACACATTCATTAACTAAGCAAATACTTATTAAGTACCAACTGGGTGGCAGACACTCTCCAAGCATGGAGGCTACAGTGATAAATAAAGCAGAGAGGATACAATCCCTCAAGGTTACAAACTATATTACAATAAGTTCTATGAGGGAGATTGTAAGGCTGTGTGAGATGCGGAGAGGATCTGACCAGGTAATTCTCAAGGAAAGGATATTTGACATGACAGCTAAATGATGAAGAGAGATAAACCAGATAAAGAGAGGGAGAAAGAATCTTCTAATAGGGAAGAATGCACAAATGCCCCAAAACCAAAGGGAGCTTGTATACTGGGGGAACTGAAAATAGCTCAGTAAGGCCAAAAGTGGGAGGCAAACAGAGTGAGTTAAGGTTCAGATGTAGTCCAGGTTCAGTCTGTGCAGGCCATTACTGGCCACTCTGAGGGTTTTGGTCTTGTGGCAGGAGGCAATATCCATGTCTTCATTGTGACAAGAGTGGTGGCAGAGATGTATGAATGAAAGAGACATACTGAAAATCAACAGGATTTTCTAAGGTAGCCAAATCAATAGGATTTCCTAACATTAGAGGTGTGTCAGTGTTAAGAGTGAAAGAATAATAGGTGTTTTGTAGGTTTATGGCTTGTGTATTCTGATGGATAATAGTCCACTTATTGGGAGACAGGTTTGGGAAAAACACTATGAGTTCAATTTTAGCCTGATGAGTCCAAAGTTATTTTGTGATATCAGATGAAACATGCCAAATAGGTATATGTAATTTCAGCTCTGGCATTCAGAAGAGGTCTGGGCTGAAGTAATGTGATCTTCATTGAAGGGTATAGGGGCTTAAAGCCATGAACATGTAGATGGGATTGTACAGGATAAGAAATGCAATTAGAAAAGAACATGTACACAAGCCTAAGATAAAACTTTGACAGCTGTGGTGAGATATATGGTCCTTGCTTAATCTTGTACAATATTGAAATATCTCTGCAGAGTAAGTGTCCATAGATTGCACAGTTGAATGCCCAGCCAACCCCCAAACTCAATTTTCAGATGCAAATTGGATCAATTATACATCTTTTATAGCTTGGAGATACTCATGCTATAATCATGACATTTTTAGTGCTCCTTCTCTTTTGTTGTTCTTTGCTACCACTTTAGATTATTAAAAGAAATACAGCCTATTTTAGAGAGCAAGGCACTTACTGAAATTGTGCCTTAGTGCCAGAAATGTCACTTAGCAAAATAAATGGAAAAGAATACAAGGCACTTTGATGTAAGGACTTATAAAATAGTATACCAAAGCAATTAGGGAACCCTCTAAAATGTTTTTCCAAGGTTAGAAATGTAATCTCTGAACAGAATTTCTAACCGTTTAACATTGGAAACCATTCCAGTAAGTTGGTTCTAAAAATGACTAACTCTACTAAGCCTTTCTCTGTTTATCTCACCGCCATCCTTTTAACTGCCATAAAACAAAATCATTAAAGATGTGACCATGAGAGACAAATGTAGAAATGACAATCTCCACCTTTTTGGGTTCATGAACAACCACACCCTTTCACTGACCCAGCCAAATTGCTAAAGGTAATGGAAAATAAATGTCCATTAAGCTGAGCCATTCTGAGCTTGACCTTACTTGTTAATGAAACTAATCCTACTTTAACAGTGTGAGTGAGAATATCCATTTTCTTGCCTTTTAGGTGTAAATTATTTGATCATAGCAGATCAGCAAAAAAGCTAAGTAGTTCAGATCAATTAGGTTTTGTTCCAAATGAAAGATTTTTGCAGAAACCAGAGAAGCTGAGCAGTCATCTAGATGAACCACTGAGAGGGTTACAGTGAATTAATAGGCTGCAGCAGGGTGCATTTGTTTTGAAATTTAAGATGTAGTCTTGCAACGTTTTGCCAGGAAATATTTCATAGAGATTCTGGTAATCCAAATAATACAGCAGCATTCATGGTTCTGTCATCTCTTTCTCTTTCTCCATGTATCCACATATCCATCTGCCTTTCCGCTTTTTCATTGATTTATTAATTGATGATACACATGAAAAAATAGGCTCTTTACTTCCGATTCAGCTAGATGAGGTTTTTGGATGATTGTTCCTAATGACAAGTGCACAATCACAAGTGATTAAGCAAACACCAACCCCTTAGTCTACAAATGCTGACATGGATAAGTACTAGGTAATAAGCTATATATCAAGAACTTATTTATACGTTTTTCAAAATTTATTAAAGTTTGAAAAGTGTTTAAGCAGTGTGAATATTGTAAAATTAGCTAGAAAAAATAAGAGATTCAAAAAGAATGAATTTATAGGAGATGAAAATGCAAGTCTACAATGATCACAGAGAATATTAAAGAGAGAGGACAGTGGAAACAAAAGCAGTGAAACAGTATCAGGTGCAAATAACAAGCATTAATTATGTTTCAGAAAAATAGCACAATAAACAACATAAAATTAAACTAGACATTATAACATAAAATATAAGGAAGGAGAGTTAAATCAGTTTAAGATAATAATAATTTTGGTAGCAACCATAAGTTTTCCTGGATGAATATATGTTTTGCTAGGCCGATTATGAACGAAGTTACTTGGAAACCAACATTGAAAGACTACATCAGCAATAGAGCAATAGATAAGTTATTTGTGAATGGCACCAGACCTGCCTTCCCCCCAAAAAGGAAAATCAGGTTTTTTAAGTTTTGTTGTGACTATAATACCATATGTAATTTTAAAACCAAAATAAATCATGAAGACAAAGTTGGGGATAAAGTATGACAAGAGGAGTTAAGAATTATAGTTGTGGGGAGGGGAAGAGACAGGAAAAAAGGAAAGTCATAATCTATTTACATTAGCCAATACAATTTTCTGATTTGTATACATCCTTTAAAGATTCACCTTTAGCAAAGAATGGTTTTAAATGGATGTTAAGTTTCTTTCCGAGAAACAAACCAAACAAGCAAACATGGATCCAAAAGAGCCTTCAGTCATCAATATGTGTTCTTTTGCCATCCATGTGTTTAAAAGTATCTTTGGATTTTGAAAAGTAACTATAGGTTACAGAATGAATTTTGACATTGCCTAACAGGAAGTAGGGATTTGAATGTTCTAAAGTCAGGAATTATTGCACTTCAATACAAGCTAACATTTTTTAAGGGATTTGTGTCAGATGCTTTGATAAGGAGTTTACATGCTTTGGCAGGTACTGTAATTAACCCAATTTTTCCAGGTGAAGAGTCTGAACATAGACATTTTCACTAATAACCCACGGTTGCTCAGTGATGAAGCCTGCTTTCACACTGAGCAGTGCAGGGTCGCAGCCCAGGTGCTTCCCTACTGGGCTGAATTCTGTAATGCTGGGAGGAAAGAGACAGAAGGTTCAGGTTAGACCTATACAGAACTGAACTGCTTGTCACTAGGTGAGAAAACCTGTTGTTCCAATTTTATTTCATTTCTCTGGTTGTGAAATTAATATAGCAGGAAATTCAGGAGTACTAACTGTATTGCTATCATAGTAAAGTTCACATACTAGTTAGGCTTCACATCTGAGTTAGCTATGGTTTGCCTACAAAAAATGTGGAACCACCATAAAAATAAGGGAGAAAGGCTTGTACCTGAGCCTCCTTTGGGCAGGCCTGCTTTCACGTGGTACCCAGATGGAATCCAGTCTCATATGTGATCATAATTATCAATAATGGAGTCGCAGCAACAATAGCAAAATAACGAATCCAAGGTAGAATATTATTGGAATTCGTTTAGGGAACAGAGGAGGAAACCAGCATCTCATAGCTCAGAATGAAGTTCTCAACAGTCCTTTGCCATCTTCCCTATTTCTGTAAACTTCCTCTTAAAGACCACTGTCAAAGTATTTACGGCTTTCTTTCAATGTCTCTCTTCTTTGTCTTCTTTTCCAGACCTTTTACCATCCCCTTTCACCTATAGTTCCTCTTTGTCTGTGAGATCTGCATCTTCCCCTCAGTGTTTCTCTTTCCCTTTTGTATGTAGCATGATGTATCCCCATCATGCCCAAGATGATAGGAAAATCCACCCATCATCTTGCTCCACAAAAAGAATTTCAGGATTCACTCTTTTAAGAAGGTTCAGGATGGGGAAAAATGTCACTATTAATCCAGCATATTTTCCCTAGTTACACCTGTTACAGCATTACAATAAACAAAGAGGAGATTTGCTGCTGGAGCCCTTATCTCTAACCTGCCCTTGGGTCTTCCTAACAGGTTTTGTGTGAGGGACTTAGATCTCCACTTTCCCCACACATATTTGGAAATGTTACAATGCAAGGGACCACCATGTATATATAAAGAATAGGCAACGCTTTCAAGTTCAGATGTTCACATTCTGTCTGCTCATGGGGAACTCAATTCTTATTGATCCAGGCTGAGAAGAGACAGGAGTCCTTATGAACAGAAATTGGAAGTGGAATGTTTGATGGCCACATTCCTCTAGGTGCCCAGGTGAGACTTTTCATCATTATTTTCCATACCATGTGAGAGGCACCAAAAATGAGGACTGTTCTCCAGGAAGGTGTCCCTGTCACTTTTACTATTGTAGTTTAATTTCTTAAAATGTTGTCAAAGAGGCCTCCTATTTTATCACACACTCACATATATATACTGCAAAGGAGGACATTCATATGATTAAACGTGTCCTCTTTACCGCTGTCAGCAGGAGTAAATAAGAGACCATGAGCAAAGGATAGCATCACCCCTCTACAGGCAGGGAGTGTCTCTGAGCTCCCAGGAAGACTGTGCCACTGTGGGATTGTACACCTCCAGCAACAGGAGTTAAGTGAGGCCTCTAACTCTGCATGGGGCTAAGGAGAGCCCTATGCAACCCTCTCAACACTCACAGCCTCTCACCACTATCTGCCCTAGGAACATTGGACCTAATATCCCATTCTCATTCTTGTAGGTGTAAACTGCCACAAGAAAGGAAGACTTCAAGTCATCTCTCATTCACCACTAATCTCTAGTGGGTTGTCTGTTGCCTTTTCTGACCCCGTCTTTTATGCCTCCATGCCTTTTGAAATGAAAAGCCTCCCTGGCTTTTGAAAGACTTTCATGTGCTTTCTAGTACTCAAAGTATTTTCTAACAAAATCCCCTGTGTCCTCATCCATTTCTCTGAGCATTTTCCTCACTTTTTTGCTCTAGTAATATCTGAACCTCAGTTAAGGACACTCCTTCCTCTGCTGCTCTCTAAATAATGGCTGTTTTCTCTCCCACTCCTGCCATTCCACTGGCCTGGAGATGGGAATCAGTGACCTCCTTGGTCCTCATTGCTGCTTCCATGCCATTATCCCTCTATCTCTAAAAATGTCATTTTGTATTTTATGTTATCAGGCTATACTTCTCCTGGCTTTTCTTATTGCCATTATCTACCACTGCTGGGACATTGTCTTTCATTCCCTGCATGTTTCCTTGCCACTGTCAATCTCCACCTCAACTCCTTAGTAACATTCATATGCAACATAAATGATCTATCTAATACTCTGCCTTCTTAATCCTTGATATCTTCCCCCGCCATGTTACTTACATCCTTTAGTCATCCCCTTCACCTAGTCACTATAAATAATTACAATCCCTCCAAAATCCCAATTTCAAAGATGCTACTCTCTGAACTCATATCTCTCCAGCTCGCTCCTAGTAACCCCACAACATCAATCCTACAATATCCTCAAAATTTTCAAATCCCTGATCCTGTCATTTATGCATCTCTCCTCTCCCAGCTTAAATGTCACCGTCAGTCAAACCCATTTCCCAGCAAATGCCCTCGCCTCCTTTATCTATTGTCCTTCAAGTCTCTCATTTGATTTTACCACTAGCCGGTTAATTTCAACTCTATGAAGCCAAAAGTGACTAAGGAAAAATACACAACTATGCTAACTTGTCTCACTTCAAACACGTGATCACTAACCTCAGCTTGGAATTGCCTTGGAGTTGCCTGGTAATCAGACTATATTCCTTGAGTCCATTTACTCAGCCACTATACTGAATGATTAGTTCATACTTTCTCTTCAATCGGAAATAAATTTTAACAAGTTATTGCCATATCTACCTGTTGACCTGCATCTTTGCCCAGATGCTTTACTTAATCTCCTGTTACAGGATATCGAAAATTCCCAAATCTGTATCTAGCCAGCTAGAGACATAGAGAGGGGTAACGAAGTAAATGTGGAAAACGTTAACATGGAGGGAATGTAGAAGTTTTTATACTGCTGTTTTAACTTTTCTGTGGAACTGATATTATTTTAAGAAAAAAACAGTCCTTACTTCCTGACTATGCTTTATTAGGTACTACATAATCTGGATCCTTTTACCTCTCTGAGCTCATGCGCTACTATGTATTTTTGCTCTTTCGATTCACTCTCCACCCTTCTCCACCCTGATCTGTGCCTAAAGAGCCTCCACTATGTGAGCACATCAGCAGGTTCCCTTCTCAGCTCCAATATGATTTCAACAATGGGGAGCACTTTCAGAAGAGGGAAGAGTAGGAGACAAGAGAGGTAGGGATATTTATTCCCCTAGATCTCTCCTTTCCAGGCCTCATATTTGTGGGAACTGTGTTCTGTATTAGTCTCCTCTACATCTATAGTAAAAGCTCCCTCCATGCTTTGGCCATCCCTCTCTCTACTCCATTGGAAGCCTAGACCTCCCTAGGGCCTTCATTGTCTCTTGTTTGCTTCCCTTACCTCCATTCACATTTATAAATACTCCATTCATCAAATTCTCAATTATCCTATGTGATTGTCCACTTTTCCTTCCAGAGTCTGAATGGAAGAAAACACCTCTCCTGCTACTCTGTCCCCAAAGCACTCTGTTTCATCTATACTGGCTTCCATGCTGATCCTTGGACCTGCTAGGGACATATTTGTTCTGTTTTCTCCCCCTGAAACACTATTCCACGAGATATTCACATAGCTTGCTTCCTCATCTCCTTTCTGCATTTAATCTAAAGTCTCTTTCCCAGTGAAACCCAAAATTTCAACCCCTGATACTTCCTACTGGCCTTATCCATAACACTAACTACTCACTAATGGATGTATTTTATTTATTTGCCTTTCTCTTACCTGTTTCACCTTTAGAAGATAAGCCACAGGATTGCAGAAATTTCTGTCTCTTTTTTACAATGCTGTATCCTGGGGCTAAGAACAGGGCCTGGTACATAGTCATGGCTCATTCAGTATTTGTTGTTGAATAAATTGAATCTTTGTGTCCAACATAAGGTGATCAATGAAGTTTTTGATGAAATACTGATTGACTTACTGACCTACTGAATAAATTTTTAGACACTGAATGAGAAGCCTTAGGAGCTGAGTGGAACTTGAGGGTTGAGAGATGATTTGCCTCAACCTGCAAATTTCACAGATATGGAAATTTGAGGCCCAGCTTTTAGTGACTTATAGTGAGACTCAGTGTCTCTCACAGCACAAGTGAAAAACTAGGTCAGGATGATAATCCAACTCTCTGCCCTCTGAGTCCAGTTCTCTGCCACATTTGCAGATTAGTTTTAGGAAAAAAAAAGAAATACATTTCATATTATTCTAACTAGTACTTTATATAAAACATGGCCAGAATTTTGGAATAAACCCCCCTGAAGCTTATATTAGTGCCACAGTCATTTTCAGGGCTTAAGCCTAGGTAGCTCTGGCTTTAGGCTGGTTTATTATCAAAGCCTCTGTAACCTGTCTCTCAGCTTTTCAATATTACTTCTCACTTTATGAGTGATGGGTGACCTTTTTGATTCCACTAAGCTTCTGAAGCTAATAAAAGTAAAGGTCCTTTTGCCTCTCCAGCACTCCTGTTGATGCAGAAATTTTTTTTTCTATGTTCTTTTGCACTAAGTCCTCTTGTTTCCTAATTATCCAGAGTATGGAAACTAAAAGAAAAGAGCATTTGTGCCCAGCCCATACTGGAACAGGAGAAAATAGTTTCCAAACTATTTCTATTTTTAAAATAGATTTAATAACTAAAAAATCTTTTTAACTTAAATCTCCCTACATTGTTTGCCACTTAAAAGTGACTCATAAATAATCATTGTTTTTGGAATAGGCAAAAGAAAACATCTGAGATTTTGTTAATGATGTTTGTTGCTAATAGACCATTTGTTGGTTTTTAATTTTTATATACTTATAGCAGAATAGAATATTTTTTAAAAAGTAAATATAACTAGTTGTCTTTGCCTGAGGAAGGCTTAGTGATAACTCAGTAAATTAGCCTCATCCCATTTTACGGAGGAAAAAATTGAAGTAAAATAGTTTGTCTAAGGACACATAGCTAGAAAGTAGCAGAATTTGGTTTTAATTCAGATCAGTCTGATTCCAATATCCAAGAAGTTTTGGACAGTATGGTATGTCTATAAAGTGAATTACTTCCCATGAAAATACAAGTTGTTCCTAAACTAGTATTCTTAAAATTCTTTTACATATTTTAAAATATTTAAACTGTGCTTCAGAAGCACTGAATATTAGGATTGGAGGTCTCTATGGTTATCTAGTTCAAACTGCTTCTAGAAGCTTGAATGTCTTTAACAATATCTGGTCAGCAGAGCATGTGGCCTCAAGTGATAGGAATTCAGTTATTCTACCCAAAGTAGGTTTCACTGTAACACTCATGATTAGAATAGTCTTTTATTTTGAGATGAATTCTGTATCTTTATGATTTTTGAATTGTGGTCTTTAGAACCAAGATATGGCTAGTTCATCAAAATATATATTCTAATTCTCTTAACTCTCAACTTCTTTTTAGAGTGTAGGGTCAGAACACAATACCATAAACCCTCACTGTAAAACATTTTGGGGGTGAGGAGTCAAACAGCTTTTAAGTTTAAAATGAAGATGAGTTCAATATTCGAATCTTTAAAATGCATGTGGAATATTGTCAAGTCAATTAAATAACTGATGAGCCAGAGCTCCAGGGTCTGTCTTGTGATCCAAATCCACCCTCATCCCTGCTGTGCTTTGGCGCCACCTGGTGGTGGTTACTATGTGACAGACACTGTGATGTGTGGGCTGGGTATTCAGTGGGTTAGATGCTAGTGAGTGAACAGACAGATTCAAACGAACGATGACACAAATAAGAATAGTATAACAAATTGTAATAACTTCAAAGAAGAATAGAAAGAGTTATTAGGAAAGAATAGACCACAATATTTCATTAGCAGTGAAAAATGAGGAAAGGCTTAAGAAAGTGACATTTTAGACCTGGAGGATTACAGAAGTTTTACATGTGAGTTCAAGGAAAAGAAAACAGCAAGTGCAAAGATCCTCAATAATATCGAAACATGTATTCAGAAAACTACGAGAGGCTCAATGAGGCTGACAAGTAGTTAATAGGAGGAGAATGAGACTGGAGAAATAACTAGAAGCCTGAACTTGAAGGGTCTTGAAGAGATTTGGGGATCTTAGGCTGCAATGGGAAGCTATTACAGCAAGAACTGATATTATCTGAGAAAGAACAAGGGTAAAAGCAAATTAAGAAAAAATATTGCAATGATTTAGGTGAGTGGTGCTGGTGGCAATAGAAATGGTGGCTAATTTGTTGGGAATTCCCTTTCTCTTGATTTCATTTTATTTTCCATTTTTAACCCTTATGTGGTTTATGAACATGCCCCTGAATTTCAAATGAAGAAAATGCAGTAACTAGAAGCACCATTGGTTGAAGTAAGACCGAAGTTTTTGTTCTCATTTTGTTTGCTTCCTTGTTTTCTTGGGTAGACTGTTTGTCGGGGATCGCTCTCTAAGTTGCAACTGCAGCCTTTAAAAACCCTGACCTTCTTCGTGTCCCCTTAGGAAATGAGAAGAAACACTTCAAGGCTGCTGACAACACACTGGTCATCTGACCTTCATGCAGCTACTAAAGAAGAGACTGGAAATTGCGGGCTAGGAAGGAAATGTTTCTTCCTTCCCTAATCTGTCAGGATGTTTGTCTAGCTTCCTCTCAGATGTGAACAAGAAAAGTATACACTGAGGCAGTATAATTTATTGGGGGAGGAATGCAGGGTCTGAGTCAAAACTGCCTGATAGTTATCTCAGTGCCACCTCTCTCTTGAACAAGTCATGTAAACTGTTTGGGCCTCAGTTCTACATCTGTACAATGAAAATAATCAAATTCATTTTATAAAGTTTTGAGTATGATGAAATCAATCAGTATATATAAGTCTTTAGAAGAGTGGCAAATAGGTGATGTTAAAAAAATTAGCTTTTAAGTTTGTGAAAGATTGGTATGTAGTTGCTTATTAAAGTACTTTGAGCACGATAAAATTGCACCAATAAGGGGGTTATATATTTAGAGTGAGAATAAAAGTACAGTGTTTCAACATTTTCTGTCAGCTACCTGGAGATGAGTCATATACCATAAATACTTTCTCTTAACTTGAACACCCACAAAAATCTAAGCTCAGCAAAAGGATAAAATGAACAGGAAAATGAAATAAACTAGGGTTTCTACTTATATCCCATTTCGATTAAGAATTTTAAGGAAGAGGCTCTTAATGTATATTTTCTATTTCTCCAAAGGTTAAAAATCTGTTGGAAGGAATCTCCCCACCATCCACTTAAAAGCATTTTGATGCCCCTAATCAGTGTATTGTAAATAAGGAAGAAACTAAGTAAAAGAAAATGCTGTCAAGACAGGAAATGGACATTGTGGTGACTAACCTGAAATATAACTAAAGACATAAACTCTTAACTGCATTTTCTCTTAAAGGATTTTATGTATAATGTTAAAAAATAGTTTTGTCTGGATAACTGAGTTGGACTATAAACAACAGTCTGCAAGAGTAATACTTCCCAAGATGGCACTCTGATTTTTTTTTTAACCAGCAGACCACTTTGGCAATAGCCAAAAGATTCAGGAATAACTTAATGACATAGCCAGATGTGTCTTAGAAAATCAACTGTCTGGCCAAACCACCAAACCCTACAAAAAGGGAGAATGAGCTCAGCAGGTAGAAAAAAATTCCGTCATGCACGATGTATGCTAGGAATATTATTGTGACTCAATTAATAGCATAGTCTCTATTTGCTATTTGGTTTTAAAACTCTTTCTCATTGAAGCCAGTTTCTCTCAGTGCTTCTGCAAGATAACAAATATACCTTTACTAAGTCATATCCTAGCATCCTGAAAGTGTTCCTGTGTGTTCCAGCAGTGCTTGATGTACTCCCCAGCATGCTGTACTCAGCTGTTGATTCTGGCCTATTATTACAGAAAAGCAGCATGCGTTAGTCCTTTAGATGTATTGATATCTAGTGAACCACTAAACTATGGTTTGTTTATTAACATTTGATTTGCAAAGCCAGTTACTATTTAAAGATGTTTCTTTAAAGAAAGACAAGTTTATCTTTCTATGAGTGGGCAACATGTCTTCCTATGTGTGGGCTCACATGTCTCCCTCACTTCTCCCTACCTCCTGATGCTTAATATGTTCCAGAATTCTTCACCAGAGGTGGCTTGTCCTTGCCTTTCTCTCATTCTTTCCCAGAGAAGGAAGATATTTTATCTGATTTGAAAGTTTGGGAGCTCATTCAGGTCAATTTTTCTTTCTCTCCCTCATCTCTGTCTCTGTCACTCTGTCTCAGTCTCCATCTGTCTCCCTGTGTCTCTCTGCCTCTCTCTGTCTCTTTCTGTCCATCTCTCTGTGTCTTTCTGCCTCTCTGTGTTTCTGCCTCTTTCTATCTCTCTCTCTCTGTCTCTGTCTCTCTGTCTGTGTCTCTCTCTGTGTCTCTTTCTGCCTGTCTCTCTTTCCCTGTCTCTCTGTTTCTCTCTCTCTCTCTGCTACTTTCCCTGTCAGCTAGCTACTGGCAGAAAGATGCATTCTCTACTACTCTTTGCTCCACAAGAACTTTCTTGCCTATGGGTATTTTGCAGTTTCACCTGCTTTCTGTCATCCCGGTAACCTTACTAGCTTAAGTTGTCTCAGGAAATTGGGGAAGAGAAGTGAGAGGGCTCTGGCAGTTGATTCTGGAGAGGGGAATAAATTCATTTCAGGGCACAGGAGCCCATTTGAGAAGCAGGCCTTAAAATCTGTTCTCCGATTACATTCATGTATAGCAAAGGCATCTATGTCTCGTTGCTCAGAAACTGGGCAAAGAAGAGGTGTTTTATATTGACCTCTACATTGTCAACTCTAGCCTGGGCAACATGGCAAAACCCTGTGTCTACAAAAAAAAACCACAAAAAATTAGCCCAGTGTGATGGTGCATGCCTGTAGTTCCAGCTACTCAGGAGGCTGAGGTGGGAGGATCATTTGAGCCTGGGAGGCAGAGGTTGCAGTGAGCTGAGATCATGCCACTGCACTCCAGCCTGGGCAACAGGGTGAGACTGTGTCTCAAAAAAATAAATAAAATAAAAAACACTTTTTAAAGAAATGAATGATGAATGCATGTTAAAGTTTTTATTTCAGGTTTTCCATGAGGGAAGTGTTCCGAAGAAGCCAAATCACAGAATCTTTCCTGATAGGGTCATTTCATAGGAAAAGAGAGTAAGAATAGATACAAGTTTTTAAAAAAGTATCTAGCTCAAGCTCATTAGACCCCTGATTGACAGTCACCTGGGAGAGAGCTGCCTACCTAAAGCTCTCAATCTTTTCCAAGTTTGTCAGAAAATTGCTTAAACATTTAAAAAGATATGCATATTTCTCCCCAGAAGGAGAACATAAATTACTGCATGTACAATTTTTGTCCCAGACCAAAATATGAACAATTTTTGCTTTATCATTTCTTATGCTAAAACATTACAATAATGAGATGTTTGACTTTTCTTCTATATGACCCTTTTTGACATCACGTAGGTACTCACATCAAAGTACACTTCAAATAACTGTCAGAATGACGTGCCAAATAGTAATGATGATAATAATGATAAACAACCATATGTTAAGCATTTATTATGTGCCAGGTATTATTATAACTACTTGATATTTACTAAATTATTTAATCTCACAACCCTATGACACTGTTGGGCCCCAATCATATCCCCCGAGACCTCAACATTATAGTGTAGGTTGGATGCATTTTCAAATTTTAGCATATGTATCTATTTGCCTGAAACTTTTTCTGGATGCTTGAGCCTGTTCTGCCTGTATTCACTGAAGTGTCAGAGAATTAAGACTTCCTGGAAGAGCCTTAAACCAAGTACTTATGGGACTAGGTGTTTAAAAAACCCAGCTCCTTCTCCCCTTAGATGAGATTACTCTGAGGTCATGTGTTCCCCACTGGCTCCCAGGAGGTTTAAGCCCCACTTATCTACAGTGGTAACTTGCTTGACAATGCACTTTTCATTGGCTGCTTTTACTTTCATTTCTCACTTCCCCACTTCCCAAGAGTATTTCCTGGATCACTTCCCAAGAGTATTTCCTGGATCTCCTCCCAAATAAATTACTTACAATTGAATCCCTGCCTCATAGTTGGCTTCTGGAGGAATCCAAATGAAGATAATATGTACGAAAAATGATTCTAGGATGCAGACTTTTGGGATGGGATTATGCAATTGGATTGTATACTGGACAGATGGCAATAATTACCTAAGTAGGTTAGTGGGGTGTGATGGACTGGTGACATCTTCAGAAATGCTAGAATAAGACTCTTACTGCTGGTGAAATTGTTTTGAGTTATAGATGGGAGGAATGTACTGGGTTATACAGTGTTTCCAGCATTTCAGCAAGATAGACAGAATGATAATTATAAGGATTGTGAAGCTGGTTAGTAGTTGTTCTGTGCTGTTTATTCAGTTTCAGATGAGTTGACAGTTATGTCAAGTCAGTTCAATGTGTGAAAGGCCTAGAAGGACTCTGTAGTAGCATTTAAAGCAACCCTCATCTTCTCATGTCAGAGGACAGCACTGTTTTAAAGTTCAGTCCCAGGACCTGATTTTGAGAGAAGCAGATTTACAAGATGGCTAAATTAACAGCCTTGGCAAGTCTTCTAGGCTAATGTTGGGGCCACAATAAAGGAGGAGAGAGATCCTGAGATCTGAGATGAGGATATACGGATGGCTGACCTTGAGGCCTACACTCCAAGATTTACCCTGAACCTTCTAAGCCAGCAGCAGAAGTGTCCCCTCCTGTTGCTATAATATCCATTCCTTGCTTGGAGATCATTTGAAATCCTCAAGTGACGTATATGCCTTGTAAAATGATGCTGGCCTACCTCAAGATTTGTCCAAATTCCCTCATTGCTTCTAGACCACTAACTAGACTCAGTGTCAACATGGCCTGATCAGTAAAGCATTATTCTTGCTTTGGAGGAAATGGATTATTCATCAAAAATACTTTAGGACCTGGCTAATGTGTATTGGCAGGGACCAAAATAACATACAGTGAATGGATTAGGATACCCTGTGATTTAATGTTTAATGTCCTAGCAATGACATTTACTAATAGATCACTAATTCCTAATAGATCACTAATAGAGCTCTCTGAGGTTGGAAAAAATGATGGCTGGATAGGCTGGAAGTCTATGAATGAGTATTGAGGCAAGGCTCAGGAAACTAGTCATTTAAGAATAGATTTATTACAACACCAGACTATAATTGACTATGTTCTCCTGAAGGTCCCAAGGAAACTCCCCTTCACTCTAGCTACAGAAATGTGCTAGTAAAGCAGATCCAGCATCAGTGGGAAGCTCAGTTGTGATTGTCCTCTTTAGGCAGGACTGAGAGTAAGACATACTTTTATGGAACTGAGCTACCTGGAGATGATAGGATACCAGACTAGTCAAGGCCAGGTGGCAGCACCAAATTATCAGAGTCAAGATGAATGTAATTCTTGTAATGGGCAGCACTGTGAGAAATCCCTAACCCATGCAAATAAACAATAATGACTTCTAGACCCTAGTGATCCTAGGGTCAAGACAAATGGGAAGCCAATAAGAGTATTTCTTAATATCTATAATAAAAAGTGATCAAGAGTGCAGAAGCAGAAGGCTTATGTTAGCCACAGCAAAGGAAAGTCATCATCTCTTGTCCAGTTTCCAGACATGAATCTATTTTCAGAATTAGACTCATAGATTTAAGAAAAGACTGAGTCCTCTCGAGGAAGAATGCTGAAATGCCTGCGTAGTGTTTACAGTAGTGACTCCCCAAGTCCTTCTTCTAAGAAGTCTATGACCATTTTCTCAGATAATGTGCATGATTGAGGAAAAAGAAATATTCAAATCTCAGGGGAAATTGTATATAGGGGTCTAAGCTTTTGCTAATAGAGGAAACAAAAAAACAATCATGGCTTCCCTGTAGGAATGCGAAGGCCTGTGACAGAGTCTTGCTCAAAATTTATCTCACAGTGGAACCAACATTTCAGTTCCCTGGTCCCTGAGTGTGGAATTGTGATGGATATACTTGGTAGCCAGCAGTACCCTCATGCTGTTCCCTAGCCCATGGAGTAAGAGCCAGAAGGGGAAGAAAGGCCACATGGAAGCTCCTGAACCTGCTCAGCCCAGTCAGGCTCTAACAAATTAGAAGAAATACACCATCCTGTGTGGAACCCTTAAAAGATGTAAAGATACAAGTTCTCATTATAGCTTCCATTTAAATGATCCCTGCAAAAGTGAGATGAATGAAGGCAGATGACATGAACCCCTTCTATAAGGTGATATGAAAAGGTGCCAGGTTTGAGTGGGGCTCTTCAGTAGATTCAAGCTGGATTACAAGCACTGCTGCTGTTTGGGCCTTATATTATAGCAGATGCTGTGGTGATAGAAGTTCCTGACCTAGATAAGGATATCATATATGGTTTCTGCAAACTCCAAGAGAAGTCACAGCACAGACTGCCTACGGTTTTGGAGCAAAATCATGCTGTCTTCAACACAAAACTATTCATCATTTGCACAGTTGCTCCTAATCTGCCACTGAGCCCTAATAGATGCCTATCATCATTATTTGTATATTGTCAGAACTGCCAAGTAATAAGATTGAGGAGTAATGCATATAATGGAAATGATACATTCAAGATCAGGCCAAAGGGGGGCATATTGAATCAGAAACTTGAAGACGGCCCAGATTCCCTCTCCATGTCACTTTCCCCTATTAGAGTGAGGCCAATCCCACAGCTCATACCTATGGCCATGTGGGGGTTCCCCAAGACCGGCTGTCAGAATGTGATGCATTCAAGTTGTCATGTTGGTAACATTCAAAAGTGTATTGCTTCTATATTACAATCCCACTCAATGTTGGCCCTAAAAGAGAGCAGTGAGAAACCCTCCTTTGGGCCCAGCTTTGAATGGTATACCTGCCATCAAGTAGATGTGGAAGGGAAGTGATCTGAAGTAAAAATATACATAGACTTCTTGGCATTAAAAAATGGCTTAGTCAATGGGTCAATCACGTGGAAAGAGTAAGATTGAAATATTAAGAACAGCTAGGAAGACACAAGGGAGTAGGAACAAAATGTGCAGATTTTTGTGTCTCACATCAATGTCCACAGACACTGCAGAAGAGGCACTGAACAAATAGAAAGATAGGATGATTTGTGAAATAGTGAAAGCCATTTAGGCCCCCTTCAAGTCAGCACAAAGCTTGAAAAATCAGCCTTTAAATGGGGTTGTAGGGTGACAGGGATAAAGGCTATGCACGTGCTCCCTTTCACCAAGGCTGACATAGTTACTACCATGCTACTACCATTACCACCTGTCAATAGAAAAGATTGATGTTGAACTTTCAATACGGCACCATTCCTCAAAAACCACATAGCCATTTAGTGGCAAGTTGGGTAAATCAGACCTCTTTCAGCCTGGAGAAGGCAACAATTTGGGGGTTGGTGAAATTGATGCATGTTTTTTCCATCCTTTCTTATAGTACTTTGGCCACCACTACTAACTGAGGGCTCAGAATTTCTGATTTATTGTCATGGAATCTTATATAACACCACCTTGAATAAAGCAGATATGGCATGGGGCACATGTCCACTGGTCCCAACACATTGTCATTCTTCATAAGCTGTCAACCCAATAGAACATTAGACTGGCCTCTTAGAGGTAAATCTAAAGCACCAGGATAGAAACGACACCCTCAAGGAGTTGGGGTGCTGTTCTTCAAGATGCAGCATATCAACCAACAGCCATTATAAAGTTCAGTATTTCAAGTGCAATAAATAAATGCATCTAGGAACCAAGGTGTGGAAGAAGGTGTAGCCCTCTTCACCATCAACCCCAATGATCCACTGGGTTCCCTGGACAAGAGGCCCTGGTTTCTGAGGAAATGGGATTACTTCTATTAGACCAGAATATAGGTTCCATGAAACCTAAAGCTATGCCTTCCACTTGGGCATTTTAGATGTAGCAAACCTATAGACTAGCAAGCAAAGAAATGGTTCATTATATCAGCAAGGAAAATTGACACTGATTGTCATGCAGAGATAAGAGTTGCTGCTACATGGGGATAATGCAGAGTATTTTTGGAATTCAGAGGGTTCATTAGGGAACCCCCTATTTTGTTCAGGCCTGGTAATGCTCATGCAACATGATAGAAACCTACCAAAGTAAAGAGTTCAGACCACTCAAGAATGAATATCTAGGTTGTGCAAGGGACAAATACTGTAGAATAGCAGAGGTGATAGCCAAAGTAAAGGATCTACAATGAGTGGTAGAAGAAAGAGATGATGAATATCATTTGTGGCCTTGGGACTAACTGCAGCAGGAAAGAATGTAGTTGGTCCTACTAATCCATATTTTATAAGTATTATAACTCGCCACCACCTTGAAGATTAAGTTAGAAAGTGGAATAAACTAATGAGGGCCTTGAGTGGATTTGAGTGATGCAAAAGGTGAACTGTGGCAGATGTTAAGACTTGCATTAATATCTTCATTCTATTGATGAGGAAACTGAAACAAGAGAATGGAAAGTCAGCTTGCCTAAGGTTATCCAGCTAGTGATTGGCGGGGACAAAGTTTTAACTCAGGTTCTTCCTCATTGATAATGATTTGAACAAATAGAAAACAGTGATAGTCAGCTGGGCGCAGTGGCTCATGCCTGTAATCCCAGCACTTTGGGAGGCTGAGGCAGGTGGATCATGAGGTCAGGAGTTTGAGACCAGCCTGGACAACATGGTGAAACCCCATCTCTACTAAAAATACAAAAAAATTAGCTGGGCATGGTGGCACATATCTGTAATCCCAGCTATTCGGGAGGCTGAGGCAGGAGAATCACTCGGACTCGGGAAGCGGAGGTTGCAGTGAGCCGAGATTGCACAACTGCACACTCCAGCCTGGGTGACAGAGGGAGACTCTGTCCAAAAAAAAAAAAAAAAAAGAAAGAAAGAAAAAGAAAAGAAAAGAAAATAGAGGTAGTCAGGTGAGGGGCTCATGCCTATAATCCTAACACTTTGGGAGGTCAAGGTGGGAGGACTGCTTGAGTTCAGGAGTTCAGGGCCAGCCTGGGCATAGTGAGGTCTAATCTCTACTGAAAAAAATTAAAATAAAAAAAAAATTAGCCAGGAGTGGTGGTGCGCACCTGAAGTCCCAGCTACTTAGGAGGCTGATGGAGGAGGACCATCTTGAGCCTGGGAGATCAAGGCTGCAGTGGGCAATGATTGTGCCACTGCACTCCAGCCTGGGTAACAGAGTGAGACCCTGTCTCAAAAAAAAAAATAGATAGCAAGATGTTAATTCATGGATTCACTTTCAGAGTTAGAATTTAAATAAAAGACAATATAATGATCTGGATATGATATGAAGCTATAAAATATGAATATAGGATTTGTTTACTGAACTTATGAATCTATCCTAGTCTATCCTAGAGGACAGAAGGGTATAATAGTTCATAAAAACCTTACTGTTCCAAGTCAAGAAGAAACCCAGGGTTCAAAGTAAAGAAATAAACAGTTCTTTACTGTGAGTTCAAGTGTTACATTTCATTCCACACGGAGCTCCCAGTTGGGTCGGTATTTATGGGCCATTTGTCCACTCTTTTCAACTTGTCCTAGCTCTCCTCAAATGGTCTTTTGATCATGTTTTAGGGGCATGGCTCTGGCTATCCCTGTTGCTGGTAGGGACATTCTCTTGGCCTTCTTTTTCATTTGCTCAACATTCCTCCAGCTCTATGATTCTTTCAATCACGTTAACCCCCTAGGTTCGGTCCCTTCTCCTTGGCATCCAATCCAGGCTCAATCAGTCCTTCAAGTCCAGTTAGTCCCACTCTGGATAGGGCCTGGAGAAGGGAGGTGGGAGGGAGAATCTTGTGGGAACTGGGAAAAGAAGTACTTCAGACCTTGTGGCTCAATTAGACAAACTGCCAAGTTTGTTATGCTAGAATCTCCGTTCCTCTGCTTTAGTTCACATCACTAAATGTCCTTTTCTCAGAAATTAGCCTTCGAGTTTTTATGTATCAGGAAGAATAATGAGGGAAAGGGAGAAAAACGCTGCCACACATGAAATTGGCTGCTGTTTTTTCCCCAGGAAAGTGTGCAAATGTGTGCTCACTCACATTTGTCAGATTCAAGTTAGTAATATGAATTAGTAAGAATAGGCAGTAATCCACAAGTAGGCAGTAACCCATACAATGAGATTTGAATAATAAGAAACAAATTTCTATCCAGAAGTACCTTCATTAACCAGTTACAGGACTTTTACCCCTTATGCCCTCAAGGTGATATGTATTTGCCCTACACTGAATTAAGCAACACTTGATATTACTGAAAAATACTTAGAAAAGAATTTTGATGGACTAGTATACAAAATTTTAAAATGAAAAAAAATCAGTAAGAAGAAAATACTTTGGTAAGATGAATAAGAAACACCAATTTAGAAACAAAAGAATTCAGGGAAACTGACAGAAGGTGGGTAAAAACTCATGAAGATAACAGATGCTAAAGAGAAGAAATCTGGAAAAAGGTACATAGGGTTTTATATAAAAATTATATATATATAAATTTTATCTTCATAATTTTTATATTGTAGCTACGCTTGTATATAAACAGCTTTTCAACAGGATTTCCTATCCAAGGAAGTAACATGTATTTAATTGTTAAGTTCTCCCATACATTCTTATTTATTATAAATTCATATGTATGTATTTGTTATTTTATTTATTTGTATCATTTCCATTTGTATGTGTTTCCTTTTTTTTTATTTGATCTGCAAATGTATGGGCAGTACTTAAATCTATTTGAAGACTGTGGTTTCTCAATTTATTTCTAAACTTTTAATTAATGGTTTTATGCTATATTTTAGGCACAAAAAATGTATTACTATATATCTTCTTGGTGATTAACACACATTTTCTTTTTTCATTTTTAATGCTTTGGACTTGAATCATTTTATCTGATATAAATTTTATTGTAACCCTTGTTTTTCTCTTATTCAATTTGCCTGAAATATCCTTCTGTCCTTTCACTCTAAACTTTCTGCATCATTTTGGCAACTGATATAACTGGCATTTGTTTTGTATATTTTTGCCCTTTCTATTTTTCCTTTCTTTGGAGTTTCTTGGTGGACTGATAGAAGATTTTATCCCCCTCTGAATTTTAGGATGTTAAACATACTTTTACTGTTCCCTGGTGGTTACACTGATATTTTTGAAACAATTTCTATAAGTGTCACTAGGAATTGATCACTATATCCTCTCTGTGGAGAACATGAAGCACACTTTCATCAGACATACTACTACTATCTTCCATGTTTTCTTGTAATACTTTAAATTTCATTTCTATAAAGTAATTAATATTTTTCTGCAATCTAAAGTTTTTAGTAATTATTTGTACTTGATAGCTTTCTTTATGCATATTTAACTTTTGCAAATTTCATTGTAGCTACACACACGTACATACAAACATATATATATTTTTTAATACTTCATGGCCTCTGAAAATAAACCAATTAACCCTTAAATAGTAACAGTTCTAACAGTGGAGGAAAGCTAGACTGTATAAATTTATTGAGAAATGATAATACAGATTTACAGAAAACTATGAATATTTCACTTTATTAGCAATTTAAATCTCTTTAGATTTAAAGAGTAATATTGATAATATACAACAGTACTCTGTAGACTAACCAAAGACTCTAAAAAGCCCAATAAGATATAATTCACTGTAAGGTAGAGAGTAGAATGATAGATACCAGAGGCTAAGAAGGATGTGTGAGGGAAGAAGATTAAAAGATTGGTTAATGGGTACAAACATACAGTTATACAGCTAGATAGAAAGTTCTAAGGTCTGACGGAACAGTAAGGTGACTATAGTCAGCAATGATATAGTGTATATTTCAAAATAGTTAGTAGATAGGACCCTAAATGTTTCCAACACATAAAAATTATAAATACTGGAGGTGGTAGATACTCCAAATACACTGACTTGATCATTACAAATTCTATGTATGTAATAAAATATCACATGTGGCCTATAAATATGTATATACATTATGTATCAATTTTTAAAAGAAATAAAAAGATGCTCTTACACTGTATATTTCATTGATTTTTCTCTTCGTGGTCCACCATGTTCCACCATCTTCTAGGATACAATTTAATGTATGGCTTGGGTACATCTCTGAAATAGCTTTCAGGAATGTATTTTAAGTGATGTATTTTATGACTGCTTTCATATAAAACGTATTTATTTTGCTGAATATTGTGACAGTATTAAATATGGTAGACAGACAGAGAGGAAAGAAAGAAATAAGAGAAAAGATAAAGTAGTAAAAAAATGACTTATATTTTGTTAATGATCAGAGAGAGGGGAGCCAGTGATACCATGGGGAACTTACAATTAGAGCTAAAACGCTGAAATGTTTGACTACTTAGATAATCAATTTATTTTAGACAATAAAAAGGGTAATCTTTTCCACAAATGGTTCATGAATAATTGGTAATAATAATAAAGGAAGGAAGGAAGGAAGGGTGGGAGGGAGGGAGAAAAGAGATGGAGGGAGGCAGAGAGAGAGAGAGGTAGTAATACAGAGAAAGAGAATGAGAGAGAGAGAGAGAGAGAGACACTAAGGGAAGAAGGAGGAAAGGAAAGAAGGAAAAGAAAAAAACAGAACCTCAACCCTTTCCTTACCCTGTATACAAAAAGTAACTTAACAGGGATCAATGACCTAAATGTAAAGTAAAAACCACAAACTTTCTAGAAAAATAAAGCAGAAAATCTTAGTGATGTGGACATAGCAAATATTTCTTAAATATGCTACAAAAGTATGAACTATAAAAAAAGAAATTAACAAATTGGACTTCTTCAAAATTACACATGGGGTGGGAGAGGGAGGGATGTGTGACAAAGAGCACAAGGAAACTTTCGGGGGTGATGTACATGTTCATAATCCATTATTTAGGTGATGGTTTCATGGATGTATGCTTTTGTCAAAACATATCAAATTGTGCACTTTAAATATGTGCAGTTTATTTTATGTCAGTTATACTTCAATAAAGCTGTAAAAAAATAAAGTTATATTTCAGTAAATCAGTCCAGGATGCCCTAAATATAATAATAAGAAGTCTACCCCATTAAGGATATTATAATGAGAAAATAAACACATGCAAATAAAATATATAGTATGTGCCAACTTGATTTACCTGCCTATGTGCCCAATTTGTACTTGTGAGATGATCTGGGGAGGAATTTGGGTTCATGATGCAGACTAAGCATCAGGACAGAGAAAAAGAGTGTGAATTGTTTAAGGGCCAACTTGACCATACATGTCTGTACATCTAGAAAGCTTCTAGTTACTCCTTATTGCTTCTTTCATGGACTCTGATCAAGCTGGAGTAAAGAAGGGGGAGAAAGCAAACAACTTGGAAAATATTTCAGGATACTGCCCATGAAAACTTTCCAAACCTTGCTAGAGAGGCCAACAGTCAAATTCAGGAAATACAGAGAACTTCTGCAAGATTCTACACAGGGAGACCATCCCCAAGACACATAATCATCAGATTTCCCAAGGTCAAAATGCAAGAAAGAACGTTAAAGGCAGCTAAAGAGAAAGGTCAGGTAACCTACAAAAAGATTCCCATCAGGCTAACAGCAGACCTCTCAGGTGAAATCCTACAAGCCAGAAGAGATTGGGCGCCTCTATTCAACATTCTTAAAGAAAAAAAAACTTCAACCAAGAATTTCATATTCAGCCAAACTAAGATTCCTAAGTGAAGAAGAAATAAAATCCTTTTCTGATAAGCAAATGTTGAGGAGCTTCATTACCACCAGATCTACCTTAAAAGAGATCATGAAATATAGAAAGGAAAGACTGCTACAAGCTAATACAAAAACACACTTAAACACACAGAGCAGTGTCACTGTAAAGCAACCCCACAAGCCAACAAAATAACCAGGTAACAGCACAATGACAGGATCAAACCCACACATATCAATATTAACCTTGAGTGTAAATGGGCTAAATGCCAAACTTAAAAGGCACAGAGTGGCAAGCTGGATAAAAAAGGAACACCCAATGGTGTGCTGTCTTCAAGAGACCCATCTCACATGTAATGACACTCATAGGCTCAAAATAAAGGGATGGAGATAAATGTACCAAGCAAATGAAAAACAGAAAAAATGAGGGGTTGCAATCCTAATTTCAGACAAAACAGATTTCAAACTAACAAAGATCAAGAAAGACAAGGAAAGGCATTACATAATGGTAAATGGTTCAGTTCAACAAGAGAACTTAGCCATCTTATATATGCACCCAACACAGGAGCACCCAGATTCATAAAGTAAGTTCTTAGAAACCTACAAAGAGACATAGACTCCCACACAATAATAGTGGGAGATTTCAATACTCCACTGACAGATGAATAATCAAGGCACATCATCAAGGCAGAAAATTAACAAAGATATTGAAGACCTAAACCTGGCATTGGAAAAAATGGATGTGATAGACCTTTACAGAAGTCTCCACCTGAAAACAACAGAATATACATTCTTCTTACTGCCACATGGCATATACTCTAAAATCAACCACATAATTGGACAAAAAACAACACTCAACAAATGTAAAAGAACTGAAATCATACCAACCACACTCTTGGACCATAACACGATAAAAATAGAAGTCAGTGCAATGAAAATCACCCAAAACCATGCAATTACATGAAAATTAAACAACATGCTCCTGACTTTTGGGTAAATAGTGAAATTAAGGCAAAAATCAGGAAGTTCTTTGAAAATAATGAGAACAAAAATACAACATACCAGAATCTCTGGGACACAGCTAAGGCAGTATTGAGAGGGAAATTCATAGCACTAAATGCCCACATCAAAAAGTTAGAAAGATCTCAAATTAACAACCTAACTTCACAACTGAAAGAATCAGAGAAGCAAGAACAAATTGACCCCAAAGCTAACAATACAAGAAATAACAAAAACGAGAGCTGAACTGAAGGAAATTGAGACATGAAAAACCATTCAAAAGACCAACAAGGCCGGGTACAGTGGCTCATGCCTCTAATCCCAGCACTTTGGGAGGCTGAGGCAGGCAGATCACCCGAGGTCAGGAGTTCAAGACCAGCCTGGCCAACATGGCGAAACCCCATCTGTACTAAAAAATGCAAAAATTAGCTGGATGTGGTGGCACATGACTGTAATCCCAGTTATTTGGGAGGCTGAGGCTGGGAATCACTTGAACCCGGGAAGCAGAGGTGGCAATGAGCCGAGATCACACCACTGCACTTCAGGTTGGGCAACAAAGTGAGACTCTGTCAAAAAAACAAAAAAACAAAAAACAAAACAACAACAACAACAACAATAAAACCAAATCAACAAATCCAGGCATTGGTTTTTTGAAAAAACTAATAAAATAGATAGGCCACTAGCTAGGCTAATTAAGAAGAAAAAAGAGAAGATCCGAGTAAATACAATTAGAAATGAGAAAAGGAATGTTACTACTGACCCCACAGAAATAAAAACAACCCTCAGAAACTACTGTGATCCCCTCTACACAAACAAACTAGAAAACCTAGAAGAGACAGATAAATTCCAGAATACATACACCTTCCCAAGAATGAGACAGGAAGAAAATGATTCCCTGAACAGACCAATAATGAGCTCTGAAATTGAATCAGTAATAAATAGCTTAGCAACAACGAAAGAAAGAAAGGAAGAAAGAAAGAAAGAAAGAAAGAAAGAAAGAAAGAAAGAAAGAAAGAAAGGAAGGAAGAAGAGTCCAGGACATGATGGATTCACAGCTGAATTATGCCAGATGTACAATGAAAATATGCAGAAATTATTTTAAAAAATTGAGGAGAGGGGACTTCTCCCGAACTCATTCTATGAGGCCAACATCATCTTGATACAAAAACGTGGCAGAGACATAACAAAAAAGAAATTTCAAGCCAATATTCTTGATGAACTTTGATTCAAATATCCTCAACAAATACTTGCAAACTAAATCCAGCAGCACATCAAAACACGAAGCCACCATTATCAAGTAAGCTTCATCCTAGGATGCAAGGTTGGTTCAACATATGCAAATCAGTAAATGTGACTCATCAAATAAACAGATCTAAAGACAAAAAGCACATGATTTTCTCAATAGATGTAGAAAAGGCCATTGATAAAATTCAACATTCCTTCATGTTAAAAAACTCTCAATAAACTACATATTGAAGCAACATACCTCAAATTAATAAGAGTCATCTATGACAAACCCACAGCCAACATTATACTGAATGGGCAAAAGCTGAAAGAATTCCCATTAAAAACTAGCATAAGGAAGGATGCCCTCTCTCACCACTTCTATTCAGCACAGTATTGGAAGTCCTAGCCAAAGTAATCAGGTAAGAGAAAGAAATAAAGAACATCCAAGTAGGAAGAGAAGAAGTCAAATTATCTCTGTTTGCAGACAGCATAATTCTATATCTAGAAAACCCCATAGTATCAGCCCCAAAATCTCCTTCAGCTGATAAACAACTTCAACAAAGTTGCAGGATACAAAATCAATGTACAAAATTCACTAGCATTCCTATCCCACCTACCACCAACAACAAAACTTAGAGTCAAGTCAGAAAGGCAATCCAATTCACACTGCCACAAAAACAAATTAAAAAAATACCTAGGAATACAGCTAACCACAGAGGTGAACAATCTCTACAATGAGAATTACAAAACATTGTTCAAAGAAATCAGGGAAGACAAAAGCAAATAAAAGAACATCCCATACTCATGGATAGGGAGAATCGATATCATTAAAATGACTATACTGCCTAAAGCAATTTACAGATTCAATGCTATTCCTATCAAACTACCAAAGACATTCTTCTTAGAACTAGAAAAAATTATTTTAGAATTTATATGGAACCAAAGATAATCCTGAATAGCTAAGACAATCCTAAGCAAAAAGAACAAAGCTGGACGAATTATGTTACGTTACTTCAAACTACATTATAAGACTACAGTGACCAAAACAGTATGGTACTGGTACAAAAACAGGCACATAGACCAATGGAACAGAATAGAAAGCCCAGAAATAAGGCCGCACATCTACGACCATCTGATCTTTGACAAAGCTGACAAAAACCAGCAATGGGAAAAAGACTCCCTATTCAATAAATGGTGCTGGAATACCTGGCTAGCAATATGCAGAAGATTGAAGCTAGACCCCTTTCTTACACCAAATACAAAAATCAACTTAAGATGGACTAAAGACATATATACAACCCAAAACTATAAAAACCCTGGAAGCCAACCTATGCAGTACCACCCTGGACCTAGAAATAGCCAAAAAGTTCATGACAAAGACACCAAAAGCAATTGCAACAAAAGCAAAAATTGACAAATGGGATATAATTAAACTTAAGCACTTCTTCACAGCGAAAAAAAAAATCAAGAGAGTAAATAGACAACCTACAGAATGGGAGAAAATGTTTGCAAACTATGCATCTGACAAAGGTCTAATATCCAGCATCTATAAGGAACTTAAACAAATTTGGAAGAGAAAAACAAACAACTCTATCAAAAAGTGGGCAAAGGACACGAAAAGACACTTCCCAAAAGAAGACATACATGTGGCCAACAAGCATATGAAAAAATGCTCAATATCATTGCTCATTAGAAAAATGCAAATCAAAACCACAATGAAATACCATCTCACACACCAGTCCCAATGGCTATTAGTAAAAATTCAAAAAATAACAGATGCTGCTGAGGTTGCGGAGAAAACAGAACCCTTATACGCTGTTGGTGGGAGTATAAATTAGTTCAACCATTGGGGAAAGCAGTATGGTGATTCCTCAAAGAGATAAAAATAGAACTACCATTCAACCCAGCGATCCCATTACTGGGTGTATGCCCAAAGAAATATAAAACATTCTACCATAAAGACACATGCATGTGAACGTTCATTGCAGCACTGTTCACAATAGCAAAGACATGGAATCAATCTAAATGTCCACCAATGACAGACTAGAATAAAGAATAAAGGATAAAGAAAATGTGGCACATGTACACCATGGAATATTATACAGCCATAGAAAAGAATGACATCATGTCTCTTGCAGGAACATGGATGGAGCTGGAGGCTATCAACCTTAGCAAACTAACTCAGGAAGAGAAAGTCAAATATCACATGTTCCACTTATAAGTGGGAGGTAAATGGTAAGAACTTATGAACACAAACAAGGAAACAACAGACACTGGGGTATACTTGAAGTGGGAGGGTTGCAGGAGGGAGAGAAGCAGAAAAGATAGCTATTTGATATTGAGCTTAATGCCTGGGTAATGTAATAGCACGTACAACAAACCCTTATGACACCTGTTTATCTATGTAACAAATCTTCACATGTATCCTCAAACCTAAAATAGAAATTAAAAAAATTCTGTTCACTGCTCAACTCTTCTAAACTCTAATACTGCCTTGCTATGTGAGATTTACCATGCCTTTACAGACTCATGGTGTCCAAGATTAACTTTAGCTCAACTGCCCCTTCCTGGTAGACTAAAGAGTTGATGATATAGAAAGTTTGGTAAAATTTTACTCTAACATCCCCAAAGCGAAAAAAGAAGATGGTAATGAAGTCATTTCCTGTGTAATGAACACAGCTAAATGTAAACGTTAAGGTAATTGGCCTGGGTAGCATTACAAGGAAGGAAGGGCAAGGAAGAGGAGGCAGTAAGTCACCCTTGGGTGCCATAGGGAGGGAAGAAGGCAGTTAAGGCTTGGGAGTTTGTGTTTGGTGATAGTCTAATTACAGCTGCCCACTGTGGTGCATAGTAAATTTAATTTTTATTAATCAAATTCAGACTTCTGCTCTTAACTCTGATAAGCACTACCCTAAGAACTGGCTTAAGGGACTCAAGCGGCTTGACTTTTAACTCGGCATCCTGAGGTATCTTAAGAAATTCATCCCCGTATATGCAGAGGAATGTGTGGATGGTTGAAGCATTGATAGCAGTGCAATGGCAGATTTGGGGGAAAGATCATTTTGCTTAATTCTTTATTTTAAAAAATGGCTACTTGTTATAGATGTTTCTTTTTTCCCCCTTTCTTATGTTTGCTGGATTAATCAGTTTTTGGGTACTTTTTTTTTCACTCTTTTTTGTGTTGTGTTGGTAATTTTGTAAATACTATTATAGAGTTCTATTTTGCTAATGGTTAACTTCTTAGTTTTAAACACCAATATCTCCTTCTATATTTCTCAATTCATGTAACAAATTTAAATAATAATATCACCCCCAAATAATATAATCAGGCATTAAATAGAAGTTTTGACTTGAAAACCCTACCTCCATTGATTATATAGCTATGGGAGTGGGCAGTGGGGACAGGCATAGGTGGGTATGGGAGGGGTGGGAGAATGGTCCAAGGTAAAAACCAGAGTCAGTTACTCAGACTGTGTTAGTTCTTCTGTTACCTTTTTAAACCTACATTCTCATTCAGTCCTTGCTGTGCTCTCTAGTCTTGTGGTTATTTTTAGGTTCAGCTAAAAAAATATTTTTTTCTATATCACCTTTATAGAATTTCAGAGTTTTCAAATTTTTGAGATTTTTGAGATCAATTTTTTTCCTGTCTGCTTTATGGCTTTCACGAATTCCCTACTTTTCTGGTTTTGCTATGTTAACTCTTCCTGTTTTTCTGGGAACCTATGAAATAGACTTGACATTTAGTGTTTCATTTCAGCTGCATTTGTGAGGGAGGTAAAGTCATCATACTTGGTCACTGTGATTTCCATGTAAAAATCCAAGGGAAAGAACTGATGGGTAAATGACAAAGTACTATTTATATTTTATTTGTTTTATTTGAGAAATAAGATACATAATTTTACCAAAAGTTTCTGGAGATAGTATATGATGGATTGAGTTTGAAAATTATATAACTCACAGCCATGACTTCGTTTTATGTAAGTACAAGATAAAAATTTAGGAGATTTTATTTTAAAATAATTGTTGCTGTAAGAGTTATTCAAGGGAAATATGTAAATCCCTATAACTTCTTGCATTTATTATTTTTATTCTCCTTGCTACTTAATTTTCCTTGTCTTCGGCATACAAACATGCAACTTCCATCGACCACAAATCTGTCTACTGTGAGTCCCTGTTTTGTTTTCTACATTAGTATGATTCATTTAATCCCTACTTTCATCTTTGCCATTGCTGTGCTAGAAACTGGTGGTGAATGCAGAGTATGGTGCACCTCAGTGTGTGTTTATGCAGCGTTTCACCACCCACTGTTCCTTGTCAGTAATTGAAAGAGAAAATAGAAGCTAACAGGAACCAAAGTTGATGTGGTGGCAGACCAAGTTAATGAAGTGGAGGAAATATGAAGATTCAGTAGATGAAGGAAGATTCACCCCATCGATTAAAGAAATAACTATTTCCCAATACTCCTATTGTGCAAATTCTCAAAACATCTAGGGTTGTATATAAAACCAGAAAGTAATTAAAATTCCAGAAAACTTAATGGATATGGATAAATGCCATAGCAGAAGGAATAGAATTGAGAGTATGGAAAGAGTTGATCTAAAAAAATATTGTGAATATTAAAGAGAATTAAGAAATAGTAATTCAAGAGAAAAATTAATGTCTCAAAAGAGAACCAAGCTGTGACTGTAGGAGGTAAATAAAATTGTGTAACCAGGAGACATCAACCAATATGCAGCTATAACTATCTATGCATATAAACCTAGAAAAAGCCATTTATGCTGCTGTAAAAGTTTAAACATGTGTTTACTTTGTAGCAACTAGTACAACAATTCAAATCTGGGAAAACAGCTTTGTTAACTAAGATATTTTGATAAGCTTATTAAGGAGAGCAAAACCATCTTAGGTTAGTTCCCACGATCCTATATGAAAAAGAAAGCAACTCTGCAAAATGAAATGTGAGGGGAGGGAAGAGCAGGGATACTAAGTGTTATAGCCAATGATAATTTACTAAATTATCAGTTAGTGAGTTTGATTTCTTCCATCTCACCTATAAAATTGTCGGCAAATTCTTAATTCCCCACTAATGGTTTTTTTAAATGAATTGTTTCCATGGGAAATTTAAAGCTTCATATAAAGAAATGTAATTTGTAAAGAAAATCAAAACGCTCTGGAAAGCCAAAAGCTTACAACCTCAGTCAATTTTACTTTTAAAATAAAAATAAAACCAAGTCGGCTGGGCTTTGTGGCTAACACTTATAATCCCAGCACTTTAGGAGGCTGGTGGAAGTGGATCACCTGAGCCCAGGAGTTCAACACCAGCCTGTCTCTAAACAAGAACAAAAAATCCCTACAAGCCTTTCTTTCATTAAAAAAAATGTATGGAAAACACCTACTTCTACTTATTATGTATTTTAATTCATTCAACCATGAGTTATTGACTTTCCTGAAGTGCTTAGGCACAATTGAATAGTTACATTTATTCAAAAAAGAGAAGGTAAGTAGCAATGAGTTCCTACATAATCAAACACTAAAATAATTTAATAGACACGAAGAATCATGGGCATTAATCTAAGTACAAGTATAAATTGCTCTAAAGAGGAAACTGAAGATGCAGGAGGGCAGGTCCCCAAAGGGCCTTGGCTGATTCAGCTGTCCCCTCTTCCTGCTTGTAGTTCTCAGGGGAAATATAGAATGTGCTGAGAAGAAAACATCATGAGACAAGGATGAAATTTCTGGAACAACCCTCATCCCTCCTAGAGCAGTCTGGTCTGCAACACTTCAGTCCAGCAATTGCAGTGTCCCTTGGGGTATATAAACCCAGAGCAGAATGCTTTTCGGGTCCCTCAACTGTGTTGAGACATGGGGCGAGCACAGACAAGAGACTCCATCCATGCCTGGCAGCTTTCCTGAGCCTTAGGGGCTGGCTCACCATCCTAGGCTTCTGTTGTCCCTTGCTGCCTATCTGAGAGTAATAAAGCTGCTTTTAACATGTGAGTGAGTGTTCCCGCAAGTGGTAGATAGAATAACTGGTGCAAAATGAACCTGCTTCACAAAGGAAAGAACTCAAAAGAAAATTAAATATGAATTATAACTTTAAAAATAGGTAAAATTTTGTTAAGCAGAGAATAGAGTCCGCATGATGCCCAACAGGGAGCTGGACACACCTGAGTAACAATAGGATGGGTAGGAAAGCACAGCGTGCTCAGGTGAGAGTGGAGATGCAGGTCCAGGGGAAACAGAGAATGTGCCTAAATAGTACCAACAACAAGACAGAGTCTGATCCTGCAGTGGAATTATCCTGGCTCTCTAGGACTTTTGGGTAAAGTCTAGGGGTTGACTGAAAATCAATGGCACATTGAGAACTGAAATGCTGAATTTAGGCTAGAAAGGAATGAGTCTGAGAGCCCCGAACAAGCAAATCCTATAAAACTTCCCTTGACAACTGAGGCCACCTCTCCTCTCTCTTCTGATGAGCTGGCTCAGCTTTGCTTAACAACGCAGTAATGACCTCCACTGAAGTAGATGTGTGGATGAAATTTAAAAGTGCTAGACCAGAGAACGAATACGACATTAGTGGGACCATCTCATATGCATTCCCTAGATTTGTCTGTGTAACTCAGCAAAATCTTTCAATTCTTTTTGAGTGTAAGCTGTCTCCTCCTGAGACTCTGTATTTGTTCCCCAGTATATTAGTTTCCTATTGCTGCAAATTACCACAGACTTAGTGCTTAAAACAATAAAAATGTATTCTTTCAGTGTTTTGGAGAAGTCCTAAAATAGTCAGCAAGGCTGCATTCCTTCTGCAGGCCCTAAAAGAGAATCCATTTCCTTGCCTTGTCTAGCTTCTAAAGGTCCCCTGCAGTCTTTGGCTCATGGCCCCATTCTCCACATTTAAAGCCAGACTGATAGCATCTTGTCACCTCTCTTTCTGAATCTTATTCTCCTTCTTCCCTCTTATAAGAACCCTTGGGTTACACTGAGCCTCCCAGTTAACCCGGGATCTCAAGATTTTAAATTTAACAACGTCGGCAAAGACTCTCTCGCCATGTAGGTAATATAATCCCAAGACCCAGGAATTAGGCCATGGACATTTTGGGGGCAGCATATTCAGCCTATCATACCTTGAGCGTGCAGGGATTTTATGTTAGTTGTGGGTCTGGAAGCAATGAAAACTGTAAAGAGTGGTACATAAAGAGGATAGGCATTCCATTGCAAAATACTTGTTTCAGGGTAGCTGAGTCAACAGTAATGATGTAGTGACAGCAAGAGTTTCCAGAATTATGAATGGTGGTAATAGCTTCCTGAATTCTGGATGACAGTGTCAGAGGCATGATTCTTAAGTCAAAGTCCAGTAATACGTCTGCCCCTCTAGTTCATCTGATGGGTTTGTAAGAACCTAATGCTTTCTGTGCCTCAGTTTTCTTGCCTGTAAAATGGGTGTTATAGTATTACCTACCTATCACCCAGAGTTTATTTTCTTTCTTTTTTAAAAAGTTCAATTAATTAATGTATTTAGTAATATTTTTAGAAAATATATGGAACATATTGATATTGCTATACAGAACATCATACCCCCAAAACGTAGCAAATACTTTATTTTTCAATTCATAGAAAAATCACAAAAAGAAAAACAACATAAGTAATTTTCATCTAGTAAATGCAAAAAAGAACACTAAGGATCACAATAATATCAACTGCGGGAAGCATCTATTAACACTAGATTTGAGGAAACAGTGAATTTTGAAAACAGAAGCTTGAAGGAGGGGCCCTATGGAACTGAATCTGATGTCTCTCAGGATGGCACAATCTGGACAGTGCTAGGGTTTTTAAGGGAAATATAATAAGGTTGATTCTAAAAGTGTTGGAAAAAATATGAAATGGATTCAAACACTGCTACTGAAAGGTACTGCAACTTCCCTTATCAGAAATTCATTTTAGAAGTATTGATAAGATGATGCTTATGGAAGTAGGAAGCAAATAGGAAACAATCACAAAGCAAACAGGAAACAATCACAAAGCAAACCAGATGAAACAGTTTATTTTCCCTCCTATAGCCTCGAGTCTCTCTCTAGTGCTTGATATCAGTTAAGCCGAAAGAAAGCCAGTCAAAAGCAGCAATGTGATTTGCAGATTCAACTCCAATATCTCAAAGTGAATATGGAAGGATGGGTTTGCCGGGTAGAGAGAATAGCATAATAACCAGCAAATTCACCTTTGACTATGCAGCATCAATATAAAGCTTTATAACAAACATTTGAAATTCCATAATTTTCACCCAATGTAATGCAACTATTCTTCATACAAATGAAGAAAGATGTCTTCCCTTTCCTCAAAAAATAAGAGGAAGCAAAGTTTCTACCTCTGGAAGATAGTCATTATTCATTTCTCTTCTATGTTGATTATTCTTCAAATACAGTCATAGTTCTATTCTTGTGTAAAAGACAACTGAAATGCATTTCTTAATTAAAGTACTAATGGGAAGGAGGGGATAATTCATGGACAGAAGCGCTTTGAAAAAGAAAGCCATGTTGCTCCATCTTTTACCACTTTTTAAAAAACAGTCATAATGCTCGGTGGACTTTTTCAGTTTTCCAGGGAACATATGCCACATTTGAAAGACATCTTTATAATTTTCTCACAGAGTAAAATTTTATTATGTTTAATCCATTGTTCATTTGTGAATCTAATTGTTATATATGCTGAATTTAACACTTAACAATGGGTTATAATTCAGTATGTTTTCTCTAATATTTTCTAGCATATAAACAGGTAGTTACATTTCCAAAATATTTAGATTATTACAACATCTCTCATATATTCTGTAAATACACTCACTCTTCTTCCTATTTTCATATGCTTAAACTTGTTTTGCAATCTACCTAATTTTCTTACTCATCTATAAGCCTTCATGATGCCTAAACACATTTAACTTGATGTTGTCATTGATGATAACAATGCACGTGTGACCTTTCACCACTTCTGGATAAGCAAAGGATTGATTTATTCTAACTGAAATGTAAATAATAGATTTTGAAATGTAGTCTACATTTTTTATCTTTCTAAAATTCCTTTTATGTGACTCTTCTGCCTCCATTCTTCCATGGGCATGATTTTTCCTCAGGACAGGTTTTTATTGTTACAAGAAAGGTGCCAAGAGGAAGAAGTCAACATTTAACATTTGAATTTCAGAATGGAATTTTTGAGTCAAAACCTGAAAATAAGCTCGAAAGTCACACTTTGTTGAGAAAAGGATTTTATTAATGTATCTGGAGCTAGGACTTGCTGACCAGATAGTAGAATTTTACCATAAACCAGAAACAGAACCAAATCAGAACAATGGAGAGGCAGTCATTATCATACAGAGAGGAGAGAGAGAGAAAGAGAGAACCCACCCTTATTGACCTAGGATTGAAGGAGAGAAAAGGCAACAGAGGCTTTGGAAGTAGAGGTCAAATACCTGGGTCCTGGCTTCCCATCTCCAGGTTAGTGTCCCTGGCATCATAAGGATGTATACTATGTGTGTTGGGTAGAAAGGGGAAAACAGAACAGCTTTTGCTTTGTCCTCTATTTGGAGAACTGGAAGACCACACAGAGGGTGAGCCCTCTTCACCATTACGGGTTAAAGCATTGGTGGATAGGTGAGTAGAAAGATCTCAGCCACCTTTACTGGCTTGCCATGGAGAAGCCCTTACTCTTTCCTCTATACCCTGCTACCAGTTTAAGGAGGAAAGTGAAAGGGAAAGCGCTGCGGGCAGTTTAACTTTGGATTTAAAAAAAATTAATGCATTAAAGACTTTTAAAATTGAAAATACACTATTTAAAACAAAAGATAATCATTTATTGTTGAAATTCCCCTTAATTCCAGTGCCTATTTCTCCTTGTGGAGTTTAGAAAAGCTACAGAAAATAAAGGATCCCTGCATTCTTTGGACATCTGTGTAGTATATGTGTGAATTTAATACCATAGCAATTATCTAGTGGTTTAACAGAGCTCAGTGTATTCACATAATTATATATAATCTAAGTGTGGCAATTTAGAGACAATACTCCAAATAGCAGAAAAATGTAGGGATTATATTGTTTAAATATTTATTTAAATTATTTGGTTGTGTTGATATTATATAAGATGAAATAATTAGTTACAATAATACTCAAATTGAGTCACTCTTATTCATTCATTTATAGTAAAATGGTAATATTTGTAGTCTTTTATGATATTTTGCTATCTTTCCTTTCCAAAGCATACTTACTGAATTCATATGAGAGAAAAAGTAATTAAAATTATATTAATATTTGTTAAAAAATAATATTTACAGAACAGGTGGATGCATTTACAAGATATTAACAAAAAAGTCTGTGTCATAAAAAGTCTTGATGATTTGTTCTGTGTGTTACACTACATTAGTTTACATGTGGTTTAGATTCTTACATTTTGACTTAAGCCTAGGAATTGACTACCTATACTTAAAATAAAACACCAGATTTAATAAAAAATATCATTGTAATATAATAATTGTTACTATATAATTTATTTTCCTGTTTTAATACAGATAATTTAATTTTAACATATTATCATTTTAGTTGCCTCATTAACTAATTAAAAACCCCAGACAGGAACCATATTCCAGTAAATACCTGTTATAACATGTCTGTAGAAATGTCTGCTCTATGTGTATAAAATTTCCAGAAAAGTGGAAACTTAATATTCAAGTTTTTATAATTCTGTTAACACCACCCTTAGAAAAAAATTAAGGAAAATTTATGAGTAAGGTACTGAAATAGCTAACAAAAATTCTGCCAATTTAGAATATCTGCTGGTTTGGTGCTATCCATAGAGTTTTTGTTTCAGTGCCAGCATCAAATATTCCGTTTAAAAAATAAAATAAATAGAATGTCTGGAGCACTGGTTGGCAACTTTTGATTCATGGATTTTGTGCTGCTGGTGTCATCAAATACATGAATTTATGTCTTCACTTTTTTATGTTCTTATTTTTCACTAAGAATTTATTCACCTTTCTTTGAGCTCCATTTAATTTCACTGCCCTATATTTTCTCTATCTCTTCTTTGCTGAAGTATTGGGTTTTTAAAAACTCTATACTGTTACTTGGTTGTTTTAAATGTATCTCTTCTTAACCATGTAATATTTTAATGTACACCTTATTTGGTGTAATAATATCTTGCATTTATTGAGCATATCTCATGGTCTAGACACTATGCTATAATACACACACACAAACATACATGCACACAATCTCGACTAATATGAAAAGAGCTGGGATTTGATTACATGAAGTCTGACTTCAAAGCACACTTCACCATTTATGTGTGTGTGTGTATGTGGGTGTGAAAATTCTGTTATTTGTGAGTGGCAGAAGTTCATCATAAAGTAGCTTACAAAAAATGGCATAAATTGCCTCACATAACTAAAAATCTAGAAGTGAGTTTCCAAACATTGCTGTATTTAGATGCTTAAACAACAAGAAGGTCACCTGTGTGGCTTCATACTCAAACTGTTTCCATATGTCTAAAATGAGTCCCCCAGCAGCTCCAGGCTCACAATGCCCTTGCAGTCAGACATCGTGGAAAAGTGAGAGCATCTTTCCTATAATCTCTGGCAATGATCCTGTGGAGGGGTATGATTAGACTTATTGGGGTTACATGATGGTCAGAGCTTTGAGACAGCTATGTACTATATTTGGCCCCGCTTAACCACAAAGACAGAACAGGATTACTATAGAAGAGCGGTTAGATGATTCCCCAAAAGAAGGATGCTGGGCAGGCAAATAAATAAATAAATAAAATTTCAAAAGCTATTAAATGCCCATTAATAAAAATTAACATTCGACCTTGTGAATTACTAAACTTGTTTAAAGCACAAAACACCACATAAAATTTCACAAAAACATCATGAGGTAAATTTTATCTTCATTTTTCAGTTAATAGAAGCAAAGACAAATGCAAATTGCCAAAGTTCACATTATGTCTAAGTCATCAGACCTTTTAAAGATAAATTATGTATCCAACTGCACTGCTATTACAGGAATAATGTACAAAATTCACATGTCTAGGCTAAAATGTAATGACATCACATCTAAGTATCAAATTTTAAGGATTAAATATATTTAAATGGATGAAATTAGACATTAGTCTGATTTAGTATTTTAGCATATGGTGATAATATTTTTAAAATAATCTAATATCTTATGCATCCTAACTCTTGTAACTTCCTCAGAGTATCAAATCAGAGTGAAAAATTTCTATAGGATGAATGTCAGATTTATTCATATTCTTTAGCTGAATAAATGTGATTTCTAAGAATCATGTTTAATGAAATACGTTCAGAAGTTACAAGAACTTGAAGCAACGGCAAGCACTTAATTAACATTTTATGTAAAAAGGAAGTGTCATTGGGAAAGAGAGCTTATTTTTAAAAAATTTCTAGGTCATTATTGCCTGAGGGAGAGAAGATTGTGGATGCCATAAGTCTTGGTCTACATATTCAATATATATGCCATGCAACATTTATTTTTTTAAGTCTTCTTAAGTTCATCTTCAGTCCTCTATTTTGAGGGGACAGTATGAAATCAAATCTCAGACATTTCTAGGATACATCTTCCCATCAGGGCTATTTAAAGTCTTAGGGTTTTGCACAGGATCAAGTATCTGAGATGCTTCAAAGGATATGGGTCCTCAGTGGTTTCTGCTAATATATCCATCACTCCTTTATGCATGGTACCTTCTGGTCTAGTGACTCTCTCTGCTCTTTCTATTGGGTGTCCTGGGTTTTTGTTGAGGTGGGACCACTGTGTCTAGGGTACCAAATCCCTGGAGGCTGCTACTAGAGGGACTCAAGTCACCAAACATTATGGGACGCACAGATCTTGGTCCCCTTTTAGAAACTAGAAATGTCATCACTGCCTGGCTTCAAAGGTCTCACTCCTTTCTCCACTCTCCCCTTACCTGCTGGGATAGCCAAAATGCTCTCATCCATGAGCTAATACTTTTTTCAATAGATAGAAACAGCTGTTGTCCTCAGGAGGACTCTACTTCCAGCTCTGCAAAGAGCAAAAGAGGCTGGGAGCAAGGAAATATAAACGGTCTGGCTACCAGCTTGAAATAGGAGGAAGAAGGAGAAAAACTGAAGATAAATACAAACTATTATCTGAAAAAAACCCAGCAACAACAATATTCCTGTCACACATACATAACCATGATCTGTAGCTTGACTTAACAGTTTCATTAATGATACCTCTGAAATAATATAGCAAGTGACAAGAAAATCTCATCAACTTTAGCCATCTTGAAGTGCTATTAATCAAATACATCTAAGCTCCAATGAGTTGGAGATAATGCCCAAAATAAATGCCAGGAGGATCCCTAATCAGCAGCTAGATGAAGGAATAAGGAGATGCCATTTGCAGGAAAAGAAGAATAACTATTTAAAAACAGCTAGAGAACGAACTAAAGAGGTCAGACATAAATACCTATAGCTGGAAACTAAGTCAGGCCAACTTATCTGGCATTCTGAGACTGAGGATTACACAGAACATTGAACTAGAAGAGTTTTTAAGCTCATCTAACTCAGGAGACATCAGCCTATGTTCTGTGGGTCCACAGGTGGGGTCTTAGGGGTTCCAGAAATGTTTGATTGGAATTCATTCAAAAATAGTGTTTTTGGCTATTTTTAATGCTGTAATGAAAAAATAGCAGGTAAACCTAAAAGTTTTATATTGTGAAGAAATGTGTGTGTAGCTTAAAACTTAATTTGAGAACCTATCACATAAGATGTTACTCCATGAGGCCCATTCGGGAGGAATGTGTGTTAAAACTTAAGCGAGGTCAGAGGCCTCCTCTGCTCAAATCTCTGCAATGGCTTCCCATCTCACTCCAAGTGAAAGCCTTACATTGGCCAACAGGTGCTACAGGGCATATCCCTTACCTTGCTAACCTCATCTTTTATGACATTCCCCTTACTACACTCCCCTTCAGCCATCCCAGCCTCCTTGCTGCTTCTGGCACATATCACGCTTCCATCTGCCTGGAATGCTCCCTCCACAGGAATCACAGCGTTTTGCTTCCTCACCTCCTTCAAGTATTTGCTCATATGTGATCTTCTTAATGAGACCTTTCCTGACCACATCTTTAACAACTGCCTCCCTATCCCTAAGTTCTTAACCCACTTCTCTGTCTTATGTTTTCTTTTCTTTTCTTTTCTTTTTTTTTGAGACAGGGTCTAGCTCTGTCGCCAGGCTGGAGTGCAATGGCGCCATCTCGGCTCACTGCAACCTCCGCATCCCGGTTCAAGAGATTCTCCTGCCTCAGCCTCCCGAGTAGCTGGGACTACAGGCGTGCCCCACCATGCCCAGCTAACTTTTGTACTTTTAGTAGAGACAGGGTTTTACCATGTTAGCCAGGATGGTCTTGATCCCCCTTGACTGCGTGATCTGCCTGCCTCGGCCTCCCAAAGTACTGAGATTAGAGGCGTGAGCCACCATGTACTGTACAAAGTTAAAATATGTTTCATTTTATTGTCTGCCACTCCCCACCAGTGTGTAGCTCCCCAAGACAAGGGTGAGAGAATTTGATCTGTTTTGTTTAATGAAATCCCAGCACTTAGAACAGGACCACAAAGCAAGTGCTCAGTAAATCTTTGCCAAATAAATGAAAAGGGGACTAGATGATGGGTGGAGTCAAAGAGCAAAGGCCACTAGGCAGATGGACCAGGAAATCACATTTTTCGGCTGGGTGCGGTGGCTCACGCCTGTAATCCTAGCACTTTGGGAGGCTGAGGACGGCGGATCACGAGGTCTGGAGATAGAGACCATCCTGGCTAACACGGTGAAACCCCATCTCTACCAAAAATACAAAAAAATTAGCCGGGCGTGATGGCGAGCGCCTGTAGTCCCAGCTACTCGGGAGGCTGAGGCAGGAGAATGGCTTGAACCCGGGAGGCGGAGCTTGCAGTGAGCGGAGATCGAGCCACTGCACTCCAGCCTGAGTGACAGAGCGAGACTCCCTCTCAAGAAAAAAAAAAGAAATCACATTTTTCTATGTAAATGTGTGTGAGTGTATATTTCAGTCATATTCAAATATAGGGAATATCTATTAAGCACTTTCTGTTTTCCAGACCTTATGCTGGGGGTGTTCATCTTGTTTAACTAACTTAATCCACACAACAATTTGCAAAGCTATTAAAGAATGTCAGTGGAAGATAAACATTGAACACAAGGAGTATTTCTGAATTCTCTACCCACCCTGTACTCACTGCAAGGGTGTAGTAGGTTATTTTAAGGGCAGAATTCTCAGACATATGAATATATTCTTTCCTCTTAGTCTAGTTCCGTAGTCCTCAAACTTAAGTGGCATAAAATGCATTACATAAAGATATACATATCCAAAACCATGTATAATCTACTTTATAGGCAAATAAGGAGTTTTCAAGGGTAATTTTCACTCAACCCAATTTTCACCTTGCTTTTAATCTAATCTCTCATAAAATATAATGCCAAATTATACTAACTTTAATCCCATTGTAATTTAAAGTTACCTGTTTCTTCTTGAACTTCAGAATAAAGCTGCAACTGTCATATTTATGCACATACTTGAACATTATGTTAAGGAACCATTAAGCAAGAAGGCTGTTGTTTTTCACTGATATCTTTTAAATTCAAGCTTGCTTATATCCACTAACATAAAATTAAAGCAGCAAATTGATCTGTTGGTTGCCTGCTCCTCAGTGATGCAATGACAAGAAAACATAAAGTGTTGGCCGGGCGCGATGGCTCACACCTGTAATCCTAGCACTTTGGGAGGCCAAGGCGGGCGGATCACGAGGTCAGTAGATCGAGACCATCCTGGCTAACACGGTGAAACCCCGTCTCTACCAAAAATACAAAAAATTAGCCGGGCGTGGTGGCGGGTGCCTGTAGTCCCAGCTACTAGGAGGCTGAGGCAGGAGAATGGCGTGAACCCGGGAGGCGGAGCTTGCAGTGAGCCGAGTTCGCACCACTGCGCTCCAGCCTGGGCGGCAGAGCCAGACTCCACCTCAAAAAAAAAAAAAAAAAAAAAAACAGAAAACATAAAGTGTTGAAATATAGACAGCTTTATCTCTTATTTCCAATTGTCGATGCTTCTTGTCTAATTACTATTTTTTTGATTACGAGAGCTCTTCTTGGATGTTGTAAGTAAAATCAAAATTTTCTACTTATTTTTAAAGAATTTGGATCAGTTTAATTTCAGAGTGTCCTCAGATGGCAAGGTGAGTTGTTAAAAAAATGCTACTATTTATAATCACTTATCTACTTGATGCAGGATTTTATATTTGAACTAGTCTAACAAAAATATCCACAGGAATAAATTGTAGGCTGTATCTTCTTTAAGACTGCAATTGCTATCTACAATCCTCAATGTCAAAATTGTTCCTTCCTTACGTCTATCATGTTCATCAAACCTCATTGTTCCTCACTGAATTTTTTAGTAAGCAATTATTAACAACTTTAAATTGATTTAAGTAAATGTACAATTTATTTGTTTTAAGCAGAGGAGTTTGTATCATAATTCTTTTCTCTTTTTTAAAGTTCCGCTACTGAAAACAGATTAAAAATCACTGCTGTAGCCAGGGATTGGTGAACTTTTATTTAAAAAGCCAAATATTAAATATTTTAGGTATTGCAGGCCAAATGGCAAAATTGAGGATATTGTGTGGGTACTTACATAATATTTAAAATGTAACAATTTAAAAATGTAAAACCATTTTAAGATGTAAAAATCATTCTTAACTTGTAGGCCATACAAAATCAGGTGATGGTCTGGATTTAGCCTATGGGCTATAGTTTGTTCACCTCTATTCTAGCCCAATACCCCTATTTTTACTGGTGAATAAATGATTAGCAGAGTTGAATTTTCTATGAAAGTTTCACAGATATTGTAGCAACCCTACAAGCATGGACTGCAATGTAGGTCTCTTGATGTCCGACATCACTGTATCATTAATGAATAACCTAAGAAGAAAAGGGGCATCAATACAGACAGGAAAAGACAGCAAACCCCAGCTGAAGCCAAAACCACATAGAAAATGACTATATAAACACTCACTGTATAAAAGAACCATGTTTAGCAGGTTTTTTCCTTTCCCAAATTCAATCCCACTGAACTCTTTTTGAGCACAATTTCCTACGATTCATAAATAATTCATATATAATATACCAGAAGTTCCAGATGGCTAGGAACTGTGTGTGTACCTCTCTCTCTCTCTCTCCATATATATATATATATATATATATATATATATATATATATATATATGTCCAGCTTTCTACCTTACCTTCATAGCCTACATGTTTCCAAATTTTAAAAGGTCAATAAATACCACCTAACGAATAAAAAAGTAAAAATGGGAAAATATAGCTTCTTTTTCTTCTCACAGCCATAACTTATGTCTTGATGTGTAGGCTGAAATATTAGTGATATGATTAGGGATTACATAGCAGAAAATAAGATTGCTTCTAGTGTAAATAAGCTTCCATTTTGGGATTATTTCAATTAGTTTTACTTAGCAAGGTCTTCTAAGGAACTGAGCATAGACATTGGTATTAATCATTTTTTCAAATCTCTAGATCACCAAAAACTAAGAGTAAAAGGAAAGACCTATTTATCTTATTTTTATCCATATTGTACCACTAGATAATAGTAAGTTTTCTCTTTATAGAAGTATTTCAGAAACAAGGAAGAACAATGGTAGAATTAGAATATTGCCATTTGCAACTTCAAATGAATTGATGAATATAGGAATTAATTATAAACAGCTGCTTACATCAGAAATAGACAAATATTACATGTCTCCTTCTGAAAGAACATAAAGCTGTCTATGAAGTCCTTTGGTTCAAGAAGAAAAAAGTAAACTTGTATTGGCAATTCTCTACACCCTATACCAACTTACCAACTCACAGGGCATACAGAACATAGAGACGTGTGATAAATGACACCACAGGGGTGGAATCTGCAAAATCTCAGGTTGTAGGAAACCCCATAGGGCAAATGACCCAGTTTTTTCTTTTTAACTAAATATAATATAAAAAAAAGACAAAGACATAGAGGCATAACCTACTAGAGAAGCTTGAGAAGCATATAAAACAATACTGATTATAGGGAATTGATGAGACTATTGTGAAAATATGGAACTGATGAGACTGTTGGGAATTTGAATAATATTTAATAATATTAGGAAATGTTTCTTGGGTATTTTGTAAGGTCATGAAATTTGGTTATTTTAAAGTCCCTATCTTTTAGAGATACATACTGAAATATTAATATATAAATGATATTGCATTTGTGATTTGCTTTAAAATAATCCATTAGGGATCAAGCCGGTGGTGATATAGATAAAATTGGTCACGAGTTGAAGTTGGATGAACTGTACAGAGAGTTCTAGTCTATATACTTTGCATATGTTTGAAATATTCCCTGGTAATTTTTTTTAATAGTCAAAGGGAATCCCCCAAAATAAGACATGGTATGATGGCAGTAGTGGTCCCCTACCATGAATTCTGGTAGTTCAATAGGAAGTGGCAACAGGGAAAACATCAGCAGCCCCAATAGTCCCATAAAGTGGATTGTATACATAAGATACATTCCTCAATTTACAGAACTCTGAATTTGCAAGGCACATTTTTTGAAAATTCACTTGGTGTATTAAGGGTTACTTACATGGTTTATATCTGTAGTAGTATAGAAATTTGCTTTAGGAGTGAATATCACTTTCAATTAGTGGGTTAGAGCAGAGGCTACCAGGGTCCTACCCACATCTCCTCTCCTTACCACTTCAGTGTTTGCTAATGCTCTATCTTGCAATTACCAGCCCTTTTAACTCTTCACTGAGGGGCTTCCTCTGGCAGGTGGAGCGCAGTCTGACTGTGCAAGGGGCTGGCTACAAGTGCCACAATACAAGATAGTGTCCCCTAGGATGATGAATGAAGGTGTTTGTGTATAAATATCCCAACTTCTTTTCCAGTCGATAAGTCTAAGGGCCATGGCCTACACTGACTACCAGAATTTCCCAAGCAGAGTTATGCTCTATTATCTACAATGGTAACTGGCTTCAGAATTTATCCTTTTTTGGCTACTTTTCTTCCCTTAGTTTTCCTTTTACACTTTTCAACTTTTATACCAGTATTCCCTGGGATCACTTTACAAATAAACAACTTATTCTCACATCCTTATCTCAAAGTCTGCTTTATGAGTAATTCAAACCAAGAGTTAGGGAAATATACATATATTCAATTTGAAAACAAAATTAAATGAAGGTAATTTTGTTCTGTACTGGAGAACCTAGGATTTTAGCCATCAATCCATGTTTTTGAGATTGGTAAATGTAAGTAGAAGGGTATAATAGTTTTGCTTTTCATATTAGTTTTTATATTAACTTAAAGTATGCTGTTAGGACTTTGAATTATCAAGTTATCAAGAAGATTTAAACAGTAGTTCACAAGCTCTAGTATGCTTAAGAATTGCTTAGCATTTCTAATTCACATTTATTGTGTTATAAATGTGGATTCCTGGCCCCTACCTTCAGAGATTCTAATTCAGTAGGATTTCAGATTTACTATTAATAGTTATGCCACAAAAAAGCATTAGAAATACTTATGTAATATTCCACTTTGAAAAACACTGACCTAGGTGCCAACGTTTTAATTATTTGTATACCGTCATGGCCAACTGGGTTCTGCATGCATACAAGAAGGTTTCAGATGACTTGGATGACTGTACTGTGTCCTGGAATCCTAATGCTGTGCTGCTAATACTAAAACCTAGATTTAATTTTAATCTGATTCAGATGGCACTGTTTTATTCCTGTCTGCTTTTCTGTAAAGGTCGACATGGGGAGAGCAGTCTGGAACAAAAATAATGTGTGTTGTAGAATGGAGGGTGAGCAAAGCTTCAGTGGGGGTCTAAAGAATGTAGTGCTTCACCCTAACTTATAATATTTGCTCTTATTCTTGGCTTGAAGCTATTCTTCTTGTCCTCTTTCTGCCTAATAAAAACTCAGAGATAAGGCCACAGGGGCCCAGTGAGAGAAAGCATCATCACCATTCTCCACCCCATACTATGGATCCTGCACGATAGTGTTGTTGCATTTTCTAGATGATGACCACTTGTAAATTCTTCTAGAATTTAACTTATGCGTGCAATTTTACTTTTTTCATACTCACAAAATTTAATTTGGAGTTAGCATTCCTTCTATTCCTAGAGCTCCAATTGGCATCAAAAGGAAAATAATTGCTCCTTCAACTTTATTGGTATGGCAAGGTTATCTTCCTTCCTCACTAAATTTTATGATTGTCCAACTATAGAATTAACTAATCAAGACATTATTTCTTTGATGGAATAATATAAAATGATTGGAACTTCAGAGTAACGCACTATCCTGGAGCTTATTTTTGTAGAAATGAGAAGTATATTCCCCAAATTGTTAAAGGTATTAATTTGTTACTGTATATAAATTAGAGAAGTCTTGAAAAATTTAAATTATATTGGTCTCAGACGATTCATTCAAACTACTGGATTCCTAAAAAACAATAGGTGTGACTCTAGAAACATGGAGACAATCATGTACTTAAAAACATTTCACTTGCTTAGGATTGTCTTGCCTATACGGGCTCTTTTTTTGTTCCATATGAAACTTAAAGTAGTTTTTTCTAACTCTGTGAAGATAGTTGATGGTAGCTTGATGGGGACAGCATCAAATCTATAAATTACTTTGGGCAGTATGGCCATTTTTATGGTATCGATTTTTGGTATCCATGCTTATGGAATGTTTTTCCAGTTGTTTGTGTCCTCTCTCATTTCCTTGAGCAGTGGTTTGTAGTTCTCCTTGAAGAGGTCCTTCACATCCCTTGTAAGTTGTATTCCTAGGTATTTTATTCTCTTTGTAGCAATTGTGAATGGGAGTTCACTCATTATTTGGCTCCCTATTATTGGAGTATAGGAATGCTTGTGATTTTCACACATTGATTTTGTATCCTGAGACTTTGCTGAAGTTGCTTATCAGCTTAAGGACATTTTGGGCTGAGATGATAGGGTTTTCTAAATATACAATCAAGTCATCTGGAAAGAGAGACAATTTGACTTTCTCTCTTCCTATTTGAATACACTTTATTTCTTTCTCTTGCCTGATTGCCCTGGCCAGAGCTTCCAATGCTATGTTGAACAGGAGTGGTGAGAGAGGGCACCCTTTTCTTGTGCCAGTTTTCAAAGGGAATGCTTCCACCTTTTGTGCATTCAGTATGATATTGGCTGTGGGTTTGTCATAAATAGCTCTTATTATTTTGAGATACATTCCATCAATACCTAGTTTATTGAGGATTTTTAGCATGAAGGGGTGTTGAATTTTATCTAAGGTGTTTTCAGCATCTATTGAGATAATCATGTGGTTTTTGTCATTCATTCTGTTTATGTGAGGGATTAAGTTTATTGATTTGCATATGTTGATCCAGCTTTGCATCCCAGGGATGAAGCCGATTTGATCATGGTGGATAAGATTTTTGATGTGCTGTTGGATTCGGTTTGCCACTATTCTATTGAGGATTTTCACATTGGTGTTCATCAGAGATATTGGCCTGAAATTTTCTTTTTTTCTGTTGTGTGTCTGCCAGGTTTTGGTATCAGGATGATGCTGGCCTCACAAAATGAGTTATGGAGGAATCCCTCTTTTTCTATTGTTTGGAATAGTTTCAGAAGGAATGGTACCAGATCCTCTTTGTACCTCTGGTAGAATTCAGCTGTGAATCCTCTGGTCCTGTGCTTTTTTTGGTTGGTAGGCTATTAATTACTGCCTCAATTTCAGAACTCGTTATTGGTCGATTCAGGGATTTGACTTCTTCCTGGTTTAGTCTTGGGAGGGTGTATGTGTCCAGGAATTTATCCATTTCTTCTAGATTTCCTAGTTTATTTGTATGGAGGTGTTTACAGCATTTTCTTGTGGTAGTTTGTATTTCTGTCGGATCAGTGGTAATATCCCCTTTATCATTTTTTATTGTGTCTATTTGATTCTTCTCTCTTTTCTTCTTTATTAGTCTGGCTAGCGGTCTATTTTATTATTAAAAAAAAACAGCTCCTGGATTCATTTATTATTTTGAAGGGTTTTTCGTGTCTCTATCTCTTTCAGTTCTGATCTGATTTTAGTTATTTCTTGTCTTCTGCTAGCTTTTGGATTTGTTTGCTCTTGCTTTTCTAGTTCTTTTAATTGTGATGTTAGGGTGGCTATTTTACATCTTTCCTGCTTTCCCTTGTGGGTATTTAGTGCTATAAATTTTCCTCTACACACTGCTTTAAATGTGTCCCAGAGATTCTGGCACATTGTGTCTTTGTTCTCATTGGTTTCAAAGAACGTCTTTATTTCTACCTTCATTTTGTTATTTACCCAGTAGTCATTCAGGAGTAGGTTGTTCAGTTTCCATGCAGTTGTGCAGTTTTGAGTGAGTTCCTCAATCCTGAGTTCTAATTTGCTTGCACTGTGGTCTGAGACACAGGTTGTTATAATTTCCATTCTTTTGCATTTGCTGAGGGTGTTTTGCTTCCAATTATGTGGTCAATTTTAGAATAAGTCCAATGAGGCACTGAGAAGAATGTATCTTCTTTTGATTTGGGGTGGAGAGTTCTATAGATGTCTATTAGGTCCGCTTGGTCCAGAGCTGAGTTCAAGTCCTGAATATCCTTGTTAATTTTCTGTCTCTTTGATCTGTCTAATATTGACAATGGGGTGTTAAAGTCTCCCACTATTATTGTGACTTCAAAGTATACTACAAGGCTACAGTAACTAAAACAGTATGATACTGGTACCAAACAGATATGTAGACCAATGGAACAGAACAGAGGCCTCAGAAACAACACCACACATCTACAATCATCTGATCTTTGACAAACCTGACAAAAACAAGCAATGGGGAAAGGATTCCCTATTTAATAAATGGTGCTGGGAAAACTGGCTACCCATATGCAGAAAACTGAAACTGGGCCCCTTCCTGACACCTTATACAAAAATCCACTCAAGATGGATGAAAGACTTAAATGTAAGACCTAAAACCATACACACCCTAGAAGAAAACCTAGGCGATACCATTCAGGACATATGCATGGGTAAAGACTTCATGACTAAAACCCAAAAACAATGGCAAAAAAAGCCAAAAGTGACAAATGAAATCTAATTAAACTAAAGAGCTTCTGCACAGCAAAAAAAAAAAAAAAGAAAAAAAAATCATCAGAGTGAACAGGCAACCTACAGAATAGGAGAAAATTTTTGCAATCTATCCATCTGACAAAGAGCTAATATCCAGAATCTACAAATAACTTAAACAAATTTACAAGAAAAAAAACCCCATCAAAAAATGGGCAAAGGATATGAAGAGACACTTCTCAAAAGAAGACATTTGTATGGCCAACAAACATATGAAAAAAAGCTTATCATCAATGGTCATTACAGAAATGCAAATCAAAACCACAATGAGATACCATCTCACACCAGTTAGAATGGCGATCATTAAAAAGTCAGGAAACAACAGATGCTGGAGAGGATGTGGAGAAATAGGAATGCTTTTACACTGTTGGTGGGAGTGTAAATTAGTTGAATCATTGTGGAAGACAGTGTGGCGATTCCTCAAGGATCTAGAACCAGAAATATCATTTGACCCAGCAATGCCATAACTGGGCATATACCCAAAGGATTATAAATCATTCTACTATAAAGACACATCCACACATATGCTGATTGCAGCACTGTTCACAACAGCAAAGACTTGCAGACAACCCAAATGCCTATCAATGATAGATTGGATAAAGAAAATGTGGCACATATACACCATGAAATACTATTCAGCCATAAAAAGGATGAGTTCATGTCCTTTGCAGGGACACGGATGAAGCTGGAAACTGCCATTATCAGCAAACTAACCAGAAGAACACAAAACCAAACACCACATGTTCTCACTCACAAGTGGGAGTTGAACAATGAGAACACATGGACACAGGGAGGAGAACATCACACACTGGGGACTGTTGTGGGGGTTGTGGGGCTTGGGGAGGGATAGCATTAGGAGAAATACCTAATGTAGATGACAGGTTGATGGGTGCAGCAAACCACCATGGCACGTGTATACATATGTAACTAACCTTCACATTCTGCACATGTATCCCAGAACTTAAAGTGTAATTTAAAAAAAAATTCAAAGTTCAAAAATGCAAATTCATGGCCAGTTACTCTATATGTCACCCCACTATTGATGTTCCATCACGGACAGAAAATTATTTTACTATTATTATTTTTATTATTTTTCTTTTGAGATGGAGTCTCACTCTGTCACCCATGCTGGAGTGCAGTGGCGGTATCTCGGCTCACTGCAACCTCCGCCTCCCGGGTTCAAGCGATTCTCCTGCCTCAGCCTCCTGAGTAGTTGGGACTACAGGCATGTGCCACCACACCCAGCTATTTTTGTATTTTCAGTAGAGATGGGGTTTTGCCATGTTGGCCAGGCTGGTCTCGAGCTCCTGACCTCAGGTGATCCACCTGCCTCAGCTTTCCAAAGTGCTGGGATTACAGGCATCAGCCACCGCGCATGGCCAGGACAGGAAATTCTAACTCTTGTTAATTTTTCCTAGGTAATTTTTTTTGGTACTTCTAGCAGAAAAAAAACTAAAGTAAGGAATTTCTTTAGACTAGCAATCTCAAACATTTTGTTCTTAAGGGATCTCAAGCATATATTGCATGATAAATTTAAAATGAGATAAAATTAAACATTTATTATTTCATTTAAAATAACAAACCTAACACATGTTAACATGATTAAATAAGATTGTGAAAATAATTATATTTTCTTTTTTTAATTTTATTTTATTAATATTATACTTTAAGTTTTAGGGTACATGTGCACAATGTGCAGGTTAGTTACACATGTATACATGTGCCATGCTGGTGTGCCGCACCTATTAACTCGTCATTGAGCATTAGGTATATCTCCTAAACCTATCCCTCCCCCCTCCCCCCACCCCACAACAATCGCCAGAGTGTGATGTTCCCCTTCCTGTGTCCATGTGTTCTCATTGTTCAATTCCCACCTATGAGTGAGAACATGCAGTGTTTGGTTTTTTGTCCTTGCGATAGTTTACTGAGAATGATGATTTCCAATTTCATCCATGTCCCTACAAAGGACATGAGCTCATCATTTTTTATGGCTGCATAGTATTCCATGGTGTATATGTGCCACATTTTCTTAATCCAGTCTATCATTGTTGGACATTTGGGTTGGTTCCAAGTCTTTGCTACTGTGAATAGTGCCTCAATAAACATATGTGTGCATGTGTCTTTATAGCAGCAAGATTTATAGTCCTTTGGGTATATACCCAGTAATGGGATGGCTGGGTCAAATGGTATTTCTAGTTCTACATCCCTGAGGAATCGCCACACCGACTTCCACAATGGTTGAACTAGTTTACAGTCCCACCAAAAGTGTAAAAATGTTCCTATTTCTCCACTTCCTCTCCAGCATCTGTTGTTTCCTGACTTTTTAATGATTGCTATTCTAACTGGTGTGAGATGGTATCTCATTGTGGTTTTGATTTGCATTTCTCTGATGGCCAGTGATGGTGAGCATTTTTTCATGTGTTTTTTGGATGCATAAATGTCTTCTTTTGAGAAGTGTCTGTTCATGTCCTTCGCCCACTTTTTGATGGGGATGTTTTTTTCTTGTAAATTTGTTTGAGTTCATTGTAGATTCTGGATATTAGCCCTTTGTCAGATGAGTAGGTTGTGAAAATTTTCTCCCATTTTGTAGGTTGCCTGTTCACTCTGATGGTAGTTTCTTTTGCTGTGCAGAAAATCTTTAGTTTAATTAGATCCCATTTGTCAATTTTGGCTTTTGTTGCCATTGTTTTTGGTGTTTTAGACATGAAGTCCTTGCCCATGCCTATGTCCTGAATGGTAATGCCTAGGATTTCTTCTGGGGGTTTTATGGTTTTAGGTCTAATGTTTAAGTCTTTAATCCATCTTGAATTAATTTTTGTATAAGGTGTAAGGAAGGGATCCAGTTTCAGCTTTCTACATATGGCTAGCCAGTTTTCCCAGCACTTTTTATTAAATAGAGAATCCTTTCCCCATTGCTTTTCTCAGGTTTGTCAAAGATCAGATAGTTGTAGATATGCAATGCTATTTCTGAGGGCTCTGTTCTGTTCCATTGATCTATATCTCTGTTTTGGTACCAGTACCATGCTGTTTTGGTTACTGTGGCCTTGTAGTATAGTTTGAAGTCAGGTAGCATGATGCCTCCAGCTTTGTTCTTTTGGCTTAGGATTGACTTGGCGATGTGGGCTCTTTTTGGTTCCATATGAACTTTAAAGTAGTTTTTTCCAATTCTGTGAAGAAAGTCATTGGTAGCTTGATGGGGATGGCATTGAATCTATCAATTACCTTGGGCAGTATGGCCATTTTCAAGATATTGATTCTTCCTACCCATGAGCATGGAATGTTCTTCCATTTGTTTGTATCCTCTTTTATTTCCTTGAGCAGTGGTTTGTAGTTCTCCTCGAAGAGGTCCTTCACATCCCTTGTAAGTTGGATTCCTAGGTATTTTATTCTCTTTGAAGCAATTGTGAATGGGAGTTCACTCATGATTTGGCTCTCTGTTTGTCTGTTATTGGTGTATTAGAATGCTTGTGATTTTTGTACATTGATTTTGTATCCCGAGACTTTGCTGAAGTTGCTTATCAGCTTAAGGAGATTTTGGGCTGAGACAATGGGGTTTTCTAGATATACAATCATGTCATCTGCAAACAGGGACAATTTGACTTCCTCTTTTCCTAATTGAATACCCTTTATTTCCTTCTCCTGCCTAATTGCCCTGGCCAGAACTTCCAACACTATGTTGAATAGGAGTGGTGAGAGAGGGCATCCCTGTCTTGTGCCAGTTTTCAAAGGGAATGCTTGCAGTTTTTGCCCATTCAGTATGATACTGGCTGTGGGTTTGTCATAGATAGCTCTTATTATTTTGAGATACGTCCCATGAATACCTAATTTATTGAGAGTTTTTAGCATGAAGGTTGTTGAATTTTGTCAAAGGCCTTTTCTGCATCTATTGAGATAATCATGTGGTTTTTGTCTTTGGTTCTGTTTACATGCTGGATTACATTTATTGATTTGCATATATTGAACCAGCCTTGCATCCCAGGGATGAAGTCCACTTGATCATGGTGGATAAGCTTTTTGATGTGCTGCTGGATTCGGTTTGCCAGTATTTTATTGAGGATTTTTGCATCACTGTTCATCAAGGATATTGGTCTAAAATTGTCTTTTTTGGTTGTGTCTCTGCCAGGCTTTGGTATCAGGATGATGCTGGCCTCATAAAATGAGTTAGAGAAGAATCCCTCTTTTTCTATTGATTGGAATAGTTTCAGAAGGAATGGTACCAGTTCCTCCTTGTACCTCTCGTAGAATTCGGCTGTGAATCCATGTGGTCCTGGACTCTTTTTGGTTGGTAAGCTATTGATTATTGCCACAATTTCAGAACCTGTTATTGGTCTATTCAGAGAGTCAACTTCTTCCTGGTTTAGTCTTGGGAGGGTGTATGTGTCGAGGAATTTATCCATTTCTTCTAGATTTTCTAGTTTATTTGCGTAGAGGTGTTTGTAGTCTTCTCTGATGGTAGTTTGTATTTCTGTGAGATCGGTGGTGATATCCCCTTTATCATTTTTTATTGCGTCTATTTGATTCTTCTCTCTTTACTTCTTTATTAGTCTTGCTAGCGGTCTATCAATTTTGTTGATCCTTTCAAAAAACCAGCTCCTGGATTCATTAATTTTTTGAAGGGTTTTTTGTGTCTCTATTTCCTTCAGTTCTGCTCTGATTTTAGTTATTTCTTGCCTTCTGCTAGCTTTTGAATGTGTTTGCTCTTGCTTTTCTAGTTCTTTTAATTGTGATGTTAGGGTGTCAATTTTGGATCTTTCCTGCTTTCTCTTGTGGGCATTTAGTGCTATAAATTTCCCTCTACACACTGCTTTGAATGTGTCCCAGAGATTCTGGTATGTTGTGTCTTTGTTCTTGTTGATTTCAAAGAACATCATAAAGAAAATAATTATATTTTCAAACACCCCCAAGAATTTTGAAGACTTGCAGAAAAATAATCTGCTCTCCCGGTGCCAATATTCTGTTGAAAGTCATAAATCCTTACTTTAAATAACTATTGAAATATTTGTGTCATTATTAGTTCACTACAGACTTAAATAAAAATCCACTGCTGTATGCAGCACCTTAAGATGAATTATAAATTATTCCTGTCTCATTCACTCAAGATACAAAATCTTAGATAGAATACCCAACTTGCTAAGCCTAAGCCATATCCCCTTGACACGGGGTTGAGAGATATGGTATCTAACTTCTCCTACATCCTAGTAAGGTATCCTAAAATTTAAATAAGAGTAATCATTACGGAAAAGGAAAGACCCCTAATCTCTCCTCTTATGTTTAACTTGTCATGATATGTGGTTATAAAGAAATGTATATATGTGTGTTTCTATATGTACATACACACACACACATATATATAGTGTTTCTGTATGTAAACACATACATACATACATATTTATGTGTATAAATATGCAATGTATTCATATGTTGATATCTCGGAATGCAGCACAATGAATCCTGTAAACATCCTGAAATCCAATTGTCTCTGTCATTTAAAATGTTTTTAGGCTTAATAGTCAGAAATGGTATTTTTTTAATTTAAAAAATGTTTTAGCTTCCCCCATCCGTTTAGTTTTAGTTGACATGTAATAATTGTATATATTTATGGGATACAGAGTGATATTTTAATACATGTACATAATATATAATGATCAAATCAGGGTAATTAGCATATGATACCTATCACCTGAAACATTTTACCTTTCTTTGTGCTGTGAACATTCAAAAATCTTCTCTTCTAGCTTTTTGGAAATATACAAAAATGATAATGAACCATATTCACCCTGTGATGCTTCAGAACACCCAAACTCATTCCTCCTATCTAGCTGTAATTTTGAATCCTTTATGCAAGTTCTCCTCCTCCTCCCCCTTATGCTTCCCAGCCTCGAATACCCACAACTCTACTCTCTACTGGAACTGGATACATTAAGGAAAATAAAATAAAGTATATTAGTAAGATTAATTTCACATGTCCTTGCTTTGTAAAATGTGGCTACTAAAAAATTTTAAATTACATATGTGGATAATATTATATCTCTACTGAACAGCACAGATCTATGGGACAGGAAAGGAAACCAATAATTAACAGGGTTGACAATTAAAGCAACAGAAAGAAGGTGGCACATGCATTTTATTTTAAGTTTTCCGAGATAGGAAATATTGAATTGGAGATTATTCATATTTTAGGAAAGTAGTGAACGGAGGCAATTAAAAATAAAAATCTTTTTTTTTTAGCATAAATTCAGTTTAGTGATTAGGAACTTGAGATTTTGCAGCCCATTACCTAATCAGAGACTATTACTACTTACGAAAAAATTCTCATGTGTAAATAGTCCCTTTTTCTTTGTAAAAGCTTGACCGAGTATTTTGCTTATGTCTCAGACTGTCATGGGGCCAAGAAGGGCTGGAAGAAGTGGATGTTTTTATTTCAATTGATTGCTTTTTGACCCTTTCCTAAGTGACAGGAGGAGTTTCATTCTTTCCTCCTCAATTGATCTTCTCACTGATTGTTTAAACAAGTGGACCATATCTTGGTTAGGTAAATCTACAGAAAATAAATGAAGAGTATGTTCTGACCTTAAACAAATGAAGTATTTTTTAAAAATCTTTTTATTATAGAGATCCAAATTTATCTGAAGATAATTACCTACCCTAATAGTAATCAATACCTGGCCAATCAGACCCTATTCACATCTACATCCATTTAGCACCTCCCTCCATCCCATATATTTAAATCCCAGATATCATACCATTTTATCTATAAACATTTCAGTATGTATTTCAGAAAATAAGGACTCTTTGTATAAAAAAACAAGGCTACAATAGCATTATCATACCTAAAAAGTAATTCTTGATTAATAAACCTTTGGTAGCATCAAATCTGCTCAGTGTAAAAAAATTTACTGGAATATTTTCATGGTGATTAAATGCAGATTAATACCAGGCTCTGAAACTTACATAGTTTTATGATATGCCATAAATAATTTACCTTTTCATGTTTCAATATATGAATTTTGATCATCTTCTCATGCTGATTTCTGAGAAAATAAAAATAGAATCAAATTGTTATCTTATTATGTCCCTCTGATTATAATACTCCTTGGCAATATAAAAATATTTTGTAACACAATTTATCCCTTAGGAACAAACTGAATTACCATTATGATTATTAACCACTAGATGCCACAGTTGCTTCACACAAATGAAATTAACTCAGCCTTGATCTGTCAAGAAAAAATGATAACATTCAAAATAGCTTAGTAAAATCCTGATTCAAAGTGTCAGTACAAGCCTAATCTTGATTATACCTTGTAACAGAAGCATAAACTGAACATTCATGTATATATTGACCTTTTACTTTCATAAATGATCAAAGAATGATTCCACCCTTTAAAGTCACTTGCGCCTTTTCTGTGATTTTAAAGTTATTAGTAACCTTTTCCAATTAGTTTTAATATCTAATGTAGTCCCATTAGAGCAGTTTGCTCAAAGACTCTCTGCTAAGTATAGCAGACTTTGTCTTGGGGTGGTTGACATTAAAGTCTTTCCAAAGCCACAGGAACACAATCTCTACAAGAAGAAATCTGTCTTCACTGTGAATCCAGATGATACCTTATGTTCCAGTAGCTACAGCTCAGAGAAGGTGGCAAATAATTCATATGTTACTGTAGTCTAATATGGACATATTTGAAATAGTTAAAGGGTTTAGGAAAGACAGAAAATCAGTTTTGTAATTTTCTTTGTAAACTATTATAATTTTAGAAGGATTTTATTATTGCTTTTTTCTCAAAATCCACTATAGAGGTGCTTCACAGAGATTTTATGAGATGGTTCACAAGTATACTTATTGGCACATTCTTGCTTAGATAAGAACAGCAACTATATGAGACATTTTTTCCAGAGTTATTATTATAGAATTACCTATATTTGTGTATTCTTTCCTCTAACACAGTATATAGATTTTTATTATATTTTGGTATGCAATTATGTTTATTTTTCTTCAATGTTAGTTCCATGAAAATTTCCTCCTCAACAACCCTTACATCCAATTGACATTTTTAAAAATTATTCCTATAACTTATTACTTAATGTTTTGAAAATAAAAAAGTGAGTTCTTGATAGAGATTTCCCAGAAAATTACCTCCTCTAAAAGTCATGTATCTTCAGAACTAAAGTGAGATGAGAAAATTACTTCACTGACTTTGGGAAACGCCCACAAATAACACCCACAAATAACAGGAATCTGAATACATATAAAATTAAATTTACATAAAAATCTTTTCCCAAAGCTTCTACTTATTACAAATAAGGAAAGGGGCAGACACTGTGCAGGAAGAAAAAAAAAAGAGGCTTGTTTTTTCCCTTCTATTCTCAAGTGATGAGGTCACTTCAATAAAGATTTAAATGTTTTCTCTAATTCTACCCTTGTCCCACTGCAGTTTATTTTCTCCCCATAGGAGCTAGAATGATCTTTGTAAACAATAAATAAAAACCAGATCACTACTCTACACAACAGCTTCATTGTCACTCGGAATAAAAGCCAAAGTCTTTATGAATGTCTGCAAGGATCTATATATGCACTGTCCAATATGGTAGTCCCTAGCCACTTGTGTCTATTGAACATTGGAAATGTGGCTAGTTTGAATTCAGGTGTGCTGTAAGTGATGAGCACACAATGGTTTTGAAAAATTAGTACTAATAAAAAGGATGTAAAATATCTCCCGATATTTTGGGTATATTAAGTTGAATAAAAAGTATGAAAATCAATTTCACCTGTTTTTAAATGAGGCTTCTAGAAAAAAATTAAATTATATATCTTGCAGTTGTGGCTCACATTATAATTCTATTCAGCACTGACCTAAATTATCAACAAGTCATCCGCTTCCTCCTTTTTCCAATCTACTTTGGCCTCTGCTGCGTCTCAATATGCCATGTCTGTGTCAAAGACTTGTGTTAGCTACTCCTTCTCCTTGAAAAGTATTATTTCAGATATCTTCAGGATTAGTTTCCTCACTTTTTTCTGTTTTCTGCTAAAAGTATCAGAAAGAACTTTCCTGACGTATCAGTTTTAAGTGGCCTCACCCAACACATAATACACTCACTATCCTTCTCTTTTTTTTAAATAAACACTTACACCGACATATTACAGATATTTCTTTATATGTAAAAATACTTCATATACACACATGCATGCGTGTGTGTGTGTGTGTGTGTGTGTGTGTGTGTGTGTAATCTCCTCTTAGAATACAAGTCCCATGAAGTCAGGACTTTGTTTTGTCTACGTTTTTTTTCTCAGTGATAGTGTCTGCCTCACAGTACATACTAAATAAGTATCTGTTAAATAAATGAAAAGATGAAATGTAATAAAAATAAGATGATAGATACCATGAGAGAGACGTTTTAGCATAAGGGAAGGGATTAGAAAATGAGAACATTTCCCAAGTGTTTACAATGAACTAAACATTATGTTAAGCACTTCATATAGTATATTAATAAAGCCTCACAGAAATGAATTTACAGATGAGAAATCAAAAACTTAGAATTTTCACAACTTGCCCAAGGTCACTTGTCTCATATGTAATATCACTTCAATGATTTCATTTTATCTGAATCTTTTCTAGTGCCTTCCCTGACTCCCATACTAAATTAGATGCTCTTATAAATATTCTCAGAGTACTCTGTATTTCTATTCATATCATTTATCACCATTGTAATTCATTTCCTAGTGTGATGTTTAATGTGTCTTCTTCAATGCACTATAAGCTTCATGATGGGAAGCACTGAATAGTTTGTTGACATCTCCATGTCCAGAGCCTTCCACCTTGTCTAATGTTTAATCTCTAATATACACTTGTTGAATAAGTGAATGAAATTAACTTCCTCTCCAAATATTCCAAACAGTTGATGAATTGGGTTATTTATGCCCAATGAGAATTAATGATTTTGTAGATCAACAATATGAATGGCATCCATTACCATAAAGCCCAGTTGAATACTGCAGGGGAGAGGGTACTGGTGTGTAGGTGGACTTATTTGTCCTTTACTGTTGACCATATGCAATAGGAAATCCTCTGTAAATGTGCTGTCCTACATGGTAACCCCTAGCCACATGGGGCTATTTAAATAAAAAGTAATTAAAATTAAATAAAATGAAAATTCATTTCTTCAATCACACTAGTCACCTTTCAATGCTCCATAATTTTATGTGGCTACTGTCTTATCAGCACAAATAAAAAAAAATTTCCATTATAGCGAAAGTTCTATTGAATAGTACTATTCTAGAAATTTTAAAATGCCTTTGACGATTTAAAAATCAGAAGGGGCCTGTTTGACTAGCTTTGTATTCTAACTAAAATTTAACTTTGAGAGAGCCCAGTAATCTGTATTCCCAAGTGTCTCTGGGAAAAACCTAGACATGGAAAAGGAGCTTCATTGTCCAGCAGATGAAACATTTAGTCAGACGTGCTCATGCACAGCCAGGGACCGGTGTGGAAAGAACCATTCCTCCAAAGGCTCCAGGCAGGCCTAGTGTTCCAGGGACGCTGCCAGCACCTCGCTGGATCGAGCCATTATGTCTAATGCCATTCAATACCATCCCTTTGCGTTTGATGTCTAAAACAGAAGACTGAAATTTGAAGAGAAGGAAGTACTTGGGATGCCAAATGCACCCCAGACTATAGCTTTATGCACAACCTTTAGAGAGAAATTTGTTAATGCTCCCTTCTTCAAAAATCATATACCTTCAGGTAATTTCTTCCTAACGTAACTAAGGCACAATGATTTTGGCCAATACAGCTTAACTTTTTTTGAGATTCTGTTGCTGGACAATTTTCCTCCCTCATTGGAGAGGTAAAATTTTCCTGTCTTTGCCTTAGAAAATAAAACGGTTCATAGGCAAGAATAAAAATCATATCCTCCATTTTATTTTTTGATTAAGTTCACTTATTTTGTGGGGGTAAGAATTTCTTTCGTTTGGATCTTCAGGGTATTGGCCCTGTGAATGTGTGCCCATTTCTCCACTATTTGCCAGTCCCACTGAGCCAATCTTCTACCAAGACTGAAAATAGACCATAGTTCTCATTTCTTGAACAGATATCATCAGGAGAGCCGAGGGGGAGACCATTAGGCAGCCCCACATTTTCCAACTCAACAGGTGGAGGACATGGGATTTTTACGTTCTTTGGGGATTGAACCCCCACACACCACCAACTCCCTTAGCCTTTCAGGATAAGTATTTCCAATCCCTCAGAGATTTTCTTAGGAGAGACCCTAACGACAATGGTGCTTCTGTGAAGGACTGAGGAGAGCTGGTGGACGATGCAGGTAGGAGGGAAGTTAGGCTGGGAGGAGAGGTGCTGGGATGGGACGTTTGGTTTCCTGACAAGTGACCGACTAGAGAGAGAAGGCGCGGAGTGGCAGCGGTAAGAACAACGTGGAAAGGACGGAAAACGCGAAGAGTGGCGCCCTGGCGGACCTGGGGCGGGGCAGAGTGGTAAGGGTCACGCCAGGACGTACCCGGCTGTGGGCCGGGGGAGGAGAGCACGGTGGGACAGCAACGAACTTGCTGGGGGCTCCCGGACCCGAGCTCCGCCGATGAGGTCAGCGGAGCCTAGGCGCCGGGAGGAGGCCAGTAGAGCCCCCAGACACGAGTGTCGGGAGGCCAGCGGAGGGGCGGGACGGGACGGGAAATGGGACGAAGAGCAAGAGCTGGGGGAGGAGGGAAGAGGGGGCGTCGGCGCTGCAAGCCGGAGGCGGCCCGACAGGGATCGTTTCCTTCCGGAGAGGAGGCCGGCTCTGGACTGAGGCGCGGACGGGGGGCGTCCAAGGGCGGGTGACGGGGAAATACCGCGGCCCGCGCTTCTCTCCGGCTGGCAGCGGTGCCGCCTGCGGCTCCTCCTCCGGGCCAGCTCGGAGCCCGGCGGCGGGGGGAGCGGGAGGCGGGAGTGAGGGCGGGGGCTCGGGAAGGAGGGAGGAGGGAGGGCCCAGGCGCGCCACTGACAGGGTGGCAGCCTAGGAGCGGACGCGTTGCCGCCGCCGCTGCTCCTCCTCCTCCTCCTGCAGCTCCTCCAGCTGCCGCTGCTGCCGCCGCTGCCGCCACCGCCGCCGCCGGGAGAAGTTTCACTCCCGACCCTTGCTCGGAGCCCCGGCCCAGAGCTGAGCGGGAGCCCGGCAGGCAGCTGCAGCCCGCGGCAGTCGAGGCGTCCGCGGCGCTTCGACCTCCAGCCGGTGTCGGCGCCTAGGCGGCCGGCTGCGGCCGCGGCTGGGGGCGCAAAGGCGGAGGAGGGGCGGGTGTGAGCCGGGGAAACCGCGTGCCGCGCCGCGACAGCCCAGCGAGCGTCCGCGCCCGGGACAGCCGCGATGGCTGTGCGCTCTCGCCGCCCGTGGATGAGCGTGGCATTAGGGCTGGTGCTGGGCTTCACCGCCGCGTCCTGGCTCATCGCCCCCAGGGTGGCGGAGCTGAGCGAGAGGAAGAGACGTGGCTCCAGCCTCTGCTCCTACTACGGTCGCTCTGCTGCTGGCCCCCGCGCCGGCGCTCAGCAGCCGCTCCCCCAGCCCCAGTCCCGACCACGGCAGGAGCAGTCGCCGCCCCCCGCGCGCCAGGATCTCCAGGGGCCACCGCTGCCCGAGGCAGCACCCGGGATCACCAGTTTTCGAAGCAGCCCCTGGCAGCAGCCACCTCCGCTGCAGCAGCGGCGGCGAGGACGCGAGCCTGAGGGCGCGACGGGGCTTCCCGGTGCTCCAGCGGCCGAGGGGGAGCCCGAGGAGGAGGACGGGGGCGCGGCTGGGCAGCGGAGAGACGGCCGGCCGGGGAGTAGCCACAACGGCAGCGGGGACGGGGGCGCTGCCGCCCCGAGCGCCCGACCCCGGGACTTCCTGTACGTGGGGGTGATGACCGCGCAGAAGTACCTGGGCAGCCGCGCGCTGGCCGCGCAGCGGACCTGGGCGCGTTTCATCCCGGGCCGCGTGGAGTTCTTTTCCAGCCAGCAGCCCCCCAACGCCGGCCAGCCCCCGCCACCCCTGCCTGTCATCGCGCTACCGGGTGTGGACGACTCCTATCCTCCCCAGAAAAAGTCCTTCATGATGATCAAGTACATGCACGACCACTACCTGGACAAGTATGAGTGGTTCATGCGCGCCGACGACGATGTCTACATCAAAGGTGACCTCCCTGCGCCGGCTTTCCAGCCTGCCAGTCTCCCCGACTCCTTTCTCTGTAACCGGTCCTAGCCCCTGCCCAGCCCCTCCGCTGCTTCTCTGCCAGCACGTGCTTCGGGCTCCCACAGGCCCTGGCCCGCCCTCCCCACCCCTTGCATCCGCCCACAATTCGTAGCCCGTTCCTCGTCTTCTGCAATCTGGACCCTCCTCACACCTGCCTGGCTTTATTCGCCTTCCTCACTTGCTGTTTTCGGTGCCGCCTCGCGCTTGTCCCTTAGTCTTTACCTCGTCGGAGAGGTTAGAAAAGGAACCTTAGAGCTAAACCAAAGGCCATTCCCACTCTGCCCTCCTCTGAAAGCCCCTGCTGATGGTAGTTTCCCCAATCGGTCCAGAGGGGCGTGGTCTTCAGGAAGGGAAGACGGAGGATGCTAGCTACAACTAGTCTGGAGATCCAGTGTTCTGGCTTTGGATCTTGCTCTTTTGTTTAAACTGGATCTAGCGCACTTTTGGAACTGCTCAGATTGAGGAATCGTCTTCGCTGTCCCGGACCCTTTCCTATGTGTTCCCTTCCCTTTGGCTCAACTCTCCACATACTGGGAGTCCTTGGCCATCCCCACCGTGCCAGCGCGCTGCTCCTTCCAGCCGCTACAGTTCAGCACCAAGCCGTCCCCCATCCCCCCGCCACACCTCAATAAAACCCTGAGAGGATGGGCATGTTGTAAGGAATTGGTGGTGGGGGAAAAGAGGAAAGCACCCGCTAATAAGCCAGACCCCTGGGAACAGCAGACTGTACTAGCACACACTAGTATTGGTTCCTTTCCAGTGCATTTTGTTGGCCGCGGTGATAAGCAGAGGCTGGAAGTCCTTCCCAGAACCACAGGCAGCCACAGCAAGAAAAAACTTTTTTTGTCAGTTTAAAAGAGGCGCGGTCTTTTTCCCGGAATGTGGGCGGCTCTGGACAGAGAATTTCTAAACTCAGCGGATCAAAGTTCTTTAGGTCAGAGAAGTGAATCTTTCCAGTCCAGCCAGTTGCTGAGATGGGGAGCAACGCAAGGGAAGCAGCAGGGTTGTACCGAATGAGGTTTCTCTGTGTTTTCCACATTTCCTTGCTTCCCGGTCAAAGGGGGGCAGCCCTTCCTTATTTTATGCCTTTCTACTCGTAGCCTCATTGCTTCCTCCTGATTCGGATAGTACTTTTCACATAATGCAAGAAAAACGAACAAAAAGCCAAACAATAAACCCAAACTGTTGCATTTTGGCACAAGGAATTAGTGTAATCATAATAACTAGAGATTTCTTGGCTTTGGATTGGAAGGAGGGAAGTCACTCTAGAGCAGGTTGGAATAGAAAATACTGATAATTGGATATAAAAATAAAGAATGGTCTCATTACATTTTTAACAGTGGTATTTAGGATTGACTCAAAGAAGAAAGCTTCCTCTACTTTAAGTTCCTTGCCTTGGATATCTCAAAATTACAAAGGTTTCCTGGCAGAAGTTTGCCACATTTTGCAGGGAATTTATAAAATGCATTAACAGCACCTACTTCTTTCATTTGTTTTAATACTTTGAAAGATTGTCCTTCAGAACATTAAAATGACATATTATTTCAATTTCTATTAAGAATGAAATGTGTTTTGAATTAAGAATCCAATAATAGCTGAAACTCATTGAGATACACGGGGCAAGGCATGGGATCAAGATAATGACTGCAGATGCTGTGCTCATCAAAAATGGTAGTAAAGATGCTGACTGGGAATATGAAGAAGGTGACTCTCTACTTATTCCAATGTATCACTTGGAATACCAAGTGCTTCTCAACTGTTTTAGCTGCAAAATTTTATTTTTAAACGTTTTTTCTGAACTTAACAAACTGCAAGTGAAACCAATTACACTAATTTTTGACAAACTTTTTTCTAAAAAGGTGCCTTCCCAAATTAAATTTCAAGACAGGTTTGATTCAAACATCCTCCAAAACTGTGCGGGTTGTATATGACTGAAGTTTAGTTAATGGCAAAACACTGAACTAAACCAATTATGAGTAAAAAATAATTATTAGGTATTAAGAGTCAGCCAAAACAATGCTAAATACCAGTATTTAATATTATTTTATATTCCTGGGAACTTCTTGTTACTTCAAATGTACTAAGAAACCTGTCTTTACTTTCCTTGTCATTATTTCACTTTTTACAGAAAATTGATGATTGTCAGAGCTGTTAAGGTTTTTCAGTGACCTTAACCAGAAGCTGGTACAATTTTAATATGTTTAAATTAATAACTATGAATTAGTCTTTTAAAAATAATAGAGTATTGGAAGAGGCTTTTTCTTCTTTTCAGTTGTGTAAGACTGAGGATTTTAAGCACAATGTTGAAAGTTCTGTCCCTTACCTTGTACATGATAAGTGATTATGAAATAAGGAGACATAGTAATTGTTGCCTTTCTTTTTGTAGGTGATAAATTAGAAGAGTTTCTTAGATCGCTAAACAGCAGTAAGCCTCTCTACCTGGGACAGACTGGCCTGGGGAATATTGAAGAGCTTGGAAAGCTGGGACTGGAGCCTGGGGAAAACTTCTGTATGGGAGGACCTGGCATGATCTTTAGCCGAGAAGTTCTCAGGAGGATGGTGCCACATATTGGTGAATGCCTTAGAGAAATGTACACGACTCATGAGGATGTGGAAGTAGGAAGATGCGTTCGCCGTTTTGGTGGGACTCAGTGTGTCTGGTCTTACGAGGTAAGCATGGAGCTGTGATGAAAATGTTCACATAGTACATATACATGCCATTTTATAATCTAGGGCAGCGATTCTATTCATTCTCTCTGTATCTTTGTATTTACTTGAAAGTGATAGTAGCAGCCCTTAAGGGATACAAGAGTGGGAGATAACTTTCTCATTAGGTGTCAGGCCTGTCTGAGACTTTGTTATTAGCATGCCCCTTAACTTTAAGCAGTGGCCTATACTTATGGCCACATCTCTGGAAGATGCTTATATCCTCCCCTGCTTGATTTATTGGTGCTTATATACATGTGAATCTATTTCCCTTTTCTAACAAGAGGTTTAATTTTACTCTTCTCTTTAGCTGTAGCCTTTAGCATTTGGTACTGTGCCTTTTTATTTTATTTTATTTTATTTTGGTTAGGTGTGTAATGGCATCTCTTTGTTTTTAAATGGTTAAAATCTGAAGTTTCTTTGGATATTTTCCAGTGGAAATTTAACATATTTTTAAAAGTATCAGAAAAGTAAACTAATAGTGTATCATTTATGGTAGATGTATTCACAAAATTCCAATCACTGTATTTCCTTAGGCATACAAAAGGAATGAGTTGTCTGGAAAAAAGCAGAAGTTTAAATGGTGTGCAGTAGCTGCTTAGTATTTTTGACAGGTTCCCTAAAATTTGTTTATGTCTATTCTTATGCTATTTTCTGAAAAGGAACCATTATTTAAATAATCTTAGCTATTTATTTATTGCCGTGATCATTTTTATGAAATACTTAGAGATTTTTTCTTCAGAAATTGATTTTGAAATGTAATAACATTTTATTTAAAATAGATTTCCTAAAAGATAATTTTAGTAAAAATTTATTTAACATTAAAATAATGTATTGTTTTTAGTATAGTTTGGTTTTCAAGTAGTTGGAATTTAGTATTATTTTAGCTACGGAGTGCACAGCTTTGTAAATTATATCTTAACTCCTTTGCTTATGTTTTCAAACTTTTCATGTCACTTAGTATAGAAGAAACATTTTATGAAAATATGTTCCCTGTGAAGTCACCAAACACACAGTTTCATTTGTTTTTTTTGTATTGTAAGTGTAGTCTCACTATAGTTAATTTTGCTTTCTCTTTCATACTTTGTGGTATTTATACTTTGGGGACATATTTTATACATTACAGAAAGTAAAATTTATTAGTCATTTGAAATAGGCATGAAAATTTGAAATGATTATGTTGCTGATTTCTTTTGATAATAAAATGGTAATTTGTAAAAACTATCCTACAACTACCCTTTAGGATAAAAATTTATGTAAAAACATTACAGTTTAGAGACAGGTAATCTAGAATAAACTCAATAAAATATTTCTTCCTTTGTTATAAAACAAAGTAAAAGACAAAAATATTCAATACAGAGAACATATTCAGTTGATTTTGTTTACATGCTGTTATTGTTTTGCAGGTATTTACTTTGCATGGATAAGTAAAAAAATATTTGTGTGGATAAGTAAAAAAATCTCACCTGTAGTTAACAATATAGATGGGAAATTATTGTGTTTTATAGGATACTTTATTACCTTAACATAATATATAAAATTTTAACCAAGATAGTGTTTAGGTGTTCTTCTTTTCAAGTTCTCATTGATTCTGCTGTGAAGGCCTAGTCTTCACCTAGCATTCCATTCATTCATGTTCAAGACAGTAAGATATGCACAAAAATTGGGAGCTCAAAAATTGATTTAATATTTTATTTATAATATAGGCCTTTGTTCTGGTTAAAGTGAAGAGAAGTTATATTATAGATGTGCACCCTGTCTATTAGAATAAGTGCAATCTTAGATCCTTTTATTAACTGATGTAAGAGCAAACAAAAGAGATTCCAAGTCTTACAGGCTGTAACCTGGTGAATATAACATTTTCCATAACTTTTCGTAATACATTTGAATTTAGACTGACACTTGACCATCACTGACTTATGAATCCGTATAAAACTAAACTAATTGTCTCAACATGTTTTCCTAGCATTATAAAATATTTTCTAGATAAGTACTGTTGACTTTATGTTTTGCTAAGTTATTATATAGAATTTACTTTGTATTGGGATTTCAGTCATTAAAGGAGCTATTTAAACAGTATTTATTTAAGGGAGGCATTGATTTAATTCTAATAAAAAATCTCAAAAGTCTTATATAGAGAAATGATGGTAAATTTTATTACCAAGAGATATGTGAAAAAGCATTGTTAGCAAAACTAGTAAAGATACATATACAAAGAGATTATATCTAAATTTTAATACTAGATTGTGTTCTATGTTTCATGAGACACCTAAGTACGTAACTTGGGGCACAGCTAAACTGGTTATAACATTCACAGATCCCATACTTCACTTTCTAATTTGGATTTTATGTTAGTGGAAATGGTGTCCATATATGATACTGTTCATATTATATAGAAAGATTGGTCTATTCTACTCCAGGTTGGCATTCTCAGTAAAGGTGAGATTTTACATCTGCTCATTAAAAAAGCTATGAAATTGATCATTACTTTTTTTCCCATAGTTCTTTTAAAAGCACTATCTGTGATAGAATTTTGGTAAATTTTTAAATTTCTTTTATCTATGCCTTTCACAAATTTTAGGATTTTTTTTTTTTTTTTTGGTTTATCCTCCTAACAAAAGTTCTTTCAGAGTTGAGAGTCCTGTTAAGGTGGCATGTTCATGATTTTTAAGTTTGAATAGATGAAGTGTTCATGATAGAATGTCATCTTTTAAAAATGGTGAACGTGCTTACAGATCTTATAAAAAGAGAATTGAAATAATTATTAAATAAAATATATAATTGTATAGTTTCCTTGAATATAAGTTATATTTTTTAAAAATCCAGGATTGAAGCTTCTAGTATTCTTCTTAACTGCTAAACTGAAATTACTTTCTCTGTGTTTGTATATACTATTAAAAATATGTTGTAAAAGAGAAAGAGAGAGAAAGGTAATAGCGGGATATGAACTGGGGTTTGAGCCACCATCCTAACACTTACTAGTTTAATTGTCTTTTGCAAGTTACTTCTTTAAGTCGTGTGTAATTCAACTGAAAGTGGAGATTTTAAGAGTGTTTATCTCATACATTTCAGGAAAGATTAGGTGAAATAATCCATGTAAAGCCCTTAATGTAGTGTCTGTCACATAGTAAATTTTCAGTAGATGTTAGTTTTTATTGTTCTAATGTTATAGATATCACGTACTATATTATACAACATGGATTCATATATTTCACTTAATAATCATTAGTAATGGATGGGTGATTCATTTACATCAAAAGGGTCAAAATAAAAAATAAATTCTCAGAGAGTTAAGCTTTTTTTGGCAAAGAATAAGAAACCAGTATGTTGCAGTATTTTAGAAATATGAGGAATTCAGTATTAGTAAAACTTACTATGGGCTGGGCGCAGTGGCTCATGCCTGTAATCCCAGCACTTTGGGAGGCTGACGCGGGCGGATCACTAGGTCAGGAGATCGAGACCATCCTGGCTAACATGGTGAAACCCCGTCTCTACTAAAAATACAAAAAATTAGCCAGGCGTGGTGGCGGGCGCCTGTAGTCCCAGCTACTTGGGAGGCTGAGGCAGGAGAATGGCGTGAACCCGGGAGGCGGAGCTTGCAGTGAGCCGAGATAGCCCACTGCACTCCAGTCTGGGAGACAGCAAGACTCCGTCTCAAAGAAACAAACAAACAACAACAACAAAAAAACTTACTATGAAATATGGACACCTGTTTTAAAAATGCATTACAAATATCTGTTTCAGTCTTTGCACCTAATATGTATAAGATATATATAACTGAATTTGAGGATGTTGTGTGGAAAATATTACTTAACAAGTTATTATTTAATATACATATATAAAGAATCCCAAACAGATCTACATAAGGAAAAAAATTACAGTATAGATTTCTAAATTAATTGCCAGAACAATGGCCCCCTTTTTTGAATTTCTCTGGCATCTTCAGTAGGGAAGGAAGTGAGTAGTATCTCATTCTCCAGTCAACTCATGAACACCCAGGGGCTTGTCTCTCAAGGCAGTGGGAACCTCCTCCTGGTGTACCTCAGGTCTTTGAGGTAATGATCTGCAGCTTCTGGCCTTTCTCTCAATAAGGCCCAGGTGGTCTGGGGAAATATGTCTTGCTTGTTGGTCTCTTGCTCTTTTTCTCTGTCTTCTCTGCTCACTTTTTCTATTTCCTTCCGCTTGGTGATAGATAAAATAAATTTCAAATGTATTTTGATATGTACTGCTTTTCACCAGGTTCCTAGTAAATTAATGTGCTCATATAGGCCAATCCAGATATCTTAAAAGATCACTGGATGTGCACCCAGACCACAGTAGATCACAGTTAGGCCTCCAGCATGGTCTGACCTGTTCAGAATAAAGAGGCCTTTGGTTGAGGGTGAGCCTTATACAGACTGGTTCTTTGTGTGCCTGTGATCATTGGAGAGTCTAAATTGAGATTCTCCCTTTCCCACTTAGGATTGAGGCATCTTGTTTTAAGGCCATATGGCAGATGTTAATAACCAACAGACTTCATGGGTTATACCTCAAACTTTATAAGCAAAGATTACTAACTGAATGAAGCATGCATTCTATTCTATTCACTCTGCAAGTGTTAGAATTTATTGGCCTCTCCTGTTGGCAAAGATCACACTTTTGGTTGAGCTCTATCTTGGCTACTGCTTTTCTAGAGCTGCAATCTGGCAGTTTGGGAGGCTGCATATGGCTCTTAAACACTGTTTGGCACATAGAGTATTTTAAGGTTTTTTGCTTTTGTTTTTGTTTTTTGACACCTTTAGCAGAGGCAGGCAATCTACAGTTCCCTTCATGTCCTCTTATTATTTGTAAGACTCTTCTTTCACGTTTATTTTCCCTGCCTGGCTTACATAGGCATAAAAGTTTTGATCTTTTGAACTAGATAATGCACATATTGCAAGTTTCATGATAATATTCTGTAGAAAATGAAGTGATTTTCCAGTGAGACTGAGAGGCATATTTAAAATACTTTAATTTATGGAAGAGTTAATATGTTACAAATTTGGCCATTAAAATTGTATATCATATAACATAGTTACATTTTATTATAGATATGTTTTTAGTAAATAACAAAAATATTCTCACTGTTAAAAATTATTTATACATTCATGTTCATTTTGTGTATTAGCAGAACTGAAAGTTTTGTTTTTTGATTTTGTTTTTAACAAGATCACTTATATTCAATTCATAAAATAATTTTAATTCTGATTATTGTTCTTCTCCCTTTGAAGGAGTTTTGCATTTCTTCTAAGAGTCAGTTTAAGAATAGTTTGTATTTATCATTTTAATGTTTGCAGTAAAATAGAGCCAAAGAAGATATCTATTTCATTCAATTAAATGTTATTTCAAAGACAGCAGGGTTCTATGTTGGTAAAAATATTTATCTGTAGTTTTAAAAATTATTTCATAAGACTAACTAGATTTTCATTAGACTCCTTAAAGTGATAATTTTACACTAGAATGTTTTATGTTCAATCTTAGTTTCTTAAAGTCTGTAAACACCCTAGGAAATTACATTATTTCACAAAAGGATATGTTCTGGAAGTGTTTTCCTGAGCTTGTAAGTAATATCAGAAAGCTGTACCATATGAAACTGAACTATCAATAAGTTCTTAATAACATATTTTTAAGGTTAAAATATCTGTGTTATTCTTATAGGGCTGCTGCACATCCTTCTTAGCTTCCTATTCCATATAAATTTCCCTTTTTTTTTGACACAGAGTTTCACTCTTGTCGTCCAGGCTGGAGTGCAATGCTGCAATCTTGGCTCACTGCAACCTCCCCCTCCCAGGTTCAAGTGATTCTCCTGCCTCAACCTCCCGAGTAGCTGGGATTACAGACATGCACCACCACACCCAGCTAACTTTGTATTTTTTTTAGTAGAGATGGGGTTTCTCCATGTTGGTCAGGATGGCCTCGAACTCCCAACCTCAGGTGATCTGCCTGCCTTGGCCTCCCAAAGTGCTGGGATTACAGGCGTAAGCCACCGCGCCCAGCCAAATTTCCCTCTTTTCTAATGTTGATTTTACTCAATCATGAACATGTTTATGCCCCCAAAGTATATTCATATATATGAAAAAGTATAAGACAGGGATTTTGATTTAAAATTCAGTCTTTCAAAATCTTTTCTTGGTCTGATTCAGTCACAATTTAGTTTTTAACTTTACTAAAAGCAGTAAGCTTCTCACACCTACTCTTCCCACTCTCATCCCACTTGTCAGATGAAATCATCATGCATCGATTTTGTAAAACTTCTTTTCTTCCACACTGTTTTCTTCATTATACAAAATAAAATTGCATTCTGAGTTGATGGAGAAGCATGATATGGTAAGCGTTGTAGGCTTAGATAGTTCATTTTTATCACTAACTGATGTCTTATCACCTAAATTGTGACAATTTATGCTTTCTAAGAAGATGATTTACTACAATTATGAAAAATGTTAAGTTTGGAAGATGCCTACAGGCAATTCGAAATAAGCTCTGTGATAACAAAAATACTCATATTAATTTAAAAACTTTGAATATTCTTTCTCTTTAATTGATCACAAACATTCTAATTTCCTGAAATAATTCCAGGTCAGTTTCCTACTTTCCCCTTCTTTGTCTTAGTCTCCAAAAAGCTATGTTTTGGGAAACATTTATTTTAGTCTCTTTTCTATTTAGTGAATTATGCTGAAATTACAGAGAAATATATTCTACTATATAACTATATTGCATTTAATTTTTATTATAGCATGTTATTTTTGCACCAGGTATAGCTGTTAATCAGGCATTTCAGTTAAAAAAATTCATTGAAATTAGAAACAAAATCAGCTGAGTTACATGAGTCATTATCTGATATTATTGAACCACAAAAAAGCCTAAGTAAACTGAAAAATTGAGGAGTTGCAGTTCTTCACAATTCTAATGTTCTCTTAAATACTGTCCTAACCATTAAACAACATTCTAGTTGAGGCTTAACTACATATAAATCGGTTTGAGTCGTGATCTGTGTTTAAAGATACTCTGTCTTAGAAAGTGTATAACACGTTTCTAAATTAACTGAATCAAAATAATGTGTTTAAAAAATAAGCAGGCACAATTTTTGAAGTAACAGATGAACGAAATGCATTTATTAATTTTTTGAGATTTAAAAAGTTTTACTCAACCTTTGTAATTTTGAAAGCTATGCTAATCATTCTTCACAGTCAGTGGTATCTGAACATGTCATTATCTCTTTCAGTTTCATTATTTTTTATTGCAAAGCTATTTGTTTATTTGTAGAGTTTCTGTGTCTCAAAAAGTGGTGGTTTAAAGAAATTAATATGTGTAATATTAATATAGATACTTTATAGTAAAATACAATTAAAATGTGAAGAAATAAGAGAAAAGTATGCAGAAAATATGATAAAACCATAAAAATACATGTTGGGTTCCTGTTTTCCTGGCATGAAAGAGAACTCTAACTTCTTTCGATACTGAGACCTGAGAAATCTCCCCTAGAGAACAGAAGGAAGTTGTGAGGGATGTAGCAGATCACATCCTTAGCACCACTTTTATAAATAGAGTAGCGTGGTTTAATTTGGATGTTCCTTAATAATTCTCTCAATAGAAGCCAGGGCTACAACTGAAAAGGGCAATTCTACAAAAGAAATTCAACTTAGAGATAATACAGTTATGGTCATAGTGTACTATTATTTGGTTCCTTGCTTGATTTTGTTTTAAAATATAACATACTCTTCAAAGAGCCCTTCAAGGATGTTATGTCTCACTCAAATGTTTGATATGAGGTTGCCCAACAGGAAGTTTGAGATATGCATATTCTCTGGTGAGAACCCAGAGTGTGGCTATTGTATTGTTGATTAACGGCAGATCTATAGTTATGCTTTGCTAATCAAGAGGAGGGTAGACATTAAATATACCAACCACAAATGGAGGAAACCAACTAGGTAAGGACAGGATGGCCCCCCAAACCGCGGAGCACAGAAGAGGTTCAGAGAATTCTAAACAGCTTGGGTTAGAAATGTGGTCACCTAGCTACTGAGATGATTATTTAAAAGGTCTGCTTTTATAATAATAATTTAATTTTAAGGTAAAACTTTCATGTAAAAATTAAAAAATGGAAAAATCGGCATTTTTATTAAAACTGTATTTTAATAATCTGATAACCCATTGTACAGAAATAATGTTATATGAAGTAAGGATATTTAATATACGTGAGTATCTCATAAAATATGAAAAAATATGGTGTTAAAATAAATTGAAAATGTTCTGCCTTAGAATTCAGTCATTTCACATCTTATGTAGCTAAATGATTTTATTTGCTCAAATGTATTTATTGAGCAGTTTTTATCAGCAGTAAACAACACACATGCCTTCCTTGTCTTCATGGAGTGCATAAGAAGGAGGAGTCAGGCTTCCTACTGATCTCTTGGTTTCAAATCTAATATAGAGTTGGGTTTCTCATCTCTGACATCCTTCTAAATTGTTTTTTTTTCATTGTAGGTCATGAAATATCTCTAGTTGGGTCCAACTTTGGTACCTCTCTCAGAACTAGGACGAAATTATTCTTATTTGAGTTTTCTTAAGTAAGCCTCTTCTTTTGTTTATATATCTATCCCTTGAAGAGGAGAAAAATAAAGACATTTTTAGTAATTTTCTTGTATATTAATATATTTTATGCCTGTTGAATCACACAAATAACTAGGACTTTGTATTTTAAGTTTAGCACTAGATTACCTGGCTTCTTACTCTAGTTTTGCCATTCACTAGCTGTGTGGCCTTACACAAGTTATTTGACCTCTCTGTGCCTTTGTTTCCTCATCTGTCTACAATGGGTCAGCCCTCATATCTGAGGTGCATTGTTTCTAAGACCCCCATGGATACTAAAATCTATGGATGCTAAAGTTCCTTATATAAAATGGTGTAGAACAATAGGCCTTCCATATCTTTTGATGTGGATGTTATTACAACAGAGAGCCTGTTGTAATAACAGTGCTTACTCACTAGAGCTGTTATGAAGATTAAACGAGTCAATGCAAATAGCAGCATTCAGAGTAATGTCTCACAGTGTTAAGCATTCTACAACTACTAGCTATTTTTGCAGAAGAAAGGCATGAAATAGTGCCAACTTCACAGAGCTGTTGTGAGGCATAAAAAGGTCAGTGTATTAGAAGCCCTTAGAATAATGCTTGCCACACAATAAACTCTGCATAAAGGTTAACTATTATTACTATTTTCCAGCTTATAATGTTTATATTATTTGTTCCCCTCGTGGGAGTGGGATAATGTTGATTGGATAGGTTTTCATTGCTATTTATTTTTGTATGGTGGGCTTTGCTGTAATAGGGAAGGTGTTCATTCAGAGTGGTTCCTGACAGCGCAATAGAATTTTCAATGGACTTTGAAAAAATTCTGATGCTGGACCCCACCCTTCATCCGTTATGTCAAAATCTCTTACAGGTGAGGCCTGCAGCATGGATAGTGTTTAAAACTTCTCAGGTGACCCTAATTTGGCTTCAGGGTTTCGACCACTGTGTAAATTTGTTTTTATCAATTTTCCATATTCAAATATCAAGTCTATTTTAATCAAACTAACTATTTGTTAAAAGTTAGTTTTGCTTTGTTTTCCTTTTGGGGAATCACAGGAGAGTAATGAACACTTCTGCATTTCTGTTCTTGTCTGGCCTGTTACTCGTCTATTCCAAAGAACTAATCATTGGACTTTAAGCCATCACTGACAACTCTATGTTTTCTCACGATCTGATTTTCATGGTTCATATATTAATTACCCTTTTCTTAAAAAATATCCAAGGTGGATTTTAAAACATTCTCATAAAGATATGTTTTCACTGTACAAGGCTTAAGGTTTATAGTTGTGTTTATTTATTATATCTCAGTAATACGTAATAAGAGAGTTCTTATGAGTGGAATGTCTACATTGGCTCGATTGCTTTAACATTGACTTAAATAATTTGATCTCTGATGGACGAAGGTATCAGAACTACATGTGTGATTAAATAATAACTTTTTAGATTTTTTAAAAGCTTAAATGGGTAATTTTGATTCTATGCCATCACTCTCAACAAATAGTTTTGAGCCCACTGCTATAGGTGACTGCTATGATGGCGGAAAGTACAGGATACACAGGAGTTTAAGGGAAGAAATGCCCGAGGAGAGCAGGAAAATGCCTCCTCCAAACTGGAAGTAACACATAGGGGCAATGCCAGGTGAGTGGGGATGCATGGGCAGGCAAAGATGGAAGAATAGTACACTGGATAATGTGTTTGGTTCCAGCATATGTACAGGTGGGAGATGTGAGGCCCAAAAGCTGTAGTTAGAATCCAATTGTGAAAGGCTTTTTATGTAATATTCAAAGGTTTAGATCATACATTGTAGATCAGTGATTCTCTTTTAAAAAAAAAAAAAAATTGGCCGGGCGCGGTGGCTCACGCCTGTAATCCCAGCACTTTGGGAGGCCGAGGCGGGTGGATCATGAGGTCAGGAGATCGAGACCATCCTGGCTAACAAGGTGAAACCCCGTCTCTACTAAAAATACAAAAAATTAGCCGGGCGCGGTGGCGGGCGCCTGTAGTCCCAGCTACTCGGGAGGCTGAGGCAGGAGAATGGCGTGAACCCGGGAGGCGGAGCTTGCCGTGAGCCGAGATTGCGCCACTGCAGTCCGCAGTCCGGCCTGGGCGACAGAGCGAGACTCCGTCTCAAAAAAAAAAAAAAAAAAAAAAAATTTATTCTGCTAATATATTTTTTTAGAAGGTAAAATCATGATTCTTGCAAAAATATACACATTGAAGGTCTTATTTATTTCATCAATTAATAAAGAAATAATGCTACCAACTGTTCAGAGAAGAACCCAAAGACAGTTACACATATCAGTATTACAGAATGCTGGGATAAATGTGCAAATAGATGCAAAGGTAGGAAAACTGTTAATATCTATAAGATGTTGTCAACTAATCAGTTGCACTCAGTGGACATAGTTGGTGTATTAGTCTTTTCTCACACTGCTGATAGAGAGATACATGAGACTGGGTAAATTATAAAGAAAAAGAGGTTTAATGGACTCACAGTTCCACGTGGCTGGGGAGGCCTCACAATCATGGCAGAAGGCGAAAGGCACATCTTACATAGCAGCAGGCAAGAGAGAGAATGAGAACCAAGTGAAAGGGGTTTCCCCATGTAAAACCATCAGATCTTGTGAGACTTATTCACTACCATGAGAACAGTATGAGGGAAACGGCCCCATGATTCAGTTATCTCCCCCGGGTCCCTTCCACAACACGTGGGAATTATAGGAGCTACAATTCAATATGAGATTTGGGTGGGGACACAGCCAAACCATATCAGTTGGCATTCTGTCAATGACACTGATTTGTATAACTATAATAAAACATTTTTATTCTTATTATATATTAACAAGTTATAGTTGTATATGTATGTATAAGGTAAAAAGTGGTATAATGATTTTTTATACAGTGTGGAGTGATTAAATCAAGCTAATTAACCTATTCATCACCTCAAATATTTGACAATTTTTTCTGAAGAGAACATTCAAGATTTACTCTTAGTTATGTTGAAATGTACAGTATTCAATTATTAACCATGTTTACCATGCTGTGCAACAGATTCAATTAAAAAAACAAACTTTTTCTATCTAATTGAGGCTTTTTAATCTTTGATTGTCATCCCCCTATTTACCCCACCTGAAGTCCCTGGTAACCACCATTCTACTCTCCATCTATGAGTTCATTTGCTTTAGATTCCATGTAGAAGTGAGGACATGTGGTACAGTGGTCCTCCACTAATCCACAAGGAATAGGTTTCTTTTTTTGTTTGTTTGCTTTTTGTTTTGAGACAGAGTCTTACTCTGTCACCGAGGCTGTAGTGCACTGGTGCACGATCTTGGCTTACTGCAACCTCCGCCTCCCAAGTTCAAGCTATTCTCCTGCCTCAGCCTCCTGAGTAGCTAAGATTACAGACATGCGCCACTACATCTGACTAATTTTTGTATTTTTGGTAGAGATGGGATTTTGCCATGTTGGCCAGACTGGTCTTGAGCTCCTGATCTCGTGATCCACCCACCTTGGCCTCTCAAAGTGCTGGGATTACAGGTGTGAGCTACCATGCCCAGCCAAGGAATTGGTTTCAAGACCCCTGGTGGATGCCTGAAACCCTCTGTAGTACAGAACCCAGTTACCATCAGTTGGAACACATTTCTCATTGTCTTCTATCCATAAATTTAACGCCCTTCTGTTATAACTAAGCACTTATCACACACTGTGGTTGTAACTTTTACAGTTTGAAGTGTATCAGTAAAGCTAGCACTAATTTCTTTCTCTTTCTTTGTAATTTCATGGATAGAAGTGTCATTCTTACATTAGACCTTAGCAACCCCACCATAAGATTTTTTTTTTTCTTTTTTATTTAAGACTGTGTTTCACTCTGTCACCCAGGCTGGAATGCAGTGGTACAATCACGACCCTCTGCAGCCTCGACTTCCTGGGCTCAGGTGATCCTCCAACTTCAGCCTCCTGAGCAGCTGAGACTGCAGGCATGCACCGCCATGCCCATCTAACTTTTTTATTTTTTTGTAGTGACGTGGTTTTGCCACGTTATCCAGGCTGATCTCCAACTCCTGAGCTCAAGTGATCTGCCTGCATTGGCTTCCCAAAGTGTTAAGATTATAGGCGTGAACCATCGTGCATAGCCGATTTTTTTTCTTAAGTCCAGAACTTTCACCTTTTCACTCCTAGGAGACATTATATGGCTTCTCTTTGGCATACCAAAATTGCCAGCATCGCTACTCTTGCACTTTGGGGCCGTTATTAAGTAAAACATGTACTATGCACAAGCACTATGATACCTTGACACAAGCATTATGATACCTTGAGCACAAGCACTATGATACCTTGACAGTCAGTCTGAGAATCGAGGTGGCTACTGAGTGACCACCAGGCAGGTAGCATCTATAGCAGGGATCCACTAGATAAAGAGACGACTCATGTCCTGGGCAGGATGGAACAAGATGACTCAAGATTTTATCACTCTATCAGAACAGTGTGCAATTTAAAACATATAATTTGTGTATTTCTAGAATTTTTCATTTAATATTTTTGGACCAGAGATGAGTACAGGTAACTGAAACCCTCCACAGAAAGTGAAATGGTGGATTAGGGAGGACTACTGTATTTGTCTTTTTGTGCTTGCTTATTACATTAGCATAACGTTCTCCAATTCCATCCATGTTGTCACAGATGAGAGAATTTCTTCTATTTTTACTTTAAAACATTTTTATTTTTAATTTGTATGGTATGTGTTGTATATATTTATACAGTGCATGTGATTTTTTGATACAGGCATACAATGCCTATATCAATTCAGGGTAATTGGGATATCTGTCATCTCAGGCCTTTTATCATTTCTTTGTGTTAGGAACATCCCAATGTCACTGTTTCGGTTATTTTAAAATATACGATGAACTATTTTCATCTATAGTCACCCTATTGTGCTACCAAATACTAGATCTTACTCATTCTATCTAACTGTATTTTTGTACCCATTAACCATTCCCACTTTAACACACTCTACCCACCCCCAGCCTCTGGCAACCATCATTCTACTCCCCGTCTTCATGAGTTGTTGTTTTAATTCCCACATGAGTGAGAACATGTGAAGTTTGTCTTTCTGTATCTGGCTCATTTCACTTAACATAATGCCCTCTTGTTCTATCCGTGTTGTTGCAAATGACGGGATTTCATTCTTGTTTATGGCTGAACAGTACTCCATTGCATACATGTAGCACATTTTCTTTATCTGTTCATCCACTGATGGATACTTAGGTTGATCCCATATCTTGGCTATTGTGGGTAATTCCGTAATAAACATGGGTGTGCAAATATCTCTTCAATGTACTGATAACATTCTCCTTTGGATATATACCCCAAAGTGAAAATGCTGGAACATGTGGTAGTTCTATTTTTATTTTGGGGGGAGCCCCCATATTGTTTTTCATAATGGCTATTCTAATTTACATTCCCACCAAAAGTGTACAAGGGTTCCCTTTTCTCCACATTCTCACCAACACTTGTTATTTTTGATCTTTTCATAATAGTCACTCTAACAGGCATGAGGTGATAGCTCATTGTTGTTTTAATTTACATTTCCCTGATGATTAGTGATGTCTAACTTTTTTTTTTCATGTATCTGTTAGCCATTTATATGTCTTTTCAAAAATGTCAATTCAGGTCTTTTGCCCATTTCTTAATCATATTATTTGTTTTCTTTCTGTAGAATTGTTTGAATTCCTTATATATTTTGGTTATCAATCTCTTACTAGATATGTGGTTTACAATCATTTTCTCCCATTGTATAGGTTGTTTCTTTACACTGTTAGCTGTTTCCTTTGTTGTGCAGTGATCAGTTGTTCTTAGAATTACCTGGAGTGATATAATTTGTCTAGAGCCGTGCCCATGCATAGTATTGTTGAAAATCTTTCTGGATGATTCTAATGAGCAGTCATGTTGGAAAATCAGTTCTGTAGATAATGGGGAGCTTTGAAGAGTTCTGAGTAGGTGAGCACCGTGATCAGATTACCTCTTGATGGCTGGAGCATAGAAGGATGTATTGGAGGTTTTTGTTCTTAGAGATTGTGACAATTGACAGCTATTTCCCCAGACCCAGTGAGAGATGAATTTTAAGTCATAGTGGAAATGGAAGTGAGGAGATGGACTTAAGAGCTAAGGAGGAGAGAGAATTTGCAGAACTAGTGATTGATTAGAGATGTAGGAGTGGGATGTGGGAATTTTTAAGATGATGCCTAGGTTTGGATTTGGATGATAATAATATTCCTAGAGATAGGGTATAAGAGAAGAAAAAGAAAAAAAATAATATTCCTAGAGATAGGGTATAAGATAGGTGGTTGTTGTGTTTGAGCCATTGGGAGAGGGTGAAGAGGAGTGAGTTTTGCTTTGTGAACATCGAGTTTCATTCATTATTCATTTACTCAACAAATACTTATCGAGCATCTAATATGCCAGGCACTGTTCCAAGTGCTGGAGTTGTAGCAGTCAAAAAAAATAGACAAACTTCCCTAACTTATTTTATAATGGGAAAGACAAAATATAAGCAGGGGAAATGAATGCAGGGTGGTAGGTGTGCAGTTATGAATAGGGTGGTTAGATGGACCTCACTGAGAAGATGATATTTAAGCTATGCAGATGTCTGAGGGAGAAGCTTTTCTGCAGGAAAGAGTAGGTGGACAAGTCCCCTTGGAAACACAATTGGCAGATCAAGAACTAGGCAGAAGGCAAGGGAAACTAGAATTGAAGAAGGCACTTTGGGACAGTAGTAAAACGGGATGAGAGAGGAAAAAACATGGGATATGAGGGCAGATATCATGTATGGCTTTGCAGCCCTTTGTGAAAACTTTTTAGTAGAAAAGTAAGGATCATCTAGCTGAATAACTTTCCCAGATTAGGCAGGCAGGGGTACAAATCCATTGTGAGTATTATCAGACTGCATAAATGTATTTGTTTTAAGTAAATTATATTCATGGGTAAAGTAGTTAATATTTAAAATTAAAAAATAAATTGTATCACAGCCATAGAATTAAAAAGTTTAATTTAAGATTTGATTTATTAAACTTAGTAATTTGTTTGAAAATTATATAAAATTTAAGTTCTATTTAGTGATTTGAACTAAATCACTAATATAAAATGGTTCAAACACTAAAAAGCATAAAAATACATATAATGAAAAATCAATTTCTGTTCTCTATCTTCCTAGAGAGCTTCCCCCAACCCCCTACTAACCACTCTTTTTTATATTTCCATAGTTTCTCTCAAACATTAGACAACTTGATACATATGTTACCTCCTCTGCCCTCAATTTTTGTTTATCTCAAGAGGTGACATATTACTCAACATTGTTCTGAATGCTTTTAAAATTAGAATTAACGGCCGAGCGCAGTGGCTCATGCCTGTAATCCCAGCACTTTGGGAGGCCGAGGCAGGCGGATCACGAGATCAAGAGACCAAGACCATCCTGGCCAACATGATGAAACCCTGTCTCTACTAAAAATACAAGCATTAGCCAGGCATGGTGGCATGTGCCTGTAGTCCCAGCTGCTCGGGAGGCTGAAGCACAAGAATTGCTTGAACCTGGGAGGCAGAGGTTGCAGTGAGCCGAGATCATGCCACTGCACTCCATCCTGGTGACAGAGTGAGACTCCCTCTAAAAAAAAAAAAAAAAAATAGAATTAACTTTCTGTAGTTATTCTTATGCCAGTACCTAGATATCATCTTTATTCTTTTTTTTTACTTTAATGCTGCCTAGCATTTCAAACCAATTGAATTATTGTTTTAAGAGAAGTGCATGCACTTCTATGAGAGCAAGAGGAAAATGCACTGCATAGCATCCTCCAATTAACACACAAATTCCCAGCCTTTTTAGACTACTAAAAAAATTTTTAAAAGAGGAGCAAATTCCTCAAATAATGATTATCCCTCTTTAATATGTCTCATTTGTTTATTCTACATTTACTGAGTATGTCTTGGAAAACACATACTTTGCTGAGTGGTGGGATAGGTGAGTTCTCTGTCCTTGTGGAATTTATATTTTCATGGAGGGAGATAAAAAATAAGTAAACAAATAGATGATCACAAACTCTGAGAAGAAATGAGCTATATTATGCAGGAAAGATTAAATGCGGAGGCCACTTCAGAGTATTTCACCAGGGAAGGCTTCTGGGAATAGGTGACATTTGAGCCCAGAAGTAAAGCATAAGAATGAACCTGGGAAGAGTTGAATATCTAGACTAAGGCCTTACTGAGATGTGTGTAGAATTGGTTATGGGCTAATGTGGTTGATATATAAACATTCAGGGAGAAATGACATGAGAGTAAGGTTCCAGAGAGGCAGGAGCCAGATGATGGAAGAGAAGTTTAGTAAGAGAAATGGGAAGGCTTGAAAGATTTTAAACAGCTGAATGATCTGCCTTATTTATAACTTCATGTTCTTTTTAAAATTTTATTTTTCAGTTGACAAATAAAAATTGCAAATTTCTGTGGTGTACAACGTGGTTTTGATATATGTATACATTATGGAATGGCTGAATCAAGCTAATTAGCATGCGTTACCTTGCATACTCATCATATTTTTGTGGTGAGAACACTTAAAATCTACTATTTTAGTTGTTTTCAAGTATACAGTATATTATTATTAACTATAATAATCACAACGTACAATAGCTGTCTTGAACTTATTTCTCCTATCTAACTGAAATTTTCTATCCTTTGATCAAAATCTCCCAATTTTCCATTCCCCAACCTCTGGTAAACACCATTCTACTCTCTGCTTCTATGAGTTCACCATTTATATTTTTTTAAAGAAATGCTTAGTGTGATCTGAAAGGGAGAAATTGTAATATTAAAACACGTTTTAGGTATTCTTGAATATTTCTTATACTAATGTGTGTGTATATATGTGTGTGTGCATGTATATATATATGCATTTATATAAAGCATTTATCACTGCATGAGATTGTGAGGGCAGTTATGGATATTCTTTATTATTAAATGGCCAGTAAGAGGATAATGGACATATAGGATAATAAATCTCCAGTTGTAAATTTGAGTTTCTGTGTATTTTATGTGATTTACCAGCCCTTGAATGCAATATATTCTGTCATTGAGAGTTTCTGAATTAGGATTACAAAACAAATTTGGGGCCATTAAAGCATATAGCATGGAACTTGATCACACATTATTATTTGGTCACGAACCAAAGTTCTTTTTATTTCCCTTGAAAATTCAGTTTAGATGGCCAACTTATTGATTATTTACATGATATTATTTGTCAAGCCCACAGGTTATTTTTGTAATACAGAATCATTTAATAAAGTTTCCATCTGAAATGTCTTTATTTTGGTGTGCCAAATCTCTTAAGATATGTGTCTTATTTTGTGTAACTGGAGTTTAGATTTATGAACATATAGTTTTATTTTGTGTCTTAATTGAGTTGTAGGTACTTCTACTGTAAACAGACTGAGAGCAGCATAACCTTGGATTAATTTAAAATATAAATCCATGATCATTGATTTTCCACCCATATAATTGGTTATGTTAAGATTCATGTGATTCCCCTACGGTTGTTTAAAATTCTGCATTTCTCATATTTGACCTTCATCTTGTTTTGGTTTCCCTTTTTTTTTAAATAATCTTAATGATTTATGCAGTTGTGGTAAATCAAATTTTAGCAAGAATGTCTTCTGACTTTAGAAAGTCTATAGAAACATTTACCATAATCAAATAACTTTTGTTATTGAGCGTTTGCTCTTCTGATGACATATTTTATAGTTTTGTTTGTGTTTTTTCCATTGGTTATAAGCATATAGTTGATAAATACTCTTGTTGGTATACATATTTGTTACATAATATTTATATATTCAATTCACTAACTTCTGCATGTCGATTGTCTAACACCTGGTCAAGTGTATAAATAATTTTAAATTTATTGAAATTGATCTGTTGTTTTATTTAAAGAGCATTTAACAGTATACCACAAATTGGTTTTGTTGAAACCTAGGCGACCTAATGAATCATAGTGTATTAATAATAAAACAAACTTACTTGAAACAAACAATAAATGTAGATATTTTCATGAGGTCCTATAAGGCCCTGATTTACGTAAATTTTAGTATTCTGTTTTTTTCTTAACTAAGTTCTAATTTTTTTAAATTTCAACTGAATTTTCATTTTATGTTCTTTATGCCTCTAATATTTCTTTGTTTTCTGGTCTTCATATTGTTCAGTGCTATCAGCAGGTTTTATTTTGCCTCAATTCATTTTAGAAATGGTTCATTTTCTGTTAAATACTACCACATTGCTCTGGAATTCTTGGACACATTATGAATTTCAATTACATTTTTCTTAAAAAAAACTTTTGACATTTGTAACAAATGGTCACAAGAACTAAGTTTTGTGTTTGGGACATTGTGTTTGTAGATTAAAAAATCAACCTACCCAAAACCCTTAAAATATCCAAGCTTGTAAAACTTGAATTGCATTTGAATTACACCAAATATCCATTTCATCAAGTATGTCGTTTGCAGAATTGATTGAAACAGTTGATATCGAGTGAAATTGAGTTCATCAAATTTGGCAGACAACTGTAATAATTGAAGGAAAATGTCTGTGAATGATTGAAGGAAAATGCATTTCGTTGTATTTCAGGTTTTATTGTATAGTGGCACATATCAGTTTCGTGTGTAAATAAGTAATAATACTGACAATTCCTGGTTATGTAAAACATTTACACTTGTATTTTTTTTAAAGAAACTGTATTTTCATTTTATTTTTTTCCCAAAAGATTTGTGGTTGAACACATTACAGGAACATTTTTTTAAAGGATTGGAGTGGTTAATCCCTTTCTTGTTTTCCATTTCTCCATATTAGTGTTAAATTCCAGTTTTTGTGTGTGTGTGTGAGTTTATAGGATATGTAGTTGACCTGAAGCCCCCACAATTCCTAGGAAAAATGAATCAAGAATGATAATTTTATGTGATTCTTATTGGCCAATTCATGTGGTTATTAATCATAAATTTTAGAATAGTAGAAAATTATGAAAATACATTTTTAAAACTTTTAAGTTCGGGAGTACATGTGCAAGATGTGCATGTTTGTTGCATAGGTAAATGTGTGTCATGGGGGTTTGTTATACAGATTATTTCATCACCCAGGTATTAAACTTGGTATTCATTTGTTATCTTTCCTGATCCTCCCTCTCCCCACCCCCCACCCTGTGAAAGGCTCCAGTACTCAACTTCACTGATCATTAGAGGGAGAAAATAAATTTTTTGTTAGTTCATATTTGTCATTTTTTCAGTAGAATAGAATTTACATGGCTTGGCCAAATTAATCTAGAACTGTATCTAATAGTTTTTATTTTTAAATAAAACAAGTTTTTTTATTTAACAGTTTGGTAGATAATGCTGGCATCATTTTGTACAGCTGCTTTGATTAGCTTTGTTTCTTTTGGATGCTATATTTACAGTTGAAGTAAATTTAGGTGAGTCTCTGCATCATTTTAACACTTAAGGTATCATGTAACTTGTGGAGGAAATGGCAGTTGGAACAAAGACTTATTGTAGCATAAAAACCAGTATAGATACCTAACTAAATGCTGATCTGTAGCTCGGTGTGGTTCTATTAATTTCTACCTTCTTTCATTATAGAATTAAAACTATGCTAAACAAGTCTCAAATATCTGGTATTTTATTATGCTGCTGATGAACAATAATCTAAATGAACATTTCTGAGTGTATAAAATAATGATAGTAATAAGCATAAAATTGATTTATATTGATATGTAGCTAAAACAATATTGACCACATTTATGTACCAAGCTGTGTACTGGGTGCTTTAACACAGTTTTCTGAGCTATAAAGGGGATTAAGTGAGTTCTTTGCCCTATGCCACAAATGAGGGAACAGGCTCAGAGAAATTTAATAACTTGCCCAAGATCACACTGCTAGAGAGTTGTTAGGGTCTTGCTTTGAGCTCTGGCTTATTTTATCTCAAAGACTATATATTCTTCTCACAATGTTACACTGAAATTCTGCTTATGAGTTCAAAGAATGGCATTTCATTTTTATTTTAAAACTGCAATGTCAGATTGGAATAGACAAGTTCAAGTATATATAATATAAGGAAATGGGAAAGAAAAGAGGTAGGTGACAAAGGTCAGACAGTAAAGGCCCAGAATGAACTACTGTCATCCATTTTAGCATTCTCTCTACTAGACAGTTGGAGCTAGAGTCACTTTGTTGTTCTAGGAGAGATCTGTGAGGAGTGAAAGAGATCAAAATTGCTACATTTCTTCTAGTCCTTAGCATGTTTACAGGAAAAATATGTAAGAATAAAGTTTTCATTTTCGGTAGAAACAGAAAATTGTATCTTTTACTGTGCCTCAGGGCAAGAATAAAAATATAGGCTGTCAGTTTTATTTAATGTAATTGTTTTTCTTTCAGCTATACTATTTAGGAACAAAGTGCACATGGGACATGGGCACACACATCACACTAGAATTTCACTTGATGGGCTGTATTCTGAAAACTCATCATTGTAGTGGAACATGTTCCTTGTTCTGGTGATTAGTGTAGGTTAGAATGAAGATTTCTCATTTACTGCTCAAAAATATATACACATAGTGGAAATTTCTCAGGAATAGTTAAATAGCAAAAATAAAAAAAAACCACAAACTAGCTACAACTTTGTTGAAATCCTTATTGCTCCAGGAATTTTTAACATTAGTGTTTAATAATTTTTAATTTCTAGGAGTGTCTTTTACATTTCTTTATATTGTTAGTAAATCCTTGTGAAAATCTCTATGGATAAATGGGGTTATTACCACCTTTATTAAAATTACCATAGTAAGCAAGTTTGTGTTGAATTTAGCCATATGCTTAGCTGTTGATAGAATATGAAAATGATGATGCTCCAGATAATCTCTTTAGAAAGGTACAACTATTTCTCGAGTTTAAACAAAATGTTAACTCGTACAGTAAAAATATCAGGACATCAGAGTATACCTGAATGAATGTATTGGAAGTACTTACCAGGTATAAAATTCTATGCCTTCGGGCATGGTGGCTTAAGCAAGCATGGATGGAATCTTAGCACTTTGGAAGGCCGAGGCAGGCAGATCACCTGAGATCAGGAGTTGAGACCATCCTGGCCAACATAGTGAAACCCCATCTCTACTAAAAATACAAAAATTAGCCAGACATGGTGGCTCATGCCTGTAATCCCAGCTACTCAGGAGGTTGAGGCAAGAGAATCATTTGCACCCAGGATGCAGAGGTTGCAGTGAGACAAGGTCTCGCCACCGCACTACAGCCTGAGCAGCAGAACCAGACTCTATCTCAAAAAAAAAAAAAAAAAGCTATCCCTTATTCTAAGCACATAACCATTTTTCTTGAAGAGTGTAGCTATGGAAACAAGATAGCCAAGTAAGAATATGAGTCACATAGAAGCTAACATGGCATTGATAAGTTATACATAGATAAGCACCATAGATGTTTAAAAGGAGGCATCACTGGCGGGGGGGGGGTATGAAGTTTTGCCTGGAGGACTTCATGATAAACTTTCCAAGCATAGAGAAGGAATGAAACAAGGTGAGCTGCATATGATGCCCTGAGGGGAGGACGGTCAGGCTAGTTTCACCTACATCAAAGCTGTAGATGAGGCAGTCACAGAACCAAAAGAGGAAACCCGAGACCCTTACCCCCATAAGGCTGACTGCATCAGTGACTACCTAAGAGTCCCAGCTGTTGTCAAAAAGCCATGGGAAGACTACAGATGAGATGACAGCCACAGAGGGACCACGAAAAGTATGAAGGAGAATACTCTCCTACTGCTGGGGATTGAGCATCTCTTCTACCCTACCAATTAAAGTAACATCTTAGAATTCTGGGAACACGTAGGTAACTAGGTTAATTTCATTTTATTTTGGAAACAGCTTTATGCAAATTTGTGTCTGGTGCACATCAGTCTTTCCATTTCAGTCGGTTTTAAATTGCCTTTGTCTCAGCCTCCTGATTTTATTACAGTCTGCCTATAGTAACAGTTGTAAGGTCATATATCATGCTAACTGAATTTTTTTTTTGTCATTTTGAATAATGCACCGAAAATAACTCCTGTTTAGTGTGGCTTTGAAAATAATTTAAAACATGTATATTTGTGAAAAATATATCCGGCCTACACATGTGTCTCCATTCTTATTTGTTAGTGTTGTCCTACAACCATTTGTGCCATGGACAGACTGACATCCTCATCTTGTTTCATGGATCTCAGCTGATTGGAAGGGCTGATTTCTTCCAGCGTAGCTCTAAATGCGAGCCTATTAAACACAGCCATTATTTAATTATTATAATTAAGGAAATCATTAAGTGCTTGATAAGTTATACGTGGGCTTTGAATAGTTCTATTTTCTTAAAATTATATTTTACTAACCTTTTAATAAGGAAAGAGATATTTACCAGCTGAATGCTATAGATATTTGATCTATAGATATTTGAATAGATGTGTATAAAGACATTATACAAGTTATTGTGGCAGTTAATAATGTATTTTACTAAAGAGAACAGAAAACTTGGCCACAGTGGCTTTTGCTTTTCAATTTTCCAGATGTGTAGGTGATGTATAGGTGATGTATAGATATATAGGCCGTTACTAAATGATGCTGTTAGGGTCTCATACTTTTTTGTCTTTTTACTCTGCCTTTTCTTCAAGTGTTGGCTTTTGTTCTCATGCATATAGATTTCAGACACTTTTTAAGTATCTAATTCTAGTTTTAGGTAGGGAGGGGGAAAACTGTTTCCTGGCATGGATTTTGTCTTTTCTGCATGGATGAAAGTCCTCCCCATGGACTTCTCCCTAAATTGTGTCATATAACCAAGTGTAGCTGCAAGGCAGATAAATTGAGTATTTACATTCTAGCTTTCTTAGCAGAAGAAGGGAAAGGAGAAGGATCTTGGGAAGTGGTGTTGATAAAGCTAATCTACTCTGCTAGTTAGGGTTCTCTACAGAAAAAGAAATAATAGGATGTATGAAAAAACATGTATTTGTATGTAAACAGTAAAACCATATATTTGTATATAAACAATAAAACCATATGTAATGTAAACCATAAAACCATATATATATATATATATATATATATATATATATATATATGTATATGAGAGTTAGCTATCTATCAGAGTCTCTGATAGTTTTTTTTTTAAGGAATTGATTCACACTGCCATGGGGGCTGGCAAGTTTAAAATCTGCAGGACAGGCTGAAAGATGGGAAATTCTAGCAGGAGTTGATGTTGGGGCTCAAGTATAACGGCAGTCTGGAGGTAGACCATCTTCTTCTTCTTCAGGAACCTATCTTTCCCCTTAAGACTTTCAATTGATTGGATGAGGCCTACATACAATATGATGGAGAATGAGATTTATTCAGAGTCCACTGATTTAAATGTTAATTATGTCTTTGAAAATACATTTACAGCCACATCTAGACTTGTGTTTGGCCCAAAAATTGGACACCATAACTAGCCAAACTGACACATAAATTTACCCATCACACCTATATTATCTACAAAGGATTAATAATAATCAATGGTTTATAACTTTTGGATACTAAAGTCCAGCATCAACTTCTTAGGGTTGACATCTTCTTGATCCATGTATTAGTTTATGTATATTAAATGCAATAATGTTTCCGTGTTTCCCAGAAAGTTCTTATGCTAATTCTGAATTAGAGTTAAAATATTGACTAATACCCATTTTAAAAAGAGAAAGTCTTTTTTTTTTAAAGGCATATTGAGAATTTCTAAGGCTCTTACTTTGTTTTCAGGCAGTAAATGACTTATATAACAACATTTTAACCAATAAGATTACTCTTGCTCAAATGGCCTGGAGAACGTTAGAAGAAATAAAGGAATGTTGACTGGCCTGGAATGAGGAGACATAGGTTTTTATATTAACTCCGACATTAGCTAGTTTATCACCTTGCTTTTCTGAACTGAAGACTGATAATAGATCCCCTACCTTTCCTCCCAGATTGTGGCAGTTACATGAGATAACAGATCTAAAAAATGCTTTATGTAGCATAGAGTGATACAAATATATAAAGCAGCACTGGAATATTGAGATAAATGTCTCATGATAACCTCCTCCATGATTGGAGGATGGCATGGCTGATGAGCCATCAAACAAAGGTTAGAACTGAATGCAGACTCAGAAGTGACCCGGTGCAAACTCTGTTAGCCTGGATGGCCACAAAGAAACATCCATTATCCATCCATTAAAAGTAAAATTCTGTGGAAAGGAGGGCCATTTCTGTCAGCTTGAGGAATATTTTGAAATTAGCATCAGGTTGTCAGGCTTAGTCAGCATGACAGCTCTTTCAATTCATGTTTGTCCAACCCCTTTCCTTGGAAATACACAAGCAGTTACTCTGCTAATGTTGGGAAAAATCCAATGTAAAAAATATTTCATTTTAATAACAAATTTCTAAATCTGAATATTATATTTAAAATACTAAATAAAGAAGGGTGTAACAGAAGTGTTTACTTGATGTATTTATTTTTAAGAAGATCTTTTAGTCAAAGTAATGTTAGCTAAGTTAATTTTACTTGTGTACAGAATCATTAGGTACCACTAAAAGTCATTGACAGTTTTTTAATTCAGTGAGACTTACTCAATCAGCAAAACTTCCAAAAATAGTTGATAATAAGTATACCCCTGGAATGGGATTTATATAACCCTACACTCATTTAACATTATCTCTAAATTCTTTTGTATAATTCTATTCTTTCATGTAATTTTTTCATATAATTCTAAATTATTTCATATAATTCTAATTCTAATTGGATGAATTTTTTAGAAGTTGTACCTAGCATTTAATTTCTTTAAAGATAGTAATTTTGAAACTCTTGAACACCAGCTGTTAACACTTTTTCTTGATGTTCATGTGAAATGGACACTTAAAATTTCAGTGTTGGTTTCAAGTTTTCAGTGTTGCTTATGCATAACCTATCCTTTGACCTAACAATGCCACTTTTAGTTATTTATCCTAAGGAAACTAGAGATGATTTTAGATTTGTGTGAAATGATATTTATTATGTGAGGCAACCTAGACAATAGATGGAAATGGTTAATAAACTACTGTGCATTTGTATTGTAAAATTTCAGACAAAATTATAAAAAATGATCTCAATATTTATTATATGAAATAGAAAAATGCTTATGACATAATATGTGAAAAGAATGAGATAAAATATAATTCAAATCATTATCTTTATTTAAGATATACATTACAATATAATTAGGGCTGTGGGGGCACTACCTTGAACTCTCCTATATTTGATCAGATTATGTTAATATGTATAATGGTGTGGTTGCCCTGTTTACTGCAATTTAAAGTGCTTTTTTTTTAATGTGAGAAAATGAAAAATAAACAAACATAGTGGTTTTATTGCCAGTTGATAGGCATAGAGTAAATATAGAAGAAATCATTTGAATTTAATGCAGTTTATCCTATGTTGTTCAGTAGTGTAGTTCTGTGATTATGATAGCCTATTAGGAAGGTAACTGGAGCAGCAGTCTGTAGCAGGTTCTGGAGGAGTAAGTCTGGATTTGAAAAGGTTAGGAGGAAGCTTTTGTTTGTCTGTCAGGATAGTCTCTTCATTTGCACTGGCATGTGAAAATAAGGCTGAGTACTGGTCCTGGATAGTGCTGGTAATTAAACATAGATACCCCATATTTTGTTTTCCAAAAATAATGCTGACATATTTTTATTTCCAATAGCGGTCTGTTGTGAATAAGATTTGGGAAAAGAGAAGGGAAGCAATGAGAAAACAGGTTGCTTTATTAAAAGGCGTAGGTCTCACTGAGAGGGACTTTGCAGAGTAAAATCCTACAAACTTAGGAACACTTAGTCTAAATTTGGCACTCCGAAATGCAGAAAGAAATTCTTGCTCAAATAGAAACTCTACACTCACATTAAATGAATCAAAACGAGAGCTAGGTTATCAAAGAAAGACAAACTACTTAAAAGAGCTATTTTAATTGCCATACAAGAAGGACATTTCTCGTAAAGATAAACAAAATTTCCTTAGTTACATCATGTTTTCTCTTGGTAGTTATCTCTCATTATTGTGAGAAAATTTTAAGAATTCAAATTCACATTTCTGAGGTAAACATTCTGAAATTTTATTTTGTTTTGAGCAGTCCCTTTAGTGTTTAAATAACCTCTCTTTCTGATCACAAACATGGAAGAGGTTTCTTTGTTACGTATCATCTTTTGTCCTAGTAGTCACATATACGTGAAATATGAAATAAGAAGATCAAAGACGTTTTTTGTTTAATTTTGGCAGTCTATATTTTTACTCTGTGTCCCTAAATTAGAGTCGCTACAGGGCCTTACCTCAGAACACTCATGTTCTTCTGCCAAATAAATAAGGACAGACATCACTCTTGAGGCCTTTATTAGTCATCCCTTAGAAAGGTTGGTTCTTGACAATGTATCATTTAGACAAAATATTCATCTAGCACAGTTTGTATTTTCAGGGCGTATTCATCCACAACAGGGATAACAAATAGTTGCATAAGGGGAGTTATTCACAAATTGAAGTGCTTGAACAAAAAGGAAGAATAGATGGAACAGAAACCCCAAAATTGTTCCACTTAGAAATGAGATGTGGCTACTCTTTGATTCATCTTGTACCAAATTCTGAGTCAATCACATGGAAATATTGCATTTTAAAATAAGTGTTACAGCACAACATTTACAGCTCTCAAGCTCTAAACTGAAGCTGCCACATGTCAAGTGTTGACTTGTATGGCTCATAAATCACCAGCTGTTGTTTAGACAGTATCCATCTTCAAAGTTTGTACAGCAAAGGGGTCTATTCAATGCATTTTTAAATCAAATTTCTGCAGAGGAGTTTTGGACGAGACAGATCTGGGAACTACACTGAGAACAACCTCTTAGTTGTTGATTCAAACACACTTTTGGCAAAATTTAACTCGGGCTGAAAAAAAATCTGAATTTCAAAGCTGTAGTAAAGTACTGATTAAATGGTAATCTATATTTATAGTGTTTTAAACCTTTAATTAATACACATGTCCTTATGTAAAAGTTTGGGGAACTTGAAAGACTTTATGAAATTCATTGGAGGATAAAAAGAAATAACACTTCTAAATCAAAGTCAGATTTGGAGAAAACTAATTTGCCTCTAATTCACTTTTGTTTCAATGTATCCTATAAAATAAAGGCCAAGCAATTTTGCGTGGCATGTTAGGATTCTTGGTTGAAAGCAAAAGGAACACCTCTGGTTAATTTATATAGAAGGGAATTTTTTTTAAAAAGGATCTTGTGCAATTCACAGAATCCTCACATAGCCTAAGAAACAGATTGAGTTCTAGGCTGACAGCGACAGGGCCTAGAGTTTTGGGTCAGCCCCTATCTAGTGTGATGTCAAGTGCCACTGCAAGGGCACTCACCAGACCTTAGTCACCAGGCACTGACCCTGGAAACATTTTCCCTCCTTGCTGCTTCAGTGGTCACCACTTTTGCAGGGAAGGAGCCTGCACTATATTTGTTTCTCCATGTCACCAGCTTGCTGGGCAGCTGGGTCTGATGTGGAGATCCCAGGCTAGATTTCTGCACCATAGCTGTAAGGAAGGTTGTGAACATGACTATGTTTCATTTTTATTGTTTCTTTGAGAGACATAAGATAGGGATCTTGTATAGGGCATTCCCCATGTAAGAATGGGGTATAGACGATGACAGTACAGAAAAATATTAAAACATATATGGTATACAAGGTCTTAAACTACCATTCCCATTCATGTTGCCCTGCATTCTGGCCATAGGCTCCTCATCATCCCTTTGGCATTCCTTATACTTTTCTGACACTGTGGTGCTGCTCATGTTATTCCCTTGATCTGGAATGCTCTCCTGCTCCATTTATATAGACTTTCCTTCAAGGGGTATCTTAAAGCTCCACCAAGTCTTCCTCTTTTCCCTAGGTAGAAGAATTAGCTTCCTTCATTTGGAGTTCTCTCTCTTTCTCACTCTCGTTCTCTTTTTGGTTTCTGTCTCATCCACTTGAAGGTAAACTCTTCCAAATGAGACACTATATTTGTCCATTCTCATACTGCTGTAAAGACATACCTGAAGCTGGGTAATTTATAAAGAGAAGAGGTTTAATTGGTTCATGGTTATGTGGGCTGTACAGGCTTCTGCTTCTGCAGAGCCCTCAGGAAACTTTATGGTGGAAGGTGAAGGGGAAGCAGGCACATCTTCACATGGCTGGCAAGAGAGACAGGGAGCTAAGGAACAAGTGCTACACACTTTGAAACAACCAGATCCCATGAGAACTATATCAGGAGACAGCAAGGGGGAAGTCCACTCCCATCATTCAATCACCTCCCACCAAGCCCCTCCTCCAACACTGGAAATTACAATTCAACATGAGATATGGGTAGAGACACAGAGCCAAACCATATTATTCTGTCCCTGGACCCTCCCAAGTCTCATGTCCTTCTCACATTTTAAAACACAATAATGCCTCCTCAACAGTCCCTGAAAGTCTTAACTCACTCCAGCATTAACTCAAAAGTCCAAGTCCAATGTCTCATCTGAGACAAGGCAAGTCCCTTCTACCTATGAGCCTGAAAAAAAAAAATAGTCACTTCTAAGATATATTGGGGGTACAGGCATTAGGTAAATGCTCCTATTCCAAATGAGAGTAATTGGCCAAAACAAAGGGGCTACAGGCCCCATGCAAGTCTACAACCCAGCAGGGCAGTTATTAAATCTCAAAGCTCCATAATAATCTCCTTTAACTCCATGTCTCACATCCAGGCTACACTGATGCAAGGGTTGGGCTCCCAAGGCCTTGGGAAGCTCTACCCTTGTGGCTATGCAGGGTACAGCCTCCACAACTGCTTTCACAGGCTGGTGTATGGGGGCTCCAACCTCACATTTCCCCTCTTCACTTCCCTAGTCGAGGTTTTCCATGAAGGCTCCACCCCTGCAGCAAACCTCTGCCTGAACATCCAGGCATCTCCATAATCCTCTGAAATCTAGGTGGAGGCTCCCAAGCCTCAACTCTTGCCCTCTGTGCACCCAGAGGCTTAACACCATGTGGAAGCCACCAAACGTGGGGCTTGTACCCTCCAAAGCAACAGCCCAAGCTGTACGTTGGTCCCTTTTAGCCATGGCTAGAGCTGGAGCAGCCACAATGCCAGGAGCCCTGTCCCAAGGCTGCATAGAGTAAGGGGGCCTATGAAACCATTCTTCCGCCCTGGGCCTCCAGGCCTGTGATGGGAGGGGCTGCTGGGAAGGTCTCTGAAATGCCTTTGAGGCATTTTCCCAATTATCCTGGCTACTAACATTCAGTTCATGTTTACTTATGCAAATTTCTACATCCAACTTGAATTTCTCCCCAGAAAATGAGTTTTTCTTTTGTGCTACATGCCTGGGCTGTAGATTTTTCAAACTTTTATGCTTTGCTTCCCTTTTAAATATAGTTCCAGTTTCAGATAATCTCTTTGTTCATGCATATGAGCATATGCGGTTAGAAGCAGCCAGGCCACATCGTGAACACTCTGCTGTGTAGAAATTTCTTCTGCCAGATATCCTAAATTTTCTCTCTCAAGTTCAAAGTTCCACAGCTATCTAGAGTAGGGGCACAATGTCACCAGTCTCTTTGCTAAAGCATAACAAGTGTGACCTTTGCTCTAGTTCCCAATGAGTTTCTCATCTCCATCTGAGACCTCCGCAGACTGGGCTTCGTTGTCCATATCACTATCAGCATTTGATCACAATAATTTAACACGTCTCTAGGAAGTTCCAAACTTTCTCTCATTTTCTCATCTTCTTCTGAGCCCTGCAGCCTGTTCCAGCCTCTGCCCATGGCTCAGTTCCAAAGTTGCTTCCAATTTTCAGGTATCTTTATAGCAATGCTCCAATACTCTGGTACCAATTTTCTGTATTAGTCCATTCTCACACTGCTATAAACACATAACTGAGACTGGGTAATTTATGAAGAAAAGAGGTTTTATTGGCTCACAGTTCTGCTGGCTGTACAGGCTTCTGCTCTTGGGGAGCCCTCAGGAAACTTACAATCATGCCAGAAGCTTACAGGGAAGTAGGCATACCTTCTCATGCTGTCAGGAAAGAGAGAGAGTGAACAGGGAAGTGCTACACACTTTGAAATAATCAGATTTTATGAGAACTCTATCTGGAGACAGCAAGGGAGAAGTCTGTCTCCCCAACCCCCGATTCAGTCACCTCCTACCAGGCCCCTCCTCCAACACTGGGGATTGCAGTTCAACATGAGATTTGGATGGGGACACAGAGCCAAACCATATCAGATGCCATACTTTAATCATTCTGTGGAGCTTTAAGTCATAATGAAGATTAGGCTGTATTCACTCTTGTCAAAAGAATTTTTAATATGACCCTTTAAAACTTGAATTTTGTAATATTTGTATAGGATTTTACCTTTTCATTTATTTCCTTCAAGTGCCATTTCACATAGAGCCTCAGGTACTATGTTTTATGTATAATTTGAAAAATAAAATAAACTTAGAAATTACATACTTTGGATTTTTCTCTCCAAATAAGAAATGAAAACCTAGAATATGGAAAGTCTTGTCTATCTGAATGATGCTTTGAATTAATGTGATATAGTGAACTTTATTTCAGTGAGTCTGAATTTACATTTGGAATATGAATAATCTTCACTTATGTTGAAAATGATAGGCTGAAAATAAACGTGCTCATAGCTTTTTCATGCAGATCCTTTACTATCAATTAACATAGGAAATCTTTATAAGTGCTGCTTAAAGTTTAGATGATAACTTAAAGTCTGAGGATATAAAGACATAATGATCAGACATATCTCAAAATTCTGATTATTCAATCTCATATTGTATTGGGAGATATTCCCATTCACTAGGGAACATTGTATGTTATCTGAGTTATAGGACTGTTTAAACAGTATGATTTCCATATATTATATTAGATTTTAAGAGTGATTATGCTGATCAAATTATAACACCGTTGAAAAAATTCTTTAGAGGCTTGTCATTAAATAGAAATGTTCTAAATTCCTTTTTCCAGTTTGGATTATCTTCACCCCTGAAAATATGAGGACACATATTCTCATTGCCTACATACACCATGCAGTGTCTCTACACAGAGTATAAGAAATTTAAACCTATTATCTAGATCTAAGGGGATATGAGCAGGCATCTACCTAGATTTTCTTAAAAAAAAACAACTGAATTCTTTGTTTACTACCTATATGAGTTGAAATTCTGATTATTGAGTTAAGATGTGATGAATCTTTTGATTCTTGTTAACTGAACTCATTCTCAGGATTTGTAGTGATGACTTACATGTGAATCAGAAATTAAAGTTTTTCAAAAGAGTAATTACCAAAATTATATCATTATATTGTTGTACAAGTATTGTTTTTAGGAATATAACCTGTAGATGCTATGTTAACCTTTAAAAGATAGGCTGAGAACAAATCTACACATTAGTAATTTAATGTAGATTCCTAAATATGTAAAAATATGCTTTTTACATTTTGGAAAATTACATAAAATTGACCTTTTCCCTCTTTTTATAAACTCTGATTTTAAAATTTCACTATTATAAAAAATACTGCAGAGCCTATCTTTATGCATGTGTGTGTGTGAGTGTGTGTGTGTATGCCGATGTATGTATATATAGTATATACAGGTGTATAGATCTGTGTGAGAGTATATTCATGTGTGTAGACTTTATATATACATATATATATGTTTTTTCACTTTCAGGATAATATTCAATAAATTACATGAGATATTCAACACTTCATTATAAAATAAGCATTGTGTTAGATGATTTTGCCCAACTGCAGGCTAATGTAAGTGTTCTGGACGCATTGAAGGTAGACTATGCTAAGCTATGATGTTCAGTAGGCACGGTGGCTCATGCCTATTATCCCAGCACTTTGGGAGGCTGAGATGGAAGGATTACTTGAAGCCAGGAGTTTGAAACCTATCTGGACAACATAGGTAGAGCCTGTCTCTACAAAAAAAATACAAAAATTAGCCGAGCATGGTAGCACAGAGCTGTGATCCCATGTGGTCCCAGCTATTCCGGAGGCTGAAGTGAGAGGATTGCATGAGCCCAGAGGTCACTGCAGCCCAGGCTGGGTGACAGAGAAAGATCCTGTCTTAATAAATTAATAAATAAATAAATGCAGTTTTAGCTTATAATGTTTTCAATTTATGGTGGATTTATTGGGATGTAACCCCATCATAAGTCAAGGAACATCCATATCTTTGTATAAACACATGCACAACAAATGTATTATTTACGTAAATCAATATCAAAATCATAGACTCTTTATTCATTATATTAAATTATATGAGACAGGGCCATATTATCATTTTTTCAATTAGTAAGTAGCTTTAATGGTAGACAGATTTATGCCAGTGTCTTAATTATGATTTTTATATGATGTTTCTTGGTATAAGTGGAAATTTCCCAAAGTGGCGTATGCTTTTGATAAAGCAAAGCCCATTTAAATTTTCATACTATGAATACTAGCCTATAGAATCCATCTAACAAGTGAAGATTACCAGAGAGTGTCTGTCAGGGGAAAAACTTTCTCAAACCATGTTTTTCCTCTAATCTCATACTACCGCAACAGTCAACACAGAATACTATGACAAAAGCAGCAGACACCAGCTGGGTGTCCTCTAATTCAGTTCTCATGCTCTCTACTTGGAGGTAGTGTAAGATTGCATGGGTTGGAAGCTCAATCCCCAAGATTAACCACACACCCCAGAAACCAGTCAAAAGTCCAGACCTCTGGAACTTCTGACCAACTGGCTTCAAGCTGGGGTCCCCACAACCCCCTCTTTGGATTTGATTAATTTGCTAGAATCGCTCACAGAACTCAGGGAAATGTATTTAGTGGTTTATTATAAAGGACACTGCAAAGGATACAGATAAAGAGATGCGTAGGACAAGGCATAAGAAACTTCTGGAACCCAGTCCTCTTGGGTTTTTATGGGAGCTTCACAGTGTCATCATTCCTTCCCCCAGGGTATAGGGCAGGACTCTGGGGAGGATCATAAAATCTACAATCAGAAAGGTGGGGAAAGATTAGAGTCTTGCCTTGGGATAGGTGAAAGGAGGGCAGGAGAGAGATTCTGCTTCCTGAAGCCTGTGACACCCAACATTGTATCAAAAAACTATAACTAGAGCTTTTGGAGTTATGAGCCAGGAAGCATGGACAAAAAACAGTATATAGTACCACAGTAACACTTGTCAACACTGTAAGAACACTAAATTTGTTTTATTTAAATGAGTTCATTATTTTCTTATAAATGTTGATCCCTAAAATTTCTATTATATATTTGGAGAATTACATTAGTCAACTTACATAAAATTAATTTTCTTTATATTTTTGAATATGGATTTTATTTAGATGTAATAACATCAAATAATTATCTCTAAATTTTCTTCCCAAAGGAAATAGTACAGATTAGCTAGAATGAAAGAAGAGATTTATATTTATTGTACCAGACACCCTGCCTAACATGATCTATGTTAGCTTGTTTCATTTTTACAATAGCCTGAGTGTATATTTTATCTCCGTTTTATAGATAATGAAACTGCCTCTTAGGGGAGGTTACCTAATATTTCTAAAAGTTTTCTGATTTCAAAGCCTATTATCTTTGCATTCTACCTAACCAGATCAAGGAGAGAGTGTACGCTTTGGTTTGAATGTTTAAAACTATGTTTTATTTGGTCATGGATTTGGCAGATAGAATTTACATTTAATGTTTTCTTCACTTATGACATGTTGCAAGTTGAGTAGTTAATGGATATATATGAGAATAGCTTTTATTGACTCATGTGTTTATCCTGCCTTCAACCAAAATTCTTCTTTAGAGTGTTTTCTTGGATGTAAAAGAGTGACATTTGCATTCGTATGGGTCTGAAAGTTTTCCACAAAAGTTATATATTTTTTTATCTTGATGATAATGAAATAATATATATTGGCACATTGAACAGATTCTGCATCGTTTTTATGATGCCATTATAACAGTTTTGGCATTCAGTAGTAGTATGCATATTTGTGTCCATTTTTTCTTTCATTTGAACTAAATAGGTCTCTTTTCATTATCATGAGCTAAGGTTAACAGAAGAGAGTCAGACTAATATGGAGCTAATGCATTAGCACCAAATGAATATTAAAATATCATCAATGCATACTGTGAGAAAGGTTTTGCAGTAATTCAGTTACTGAAAACTGCTGGAGGAATTGATTTATCAAATGTTGATCAAAAAATCATGCCGAACTCCAAAGAGCCTGTGCCATTGTATGCAATACTCTAAATAAATTGCAAAACAGCGATTGTCATATTAAATTAATGCTAAAATTTTCGTCAGTTCAAATTTTATTGGTTTGCCATGCTGGCATTTAATTTGTAAATTAAATATGTGTAGATAAAACTATATTATTATTGTCAGATATAAGCTGACAGATTTTGTAATTAGTGATATGTTTGTAGATATTTAGGTAATGTATTAATAATAGCCATTTAAATCAACAATCATGATCCTTGAGAATTTTTTCCCTTTAAACGTATTTCGTACATAAAATTTCATGAAGGGTAGATTAGGATATTCTAACTACTTTGCAGACAGGTACCAGATCTAATTCGGAGCTGTAGAGAATAGATGTTTTCAATAAATTTGTGAATAATTAAGTTTTATCATCCACATATAGATAGTATTAAAGAGACAGCTTATACACATAGATTATAATGATGAGCATTTACAGCTTTTTTGGATTAAATATTAAATATTGCCATAAAATTTGAAAGGCATTAACTGGAAATCTCACCAAATTAGATAAATGCTAGGTGAGTTGCACAAGCTGGGGAACACACAAGTGTGAGTGTTGTAGTAAAGTTGAATGGATGCCCTTCTACTATTCCATGCTGCTTCTCTTCTGTAATGGCAGCTCTTTTATGGTTTGTATCAAATTTAGAGCTTCCACTTGGAAAGTGATAGTTACAGAACTATCATTTTCTCCTGGGCTTCAATGCTAAGTTGACAACATCCCCTCCTGTGGCGCTTGGCCAAGGGCCAGCTGAAATTAATCTGTAAAAGAGACAGTGCCTCTGACATAAAGGTCTCCTTACTTCAACAGAGATAAGTGACCCATCTGAACATCCATGAGTTTACTGGTAGGTGGAAGAAGGAGGGAGAAGACTAGTTGTTCTAGACTGGTAATGCAAGGTATCCAGAAAGAGATCAGTTTTCATTTGCCTAAACAGGATTACAAGCTGTGTGTAGATGGTCTTATAAATTGCCTGTGATAAAGTCACTCATTTGGGACAATTAACGAATTTTTTTTTTTTGAGTTGGAGTTTCGCTCTGTCAGTTCAAGTGATTCTCCTGCCTCAGCCTCCTGAGTAGCTCGGATTACAGGCGAACACCACCACACTCAGCTAATTTTTGTATTTTTGGTAGAGACGGGGTTTCAGCATGTTGGTCAGGCTGGTCTTGAACTCCTGGCCTCATGATCTGCCCACCTCGGCCTTCCAAAGTGCTGGGATTACAGGTGTGAGCCACCGCGCCCAGCCCAGTGAACAAATTTATTATTTTGAACTGTTGACCACAGATATATTTTAACTATTTAATTTTTAGATTAATATATTTGAAAATGTTACATGAAAACAAATTTATAGTGAGTATAGATGAAAATTCCAAGTGCTGTAGTTTTACTTCCTTTTTTATTACAAAAGTAATGCATGCTTCTTATAAATAACAAAACAATGCAAACAAGTAAAAGGGATAAAGTAAATGTCTCTTTTCTCTGTATATTTCACAACGTATGTGTTAGTAGCTTAGACAAACAAAAAATAAGTGAGTTTTTTGTTTAAAAAAGGAATGAAACAGAAAGGATTGTCACTTCCTTAACAAATGCTGATATCATATGATAATTTTAGAACACTTATATTCCAGGCTAAGACATCCATTATTTTCTTTTCATTTCTTTGAATTTATCTATGCAAATTAACTGGATTGGGAATTAAAATGAGCCTGTTTGTTGGGCCATTTGTGCTTTAGTAAAAACAGATGTGTTTAAACACCTGGTTACTGCAATATTCAAAGTTTGTGAATCATTCTGAAGGCTTTTGTAATCTACTGCCCTGGATATTGTAGTGAAGATGGACATTAGGAAACTCTGTGGGCAGGAGGAATGTGGAACATGGCACTTGTGCCTGTTGGGAGAAAACAAAAATTGCTAGTCTGTTCTTTTCAGAGTGGCCAAACATCCCAAGAAAAGCCACAGAATAAACATGGCATAACTTCTTGAAGTATCAGCTTTGCTTAAAGTTGTGAGAGAAAAACATTGTAATGAAATAAATAAGGCTATGTTAAGAAACAAAATCAAATACTTAATTTATAAAATTTTTAAAGTTTTAATATAAAACAAAAGAAATTACTCATAAACATTGACTTTATATATCAAGTCCCTGAGGGTATGTGTCTCATTTCCCCTTCTGTTAAGGGTACTACTTTTTGGGCAAAGTTGAGAAACTGCTATATGAGGACTTGGGGAAAGAAGAGAGAGGGGAAACTTTTGGATTTTTCCTTCGGACAGTATGGAAGGAGACAGACGGGTAGGTAAAAATTGAGGATTTCTCACTTATTTTTTATTCCCCACAGTATTTAGGATAATACCTTGCAGATGGTAGGGTGGTAGGGCATATAAAAATGTTTGTGGGATTTTTGATTCTGTTTCTTTTCTTATGAAGGAAAAAAACATGCGTTATTGAACACTAGCTTCCAAGTTTTGCCAATAAGGTTTATAAAAAGTTTTTTAACTGGCTGATACATTCTTTTTTCTCTTTTTTTTATTCTGTAGATGTGAGCTCTGACTCAGAGAAAAAAGAGAGATTTTGAGTAAAGTGAACCTATAAAAATATTATTCCAACCACAAAACTTATTTTTAACAATCTTCCCACACTTAGCTGTGACTTGAATAGCAGCACAGAAGCACAACTGCACTAGGTGAAGTACAGTGAGGGTGCTGGGCAGAATTTTTCACCTTTCTGAATATTCTTACTTTGTTCACCAGTTATTTCTTTTGTCCTTAGGTATGTGGCTTGATGTTAAATAGTGCAGTTGAAGAATTTTCTTTTTTGGAAAAAAATAGGCATTTCTAGAAATTTTTATTTCTCATTTCCTAGATGTTTTCTAAAGAATACTTTTAAGGTCAGATTAGGGGATCTTGGAAGTAAGCACATTTCCAAAAAGGATTTCTACATATAAGGAAATTATTAGCCAAAATTAGGCCAGGGCAAAATTTCAGATTATAGTATTAGAAAGTTTAAAAAGTATAGGTTTTAAACTTAACAATCCAAACACAATCATAAATTTAAGCGACTGTTTTGTTTGGATTGAAATTGTATAAGTATTCATAGATAATTTTGTTTTAATCTATAATTTCCATACACTAAAAAAACTATAGTTACTATGCTATACATTAGGTCTCCAAAATTTATTTATAACTGAAGGTTTATACCCTTTGACCAGCATCTCCCCCATTTGCCCTGACACTTGAACCCTGATAACCACGTTTCTGCCATTTCTATGAGTTTGACTCTTTTAGATTCCACATATAAGTGCCTTTCTGTGCCTGGCTTATTTCTCTTAGCATAATGTCCTCCAGGTTCATCCATGTTGTTGCAAATGGCAAGATATCCCCCTTTTTTAAGGCTAAATAACATTTCATTGTATATACTTGACACATTTTATTCATTCATTTATCCACTAACAGACACCCAAGCCGTTTATATATCTTGCCTATTGTGAATAATACTACAATGAACATGCAGATATCTCTAGACATAGTGATTTAATTTCCCTTGGATACATACCCAGATGTGGGATTGCTGGATCATATGGTAGTTGTATTTTTAATTTTATGAGGAACCTCCTATATTAGTCCGTTCTCACACTGCTAATAAAGACATAACTGAGACTGGGTAATTTATAAACAAAAGAGGTTTAATTGACTCACATTTCAGCATGGCTGGGGAGGCCTCAGGAAACTTACAATCATGGTGGAAGGGAAGTAAACACGTTTTTCTTCACTTGGCAGCAGGAAGGAGAAGTGCCCAGTGATAGGGGGAAAAGCCCATTATAAAGCCATCAGATCTCATAAGAACTCACTATCATGAGAACAACATAAGGATAACTGCCCTCATGATTAAATTACCTCCCACCCTTTCCCTCCCACGACATATGGGGATTATGGGAACTACAATTCAAGACGAGATTTGAGCTTGGTGCAGTGGCCCACACCAGTAATCCCAGCACTTTGGGAGGCTGGGGTGGGTGATTCACTTGGGCCCAGGAGTTCAAGACTAGCCTGGCCAACATGGTGAAACCCATCTCTACTAAAAATACAAAAATTAGCCGGGTTTGGTGGCGCATACCTCTAATCCCAGCTACTTGGGAGGCTGAGACATAAGAATCACTTGAACCTGAGAGGTGGAGGCTGCAGTGAGCCGAGAGTGCACCACTGCACTCCAGCCTGAGCACATAGCGAGACTCCATCTCAAAAAAAAAAAACAAAACGAAACAAAAAAAATGAGATTTGGGTGGGGGCACAGCCAAACTATATCAAGTCCATGCTGTTTTCTATATTGGCTGTACCAATTTACATTCTTTCTATCAGTATAAATGTTCCTTTTTCTTCATGTCTTTACCAACATGTATCTTTTGACTTTTTGATAATAGCCATCTTAACAAGTGCGAGGTGAAATCTTGTGGTTTTGATTTGCATTTCCCTGAGGATTAGTGATGTTGAACACCTTTTAATATACCTGTTGGCTATTTGTATGTCTTCTTTGGGAAAATATCTATGTTCTTTGCCCATTTCAAAAATCAGATTATTTGTTTTTGGGCTATTCAGCTATGTATGTTTCTCATATATTGTGATACTAGCCATTTATCATATAAATTGTTTGCAAATATTTTCTCCAATTCTATAGGTTGCCTTTTAATTTTCTTGATGGTGTCTTCTGCTGTGCTGCTAAACAAAATTGACAAAACTGAACTAGACTAAGAAAACAGAGAAGACTCAAATAAATAAAATTGGAAAAGATGGAAGATATTTTTATTTATTTTTTTATTTCCATAGGTTTTTGGGGAACAGGTGGTGTTTAGTTACATGAATAATTTATTTAGTCGTGATTTCTGAGATTTTGGTCCACTCATCACCCAAGTAGTATATGTTATACCCACTTTACGGTCTTTATCCCTCACCCCTCCTTCCACCTATTTTCCTGGGTCCCAAAAATCCATTGTATTGTTCTTATGCCTTTGCATCCTCATAGCTTACCTCCCACTTACAAATGAGGACATATGATTTTAGTTTTCCATTCCTGAATTACTTCACTTAGAATAATGGTCTCCAATTCCATCCAGGTCACTGTTACTGTGAATGCCATTGTATTGTTCTTTTTAAGGCAGAGTTATAAATATATGTTCACACACACCAAAATTTCTTTATCCACTCATTGATTGATGGGCATTTTGGCTGGTTCCATATTTTTAATTGCGAATTGTGCTGCTATAAACATGTATGTCCAAGTATCTTTTCCATATAATGACTTCCTTTTCTCCCGGTGGATACCCAGTAGTGGGATTGCTGGATCAAATGGTAGTTCTACTTTTAGTTCTTTAAGGAATCTCCATATGGTTTTCCATAGGGGTGCACTAGTTTACATCCCCACCAGCAGTGTAAAAGTGTTCCCTTTGCACCACATTCATGCCAACATCTATTATTTTTTTATTATGGCCATTCTTGCAGTAGTGGGATTGTTGAATCAACTGGTAAATCTACTTGTGGTTCTTTAAGGGTTCTCTATGCTGTTTTCTATAGTGGTTGGGCTAGTTTACATTCCCACCCGGAGATTGCAAAGGTTTTCTCCCACTCTATGGGTTGTCTGTTAACTCTGCTGATTATTTCTTTTGCTGTGCAGAAGCTTTTTAATGATAAAAGGACTAGTCCAACAGGAAACTATCACAGTCACATGTATATATGCAGCTAACACTGGTGCTCCCAAATTTATAAAACAATTAGTACTAGACTTAATAAATTAGATAGACAGCAGCAACAAAATAATAGTGGGGGACTTCAATACTCCATTGACAGCACTAGACAGGTCATCGAGAGAGAAAGTCAACAAAGAAGTTGGAAGGTATTACAGCTAATACTGCAAAAATACAAAAAATCATAAGAAACTATGAACAATTATACACCAATGACCTGGAAACCTAGAAATAATGAATAAATTTCTAAAGACATACAACTTACAATGACCAAATCAATAATAAATAGAAAATCTGAAAAGACTAATAAGGAGTAAGGAGACAGAATTAATAATAAAAAAGTCTCCTAACCAAGAAAAGAAAAACAAAAGTTCAGTGACCTGGTGACTTCACTGGTGCATTCTACCAAACATTTAATGGAGAGCTAATATCAATCCTTGTCAAACTCTTCCCAAAAATTGAAGAAGAGGGAATACTTCCAAACTAATTTTGTGAGGCCATCATTATCCTGACACCAAAGCCAAGATGAGGACACTACAAGAAAAGAAAACTATAGGCCAATATCCCTGATGAACATACATACAAAAATCCCCAACAAAACCAGAGTAAACCAAATTTAATAGCACTTTACAAACATCATTCACCATGATCAAGTAGAATTATCCCTGAGATAACAAGGGTGGTTCAACATACACAAATTAGTAAAGTTGATACACCATATTAACAGAGTGAAGGATGAAGGATAAAAATCATATGATGGATAGGCTGGGCGCGGTGGCTCATGCCTGTAATCCCAGCACTTTGGGAGGCTGAGGGGGGTGGATCACCTGAGGTCAGGAGATCGAGACCATCCTGGCCAACATGGTGAAACCTCATCTCTACTAAAAATACAAAAATTAGCCAGGCATGGTGGCAGGCGCCTGTAGTCTCAGCTACTCAGGAGGCTGAGTGAGGCAGGAGAATCTCTTGAACCCAGGAGGCAGAGGTTGCAGTGAGCTGAGATTGCGCCACTGCACTCCAGCCTGGTGACAGAACAAGACTCCATCTCAAAAAAAAAAAAAAAAATCATATGATGAATAGATGCAGGAAAATATTTGACAAAATTCAACATCCTTTCATGACAAAAATTTTAAACATATTAGGTGTAAAGAAATGTACCTCACTACAGTAAAAACCACATATGATAAGCCTGCACCATCATACATAATAGTGAAAAACTTAGTTTTTCCTGTAAAACCAGGAACAAAGAAACGATCCCTACTCTCATCACTTCTATTCACCATATCCCTGGAAGCCCTAGCCAGAGCAATTAGGTAAATAAAGAAAGAAAAGGCATCTAAATAGGAAAGGAACTAGTAAAATTGTGTCTGTTTGCAGATGATATGCTCTTATATATTACAGTTTCTAAAGACTCCACCAAAATACTGTTAGAGCTAATAAATATATTCAGTAAAGTTTCAGGACACAAAATGAATATACAAAAATCAGTTGTTTTCCTGTACACTAACAGTGAAATATCTGAAAAAGAAATTAAGAAAATAATTCCATTTATGATAGTATGAGAAAAATAGCAATAAATTTAACAAGGTGGTGAAAGAGCTGTACACTGAAAACTGTAAAATATTGATGAAAGAAATTAAGACACAAAGAAATGGAAAGGCATCCTGTGTTTGTAGAATAAATAACACAGTCAATATGTCTATACTACCCAAAGCGATCTGCAGATTCAGTGAAATCCTTATCAAAATTCCAATAGCATTTTTCACATAAATAGAAAAAGTAATCCTAAAATTCACATGGAAATACAAAAAATCCTGAATAGCTAAAACACAAGAACAAAGCTGGTGGCACAACATTTCCTGATTTCAAATTATATTACACAGCTATAGTACTCAAAACAGTGTAGTACTGGCATAAAAGCATACACAAAGACCAATAGGGCAGAATAGAAAGCCAAGAAATGAACCCAAGCATTTATGGTCAACTAGTCTTTGACAAAGACACAAAAAATACACGATGGGGAAAGCAGAGCCTCTTTAATAAATAGTGTTAGGAAAACTGCTTATTCACAGGCAAAATAAAAGTGAAATTGAATCCTTATCTTACATCACTCCCCAAAGTCAACTCAAAATGAATTATAGTTTTAAACTTAAATCCTAAGCCATAAAACTCCTAAAAGAAAACAGAGAAGAAAAGCCCCATGACGTTGGTCTTGGTGATTATTTTTTACATATGAAACTAAATCTCAGGCAACAAAAGCAAAAAATAAACACATGAGGCTACATCAAGTGAAACTGATTTTGTACTTTTAATTTTAAAAGGCACATTTACACAAAATATGACATTTTCTATTTGAAATTAAATATGAGTTAAATACCAAAGCATCTTCTCTGTAAATTGCTTTTTTTAAATTAATAATGTATATCAATATGAGTAATAACATTTAAGCAACACATGTCATCTTTCTCCCTGGTGATTCTGCCTGTAAAATCACATGGCTGTGGTGGGAAGCTTGGGAAGACAGAGCCCCACCTGATAGGGATCTCCACCCATTGTCTCTCCATGTGGACCCTGAAGAGATTCTGAGAATTCATGTACATAGAAGCGGTCTAAACCATTGGCCATCTATGTAGATACTTGGCTTTGTAATTTACATTTTCTTAAAATATGATATCCAGATATGAATTGAAAGGCAGACTTCTCCAGGTATGTAATATTTTTTTAAATTATCTGTTTTGGCAAACAATGTAATTACCATTTGTTCTTAACTGTTTTTCAGCTTTACATTACTAGCACAGACATTTATTGAGCATCTGCTAAATCCTGGTTATACTAGAAGGAATGACACAATCAGCCTGGATAGGAAGAGGGAGCATCTATGTAGAAAAATCATTATCACATAATTAGCTTTTAACTTACTACCACATTGGTATAGGCGATAAGAACCCATAAATATTCAAGGCAGGAGGTAAAGGAAAAAGAGCTGAACCAGGTTGAGAGGTTTTAAGGCAGTCAAGAGACTGATGTTGGAGGAAGAGTGGAGCCTCTAATACTCGTTTCAAGTAAAAGTGGAAAGAATGCCTGTAGCTCTTAGAGCAATAAGCAGAGCCCTTGTCCTGCTGGGTTGGAGGGTTTGGATAAGAGTGGTAAGCAGTATCAAGTTGGAAGAGCAATTGAAACCAGATGTAACAAACACTGATTTCTTTTGAAGACCCCTGGAAAGTGTTTAACATCTATTAAAATCTGAAGGTCAAATATGCTTTTTATTAATATAATTGAAATAAGTATTAATATATTTACATAAGCAGTGCCATTAAAACAGAATTGTATTCATTTTGCTTTCAGAAATGAGCGTATAACTTAAGATGCTAATTTGCCTAATAATCTATGTTTTCACCTTATGTTTTAAAATCTTTCTTTGAACACATTTGAGGAGTCATATTTTCTACCAAATGCCTTTAATGAAAATGTCCATTTGATTCTTTAAATTCTGCAATTTCTTCTTTATAGAATTTGCCTAGCCTGTTTCCAGAGAGTGCGTTTTATTTCTACTTTAGTTCAAATTATTAGATGTCTTTTGCATCCACTAGGAAAGCACTTTGGCATGCTGTGGTAGTTGCCTAGGAAACACTAATAAAGATAGGATGAGTGCTGAGACAGGAAGAGAGGAAAAGTAACTTTTAATGTCTACTATATGCCAGGCAGTGGGATGGATATTTGGATTATATTGTTTTCTTTAATCATCAAACACTGTAAGGTGAATATTATTGTCCCCATTTTTAAAATTGTATGGCAAACTTTTATTTGAGACTTCAGTACACGAACAAATAAGAATGACTGAAAATTGTGTAGTATCCTATATCTTCTTTTTTTAAATTATACTTCAAGTTCTGGAATACATGTGCAGAACGTGCAGGTTTGTTACATAGGTATACACATGCCATGGTGGTTTGCTGCACCCATCAACCCGTCATCTACAGTAGGTATTTCTCCTAATGCTATCCCTCCCCTATCCCCCTACCCCCAACAGGTCCCAATGTGTGATGTTCCCCTTCCTGTGTCCATGTGTTCTTATTGTTCAACTCCCACTAATGAGTGAGAACATGTGGTGTTTGGTTTTCTGTTTCTGTATTAGTTTGCTGAGAATGATGCTTTCCAGCTTCATCCATGTCTCTGCAAACGACATGAACTCATCCTTTTTTATGTCTGCATAGTATTCTGTGGTGTATATGAGCCACATTTTCTTTATCCAGTCTAACATTGATAGGCATTTGGGTTGGTTCCAAGTCTTTGCTATTGTGAATAGCGCTGCAATAAACATGTGTGTGCATGTGTCTTTATAGTAGCATGATTTATAATCCTTTGGGTATATACCCAAAAATGGGATTGCTAGGTCAAATGGTATTGCTGGTTCTAGGTCCTTGAGGAGTCGCCACACTGTCTTCCACAATGGTTGAACTAATTTACACTCCCACCAACAGTGTAAAAATGTTCTTATTTCTCCACATCCTCTTTAGCATCTGTTGTTTCCTGACTTTTTAATGATCGCCATCCTAACTGGTATGAGATGGTACCTCATTGTGGTTTTGATTTGCATTTCTCTAATGACCAGTGATGATGAGCTTTTTTTGTATGTTTGTTGGCCGCATAAGTGTCTTCTTTTGAGAAGTGTCTGTTCATATCCTTCTCCCACTTTTTGATGGGGTTGTTTGTTTTTTTCTTGTTAATTTGTTTGAGTTCCTTGTAGATTCTGGATATTAGCCCTTTGTCAGATGAATAGATTGCAAAAATGTTCTCCCATTCTGTAGGTTGCCTGTTCACTCTGATGATACTTTCTTTTGCTGTGCAAAAGCTCTTTAGTTTAATTAGATCTGAGTTGTCAATTTTGGCTTTTGTTACCACTGCTTTTGGTGTTTTATTCCTGAAGTCTTTGCCCATGCCTATGTCCTGAATGGTATTGCCTAGGTTTTCTTTTGGGGTCTTTATGGTTTTAGGTCTTACATTTAAGTCTTTAATCCATCTTGAGTTAATTTCTGTATAAGGTGTAAGGAAAGGGTGCAGTTTCAGTTTTCTGCATATGGCTAACCAGTTTTCCCAACACCAGTGATTAAATTGGGAATCCTTTCCCCATTTCTTGTTTTTGTCAGGTTTGTCAAAGATCAGATGGTTGTAAATGTGTGGCATTATTTCTGAGGCCTCTGTTCTGTTCCATTGGTCTATATATCTGTTTTGGTACCAGTACCATGCTGTTTTGATTACTGTGGCCTTATAGTATAGTTTGAAGTCAGGTAGAGTGATACCTCTAGCTGTGCTCTTTTTGCTTAGGATTGTCTTGGCTATACGGTTTTTTTTTTTTGGTTCCATATGAAATTTAAAGTAGTTTTTTCTAATTCTGTGAAGAAAGTCAATGGTAACTTGATGGGGATAGCATTGAATCTATAAATTACTTTGGTCCGTATGGCCATTTTCACAATATTGATTCTTCCTATCCATGAGCATGGAGTGTTTTTCCATTTGTTTGTGTCCTCTCTTATTTCCTTGAGCAGTGGTTTCTGGTTCTCCTTGAAGAGGTCCTTCACATTCCTTGTAAGTTGTATTCCTAGGTAATTTATTCTCTTGGTAGCAATTGTGAATGGGAGTTCACTCATGATTTGGCTCTCTGTCTGTTATTGATGTATAGGAATGCTTGTGATTTTTGCACATTGATTTTGTATCATGAGACTTTGCTGAAGTTGCCTGTATCTTCTTAAATATATATATATTTTTTTGAGATGGAGTCTCGCTCTGCCACCCAGGCTGCAGTGCCGTGGCGCGATCTTGGCTCACTGCAACCTCTGTCTTCTGGGTTCAAGTGATTCTCCTGCCTCAGCCTCCCGAGTAGGTGTGTCTATAGGCGCATGCCACAATACTCTGCTAATTTTTGTATTTTCAATATAGACGGGTTTTCACCATGTTGCCCAGGATGGTCTCAGTCTCCTGACCTTGTGATCTGCCCACCTTGGCCTCCCAAAGTGTTGGGATTACAGGCGTGAGCCACTGCGCCTGGCCCATTTTTTTTAAATGACTCTTTTGGAGCTATAATTTTTACATAATGACTTTTATTTACACAGATTTTGACCAAATTATATGAAAATTAAGTATCCCCCTCTTTTCCTTGGAGACATCTTCTGGTGCCTTCTACCGTCTTGCCCAAGTTTGGGTCTGTTGTTCCAGAGCCAGCTGCAGAACTCTCACCAAGTGATCTGCATTTATTCTTTCCTGGTTATCATTGATTTTTACTTGGTTTTTGTTTTTGTTTTTAATATTTTTTCCCGTCTCCTTTCCTTTTTCCTTTTCTCCCTCCTTTCTTCTTCCCTTCCTTCCTCCTTTCTTTCCTTCCTTACATATATCTTAAGATATATGTATTTATTATTATATATATACATATAATCTTCAAAGTTTATTTAACTTTTAAGTTCAGGGGTACATGTGTAGGTTTGTTACATAAGTAAACTCATGTCATGAGGGTTTGTTGTGCAGATTATTTCATCACCCAGGTATTAGTTATTTTTCCTGTTCCTCTCCCTCCTCCCACTCTTCACTCTCCAGGAGGCTCGAGTGTGTGTTGTTCCCCTCTATGTGTCCATGAGCTTTCATCATTTAGCTTCCACTTATAGATAAGAATATGTGGTATTTGCTTTTCTGTTCTTGCATTAGTTTGCTAAGGATGATGGCTTCCAGCTCCATCCATGTTCCTGCAAAGGACATGATCTTGTTCTTTTGTTATGGCTGCATAGTATTCCATGGTGTACAAGTACCACATTCTCTTTATCCAGTCTATCATTGATGAACATTTAGGTTGATTCCATATCTTTGCTATCATAAGCAGTGAACCTACACATGTATGTGTCTTTACCATAGAACAATTTATATTCCTTTGGGTATATGATCAGTAATGGGATTGCTGGGTTGAAGGTTCTCTAAAAAGTTCTCTTTTTAGCTCTTTGAGGAATCGCCACACATCTTTCCACAATGGTTGAACTAATTTACACTCCCGCCAACAGTGTATAAGCATTTTTTTTCTCCAAAACCTTGCGGCGTGTTATTTTTTGACATTTTAATAATAACCATTCTGACTGGTAGTATTTAATAATAGCCATTTTGATGGTATCTCATTGTGGGTTTGATTTTCATTTCTCTAACAATCCGTGATGTTGAGCTTTTTTTCATATGCTTGTTGGTCGTATGTAGGTCTTTTTTTGGAATGTGTCTGTTGATGTCCTTTGTCCACTTTTTAATGGAGCTGTTGGTTTTTCTCTTATAAATTTGTTTAGGTTCCTTATAGATGCTGAATATTAGTCTTTTGTCAAATGCGGTTTGCAAAATTTATATCTCATCCTGTGGGTTGTGTATTTACTCAGTTGATAGTTTCTTTTGCTGTGCAGAAGCTCTTGTGTTTAATAATATCCCATTTGTCAATTTTTGCTTTTGTTGCAATTGCTTTTGGCATATTCATCGTGAAATCTTGAATTGATTTTTGTGTATGGTATAAAGAAGGGGTCCAGTTTTAGTCTTCTGCATATGGCTAGCCAGTTATCCCAGCACCATTTATTGAATAGGGAGTATGTCCTCGTTGCTTGGTTTTTTTTTCATTTTGTGAAAGCTCAGATGGTTGTAGGTTTGCAGCATTATTTCTGGGCTCTCTATTCTGTTTCATTGGTCTATGTGTTTGTTTTTGTACCAGTACCATGCTGTTTTCGTTACTGTAGCTCTTTAGTATAGCTTGAAGACAGGTAGTGTGATGCCTCCAGTTTTGTTTTTGTTGCTTAGGATTTCTTTGGCTATTCGGGCTATTTTTGGTTTCATATTAATTGTAAAATTGGTTTTTTTCTAGTTATGTGAGGAATGTCATTGGTAGTTTAATAGGAATAGCATTGAACCTATAAATTGTTTTGTGCAGTATGACTATTTTAACAATATTGATTCATCCTATCAATGAGCATGGAATGTTTTTCCATTTGTTCGTGCCATCTCTGATTTCTTTGAACAGTGTTTTGCAACTCTCATTGTAGTTACCTTTCACCTCCGTCGTTATCTATGTTTCTATGTATTTTATTCTTTTTATAGCAATTGTGAATGGGATTGTGTTCCTGATTTGGCTCTCAGCTTGATTTTTTTTGGTGAATAGGATTGCTAGTGATTTTTGTATGTTGATTTTGTATTCTGAGACTTTGCTGAAATTGTTTTTCAGCTTAAGGACCTTTTGAGCCGAGACTGGGGTTTTCTAGATATGGAATTATGTTGTCTGCAAACAGGGATAGTTTGACTTCTCTCCTCCTATTTGAATGCTTTTTATTCCTTTCTTTTGCCTGATTGATCTTCATATATTTGACATATAAATGTATGTGGGAGATAAACTGAATGAATGCCTGCAAGTATGAAAGTATCTGTAGTTTTTCCTCACATGTAATTAATATTTTGCTTTAGCATAGAATTTTAGGTTCAAAATATTTTTTTCCTCATACTTTGAAGATATGGATCAACTGTGTTCTATTTTTCACTGTGATATTGAAATATTTGATGACAATCTCATCATTTGGAAATCATTACTTCCTTGCCTCTCATGCCTTCAGGAGCTATTAGGTTCTTCCTTTATCCCCAGTGCTGTAAAATTTCATGATTTATGTCTAGGCGTTGTAGGTTCATATTAATTTCAATATAAACACTTGTGTCCTTCAAATCTGGGTTTCTTTTTTTTCTATTGTTTCCTTGATTTTTTCTTCCTCTCCAACTTCATTCTTATTCTTTCTTTTCCAAAATAAATCCCAATTGGCCATATCTGTAACTTACTATGTTGATCCTCTGTCTGTTTTATCTTTACTTTCATGTTTTTCTTCTTCTGAGGTTTATATCCTGGCTGATTCCGCTTTATGTTCTAAACTTTCTATTAATTTTTAAAATGTGAATTTTTAAAACTTCTAAATATTTGTAATGTTCTCTGATTGCTTCTTTTCAGAGCATCCAGTTATTTTTATGAATGTGATACTCTTCTTGAATATTAGAGTGTTATTAGTTTGTGTGTTTGACTTTTCTTTGCTATCTTGAATTATCAATTTGTCCTCTTCTTTCCTTGGGAATCTGTTGATTCTTGGTTTTCATCTCATATTTGAGTGAAAGGCTTGGTTGATTATTCTAATTATGCAGTGTGGATTTCTTCTACTGGTATATAACTAGACCTGATTCCAGCTGGGCCTTTCTTGGGAGTAGGGCATCTGACAGGGAACTATGTGTAGGAAGGATATGAGCGTATTTAAAATTATTCCTTGCATTGGGTGCGCAGGGAAGCTGCTGTCCAATGATTGACCCCCAAGCCTGCATTAGAAAGCCCTCCAGGTCACTTTAACATTTTTGTAACTTTTGTACAAAAGATTTTGTAACTTTTGTACAGAGCAAGATGGGGTTTTGCTCTGTTACCCAGCCTGGAGTGCAGCAGTGTGATCACAGATCACTGAAGTCTCAAACTCCTGAGTTCAAGCAATCTTCCTACCTCATCCTCCTGAGTAGCTGAGACTACAGGCACATGCCACCATGTCTGGCTATTTATTTATTTACTTATTTTTTCCAGGTGGGGTCTCACTTGCCCAGGCTTGTCTGAAACTCCTGGCCTCAAGTGATCCTCTTGTTTCAGCTACCCAAAGTGCTGGGATTATAGGAATTAGCCAGTGTGCCTGGCAGATGCAGATGTCTTCTTTGTAAGAAGACAGAGAAGCAATTTTTTTTAGAGAGAGATTATTTTTGAATGCCATAAATTGGTAAATATTAATCCCTAAAAGAATAAAATATAGGACTCAGTATTTCCTTGTTAGCCTAAATAAATGACATATTAATCTAGTTTGTTAGCTAAACATAGCAAACTCTACTATTCATTCAAATTTCAGCTTGAATCTTGCCCTTCTGAATCCCAAGTGAATATGCTCTCTTTAGTGAATTTGCATATTCATATATTTATTTTTCCTTCTCATGATAATTAACGTATTTCGCATTTACTAGTTACTGCTAGACATTAATCTTGTCCTGAATAAGATTTGAATTTTCATTTATCTTTCTTCATTTTTAGATACTTTTGCCTAGTATATATGTAAATAATATTGGTTAGATGACTAGAGAGATGATCTCATCATCATATTCCAGTAGTAATTTATTACTTGCTTTCTAAGCAAAAATCTTTGCCCATATATCCAGAATGTTGTTTTTTGATGCTTTCACATTTCCTATAGCTACCTATGGGATTGTAGTTTGTATTTTGATTTATGATTTGCATCTTGAAATTTGGATGTTATGAATAAAAAATTTGAAAACAAGGACTCTCTTCTCTATTTTCTTCACTTTCATATTTATTCAGTAGAGCAGAGATTCTTAATTTGCATGTAAAACTATAAGACGTTAATTTCAATATCGTTAAATAGGGAGGAATAACAATAAACATATATTTATGATCTGGAATAGTTGAGTTTATTGTTATTCAGTTTGAATATGCAGCTAAAGAAGCAAGATTATAAATAAGTGGTTTCCATAGATAGCATGTTTAGACTTATTTGCATTAAGATTTCTATGTCATCAGCATAGGAAAGATGCTGAGAGCTATAATAAATTTGAAATTTTTTTCCGATTACAGTTTTTACTTTGCATGTTCATTTTGTTACAGTTTAAGGTACTGTTTTCTTTTTCCTTTTATTGCAAGTGATGCGTATCTTTTTTTACTTGATAACAACACTTTAAAATTTCTCTGATATCATACTTGATTATTGCATTGCCATGAAGTTAAGTGGTGTTGAGTGTTTAAGCATATTTGATACTGAATATATTTTCAGACAAACCTTAGAAAATTCCTAACCCAAAGGACTCTGAATGGACTAAGTTAGTTTTATGACAAGAGATGATGATTTAATGAAGTTAGAAGGCTTTTCTGGGACCCCACCAGTAGAATTTTCCCTCCCTTAAGAAAGCTTCTTTCCATTCCCGGCACACTTAGCACATCTTCCTATCATGGTCCTGATGCTCTTTGTGGGCTTTACAGGATTCTTTCTCTCCCTGTTTGACGTTGTCCACAGAAGGGCTGGTAGAGTTTGGCATGAAGCAGACATTCACTTAATGTGGTTGAATGAATAAAGATTGAGCTTATAAAGTTTGGAAGATCTTTGAAGGTTTTTGGCCAAAAATGACATGGTGAATACAATGTCTCCAAAATATTTATTTCCTGATACTCTTTAAAATGGTCATTGAGGTTGGGATTTTGTCACTGGGTATACTTTTTAATAAATAACTTCAAGGATTAATGTGTTTTCTTGTGAAATGACTTGGGAAATTTAAATTTTTATCATTTAAAAAAGACAACTGTAGTATGATGAGCCAGTCATCATGCTACATTTTGGTCATTTTACTTAAATACGTGAGAAAACGGAAATTACAAAAAAGATTATTAAACTCCAACTTTGATTTTAATTAGATTTATTTGTTTTAAAGTTTTAAGACTCTCAATGTAATAATCTCTGATAATTTGGTAAATATGAAGCTTTGTATCAACATCTTTTTAGGAAATCATTTGTTTTATGTATGAAATATTTTTTAAAAAAATAATGCATGCCATTGTTTAAAAAGTAAACTAGTTTTTATTTTTCCTGCAAAATTAACAGATTTTTGTGAAACATTTTATATGTACCCTACTCCAAATAATAACATAAATAAGAAAGGGCATTATAAAAGACTGCCCTTGTAATTATTTTACTTTGTGCCTAGTGTTCGTAGTTATCAAATTATAATTTATTTTCCAAGTTACTCTGAAAGCCGTGTCCACCAGTGGATATGATCAAACCAGTAGACAATTTCCGCAGTATGTTCTGAGTTGAAATTCTTCCCAGAGTGACTTGAATTGGAATGTTTGGTTGATTGCGGCAAGTCTGACTTGCTTTTCACCATAAATGGTACAGACATGAGTTTTCAGAAAACGGGCAATGGAAATTACAGCTAATGCATGGAACACACCAAAAGGGGTAATTGCTTCCTTCCTTCCCTCTTTAAATTCAGTATTTCTGACATTGCTAACGTTGCTCAAAATGCTTACTTTTCTAATTGCAACATATAAAGTCAGTAAAAGCAGGGAAGGTATGTAACAGTGATGAAAAGGGTTTGAATTGAGACAGAATAAAATGTGTGTTCATATTGGCCTATTATTTCTTAAAATAGTTTTATGTGAAATAGCAATATACAGAGAATTATTCCTTGAATTGTGTGAACTTTTCAAATTGAACTCTCATTTGAGAAAAATAGTTTAGACCACTTACTGCCCCCTTTTAAGAAATGATAATCAGTGATGATCATCCATTTCTTTTTATATCTGAGCATACTGTACACAGTATGCACTTAGCCCTAGAAGTTTTTCTCTGATACCCAAAAGTTCTAAACTGCTCCAGGCTTTCCACACCTTTTGTTTCTGATTTTAAACACTACCTCAGATAACCCCTTCTCTGATCACACATTTTTTTTTCTTTGAGCATAATTATTCAACGATTCCCTCCTTTTCTCTCCATTAGCCTCTTTCTTCCTTTCTGATCCAGGATGGTCCACAATTTGAGTAACCTTTAAGCATTAATTTGTTTATGAAATTACAACCTGACATAAACTTGTGCAACAGCTGTACTTTTTTCCCTCTAGTCAATAAACTTTTTTAAAAAAACTTTCAATAACTATTTCAGATCTTCTCTATTCTCATGCTTTTTATTACTCACCTCATTTTCTACAGGTGACTCTACTCCTTCCATCCAGAAGAAAATAAAAGTCATTTGGGAACTCTCATATTCTCTCAGCCCAAACCAGGAAACTATCCATACCTGCAGCCAATCTTTCAACTTTGTCCCTAAGTTACATACATAACAGGGGTCCTACTCATCTCATACCAATCCCTGCTTCTGGGTTTTGTTTCCTGTATCCCCAACCCTCTCAGAAAATTTTCATTATGAATTATTTTCTCCTCTCTTCGGTACCAACTATTGCATCTCAAAAGAATCATTCCAATCAAGACTCAGACTCAACACTACTATGGCTGAACGCATAACCTTCAGCATCAAGCCTTGCCTTTTCTTCTCTAATCTCAGCAAATGGTACCACCACCAAGCCAATTGAACAGAAACCTAAGTCATTCATGAGATCTCCTCCTCTCTCCCTGAATTCAATCTGTCCCCAAGTCTTGTTGCTATTGCCTCCTAAATATCTCCTTTAAATCCACTTGTTTTCCTCTCTCCTCTTAACACCCTCATCTAGGCTGGCATCATCTGTTTCCAGAGACACTGCACAAACTTCCTAATGCATCAAGATTGTTCTCTGATTTGCAGCTGTATTTATCTTTTCTGATTGTAAATATGACCTGTCACTGCCCTGCTTAAAACTATTTAGTTGTTTCCCATAAAACACAATATAAAGACCACACTCCTTTCTGTAGCCCATGAGATCCTGCATGGTCTGACACCTGTGTGCTTTTGCAGCTCTGTCTCATGCTCTCTGCTCTCTGCTCTCCAACCACCACAGCCTTCTCTAGTCAAGCAAAGAAATCCTGCTTCCTCCTCTTTGATGGTGACATCAAGTCTCTGGACTCTGGCTTTTTTTGTACATATTAACTTGATGGCTGAATTCCGGCTTCAAGGATTGCATTCAAATGATAACTCCAGCAGAAAGAGCAGAATTATCATCCAGAAGAGCCAGTTGACTCTATGAGAGGTTAGAACACATGGGTTGTGATGTAGGCTGCACCTAACTTTGGTATTGATAGCCCATTCTGGAACAGCCAACTTGGGGGTCTTTGCGGGTTATGTTTTATATTCTGCTCCTGGTGTTCTAGTAACTTCAGGGTGGTTGCTGGGAGCCTCAAAGGTAGATGCCAGGGTTTCAGCTCCAGTGGTAAAGCCGGAATAATGAGAATTGACTATAACTTGTAATCGGTCTAGCAAAACTATGGTGGAATGGGGAGAGAGGGCCTCTATACTGAGCCTAGATCTAGAATGCTATTGATTATTGAAGAGAGATGTGTACACTGTTTTATTTCCCAGGCTTGGAAAGTGGATAATAGCTATTACAGATATGTTACATCTCTATAGTCTTTTGATGTTTAGGAAACTATTTTCATCTACTACCTTGGTTGATAGCTTACTTGATTGTTAGGGTAGGCATGAGAAACATTTTTCAATTTCTTTTTGTATAAATGAAAAAGCTAAGAGAAGGGTTATGACTTGCCCACGACACTTGAGTGTCAGAGTCCAGCATGAGCAGCTCCTTGTTCTGATTTCTGTGCTTCCCCTCATGGGACTGGTATAACATTTAACACTATTCTGGTCACGGTGTGTACTATTAACATATGAGTGAAGTGTGATGCAGTGGGAAAATGACTAGCAGATGACACTATGGAGTCAGTTTTCAGCTGCTTTTCACAGTGCAGCCCTCTATTCAGCAGTTAAATCGACCTATTTTTAGTTGTGTTTGGGACAAAGCCCAGAGCTGCACTTTACAGAGTCTACAACCTCCTGTTGGGTGTTATTGCCCTTAGTCATCATTTGAATGTTTCTTATGTCATCTGACTCAGAAAGTCCACATTTTCATTTTCTTCCACAGAATTGGTTTGGCTAATCTTGGGTCCTATATAATGTCAGTTTTTTTTTTCCTTTAAGAGTTTGAAAAAACCCCAGGGATGTGTGTGGGCATGTGTGTGCATATATGTATCTGTGTATATATGTGTATGTGTATATGTGTAGGTGTGTACATGTATCTATATGTATGTATATCTGTATGTGTGTGCACATGTCCTGTAATTCACTTGGGATAATAAATTTCTGAATCATGGTAGTGCTCACTTTCTCCATCCTCACTGTTTAGGATGGTATATTGCCAGTCAGAAACAGATACAGTGGGCAACCTTTCCCTCAAGCCCATCTGATGGGCATCAAGGAAGTCTGTGCTGGATGAGAGTGGAATAATGGTTTGCCTCCTTACTCTAGGGCCAGGATTTTATGTGGCTGGAAGTTGTTTTTAGAGAAGAAACTCTGATGTACTTTCTGGCTGTGTGATCCTAGACTAACTGACTGAAGGTCTGATTTGACCCTGAATACCCAAGGATACACCTGCTCTTATATACAAATATGTGAGGAAGAGAAGGTGTATCCTTGGGTAAGGTGGAATTCCCACTCCTACTGCCCTAGCATCTTCTGTTTCATCAGTTGGGCTCTACCTAGCTTGGGAGGGAGAGGATAGGAGAAGATGAAGAGAAGAGGGTAATTATAAATACCCTCCAGTAAAGAGAAGAAGGTAATTATAATTTTTCCCGAAGCTAGGGGCTAACACAGCCCAAGTGTGCATTCAGATATAGGACTCCAGTAGCTCTCAATCCATCCCTGTCAATGTTATGTGCCTCTCTTCTATTTGGGATTCCCAGCTGGAAAACAATGCGCAGTCCTATCTCGTCTTATTTTAACAGCCACTCTTTAACAGTCTGGGATTGAATTATTCAGGGCAATTTTCCCCCTGTGTATATAGCAAATAGTATGTAGAGAATCTTAATCACTTTAGAAATAATCTTAATTACTGTCATAAGACTGGTTATTAGTAATTCTGGTGTGTTTAAAATTCAAATTAGTATAAAGAGTTTTTATTCCTCACTGTACAAACTCTGGAGCAATGAAGCTGCTCACAGTGTAAATCTTCTCTTTTCCCCCACTTTTAGAGCTATGACTGAAAACACAAAAGGTTCTTGATTTTTTCATTCCCCATCTGTTTTCTGTCATTCAAATACCAGTACATTATTTGAAATATAGTTAGTCTGCAGCCACAGTACATAGGTTGAATCATGTGTAACTTTTCATGTTGACCAATTTAAACTTTACTTTTAATTGAAAAACATTTTCAAGTGCCTCATGACATCAGTTGGAATTTTCTTGGTTTGTGTGTCAGTGAGGATTTGGATTCACGAGTTTTCCTTCCAGGGGGAAGAGGCAAAGAGGTTAGATGGTGTGGGTGCACGTTATTTTGTGGAAAGAGCTCTGAAATGGGTGGTAGAAATCTGGTTTTCAGGTCAACTTCTGGGAAACACTGCCATTTGACATTGGGGAAGTGATGTTACCTCTTTAGAACTGAGATTTGTCATCTGGAAAATTGGCAGAAGTTGCCTAGATATATTCTACCTTACCAGCTTTGAAATCTGTGACACCATCACGTATTACTTTGATTTTATTGCAGAATTTCCAAATTACATTTCCGTATAATACAGTATGATGTGGAGCTGATCAAAAGTTTGCTTTAACTGTCAGTCCTGGTGGTTAAATAAATATTGTACATAGTTCACTTTGTGGACTCTTCAATTCTAGTTATCATATGCTATTTTGGTGCTGCAGTGCACCTTGAGGTTACTCCATTTAGATACACTGTTTAATCCAGTGCTTCTGTGAGTCATTAAAGAAAGGTTTTCATCGTACCTTTTGTTGAAACGAGATAATTGACAGGTTTCAGAAAGGAACCTGGAATCGTGGGGAGGTTACTAATTTCTAACATATAATTGATAAAGGGTAATTGTCTTTTCACATTTGTCAAACTTTTTTTCAGTAATTATTCTTTGCAGCAATAGGAAAGAAATTGTAGAGATGTCTCATTTAAGGTCACCAGAGATTTTATTTTATATTACAGAATACTGGTTGATCAGCTATTTGCCTGTTGATAAACTTGTTGGTATAAAAACATTTCAGTTAGTGAGATCAGAGCCTTAAATTCTTGTTTTAAAAGTTGTTACATGAGGAGTAGTTGACTAACTCGTCTCATACTCCACAGATTCTGGGTTCTGTCCATCAGACACATATTTTGGTGAGGGGAGCTCTGTACACACATGCAAAGATGTAAAGCTCCATCCTAACTTTTCTGACAACATGCTTTATTCCAGGTGATAGTCTGTATTTGTATTATAGGCTGTTAGAGAAAAAGCACCTTTAAAGTATTAGAAATACCAAATGATTTGAGAAGAACAGGTGTTGAAATGTCAAGGAATGTTTGTGTAGTGGAAGCAAAAGTGTGGAGTATTTTTCTTCTGTTTAATCTGTTGATCCAAATACATTCATCTTTGGCAACTATCCAGTGTCTTGTGCATAACAGGAACTCAGTAAGTGATTGGCAAGTGAAAATAAGGCCGCATTTTCAGTGCACAGCTCAGCAGGTAGGTAGTGCATTGTGTAAAATTTGCTGCACTGCACAAGTGTGAACCTGGGCTCTCTAACTACTTGCCAGATAACCGTTATCTCTCTGAGCATTTGAGCACTCATCTGAAAATGGGGGCAATGTAAGATCCATGTCATAAGGCTGTTATGAGCATTAAATTAGATAATATGATGTTAATAAAATGATAAAATTTTTAATGAAAAATAAGTAAATAACAAATACCTTTATTTGTGTCTCATAACATCTCGGAGGTATGAAAATTGAAAGATTCCCAAGACATACTCATCAAATCACAGTTTGGAGTTTATAGACCTCTACAAATTTGGCAGATATTCTTTACATGGAACTTTTGCAGCTCCATGAAAAGTTCTGCTTTTATCCAGTGTCTGCTCGAAGGAAAGACTCTCACCTACTGTTTGTGTATCAGTTTTCCTAAAGTGGGTTTAGTTCTTGCCTTGAAAAGGGAATGAAAAAAGTCACTAAGAAGTAACAATAAGAAGGGAACCAATGCCTGACTTTATTTTCTTTCTTGATGATCAAGTTGTCCCTCCTACAGTACAGATACTGTAAGTAACTTTATACTTAAGGTCAAAGTACTCCTTGTGTAGGGTCTCAACGTGTCTAGTGTTACCTGTGTCTAAAGCAATTTAAGAAGGCCATCATAAGTGATTTGACCATCTTCTATTTATATAACCAATTTAGAGTGGCAGAGTTGTAACAGAAAAAGATACTCAAAATCCAAAGCCCTTGTTTAACATCAGAATTCACTCCTTAACTGGCTTCAGTATCTTCATAAAATAAAAATCATGTACCTATCTCATAGACTCTGTAGTTTAATATGCCCATGCCACATTTATATAGGGTGAGAAAGACTTTGAAGCAGGGAAGATGGAATTAGTTAATGGAGAGCCTTTTTACATGTCTTAAGAGTCAACATTTGATACAAGAGGAATCAAGTCATGTAAATAAGGACTATTTTCAAATGATTATACTTGATGAAAAGTCTTATGTGGAATACCATTTTAGATATGTGTATATATATGCTTATCTTGTTTACTTTTAAATATCATTTTAAGAGAATTAAACACACTTATTTCTGTAAAATTGAAAAGTCATTTCTAACAGTTCCTTTTCCTGCTAAATATGGCATTTATTTAAAAGATCTAATATTTACCAGTCGCTGCTATTTGGTTCTCTGAAAACCCTCCTAATTATCTGTGAAAGCCAAATGTGATCTGAGCTTTCTTGGCAAAAGGATATTGACTTTCATTAAGACTGAATTGCAGTACAGACCTTTAAGCCTTTATCTGCATCTCATTAATTGGCATGTGATTTGGGAGAGTGGCTATTAATTATACAGAAGACGGTGAGTGAATAGAAAGGATCATTCAAAGGCAAACTATGCTTAAACCTGACCATGTCCACAGACAGTATATACTTCATCTGGCAGTCATTAATTTTCCTAAGTGTTTGAAATCAGCCATAGTAAGGGTTTTTAAATGGCACATCTAGAAATAACATTAATGTCTAGATTTTTACAATTTAATTTCCTGGAAAGTCATTTTTTTAAACTTGCATGAATTTTTGGTTGAAGTGGCAATAAGAGAGTATACATAATATGATAAGCTACAGATCCATTTTTAATAATAAAATCTCTCTTCCCCTGACAATAAACTATGGTAGTGTAGTCTTCAAAAAATCCACTAAGTTAAAATAAAGTTTTCAAGTTAAAATAAAGATACAAGAAGAGACAATCCTCATACCTATCTTTAAGATGTCAGCAAGTAGATTGTGCCTTGTTAAATATATACTGTTGGGGAATCTAAATTATTCTTTCAATTCCATTAGAGTGATATCTCATAATATACATCGATAAATCCACACATAAGAATAGACCAAAATGAACTTGCAATTAACTTTATGTGAATTCCCTGTTTTCCATTTTATCTGTGTAGCTAACATTTTTTAAATTTGAACATATATTTTCAAGTTGTCTCTTTTTACAGATGAACACTTAAATCCATCTAATTGTTGCATTGAAAAATCTTGATCACTTTCAATATTAAATTTATTTTTATTAATGCAATTCAGCAAACATATATTGAATATTGAGTACAAAATGTATTGTTCTACACTAAACCATTTAGATGGGGAAGTTGAAACTTGGTACTCTAACATTTAACTTGGGAGAAACAGAGTAGAGGATATTGATTCCACTTTTGATGTGAACAGTGTTTAGTCATCTCATCTGACTGGTTTCTCACTAGTTCCTTATGAATTTTGCTGTAACTGTAAAGGACAGGTGTTTCTCACACTTTGATGGGTCAGAAGCAAATGGGAACCAACAGTTTTGAATGAAGGTTTTTATTAAATGGTAAGCATACTGTTACAAGATCTCCCAGCAAACAGGCCAATGTGTGTTTAAAACACTTTTCTTCTTAAGATTATCCAGGCTCAAGGCAGTGTTTCCCAAAGTGCAGGTCACCAGTAGTCTACCTGCATCTGAAATATGTGGGGGTATTTGTTAATGCAGATTTCTTGGCTCCACTCCACAGTTAACTGAGTCAGAATCTATAGAAGTGGAGCCTGGGAATCTGTATGTAACACATTCCTTGGGGGAATTCTTAATCACTGACTTATTTTTCTGACCTTTTAGCTAGAATGGTTAATTTATGTGAAAAATGCTTATGATTAATGGATATCACATTATAGTTAAGTCAGTGTTGTTATGTACTGGTATATATTTTACAGCATTACTGTATCTTTCAAAAGAAATATCTGTGGGTCAATGGAAGTAAATTGATGCTGGTATGACAGATCCTTTCCTATTTTCCTATAAAATGATACTTCAAAAAATTTACTTTACACCTAGACACACACACATGAAGTTAAGAGGTGACATAGCTAGGGTTAAATAAGTTGGTATAAGATTGAGACCACATTTCTGGAAGCAATGCATATTCCAATATGTTTAAAGTAGTTGATACCACTTCCATTATCAATGTAATGATTTACTCATTAATGTTTAATATTAAGCATTACTTAATGTAATTAAATAGATCATGTTTTATGATGCATATTTTCTTCAACTAAACATTAGCTAATTGTAGTTAAGGCATTTATATACTGATTGCATGCTAAACACATTTTCTTGCTTTTTACAGACAATTAATTTGAAATACTGCATGAATATCAGTTATTTGCTTGTGACTGATCTCAAGCCTAAAAAGAAACTCTTTTCATGAAGAATTTAATTCAGTTCTTTTTACACTCTTTACAAAGGATATGTGTGTAATTTCAAAGCATATGTAAATGATTTTGCTAGATTGTTTGAAGAAATGGGTAGAAAAAATACTTTTCTCCCCGATCTTAAATAGGTTTATCTTTAATTCAGTGGCGGAATAATTTTGGTAAGGTTGTCTTAAGTGCCATTTCTACAATAATTGAAGGGTATCCAGAAATAGAAGCTTGAGAAAAATAGTTTACTTTAATTAATGCAATTAGGCAGTTTCTTTCTGTTGTATCAAAAAGAAAATAAGGAACTTTTCAACCAAAATACTAGTGAAGCATTATGAACATATTTATTTGTTGAATAAATAAAATGAACTCTGTACTTCTTTCAATTTCTCCAAAATTCCAGGCTATTTCCTGAACTGTGTTCTTGCCACATGCTGTCCCTGCTTATAGAAGGCCCCCCAAATCTGCAAAGCTGCCTCTTTCTCATTCTTTAGTTCCCCACTTGAAGGAGCTCCTCTCAGATCAGCCTTGCCTTACTACTACATTTAATGTAGATCTCCACGTCAGCCTTTTGTTTGCTTCTTTCGTAAGACTTACTGAAATTATTTTATTTGTCTGTTTACTCATTTCTTTTTTGTTTCCCACTGGGCTGTAAGCAACTTGAGATCAGAGAAAATGTTTGTCTTGTAAACATTTGCATCACCAGAGCCTAGCAGAATGCCTGGCACATAGTAGGTACTCAACATCTTTATTTGTTCGACTTTAGGGATGGGTAGATGGATGGATGGATGCATGGGTAAATGGGGTGGACAGAGGAACAGATTAGATAGATAGATAGATAGATAGATAGATAGATAGATAGATAGATAGATAGACAGACAGAAAGTGCTTTTGAGTTGAAAATGTTTACACAGAGATCTTAAATGAAGGGCTAGCATGGAATAATGCTTACATTTGATCAGTGGTAAGGAATAGATAAAAGTGTAATCTTATATTTATCTAAAGCATTTGAATGGAATAATCAGGCTAAAGAATTTTGTGGATTGGGTTGTTTTTCTGAAATGCTGTATTTCACTTACACTGTTGTGTTTAATTTGATATTGTAGATGCAATTTTCTTTGTATAACTGCATAATTTTTCTCATACTTATAAAGAAGATATGACTTGTGGGTAAATTTGATTAATAATGCTACCAGCTACTCTAGGCTATAAAACTATGCTACCAGAAGCCATGCTGCAATTTGAATTTGGTAAATGTCCAAACCTGATGATATGTGTGATAACATTGGGGAAACATGAGTTACTGTTTATAACTCTAAATTATTATAGTTAAATATCAATGTAAATGTCTCTACTATGCCAGATAAACATAAGGTTATAGCAGGTCTTTTTCATAAAGCTATGATATTAAGGCTTATTATAGTATGTGCCTATAAATGTATGCTCAGCACATTCCTTGGTGTTCTATTTAAAAATATGTGAAACTATTTAGAAGAAAATAGTATATTTGGAATTCAAAGGACATGTACTGAACAGGATGAGGAGGTTGAAAGTGACAGGTTTTCAGGATTATTCTGTTATCCCATTTGTAATAAGATGGAAGTAACTCTGCATGTATTTTAATTTTAATAATAATGTAGGGAGTGTACATTTTACATTTGGTATAATTTTATAGTAAAAGATAATAGATATTCAATTAATTAGTCAAAATATAGTAAATTATTTTAAGACAGATGCTGTTTTAAAGATATGAAATAATAATAATAAATATGAGGTTGGTTTCTAATTTTATTTCCATGCACTAATTTTATTAAAATTAATAAAATAATTTAATCTTTAGCTATGTAATTCTTCAATCATTGGCTAATAAAAGACTTACATCAGAATGCTATGTACTGTTAATTTAATTGCTTAGTACATTTTATTAGCAGGTGCTGAAGTAGGCAAGTTTTTAAAATTTCTGTCTTCACAGCAACTCTGTAAGTTAGTATCATGACCTCTATTTTACAAATGAGAAAATTGTGACTTAGGAAAATTACTTGTCTAATGCTATATTGTTAAAAAGTTTCAGGGTCAAGTTTACCTACTTTCAAACCCCTAATGTGTTATATGGTATATCACATTGCTTATAAAAAAATAGCTTTAGCCTTGTAAAATAATATTCAGAGACATTATTAATGAGGGCTATATTTTTCATTTAGCCAATCAGCAAGCATTTATAGGGAGTGACCAGGCACTGAACTGAGAACTAGAGATAGTCTAAAATTAGACATGAGACTTGTCTCCAAGGCCCTTACTGTTGTAAAGTGAGATTGTTGCTGGTGGCTGTAAATTTCTACACATGCTTGGATTCTACTGGGAATTCAGCTATGCTATTTTAAACATCTCTTCATCTGCAGCTAATTCAAAAGTGTTGAAGGGCTGCTTCCCCTAGAGCACTTCTAACTGTGCCTTGTTTAACCAACAATGCACTAAATCATTCTATCAAGAGATAGACTTTCCCTTAAGAATCAGATTAGAGTTTTGACTGAATTCAGATAGGTAACTTGAACAAAAAGAACTTCAGTGTTAACTGTTATTTACAGATTAAGTCAAAATTATTTAGAATGACTTAAAAATTATGACATAACCAGTCCCCAAGTTTAAGAACATTACAAATTATCTCCAGATTTTCCACTCTGTCTAAATGGACCTTAGGGTTGCAGAAAGATAAAAGATGAAAAATCATGAGTGAGAAGGGGATGACTTGAAGACCCCTAACAGTTATTCCTGGTATGTTTCCCTTCCTGCTTTCTATTTGTAGTATTCTGGGATGCAGTTATGCAAGCCCAGTTTAGTCCTCTCAGTCACATATAGATATATGTATGTATATGCTATATATGTCTATACATCCTATTATTTTTGTACAATCTAAAATTTTTGATGTTAATAGCCTTTTTTTTCCCCTAAGTAAAAGTCTTAATGTCTGTTTTAGGGACTCTCCAAGAAATCTGCATCATGAAAACAGCTACTGGCCTGATCTCTGCAGTGTGTGTGTGTGTGTATGTGTGTGTGGTCTGTGTGTGTCTTCATGAATATGGAAAAATGCTCTGCAACTGAACCCTTAAGGTTAACTCCCCCACACCCACTCTCCTACTCACAAAGCTTTCAAAACCAGACCTATAATAGGCAAGAAATGAGTGGGGAAACCATCTTTATTTCTTTTCAAATATCTAATTCTGACATATTGCCATCTTGAGTGCTGTCTGTTGTTGCCTGTGTCTTAGTTTTGTGCCTTGCATCTTCTCATGGCTGTCTTCTCTGTTTCATAGGCCTATCTTGCCTCCTCTGCTCTTTTCTCCCATGCACTGCCCTGTCCCTTCTTACTTGATCTTTAGCCCACAGATAGAGTCTTGTGATGAGTCAATCATGCTTTTTCATGGTGAGTTTTATGCCTTGTGTTGCTCTCATATTGTGATTGTAACTCTCTCACATGATGCTCCTGCTCCTCTATCCCCTCAATAACTCTTTCATTAAATTGCTTTTTTGTGAGTTATCTTTTAGCTATGGTGTTTATGAAACCTTTGTGTCATAGATTCTACACTGATAATGTGTTATCAGGAATGTAGTCCTATCAGCCATGATTGTTGATTCACATTATATTATTCAATCCAAGATCATAAGCTTTCCAAAAAGAACATATTATCCTTGTATTTCTTCTAATTTAATTACACTTTTTATGAAGAATTTCAGAGAATCTAGAATTCTATCCATAGTCTTAACTTACCCACCTCTAACTACATATTCAAATGAACTGAGAAAATTTTGCCTGTTTTTATGTGTCTGAATTATATTCTTGTATGACTAGCTATTTTATGCATATGAAGTTCTTTATTCATATTCTAATGGATATAAAATGTTTCTTTTTGAATTGTTGCCTTTTTTAAAGATAATTAAGTGCAATTCAGTTTCTTCAGAATTTCAAAATGATTATATACATATTTTCTCTCCCTAATACGCCCCACTGTTAAGTATGATTTGTTACAAATTTGCAGTAGTCTATATTGTCATTTTGTGAAATCTCCTTTCCTCAATTTTTACAGGCATTGCCTTGATTAAAGGCCTCATTACCTCTCCTAGAGGAATGATGAGCTGCATCCTCACAGTCCATCCCCTTACCAAGTGATTGTTTCCACAGTAATCTTCTAAAAAAAGTTTATCATTTTGGAGAAGTCACTTTTAGTCTTATAGTTCTTCAGTGTCTTGACAAAACCCAGACTCCATAGCAACATCTGCCCCTGCTTACTTTCTCAATAGAAATTATCCCACTGTTTATAAACCTCAAACTACTTGTGTTTTCTCCTAGAATGACATGCTATTACACAACCTCATGATTTTTCATAAGTTGGCTCCTAGGTCTGCAACGCTCTTGTTCTGTTTGTCAGTCTCTTGTCTCCCCTGCATTCTTAATAGATTGACCACCTCTGAACTCTCTATAATTGTAAAAATAGCCTATTATCCCAAATAACTGAATATGAAAAGTCATAATTTCATCAAGTCTATTTTGGGGCAAATGAGATTTCCTAGCACATAGCTTATTTCTAATAGCCTGTAATTGGAAGGGATGCCTTTGAGCTGATAAGGCCCTTTACACTGATCTGGTTACATTCCTGCTTGGTCCTCCTGGTGAATCATGTAAAAGGGATGGAATGTGCCAGTCTGGCTGTGCAGATTATCACCATAGAAAGGATAACTCAACTGACCCTTCTGTGGGCTTACCCTGACTTGGTGATACTGCGACCTTTAATATGAGTTAGACCAGTCAGAAGAACAGTAATTCCAACTGTAATATATAAAATGTGTTTATACTCACCCCTACCCCCAGTGCCCTTAATATAGTTTCTCTTGCTAATCTTTGAAGGAAGATCTAAAACACTGGAATTCTTTGTCTCCGCTGAAAATCAAAAATTACCATGGTCGAGAAAAAAAAGAAAAAGCCCCTATGTACTTATAGTTCCTCAAGGCTGTCAAGTGTGGTTGGGTTGCTGGTGCTCTCCACAATTCTAGAGGAACTTCATGGCGCAGTTGTAAGGGCTGGTGCAGAGAATGAGATTCGGGAGCAGAAAGTTGAGCACAGATTTCCTTTACTGAATGTCAAGGTGGGCAGCACAGCACATTGAAAATGTCACAGCTGATTTTACAGATTTCAGGACACCATAGAATGTCTGTTTTTTATCTGTAGAAAGGATCTAAATTGATTTTTACATGAACATATATTATTTGTGTAAGCTATAGTGTAGAGAAGTAACATTAATCATAATTGAAATCTAACACTAGTGTTGTATGAAAGGAGAGAAGGTTAGCACTCCCCTTGACAAGGATGGAAGAGGCCCTTGGGCCTGACAACACGCATACGCAAGGACAAAAACCCAAACACCGCATGTTCTCACTCATAGGTGGGAATTGAACAATGAGAACACATGGACACAGGAAGGGGAACATCACACACCAGGGCCTGTTGTGGGGTGGGGGTAGGGGGGAAGGATAGCATTAGGAGATATACCTAATGCTAAATGACGAGTTAATGGGTGCAGCACACCAACATGGCACATGTATACATACGTAACAAAACTGCACATTGTGCACATGTACCCTAAAACTTAAAGTATAATAAAAAATAAATAAATAAATACAATCTAAGACTATTAGTTTTGTTACCTCGGATACAATTATAGTAGCATCTACTCAGAACTTCAGTTTTCAAACTATATGTAATTATTATTTTAAAATGATTACTTTATAATTTATGACATTACAAAATGACTTATCGTTGACTTTCAATTTCTGAAGGAAGTAGCAAGTTGAAGAACACAAAGCATTGATTGAGAGATGACTGTCCTAATTTTTAATGTTAATACAATATTTTAATACAATAATGAATTATTAGTTACTTCATATGTAACAAAAGTATCTCTGGAAATTTGACTAAGATGGTCAAATATAAAACTTAAATAGAAAGTGCTTTACCTAATGTGATTATTTGATTTTTTAAATTTTATAAACCATTTTTGACATATATTACAATATGTAATTCTGTGAATATTTGAATAATATTTGATGTGTTCCACGTATTCAGGATAGTCAAGAACCAAGGTAATGGAAAAATTACTTTTAAGCCATCTTTACCATGGAATTTCTGTTTGGTGATGATGATGGTGACAATGATGGCATCATAGTTATGTATGAAATTTGAACTCATATTATGGACAAGTCAGTCCTCTTAAGTATTTTGTATAGGGTTGTTGCATGGATAAAATGAGATAGTTTATGTGGTAGGAGTCATCATTTTTCTCTTTATATGGGCAAGGAGACTGATGCATGCAGAGTTGAAGTAACTTGTACAGTTCAGTAAGCAGTTGTGTTCAGAGTTTCATCTTAGCTGTTCTGACCACATTCTGTGTTCTTCTGTGTGAAAAATAAATAAAAATAAATAAATAAAAATAAAATAAAACCAGTTTTATTCAAGAAGATCAGCTGTTTTGCTTTCACTCTACTTGATACAATAGTTGGTTGAAAATGTCTATATCCTTAGATCCCCACAGACCCTACAGATGTGAAAAATGAGTAGTGGAGTTCTCTCGAAGAAGAAATATGTGGTCAATTAAGACCTAGAATCAGTCTTTGATGAACTGGAAGTTTCCTGGATAGGCAGAAAATTCATAAGGAATCCTAGAACTTGGCCTCAAAGACTATCTATCCATGGCAGTTTAAATAGCTGAATGAACAAAATCTGAGTCCAAAGTGAAGAGCTAAGTTAAAAAGAAACCAGTTAATAAATAGGGATTTGCCCCCCCATAACCAATCTCACCTTGGTTTCATAGATAATATCCCAGTAAATGTGCACAGATATTTACTGTAACAGAGTGTCCACCTAAAAATACAGTGGATTGTCTTAGGACGCTAGAATAAAATGTTATAAAAGGGAATGACTGAATGAAGGATATCTGGGAACCTTTCCTTTTCATGAATTTGTATTCCTTTAGGAGTATTTAATATAGAACTTCCTGATTGGAAGACTTACATATACCTGAAAAGCTCTTCACATTTAATATTATATATTTTTTAAATGGTGGGATTTTTGGCTGTGTAGGAACTGGCTACTCTGGCATTTTTACTCATGATGAAGAAAACTCTAGTAATCCAAAAAACATTTGTTAAAAAGAGAGTTAAATAAAACACATTGTTTTTCTTATGACAGGCTCTGTCTGGGGGGTTCACTTCAGCAGTTCATAAAATATGTCTAATACTTTGCTTTGTTAAGACAAAGCAACCTTCTTGTTTATTACATATAGAGAAGACATATATATATATATATATATGATATTACTATGTATAAGATGTTCATTTTTTAAGTTTTGCTTTGTTTATTTCAATACTAGCCTAAAATTTTCATTTAATTGAATGGCTGCTATGTAAGGCACTTCCTGCTAGGTGTTTTACATTTTATACCTCGAATCTGAAAAATAACCTTATGGTAGAAATTATTAACCCTTCTTTACTTAGAAGAAAGTCAGAGCTCACATAGTTTTGGGTAAAGGGATGTGTTCCAAAGGTCCAAATGGCATGAAGGCAATCCAAACCTGAATCTCTGTGCCCCAAAGGTCACACACTTTTCATTACATCACACTGGCTCCCAAGGACAAAATGAATCCAAAGATAGGTATTTCAAGGATAGGTATATTTTCAATTACTGATTAGCAGCACAATTATAAAGCATAAGCAATCCTTTAAGAACAATGCTTTATTTGGGAACAGATTACTTGGGACTATCTGTACCTTTATGAATCCTTGAAAATCACCACTGTGGCAGCTCAAAACAAAGCAGTCTTTTGTACACATAATATATCTGCATTACATAAGTTGAATATATATTTGTCTAATGTCACCCAAAGTTAGCTTATCTGTAAGATGGTTTTTAAGATGTAGGAAGATAATAACTAAAATATGCTTATGATTCATTAAAGTATACTTTAAAAGAATGAGATGAGCATAGCATTGAACGAGGTATCCCATTTCAGTGGTAATTATTTCCCTTGAGTAAATTAAATAGTCTTTTATTTAGGGGAAAATAAAACAGTAAAAAATATCAAGTTTTATCATGGCCAAGTTTTATCATGGTCAAAATAGTAGTGGTGAGATTATCTGTACTACAGTTTTAATTTAAAGTAAATCTTTTAAGCAAACATGTATGGAAATATTAAGTCATTTTCCAGATTTTGACTTGCTCAGTATGACCATTATAAATATAAGAAGTAAAAAAAAAAAAAAACTAATAGCTTACTTCAGAACAACAACAACAAAAATAAATCATAGATGGATTTCTGAGTGGAGATTTTAACAAAGCAGAACTGAAAGAAATCAATCTGAAACTTTCACCAGATCCCTTCAGCAGTTTTTCTTTCTCAGTTTCTGTTGTGCTTCTTTTTCACAATCTTCTGCCTTTCCAGAAAGTAAATGTGTTAATTAATTACTTATACAGGAAGTTTACAATGCTGTGAATTAAATGTTAACATAATTTATTTTTAGGTATTCCTTTAGTTCTGAGCTTAGAGTACTAATTATTTTGTTGGCATTTTGGTTATATTTTGCTTTTGAAAAAAAGATGGTCACAATTCGCTTCCAGTGACATTTATAAAGTAATATTTATGGTATGTCTTTGATTTCAAAACAGTTTTAACTTAAAATATGATTCACTTTAGTCATATCTGTTATTTAATATCCAGTATTTTGCCAATACAAATTATGCTAATGAGTTTTTAATAGCTTCATTCATATTTGTCCTTAAGTTGGAGATGTACAAATACATATTTTACATATGTACACATGAGCACTTTAAAATATGTAAATATACAGCTGTTTTGAATGCTCTTACAATTAATATGCAGTTTAACAGAACTTTGAACACCTGCTACATCTTATGTTCTATATTCCTTACTGTGTGGATACAAAGATGAATTACAAACAGTTCTTGAGATCAAGGACTTTCCAATATATCATATGTATTTTTATGTACAAATCGTAATGAAGATAAGCCTATAATGTTGATGGAATGTGTCACTGACAAATGAGTATTTTGCCTTTTCTTTAATAATTTATATAAATTTTCTACAGTGAGTATATATTATCTCAGTTTATCTAAATATATAAAAGTATTTTAATCTACCCGAAAAAGGAAATATATTTGATAATTTATTTTTCCAGATACTTAGCTTCCCAACTGAAACTGTAATTATTTATTTATACTAAATAATTAAGAAGCCTTAATTAGCATTATACTGTCATTAGAAAAATTGGTACTAATTGGCCGGGCGTGGTGGCTCACGCCTGTAATCCCAGCACTTTGGGAGGCCGAGGCGGGCAGATCAGGAGGTCAGGAGATTGAGACCATCCTGGCTAACACGGTGAAACCCCCTGTCTACTAAAAATACAAAAAAAATTAGCCGGGTGTGGTGGTGGGCGCCTGTAGTCCCAGCTACTCAGGAGGCTGAGGCAGGAGAATAGCGTGAACCTGGGAGGCAGAGCTTGCAGTGAGCAGAGATCGCGCCCCTGCACTCCAGCCTGGGTGAGACAGCGAGACTCCGTCTCAAAAAAAAAAAAAAAAAAAAAAAAAAGAAAGAAAAGAAAAAGAAAAATTAGTACTAATTTATCAGTAACAGTGTAATTCAGAAGTTAATCTAATGAAGAAAATATTACATTGAAAAATTAAAATTGTGAGGTTTAAAAAACTGACAAGATTTGTGGCTTTTTATTTACTAAATATTCACTGTATGATATCATAAAGTATTTAAACTTTTCAACTCATAACAAATGGTTCAATTAGAGATTCTGGCCTTCCTTTTTTTTTAAAGACTATTTTTAGAACAGTTTTTTCTTCACAGCAGAATTGAGATTTCCCATGTATCTCCGACCTCTACAGGAGCATAGCCTCCGCATTATCAACATCTCTCACCATAAGGTACATTTGTTACAATCGATGAGCCTGAATGGACACTTCATAATTACCTAAAGTCTATAATTTACCTTAGGGTTCACTCTCAATGTTGTACATTCTATGGGTCTGAACAAATGTATAATGATGTATTCATCATTATTGTATTTTACGGAGTACATTATAAATATCCTCTGCACTTGAACTATTCATCCTCTATCCCCCAGTCCCTGGTAACCATTTATCTTTTTACTGTTTCCATAGTTTAGCCTTTTCCAGAATGTTATATAGTTGGAACCAAAAAGTACATAACCTTTTTCGCTTGGTTTTATTCACTTAATAATGTGCATTTAAGATTCTCCTATGTCTTTTAATGGCTTAATAACTCATTTCTTTTAATGATAGATAATATTTCATTTCCCTGATATATACCTCATTTTATCCGTTCACCTAATGAAAGACATCTCGATTGCTTTCAAGTTTTGGCAATTATGAATAAAGCTGCTGTAATCATCATTGTGCAGGTTTTATATGGACATACGTTTTTAACTCCATAGGGTAAATACTACAAAGTGTGATTGCTGGATTGTATGGTAAAAGTATGTTTAGCTTTGTAAAAAATCACCAAACTGTCTTCTTAAGTAGTTATACCATTTTGCACTCATCCCAGCAATAAATGGGAGTTTCTGTCGCACCACATCCTTGCAGAATTTAGTGTTATCAGTGATCTGGATTTTGGTATATAGTAGTATCTCATTCTTGTTTTAATTTGTATTTCCTAATGACATATAATGTGGAGCGTATTTTCACATTTGACATTTCATTCACATTCATTTCACATTTCAGATGCTTATTTGCTATCTATCTATCTTCTTTGGTGAAGGGTCTGGTGAGGTCTTTGACCCATTTTTGAATCAGGTTGTTTGTGTTCTTATTGTTGTGTCTGAAGTGTTCTTTGTATATTTTAGGTAACAGTTCTTTATCAAATGTGTCCTTTTCAAATATTTTCTCCCAGTATGTGACTTGTCATCTCATTTTCTTAACATTGCCTTTCACAGAGCATAAGTTTTTAAATTTATCGAAGTCCAGCTTATCAATGATCTCTTTTATTGATTGTGTCTCTACTGTTGTATCTTAAAAGGTCATCACCATACCCAAGGTCTTCTAGGTTTTCTCCTATGTTACCATTTGGGAGTTTTGGAGTTTTGTGTTTTACATGGAATTCTAGGATTCACGTTGAGTTAACTGTGTGAAGAGGATAAGGTCTGTGTCTAGATCCATGTTTTCGTATGTGGATGTCCAGTTTTCTAGTACCATTTGTTGAAAAAACCATAAAACCATGTTTGCTATATTGTACTGCCTTTGCTCCTTAGTCAAAGATCGGCCGGGCGCGGTGGCTCACACCTGTAATCCCAGCACTTTGGGAGGCCGAGGCGGGCGGATTACGAGGTAAGGAGATCGAGACCATCCTGGTTAACACGGTGAAACCCCGTCTCTACTGAAAATACAAAAAAAAAAAAAAAAAAAAATTAGCCGGACGTGGTGGCGGGCGCCTGTAGTCCCAGCTACTCTGGAGGCTGAGGCAGGAGAATGGCGTGAACCCGGGGGGCGGAGCTTGCAGTGAGCCGAGATTGCGCCACTGCACTCTGGCCTGGGCGAAAGAGGGAGACTCCGTCTCAAACAAAAAAAAAAGATCAATCGACTATATTTATGTGGATCTATTTCTGAGCTTTATTTTGTGTTTCATTGATCTGTAATATTTGTCTGTTCTGCTGCCAGTACCACACTGTCTTGATTACTGTAGCTTTATATTAAATTATTTTATTATATTATATTCTGCAACCTTGCTATAATCATTTATTATTTCCAGGATTTTTTCAGTATTTTTGGACTTTCTGCAGATGATCATGTCATCTGCAAATAAGGACAGTTTTATTTCTTTCTTCCAAATCTACATACTTTTTATTTTTTATTATTTTTTATATTTAATTTTGGAAACAGGGTCTCACTTGGACACCCAGGCCGGAGTGCAGAGGTGTGATCATAGTTCACTGCACCCTCGGACTCCTGGGCTCAAGGAATCCTCCCACCTCAGCCTCCTGAGTAGCTGGAATTACAGGTGCAAGCAACATGCCTGGCCAAATCTGTATACTTTTTATTTTCTTGTCTTCTTGTCTTAGTAGAGTCCCAGCATGCTACTGAAAAGCAATGGAGTGAGGGGATATCCTTGCCCTGAGCTTAGTGGGAAAGCTTTGAGTTTCTCATCACTATGTATAATGCTAGATGTGGGTTTTTTTGTAGGTATTCTTTATCAAGTACAGTAAGTCCCCCCCTTTTCCTAGTTTACTGAGAATTTTTATCATGAATGAGTGTTGAATTTCATCAAATGCTTTTTCTGAATTTAATATAAGCATGCAATTATTCTTCTTTAACCTGTTGATGTGCTAGATTACATGAGTTGATTTTTTAATGTTGAACCAGCCTTGCATGCCTGAGACAGATATGAATTGGTTGTGGCATACAATTCTTTTTATACATTGTTCACTTTGATTTGCTGGCTTGTCTTTTAATAGGATTTGTGTACCATGCATATTTTTTACTTTGGTAACATGTTTGACACTTGCTGTTAGGTTCTTTATAATAAATATACTATTCATTTATGTGATAGAAATTCAGTCTTCACTGATTCTTGTCCTCACATCTTTCTATATATAAAACTATATTATTCCAATGTAAAAAAAAACACACACACACACAAAAAAAACAACCCATCAATGAACTCTACTCTAAAATGGTTGCCTTGGTTTTCCTTATAATTGCAAATTTTTTTAACATAGGAGAAACAAAAAATTCATTTCCGTTATCCATCTATTCCATGTAAATTTGAACACATCCTTTTATTCATTTTTTTCCCTTTCATGAAAGTGGAATAATATTGTAAGGGCAGTTACATAATTTGATCAAAATTTGTATCTTGAATTGTTAGTTCAGCATATAATTTTCTTTTGTACGATTCAGAACTATATTTTTTTAAAGGGTAAAGAACAGGTACTATATTTAATACCATATCTTTCATTCAGCTTTCCTAATATATTCTAATAGCCTCATTAAATACAAATATAAATTAAACATTCAATTTCAAAGCTTTAAAATTTATGTTAATTTAATTAAAGAAAGTATCAAAAGCAGCACTCATAGAAGTTATATAAACACTGAGATAAAATTGAGTAGAAGTATATTATTTTAGCTTTTGATTTAAAAATTAAGTTTATTTCACTTGTTAATTATGTCTTTTTATCTAATAGAAAGGGAGAGTGATAGCTACTTAGCAAAGCAGCTTTAAGAGTTACATAAGCGAATATACATAAAAGGCTTAGTAGTACCTTGCATACAGTAATTGCTCAATACATGGTGGTGTTTATTTGTAGTTAATGTTCTTGATAATTTTATGTTTGGGATTTAATCTTATATTTTATAATTAAGCTAACCAGTTTGTAACTTTCCATGTTGTAGTGAAGCATAATACTTGTTTCAAACAAAAATTGAGTTTCTTAGTTATACTTTGAAAAACACTATGATATATCTACTGTTAAAAAATTATAGTATAATTGACGATGTTTGTGTATTTTAACTCGTGTCTTTGCTTCACCTCTCTTCTCTTCATTTATCAACCCAATAACTATTTCTAGAATAGGGAGATTAAATCTCTACACTTTCAGTGTCTTGTTCAGGTCTCTTTTAGTGATGTGGCAGTGGTAATTCTTTAATATTTACACTCACAGAGACAGTGTGATTAGGTCAACATAATTTTTTTCATGGTGTTCTTTGTCCTCCTACATCCATATTTGTCAACATTCCTTATGGTATAAGCAATCAATGTAATACATTACTTATTATGAAATAAAATGTTTATAATGTATTCCATTTTTAGAAGCATTTTTTTCTACTGTGTACACTTAGATTAAGCTTAAATATTCTTTGATCTCTGAAGAAAGTGAAGAAAGAGAGCTCTTCCTTTTCATTCTTCTCTGATATGGGCCATGAATGATTTAGTTTAACACATATTTATGGAGCACCAACTACATGGCAAGAGAGAGGGTAGATACTAATGACAGAACTATGAAAACTGCCTTTAGGATGCTCAGGTACATACAAACTCATTTCAGTGTAGTTTATTAAGTATTAAGATCAATGTATGCATAAAATATGAGGGGAATTGAGTGTCAGAGAAGCATTTAATCCAGCTTCCAGGAAATGAATTCAGCCCAAAGAACCCATTTTAAGGTAGAATGGTAATTATATGTAGAATTATATCTGAATTATCATGAAATTCTTTGGTCATCAGTAAAGATGCACTTGTGATCATAGTAATTCTCTGAACATTGAACAAAACATCCTAATGCATTTTAGCAAAAAATTTTAATTGTAGGAAACAAGGAGTGTTATCTGATGATTAAGTGGAAATTTCACCAGAAACCTCATATATTTTCATTTTCCAACTTTTAGGTTCAAGAGGTACATGTACAAATTTGTTACATGGGTAAATTGTGTGTTGCGGGAGTTTGATGTATAAATAATTTCATTACCCAGGTAATAAGCATAGTACCCAATAGGTAGTTTTTCAATCCTTACTCTCCTCCCAACCTGTACTCTCAAGTAGGCCTCAATGTCTGTTGTTCCCTTTGTATCCATGTGTACTCAATGTTTAGCTCACACTTATTAGTTAAAACATGTGGTACTTGGTTTTCTATTCCTGTGTTAATTCAGTTTTGATAATGGCTTCCAGCTCCATCCATGTTGCTGCAAAGGATATGATCTCATTCTTTTTTATGGCTGTGTAGTATTCCGTGGTGTATATGTACCATATTTCTTTATCCAGTCCACCATTGATGGCCATATAGGTTGATTCCACATCTTTGCAACAGTCAGCACTGCTATGACACACACATTCATGTGTCTTTATGGTAGAACAATTTATATTCCTTTGAGTATATGCCCCGCAATGGGATTGCAGGGTCAAATGTTAATTCTATTTTAAGTTCTTTGAGAAATCTCTAAACTGCTTTCCAAAGTGACTGAGCTAATTTACATTACCCCAGAACTGTACATGTTCCCTTTTCTTTGTAATCTTGTCAGCATATGTTATTTTTTCACTTTTTAATAGTAGCCATTCTGACTGGTGTGAGATAGTATCTCATTGTGGTTTTTATTTGCATATGCCTAATGATTAGAAATATTGAGCATTTTTTCATATGCTTGACTGTTACGTATATGTCTTCTTTTGAGAAGTGCCTTTTCATGTTCTTTGCCCATCTTATAAAGTGGTTGTTTGTTTTTTGCTTGTTGATTTGTTTAAGTTCCTTGGAAGTTGTGGATATTAGACCTTTGAGGAATGCATAATATCCAAATAATTTCTCCCATTCTATAGGCTATTTATGCTGTTGATAGTTTTGTTTTGGCTATGCAGAAGCTGTTTAGTTTAATTAGGTCCCACTTGTCAATTTTTGGTTTTGTTACAATTGCTGTTATAGTCTTCATCATGAAGTCTTTGCCAGGGCTAGTGCCCCAGATAGTATTTCCTAAGTTTTCTTCTAGAGTTTTTATAGTTTTAGGTTGTACATTTAAGCATTTAATTAATCTTGAGTTGGTTTTTTAAAATATGGTGAAAGCCAAGAGTCTAGTTTTAGTCTTCTGCATATGGCTAGCCAGTCATCCCAGCAACATTTATTGAATAGTGAGTCCTTTCCCCATTGCTTGTTATTGTCAGCTTTGTTGAAGATCAGATGGTTATAGGTGCGTAGCTTTATTTCTGGGTTCTCTAACCTGTTCTTTTGGTCTGTGTGTCTGTTTTTATGCCAGTATCATGTTGTTTTGGTTACTCTAGCATTGTGGTATAGTTTGAAGTCAAGTAGTGTGATGCTTCAGGCTTTGTTCTTTTCACTTAGGATTCCTTTAGCTATTTGGGCTTTTTTTTTTGGTTCCAAATGAATTTCTGAATTATTTTTTCACATTCTGTGAAAAATGTCATTGGTAGTTTGATAGGAATAGCATTGAATCTGTAAATTCCTTTGTGCAGTATGGCCATTTTAACGCTATTGATTCTTTCTATCCATGGGCATAAATGTTTTTCCATTTCTTTGTGTCATCTCTGACTTCTTTGAGCAGTGTTTTGTAATTAGTATTGAACTGATCTTTTACCTCCCTGGTTAGCTCTATTCCTAGGTATCTTCTCTTTGTGGCTTTTGTGAATGGGATTGTGGTCTTGATTTGTCTCTCAGCTTGGACATTATTGGTATATAGAAATGATACTGATTTTTGTACATTGATTTTGTATCTTGAAACTTGGCTGAAGTTGTTTATCATATCCAAGAGCCTTTGGGGAGAGACTGTGGGATTTTCTAGGTATAGTATCATAGTATCATATTATCTGCGAAGAGAGATGGTTTGACTTCCCCTCTTCCTATTTGGATGCCTTTTATTTCTTTCTTTTGCCTAATTGCTCTAGACTTCCAGTACTATGTTGAATAGGAGTCATGAGAATGGGCATCCTTGTCGTGTTCCAGATCTCAATGGGAATACTCCCAGCTTTTGCCCATTCAGTATGCTGTTGGCTGTGGTTTTGTCATAGATCACTCTTATCATTTTGAGGTATGTACATTCAGTGCCTAGTTTATTGAGGGTTTTTTAACATGAAGGGATGTTGAATTTTAGCTAAAGCCTTTTCTGTATCTATTGAGATGATCATGTGGTTTTTGTTTCAGTTCTGTTTGTGTGATGAATCACAACTATTGATTTGCATATGTTGAACCAACCTTGCATTCCAGGAATAAAGCCTACTTGTATGTGGTGGATTAGCTTTTTGATGTGCTCCTGGATTCTATTTGCAATTACTTGTTGAGGATTTTTGTATCATTGTTCATCCGGGATATTGGCCTAAAGTTTTCCTTTTTCATCATGTTTCTGCCAGGTTTTGCTATCAGAATGATGCTGGCCACATAGAATGATTTAGGGAGGAATCCCTAAATCATTTAAAAATACTAGCCTGATTAGTTTATTAACATTTTCAACATTATCAGAAAAGGTTTCTTTCCTTTATTTTATTTATTTATTTATTTATTGAGACAGGGTCACACTCTGTCACCCAGGCTAGAGTACAGCGGCATGTTCTTGGTTCACTGCAGCCTCCATCTCCCAGGTCCAAACAATTCTCCTGCCCCAGCCCCCCAAGTAGCTGGGATTACAGGCATGTGCCACTGCACCCAGCTAATTTTTGTATTTTTTGTAGAGACAGGGTTTTGCCATCTTTCCCAAGCTGGTCTTGAACTCCTGAGGTTAAGCAATCTGCCTGCCCTGGCCTCCCAAAGTACTGGGATTATAGGAGTCAGCCAGTGTGTCCAGCCACAAGTTTTCTTATTAATGACTTTTCTTTGACTAAAAACAAATTGAACAAAGTTGAAAAAGAGATATCAAAAAATTATAGCAATATTTTTGTTAATTTTATAATTTTTTAAATTAACTCAAAATTTTGTTTCATTAAAGTTCCTTTTTCTGTGAAGTTCAGTGGCCATATTAGACCTTGATATTTAGAAAAATGAAAATATTAAAATAGAGAACAGAGAAAACAAAGATTTCATTACTACCCTAGAATTCAGCTTGGTGGTAGAAGGAATTGTGTTCATCAGTTTGTTCATAAAATTCTGTAGGCCATATGGAGAAGATTAAATGTTATGTTATTGGTAGAACTATTTGGAAAATTAGAGAGGACACACTATATAAAAGTAAAACATTTCTCATTTAATTTACAGTACTAGAGAATGCCAAATGCTGTCCTTGTATGAATTAGGTACAAAATGTTTATTATGACAGATTTTTAAACAGAACTTAGGACACATTCTGTGTAATTAATAACAGGAGATGTTTCTTAATTCGTGATATCAACTCCTTTATAAGCATATTTTGGAGATTATCTTTTAATGAAAATATACCATATTTCTAGCATAGATGTAAATCACTCATGCTTAAAGGAATGACTTCTACAGGGTGATATGATCTCATTCAGAGATACTAGAGCTTTGGTACTGTTCTGTAGGTTGGTTTTAGTTCCCTTCAAAACAAGATCACACTGTTAAATTTTATTTCCATAACTTGCTCATATGTGTAACATGGCATATTTCTGTCTTGTATTAGTTGACTATAAATTTAATAAAATAATAGCTGGCCAGCAGAAAAAATAAGCATAAATATCTTGAGAAGAAGCATATTCCATTTGGACTGTTTTGTTTTTTCATACTAAATGTGTTGGAAAAGTTTCTGATTTTTCTCGCTGCAGTTGTGGCTCTTAAGTAATTTCTTTTGATTTACCATGAAGATCATATTATGACTGCCTATTTCAAATCATTCTTAAAATCTTTCCGTTTTTCTTGCAGTGTGCCATGATATTTATAAGTATTAAAATTTTTTAGGTACCTGAAATAATCTACAGATATGCTTGTGTAGTGAACCAAGAAATGTGATAAAATGAATGCATAGGACACTTATAGACATAAAAGGACATTTGCTTCAAAATGGCATTTGTACTCAGGGTTAAAAACAGGTTATTTTCCTGGCCCAGAGAAATGTACTCTCTTTACAATGACATATTGTTCCCTGAATTTGGATGAGTAATGGCACCAGAGCCATTTTACATGTGAGTCCAGATCTCTTAGATTCTTTTAATCCTGTTTAATCACTCAGGTGATGAGTATGCAGGATGAAAATATTTTTGATAAAAGGCATAGCTCATTCATCTAAAAAGTTATTAATGTTTTCTTCTACCTTCCTTACAAAATACCTTTTCAGAAACAGACCTATTTATAAACACTGGTAAAGAATCAGACAGTGGTAAGGACTGTCATGAAGCCCCACTCACTGTCATGGTGTCTTCTAGACATATATTTTTCTTTGATGATAGTAAAGGTTGGCCTCTGCCATTTCAGAGCACACAAACAAATCTAATCAGGAGTTCTTATCAGTTGTGTTCACTGCTATATCCCCATCCCCTAAAACAGAGCCTAGCACATAGTAGGCACTCAGTAAATATTTCTGAATGAATGAATGAATATATTGTGCAATAGTATTCTATTAGAGCTGTCACTTATGTGAGTCAGTTTTTATTAGATCATTGGGCTAATCAAGTCAAAGATATAATCATGTGAAGCTGCTGACTTTTTAAGAGAGAACTCTCTGGTCTTTTGCAATATTTTATTATTTTAACCTAAAATTTTCTAAAATGTGATTTTTCTAGAAGTATAAGTTCATGCTGTAGAATTTAAAGCTGAGAAGGACCTTAAAACCTGTACTTCTGTACCAACATCATCAGAGGGGCCCATTTGTCCTTCTCAAAGAGCAACTTGGAATACTTTCTATACTGCTTCACATCTGGCATATATCTTCAGAAAGCTGTATTCCAGTAAGGGATGCCTCTAGAATGAAAGGAGGTACACAGTGAGAAATTTTGTAAAGTATTCTTTGCTTAGTTCCTGTCTTAGTTTGTTTATGCTGCTATAACAGAATACCACAGACTGGGTAATTTATAACAAACAGAAACTTACTGGCTGACGGTTCTGGTGGCTGGAAAGTCCAAGATCAAGAGGCTGCCATTTGCACAGCCTTCTAACAGGGTCATCCCATAGAGGAAAGGCAAAAAGGATGAGAGAAAGCAAGAGGGCAACAAACTTGTTCTTTTTTTTTTTTTTTTGAGACAGAGTTTCGCTCTTGTTGCCCAGGCTGGAGTGCAATGGTGGGATCTCGGCTCAGTGCAACCTCTGCCTCCGGGGTTCAAGTGATTCTCCTGCCTCAGTCTCTCAAGTACCTGGGATTACAGGCATGCACCACTGCCCCGTCAAATTTTGTGTTTTTAGTAGAGACTTGTTCTTTTATTAAGGAAACCACTCCCATGGTTTTGTTTTTAATCCATTCTTGAGGGCCTCACCCAGGCCTTAACACCTCCCATTAAGCCTCACTTTCCAACACTGCTGCATTGGGAATCAAGTTTCCAACATATGAACTTCAAAGGACACTTTCAGACCATAGCAGTTCCTTTCTGCTAAATTAGCTTGACAAGTGGTTGCTTAAAAACACATCTTGCAGCATTTGTCCCAACTCTGCCATCTGCTAACTTTCTGATGTTGGGCAAATTATTTAACTTCTTGATGCCTCAGGTTATTATTCATAAAATGGTGATAATTATAGTGCATGCTTCATAGTATTAATATTACTTTGGTAAGTTAATGAGCAGGGTTTAGGAATCTTATTCTGTAAACAGATAGATAGTAAATACTTCAGGCTTTGTATGCCATGTGTTACCTCTACACTACTTAATTCTATTGTGTCATACAAGCAATATAGGTAATCCATGAATGAATTAATATGGCTCTGTTCCAGTAAAACTTTATTTACTCAAACAGACATTCCAGGAGCTGAGGTTTGTGGACCCCTGATCTAAAATATTGCTTAATAGATAATCAAGTTAAAAATGATTAAATCTTTTATTCCCTTTTGAATTTTTTTTTCAGTTAACATATCATGGATATACAGAATTCTTCAATGTATTAAAAAACACTGTATGTTTGCAAATCTAATTTTTTAACAAAATTACAGATTTATTATAATGTAAAAGAATGTCTAAAAACTTCTGGTAGCAAATCCTTAAATTAATCAAGGGATAGGATTAGAAAATGTTTTTAAAGGAAAGTAAATGGAATAGGTTTAGGATAGGTTTCAGGGCACTCTGATGTGTTTCAAGTCAAGCAGCTGGGAAGCATCAGGAATGGGGCTGAAGTGGTGTGAGTGAGTGAGTGTGTGTGTGTGTGTGTGTGTGTGTGTCCTGCTGTCTAGTCTGTGGCCTTTTTACCTGTCAATCATCCATACTGTAATTGAATTTAGAAAGTATATTTACCTCCTGGTCATACAGAAATTGAATATAAAGCAATGTGTATTTGTGAAGATGGATAAGTAATATATTAACAAACCCAAATTTTTATTTTATAGAACGTAACTACACTGTCTGGTTGTATTAATGCTAGAAATATTATTCCAGTAGCATTTTTATCAGAGTTTGATGACTTCAATCAAATTCTATCCATTTATATAGTAGTAGATTGTACTTATATTCAATTATTTCTTAGTTAATTTTTCACTTTATTCATTCATTTGGCAATAATTTGTTGAATACCTTCCCTAGGTTAGAATCTGAGAGTGACAATATGAAAAAACATAGTTCCAGGGATCAAGAAGTTTATAGTAGAATAAGGATAATAGAGAAGCAGTAAGGTGGTAACATGATGGTTGACAAAAGTACCATAGAAGGACACCCAGGGGGTTGTGAATCTACAGAGCACATAACCCAGCCTATCCAAGAGGTGACACCTAGGATAAGACCTAGGTGTCAGAAGTTATTGTTAGCAAGTTTAAGGATGCCAGGAAACGCATTTTAGACAAATAGAGCACCAAGGTGAGAGATCACAAGGAGACAGAAAGTAGATCATTAGAACTGAGTAAAATGAGAAGGGGTTGGGGAGGTTGCAGGTCTTTATCTGCATAATTCCTGGGATGGTGACTAAAGAATTTAAGTTGAAGAATAGCATAACTGAATTTATCCTTGAGGAAGAATGATCTAGTGGCAAGGTGGGGAATTCATTGGAGGAAGGTGATGCTGGAGTTTGAAACAAATTAAGAAGATTCTGTAGTAGTAATCTCGATGAGAGATGATGCCAGTTGGACTTCTGGAGAAAAATTTAGGAGCTAAAATTAAAAGCTTTGAAGATTGATTTCTGAGGGAAATGAGAGTGAAGATATAATCAGGATGACTTCTGGACTTCTGGCTCTCTTTTATACTAATTTATTTATATTCAGTATCTCAGGTATGAAATTTCATCAACACATTATTTGTTCTTTTTATAAAGCAGTGATAGTGCTGATATATTTAAGAGTTTGTTCCTTGATGAGTATAATAGTAAAGCTAAAGAATATGTAGGGTGTTGAGGTCTGATTAACAAGCTTGAGTTTGTCCTAAAGTTGAGTGTTAACCAGTGTCTGCCACTGTTACAATTATGAAATTCAAATTCTATAAGTAATGTAACTGGCAAGCAGCCATGGGTAGTGCCTTAATAGCAGCATAGGCAATAGCTATCACTGGATGAAGAGGAGTAGGAAAAAGAGGAAGAAGAAAAGAAAGAGTAGGGGGAAGAGGAAGAGGCAGAGGATTCCTGTTTGAGATTGGGAATCAGGGAAGCAGATAATTTTTCCCTTAGATTTAAAAGAAAATACGACAATTAATGACGTCCCCAAAAGATTTCAGGGAACATGAAGTTGCTTCTGAGAACTCTCTAGGTTGCTCCACTGTGGTTATGCCCTTTCTCTGTTTATAGTTTATGGATAGGCTCATCCTATAATACAAACTGTTCTTTGTTTCTCCATTCGCTTCTGTCCAAGAAGCACTGGAGATAATCAAAGATGAAGAAAGAACCTTTTAATTAATTAAAGTTGTTTTGTAGCTTGCCTTTGAAGTTTCTTTTCTGGGAACTTCTTCAGCAGCTCAAATCAGCCATGTGACCCTGTAAGGCAGCTTGCTGAAACTGAAGGCCTGCAAACAGTCTTGTTTACCATGCTATACACTTTTGCTAAGGCACACACTTTCTTCACCTTTCAGTCACAACAACAATAAAAGTAAGTTAAAATCTGACTAGAATTCAGTAGTACATTACTTTGGCATTCCAACTAAATGATTACCTTGATTAAGCCAAAGTATATTTTGGAAGGAATGAGTATGTCCCCTACTTTTATTTATTTTCTAATAACATTTTATTTTATACATAGTTTTCAGTTAGGAATCATACACTACTGAATTATTGCTCTTTTTAATTACCAAAGCATGCTGAATTAAACTACAAATACCAGATAAGACAGAGGACAGAACAAACTGGCACTCTCCAGTACTTAAAAATTTTATTTTATGTTCTTAAACACATTTCACAGATGTTAGATTTTTAAATGGGACCTATTTTTTACATCATTCCAGTAAAGCTGGAAAACAATCTTGATGTCTGTTGTTGGAGGTGCTATGAGCAGAGGAGAAAAATTTTTACCAGTAGTCCTGTCCCATCAATATATGATGTGCTTTATGGCAAGAGCAGCCATTAGTAGTGTTGTCACCTTTTGTGGCTTTGACTAAATCCTGATCTGCCTTAAGGTTTTGCCTAAAAGAACCATTGCTAATAGTAACATGCTGGTCTGTTTGAGGCAATTTCCTTGCAAATCCTCAGTCATGCCATGTTATGTCAAGTTGTGTACTAAAGCAGTAGTTTTTGATTGAAATTCTCACACATATCTATTATTATCGTTGTAATTGGTAAAATAAATTTTTGTTCAATATTTTGAGTGTTTGAGTGTTTTAAGTTCAATGTTCTGAGGGTTTTTAAACACAAACTTTTGTTCTGGTGGTTTGGCACACAAAACACTGTTGCAAATGCTTTACCCATATTGTCATTTAATTTTCCTTCTAACTCTAGAAAACGGGTACTGTTATGTGCTATTTCAGATGAGAAAATTAAGCTCAAAGCTTATGTGACATGCTCAAGTTTATATGGCAAATTAATTCATGTTGGAGCCAAGATTCTAGTTCTCGTCATTAGTTCTGAATCCAAAAACTACACTGTTATTCACAGTACTCTGTCTTTTAAGAGTGATGTGATTCCATCTCGTTGATCTGTTTAATGTTGACAGTGGGGTGTTAAAGTCTCCCACTATTATTGTGTGGGAGTCTAAGTCTCTTTGTAGGTGTCTAATAACTTGCTTTATGAGTCTGGGTACTCCTGTATTGGGTGCATATATATTTAGGATAGTTAGCTCTTCTTGTTGAATTGATCCCTTTACCATTATGTAATGGCCTTCTTTGTCTCTTTTGATCTTTGTTCGTTTAAAGTCTGTTTTATCAGAGACTAGGATTGCAATCCCTGCCTTTTTTTTGTTTTCCATTTGCTTGATAGATCTTCCCCCATCCCTTTATTTTGAGCCTATGTGTGTCTCTGCACGTGAGATGGGTTTCCTGAATACAGCACACGGATGGGTCTTGACTCTTTATCCAATTTGCCAGTCTGTGTCTTTTAATTGGAGCATTTAGCCCATTTACATTTAAAGTTAATATTGTTATGTGTGAATTTGATCCTGTCATTATGATGTTAGCTGGTTATTTTGCTCGTTAGTTGATGCAGTTTCTTCCTAGCCTCGATGGTCTTTACAATTTGGCATGTTTTTGCAGTGGCTGGTACTGGTTGTTCCTTTCCATGTTTAGTGCTTCCTTCAGGAGCTCTTTTAGGGCAGGCCTGGTGGTGACAAAAATCTCTCAGCATTTGCTTGTCTGTAAAGGATTTTATTTCTCCTTCACTTATGAAGCTTAGTTTGGCTGGATATGAAATTCTGTGTTGAAAATTCTTTTCTTTAAGAATGTTGAATATTGGCCCCCACTGTCTTCTGGCTTATAGAGTTTCTGCCGAGAGATCAGCTGTTAGTGTGATGGACTTCCCCTTGTGGGTAACCCGACCTTTCTCTCTGGCTGCCCTTAACATTTTTTCCTTCATTTCAACTTTGGTGAATGTGACAATTATGTGTCTTGGAGTTGCTCTTCTCGAGGAGTGTCTTTGTGGTGTTCTGTGTATTTCCTGAATTTGAATGTTGACCTGCCTTGCTAGATTGGGGAAGTTCTCCTGGATAATATCCTGCAGAGTGTTTTCCAACTTGGTTCCATTCTCCCTGTCACTTTCAGGTACACCAATCAGATGTAGATTTGGTCTTTTCACATAGTCCCATATTTCTTGGAGGCTTTGTTCATGTCTTTTTATTCTTTTTTCTCTAAACTTCTCTTCTCTCTTCATTTCATTCATTTGATCTTCCATCACTGATACCCTTTCTTCCAGTTGATCGCATCAGCTACTGAGGCTTATGCATTTGTCACGTAGTTCTCATGCCATGGTTTTCATACCGGATTATAAATCATGCTGCTATAAAGACACATGCACACGTGTGTTTATTGTGGCACTATTCGCAATAGCAAAGACTTGGAACCAACCCAGATGTCCAACAATGATAGACTGGTTTAAGAAAATGTGGCACATATATACCATGGAATACTATGCAGCCATAAAAAACGATGAGTTCATGTCGTTTGTAGGGACATGGATGAAGCTGGAAACCATCATTCTCAGCAAACTATCGCAAGGACAAAAAACCAAACACCGCATGTTCTCACTCATAGGTGGGAATTGAACAATGAGAACACTTGGACACAGGGTGGGGAACATCACACTCTGGGGACTGTTGTGGGGTGGGGGGATGGGGGAGGGATAGCATTAGGAGATATACCTAATGCTAAATGACGAGTTAATGGGTGCAGCACAACAACATGGCACATGTATACCTATGTAACTAACCTGCACATTGTGCACATGTAACCTAAAACTTAAAGTATAAAAAAAAATTTAGACTTTCACCAGCAGTGTATGAGAGTTAGATGCTCAATCCTTGCCAAAACTTTTATATTAAAGTTTTATCCACCCTAGTGATGTGTAGAGGTCTCCCATTATGGTTTTAATTTATATTTCTTTGATTATTGTTATTAAACATAGTTTTATGTTTATTAGCCATGTGTATATCCTTTTTGTAAAATGCCTGCTCAAGTCTTTTTGACCATTTTATACAAATGATGTATTTTTCTTATTGATTTGTAGGAGGTCCTCATATTTTCTGGGTATGAGATCTTTATTGGATAGATGTATTGCAGATATCTTCACCTACCCTGGGGTTGGCCTCTGCACATCCATAAGCATGTCCTTTGATGAACAGAAGGTCTTAGTTTTAATAAAGTCTAATTCGTCGATTAAAAAAAAGAATGATGTGATTCCAAACCATCTGTGTACTTTTTTTTTCTTTTCTTTTCTTTTTTTTTTTTCTGAGACAGAGTCTCACTCTGTTGCCCAGGCTGGAGTGCAGTGGCTGTGTACTTTTAAGAAAAGTAGTGCGCATGTATTAAGGTTCTTCGTTCCTTCCTTCTCTTCTTCCCTTCTCTCTTTCTCCCTCTCCCATGTTGGAGCCAACATTCTAATTCTAGTCATTAGTTCTGACTCCAACAACTACACTGTTATCCACTATACTCTGTTTTTTAAGAATGATCTGGTTCCAAACCATCTGTATACCTTAAACAAAAAAGTAATACACAGGCTTTAAGATTATTCTTTCCTTACTTATCTTCTTCCCTGTGTCTTCTTTCTCTCTGTTTCTCCCTTTCCCTCTCCCAACTCCCACCTATCTCCAATCTCCCATCTTTATCTGTCTCTACCATTTCCATCTCCCATTTTCCATCTCTCTCTTCCTCTCCCTCTCTCTCTCTGTCTCTCTCCACCTTTCAATTTCTAGATATAGAGCATAGGGCTTAGAACCAAAAAGATATTATTTCAAAGCCTGGTTCTGTCATTTGCCAACGATCTTATTTTTGTTATGAAGTTAGTGAATGTCCCTAAGACTCAGTTTTTCCATCTTAAAAATGGGGTAATAATACACTTGTCAGAGTGATTTTTGTTTAAATTATTTTGTGTCTGGGAAGTGCCTAACAACAGCAGCTGTTATTATGAGGAAATTTTGTTATTATTACTTTAGGTCACCTTGGAACCTCACTTTTAATGCTGCTGTCATCTGTACACCCAGCCAGTACAGCCTGATTGCATTGTGGTCCCTTTAGTGCTTATGGAATAGCTTGCTTATAAGAACTTTTACAGGACTGTATTCATACACCAAATGTGAGTGTCTCAAAAAATGGCACAAGAAGCCCAGTGGGACATGGTGGCATTTGTGCCTCTCAGAACCCTGAAGTTATTTGTATGTGTTGTTTTTACATCATCCAGCAGCATTTTAATATGTTGTAGGACTTAATGCCATAAACAGTTTCTGTTTTTCAACAAATGTACTGGATTTCTTGATTTGGTTTCTTAGTTCATTGTCAGAAGTAACTTGTTTTAAAAATGCACAGCAAAGTTCTGTATTGATGAATATCATAAGTTTTGTGTGCTCTAGTTTTTGAGGACAAGGCCTTCTAAATCAGGCTGAGTGCTTCAAAGGAGATCTTATTATCTTTATGACAAACATGTAGCAATTCTGAGGTCTGCCATCCTCAATACATAGTCACACACACATACACACACACACTCCTACATCATTTGCATTATTTTTGTTTCTTTATAATAGCATTTATCATATTTGTAACAACCTAATTTAATTCTTGCTAATTGTGTATCTTTCCCATCATACTCTTAATAAAAGAAGATATATTATTTCACTTCTTTTCAGTTTCATTAGTGCAAAACACAATTCCTGAATTTATACAAATTTTTTTGAACCAATGAATGAATCCATATAAAGACCAGTGTTTTGTTCATAACTATGCCTTCTGTCAATACTTGGTTGTTTCTTCCTCATTTTTGGATTAACTTTGCAGAAACTTCTGATGATGAAGTCTACCAAAGTGCATATTTCTCAGATGATTCAAAGCATTTAAAAAAAAAAAAAAACTCTAGCTCTTCTGTTTCATTCTTGAGGATGACTTTTTTAAACAAATTAAGTAAAACCAGGTTAGGTCATTTTCTGCACTTTGTCAAAGCCAATATATGACAATATATGCCATATACATGACCAATATGACACCCACCTCTTTTTCTCTCAGACAATAAAGTTATATCAGCAATGCTACCAAGTGTTTAACCTTTTTTTAACCTCATTTTTTAATTTAAAAAGCTATGCAAGCATATAGTTTTTAAAAATCAAAAATCACAGTGCAATGACATGTAAGTCCCCATGCCAACTCAGATCCTTTGGCTTCAAGACTAGAAATAATCAATAACTTAATTGATAGTAATTTAACAGTAAAATATTTAGAAACATTTCACTCTTTTTTTTTAATACTTTAAGTTCTAGGGTACATGTGCACAATGCGCAGGTTTGTTACATAGATATACATGTGCCATGTTGGTTTGCTGCACCCATCAACTCATTATTTACATTAGGTATTTCTTCTAATGCTATCCCTCCCTCAGCCTCCCACCCCCCAACAGGCCCCAGTGTGTGATGTTTCCCGCCCTGTGTCCAAGTGTTCTCATTGTTCAATTCCCATCTATGAGTGAGAACATGCGGTGTTTGATTTTCTGTCCTTGTAATAGTTTGCTGAGAATGATGGTTTCCAGCTTCATCCATGTCCCCGCAAAGGACATGAACTTACCCTTTTTCTTATGGCTGCATAGTATTCCATGGTGTATATGTGCCACATTTTCTTAATCCAGTCTATCGTTGATGGACATTTGGGTTGGTTCCAAGTCTTTGCTATTGTGAATAGTGCTGCAATAAACATACGTGTGCATGTGTCTTTATGGTAGCATGATTTATTATTCTTTGGGAATATACCCAGTAATGCGATTGCTGGGTCAAATGGTATTTCTAGTTCTAGATCCTTGAGGAATCACCACACTGTCTTCCACAATGGTTGAACTAATTTACACTCCCACCAACAGTGTAAAAGCATTCCTATTTCTCCACATCCTCTCCAGCATCTGTTGAGAAACATTTCACTTTTATGCTAGCCTATATGTATGTGTATAGTTAAATGAATTCTGTGCTCACTGTTAATAACACTTCGGTTATTTTTCCCCACTTAAAAGTAGGTATCTTTAAGATCCTTGTTCATTAGTATATGAGGAACTAATTTTATTAAAATTGCTGCATACTGTTTCACTGTAAGGATATAAATCCCTAAATGTAGTGATTAATCTACTGATGAGCATTAAGATTGTTTTGTGTTTTGATATTTAAAAGCAATGCTACAATAATTATTATGGTAAATAATTTTTATACATACATTTATATATCTATAGGACAAATTCTTAAAGTAAAATGTTGGATAAAGGGTTTATGCTTTGTAAGTGAAAATACATCTTGCCAAATTTTCATATAGGTTGATTGCTCAAATTTATACTACTGAGAAGAGTCTATGAAGAATATTGTTTATGAAAAATCTTTTTGATTTTGTCAATCTGATTATTAAAAAAGCCAGTCCTTTTTAAATTGTTTTTGCAGGTTTTTTGACTAAGTAAAAGGCTTAAGATCTTTCAAATCTATGTATTTTTTTTTGCCCAGTTTTCTTTTATGTTTTTGATTTTTCTTACTGATTTGTAGGAATATCTCATTCAGTACAGAAATTTGCTCTCTTTGTGCCATATGTTGCAAAATTCTTTTTTAGGTTAGTTGTTTGGGCTTTTTCTTTTAACTTTACCATGTTTTTTATGCAGAATTTTTAAAATGCAGGCATAGTTATTACTCTTTTCTATTAACCCTTTTTAAGGCTTCTGTGTTATTTGACATACAGAAAGGATTTCCTACTCCAAGATTAGGTTAAATATTGTACCATTTTATTCTAAAATATTACAAGTTTTTAAAAATGTTTAAAACCCTGATCCATCTGGAATTATTTTTTTGGAAGAGTGAAATACAGATCTAGCTCCCCCCTCCCTTTTTTTTTTTTTGTTTCCTGTGTGGCTAGCTATTTGTCCCAACACTAATTGTTGAATAATGTATCTTTTTTTCTATACGTTGAGATGGTATCTTTATCCTATACATAATTTCTATATACATATACACCCAACCTTTTGTGAAAATTGAATGGAAAAAATGAAGAGACTGTTATGATTGAAAACAATATTATTTCATTGTTCCTTTTTATTTGCAGTTATGCAGAAGAGGCTCAGAGAGGACTATGCCAATTAAAATATCTAAAAACTTTCCATCATATACTATCATGATAGTGTGTATTACAGTAAGAACTGAGATCCTAGAGAAGATCTAGGCAATGATAATGGCAGTGGTGGAGTATTCCATCCTAAGAAATGCAATGATTACACTAGAAAAGAAGGTCCATGAACACTCTCCAGCAATGTTGAGAGGGTGCTGAATTTTATCTTCCAAGTTTCCGCATTATCAGACCCTTCTTTTCCCTATAGTCTCATTTTGTCCTATTCTCTTCCTCATTCAGATTGCTCCAGCTACCCTGGAATTATTTCAGTTTCCTGAACACACCATGCTTTCCTTCCTTTGGGAATTTATTCCTCTAGTTTGAGTAATTTCCCTTACTTACTTAGAAGAATTTGCTTTAAAACAAAATTTAAACTCTACCATATATCTACATAATATTTTAATTTAAATATTAGGTAGCTGCAAGATAATGTGACAAAATAAAAATGTTATAAAGTGGATACCTTTGTGACAACATCTAGGTTAAGAATTAGGATACCACAGGCATACTAGAAACCCCCTATTCTTCCTTTCTGATTCCATCCCATTTATCTTCCCTCAGAAATAACCATTGTCTTTGAGAAAGCTAAAATCTCCTGCTTATTAAGAAACTTGTGATAAATTTCAGCATATCTCAGAAACAGCTAACTTTGAACAGTGGTAAAAAGTATTTTTTATGAGGAGTATTACCATATTTAAAGAACTCAAACTTCTTAGATGAATAGACAGTTTTCAAAGATAATGATTATGGATAACATATGTTTTATTTTCTGTGCTTTTTATGAAAGATAGGGACATGCTAAGCATGCTTTTCCTTCTCTAAGTTAAAAATCATCGTAGGATTTTAGTGTAACGTTTTGAAAGGCTGCACTATAAAAATAACACTTTGTAGCAGGTACAAATAATAAGGTAGAATGAGGGTGCATAATTTTTATTTGACTGTTAGTAGTGGAAGAGTTGATCATTAGAATTATATCTGATTTTAAATTTCAAGTCAGTACACATTTAAACTTTATAAAAAATATCTACTTCATGGTTGAAAAGATTCTTCTAACATGGGTCTATATTCATACATACTATGTCTCTTGCCGATTTACGATTTTGTGTTCTTTCTCTCTAACTCCAGAGGTTGATGATTATTTTACAGACTGTAGTAGAAGCTAGGTATATTGTTGCCTTCTTTCACCCACTTTTTTTTTTTTTTCTGTCACCCAGGCTGGAGTGCAGTGGCACAATCATGCTTCACTGCATCCTGGGCCTCCTGGCCTCAAGCCATCCTCTCACCTGAGCTCCCCGAGTAGCTGGGACTACAAATGTGTAACTTTTCTTCTTTTTTTTTTTTTTTTTTTTTTTTTTGTAGAGATGAAATCTTGCTACGTTACCCAGGCTGGTCTGAACTCCTGGGCTTAAGTCATATTCCAGCCTTGACCTCCCAAAGTGCTGGGATTACAGGCTAGGGCACAGCACCAGCCAGCCTGTCTTCTTTTTTTTTTTTTTTTTCTCCAAGACAGAGTCTCGCTCTGTCACCCAGGCTGAATTGTGCAGTGGAGCAATCTCCACTCACTGCAACCTCAGCCTGCAGGGTTCAAACGATTCTCCTGCCTCAGCCTCCCGAGTAGCTGAGTGGTGGCACACGCCTGGTTAACTTTTTGTATTTTTAGTAGACATGGGGATTCACTGTCTTAGCCAGGCTGGTCTTTATCTCTTGACCTCCTGATCTGCCCGCCTCGACCTCCCAAAGTGCTGGAAAACAAGCATGAGCCACCACGCCTGGCCCTGCCTTCTTTTTTATGTGCCTACTCAGTAATTTAGGCAAAGGGCTCCACCTCTCAGTGCTCAGGTTACCTGGAGGTTGAATTTATACTCAAGGGAAAGAAAAGATTATCTGAGAAACAGTCATGATTCATGATGCAAAAAGTTTTAGAATTAGGGGCTTGGTGGAATTCTTTCATTTTAAAATTCTTCTTCCTCCTACTCTTCTTCTCCTTTTCCTCCAGAGTTAGTAGGCTGCTGAAGAAATTACCAGATGATGAAGGTATCACCATGGACACAGTAGGCTTTGCTCCTTTGTGCCTGTGGCAGAGACTGGTACCAAGATCTAGTGAAGGGCCTGGGATGAGAACCAAGATACGCAGGACCCCATGGAGAGTCCCTCCTGTCCTTGCCTTTATTCCAAAAGAATAGTACTACATGAGCATTCTGTGAGAATTTATGTGTTGTTGCTTCTAGTTAAGGAGTAGGATAATATGTAGAGAGTAATTTATAAGCCTGCGTCTTGACTATTCACAATTATTTCATAAAAATAAGTAACATTATTTTTTAAAGATCTCTATGCTCATAAAAATTGGCATCCCTTATTCTGAACATGCCCTCGCTGATAGTTTCCTGTATATCTAGATTATGGGAATACAAATATCTATTTTCCTGTAACTGACATTCAGAAATTTAACCCACTAATATAATCCTGTGTGTAACCAAAAGGTAATGGTGGAAGCTGAAACAGTCACTTAAAATTCTGGCTAGTTCCTTTAAGATGTTAATTAATATGTCAGCCAATCCTTATATTGGCTACAATAAGCCAATGCTTATAGTAACTTAGAGCTACTCTCTAAGTCCTTTTTCTGTGTTCTTTTTTTTAACTCACTACTTTAGCAGTAGAAGATGAAATTCTGTTGCCTATAAACAAAGGTGGTGCTTGGTGGCCTTCTTCTGTGTCTCTGTGTGTTGTCCCTTGAGAGAATCATTCAGGTTTCCACCTTGTATGCCATAGGGCTCAGGACAAGTTCTATGAAGCCTATATAGTTAAGGAATAGGTTTTATTGGGAAAACCTGCATAGCCCAGGATCAAAAAAGAAGAGAAGGCATGGCTGCCTCGGATCCTCCCATCATCCTGTAGAAGACCATGTCCTGGCTAGAGTGCTTCCGGCCCAGGCTGATTTGTGCCAGGCAGCCTGTGTTTAGGATGCCAGCTGTTTAAAAGCCTTTTCTGGATGTGCCCCAGTTGCGCAGCACTTGGAGGCCTTATAATCCATGGGATATTACAGTTCCCTCTGCAGATGAGAGGGAGCCACAGGAAGCTGAGCTTGCATGGTCCCTCCTGCTAAGATACAAGGCAGCCCCCATCCTGGCTAGCTTATTGTCCAGGAAACCACAGTACTCAGTCATTTTTCAGGCAGTCCTGATGCTAGTGCTACAATGTAGGAGCCACCAAGAGCAAATGAGATCCTAAAGAGACATAGAAGCTAGAGACATAAATATTTTCTAAATGGATAACTATTTGAGATGATGTCTATATTAATTTGTTCCACTATAGTAAACATTTTATCATATATGCATCTTATAACATCATGTTGTATACCTTAAATATACACAATAAATATTATTTTAAAAAAATAATTAACAGGTATTAAGCTTGATTTTTTTCCCTTTTTGGGAGGGGCTGGAGGGGGTGGGTAGCTTATTTTAAATCACATAGCCACACTTCTAACCCAACTGTAATTCCAAATGACTTTACATGTGTTCTTGTTTCTTTGTTTTTGAATTACTATTTCTGTTTGTGTTTTAAAAACATTTCCTGTGTTCAGTCCTAGTTTCTTTGGGTTGCTTTGCACATGAATGTTATCAGGACTTCTCAGATGACTTTCCTACTCAAACTGATTTGTTCTAAGCTGTCCTTCAACAGCTGCAGATCAGATATGACTGTTGTCCTGTTTTTGATGTTGGCGATAGTGTTGTTGCTAATTAATTTGTGAGGACTCGGCTGGAATATCCATGATAGCCGAGTATCCATGATACCATAATGTGGTAGGAAGCATTATTATTCAGGTAATGAGTTTTTCATGAGGTACAATGCCATGTTGTAATGGAATTTGCTGGTATGTAAAAAGGGTATTTAACATCTTTGTCTTCTTTTGATGGACAGAAGGCTGTTAAAGGAGCAATAGTTTTAGTTCCCTTTGGGGTTTATTATGGTCAGAGTGATCTTTCAGACTTGGATCTGATACAACCTAAATGGTGAACTAATTTGAAAATAAAAAATATCATAAGCCTTGTTGTAGGGACCTTGAATTGGCTCAAGTTAGGCTCAGTGAAAGGCCGTGCTGTGTTCTTCCCAAGCACAATTGTAATTGGGAGAGGATTCCATTTGTATTCTGTCTTTAGCATGAGCCACATGTTCATGTACTCTGAAGGCAAGACAAAGAGGGGTTACCAGATAGGACAAAGCAACATTTACTTAATTAAAAAAAATAAGAAAGCAGAACAGAAAAATAATCCCAATGAATAAGAAGAGAGGGATTTTAAAGTTCCTCTATAGGCAATTTGAGACCCTGTGGTCTATCTAGTTTTCTCGAAATTTTCTGTTATGAGGGCATTGAAGTATATGACTGCCAAGTTGGTTTAAGCACCTTGAACATGTCAATGGTTAATTTGATGTACACAAAACCTGTTTGTGCCTCATATTTTTTGGGAAAAATCCAACCCTTGTGATGTCATGAATCAGCGTTTATCATGTATTTTGAATTGTTCTCAATATTTCATTTAACAGATATTTATTTAAAAATTGGTTTGACAGGATATGCATTTTTTGGTTTCGTATTTTTCCTTTGAGAACTTTATTTATTTAAAATCTCTGGAAAATGTTCTGAAACATTCAAGGCCATTGATAAATTAGATATATTTCAGGGTTTATGTGATCTTTAAACTTGCTTTAAAATATTCACATTTTAATTCTTAAAATTTATTCAGACTATAACTCTTGAAAAGCTAAAATGCAGAAAGGAAGTTGTTTCTCATTTGTTTTTGTATCTTCCATATAGTGGCCATTCAACCTACTTTTCTTAAATGATATTCTTTTCTTAACTGAACCACGCAACATAAAGTTGACTGCTGAGTGGCAAATAATGAATAATGCAATGTCTTTCTTTAAATAAGCTTGTGTTTTTCAACGTTTACAATTTTTATATATTTGAGTATAAGTGATATATTTCTGTTACTTTGAAATTTTTAAACCATCTAGAATTAGAAATATTGATTGGAACTTTGTCTTTATTAATCATGACTTAAAGTAAAAAGTATGTAAATGCATAGAAGCAATAGTTACCCATTTATTTGCCTGTTTGTCCTGTTTGTATTTGTTGATAGTATCTACTAAATGAGGAAAGAGAAAAGGTGATGCAAAAATGTAAGACTCGATTTTGGTAATAATTAGGATAGCCCAAATTAATCTAGTTTTAAAAATTGATATTTAGGGGTTGAGTTGGCTCTGAATTATTTGCAGGTTTCTAATAAAAGATTATTTTAAAACAAATGTTCACAAGTGAATGAAATATTGTTTAAGAGACTGGATAAAAAATAATATTTACAAGACTGGAAAATAATGAGATAGGTCATGAGTAGACCTGTCACTTTAAAATTATATTTATGCATATTTTCATTTATTTTTCTTCTCACCAAATATGATTATAATCTCAATATTATTTTGGATGCTGCAATTTTTGTTATATAAATAACTTTATATCATTATATCAAATAAAGTGATGAACTAAGTGAATATTATTCAAACATTTTCCAAAGCTGATAGTTTGTAAGTATGCTTAAAAGTATATCATTTGAGGATCCTATTTCAGTAACACATATTTAAACTCAATATATTAAAGTTTTTCGAGATACTATAAAGTTTAGTTTGGCCAAAAAACCTATTATCATTTAGATAAGAAATCAGCTAATCAGCTGAGATTTTTAAAAGTACCTTCTTTAAAATTCCAGCACTTTGGGAGGCTGAGGCAGGCAGATCATGAGGTCAGGAGATCGAGACCATCCTGGCCAACATGGTGAAACCCCGTCTCTAGTAAAAATACAAAAATTAGCTGGGCATGGTGGCATGAGCCTGTAGTCCCAGCTACTCGGGAGGCTGAGGCAGGAGAATCGCTTGAACCCGGGAGGCAGAGGTTGCAGTGAGCCGAGATTGCGCCACTGCACTCCAGCCTGGTGACAGAGTGAGACTCTGTGAAAAACAAGACGAAACAACAAAAAAAAAAACACGTTATAATATTATTGTGTAAAATAAGTTATTTTTAAAAATTCACTCTCTTAGTATGCATTGCTAAACATGACTCAATACAATACTGAGTTTCAGCTTAAGTTTATTTTAATAGTCTGAAGATATTGTGATGTTTTAAAAACTCATGATATTTAAGAATAACTTGTTTCTTTTTAGTTGCATTTTAAATCTGTGGGTGATTCCAGTAGGATGTCAAATTAAAGTACTTGAATAAGATGATTACAATCTTTATTTTTTATATTCGAATCTGCAGTGAGGCAATAATGAATACCTTCTGTCCTAAGCACACTGATACTCTAAATTGCAAATTTTGAATGTCATTCTGTCTGAAATATTTAATTGAAAGAGGAATGTAATTGACATATAATTTCCAAATAAGTTTTGTTTGGCTATATAATACATTAATTCATGCCTTTGTTCTTTTTAATTTATCTTCATTATGCTATCAATAAGAAATGTTTATTGCTTCTGTTTAAAGTATTACTACAGATAATGGGAATCCTGGAGGCATAAGATATAGAACTTAGTCTACTGGGCAAATTGTGCATGAAAAGATAAACCCATGGAAGCCCATACTAATTTGTGTCAAATTAATAATGCATGTCCCAAAATTAAATAAGCATTGCAGAAAATAGAAGGGTATTTGGGTCACTGGGGTCTGAGAGTAGTCAATGAACTTCACATTCTTGGATTATACTTGCATAGAACCTTGTTTCAACAAAAACAAGGAGGAACATTTTCCAAGCAGTAGGAATCTGGGTAAAGTTGTGGCGTTAGGAATTTGCCTGGAATGGTTAGAATGGCCTGCAATGTTAGGACATAGTAAGATGCAAACCTGGTGTGAGAGAGGATAGACTATGTAGTGTGGCACTAGGAGATGAGGATGAAGAAGTGTCAGGCTAAAGTGTTTGTATTATGTAGCTCATGAATGTCTTTAAGCTGTGAGCGACAAGTTCCAAAGAACCAGCTGTGTCAGATAATCAGAGGGTGAGCTCTGTGATGATCTGGGTTGAGGTAATATGTTTCAAAATGCCTTATAAAATAAGAGTTTATGCTACATATTTTGATTGGTGAAACTCAGAATATATAAACTATTAATAAAATTTTGTATTTTCTGAATGCAATATTGGATTACTCAAGGAGCAGAGGAAGCATAGGAATAACACATCAGCAAAAGTGGTTACCCTCAACAATATTTTGTGAAATAATATGATATTTTTAAGAAAGGTATCAAAGTAGTCACAAATGGAAGCATCAGAGCTATATCATTTTTAAAATTTAATACATTTATTTTCAGTTGCATATAGGAAGGGGATATATTTTCAGTGCTTGGGTCCTCTAAAAAATTTATCTAATCCCATATAGATACAATCTTTAATGAAAGGGCTCCTAGCCTACAATGTGCTAGATGACTAAGAAAATCAGTTGACTTTCTGAAGAAACTAGATATTGGTGTCTGTCAGACATTATGCCACACTACCTCGGAATCTTGTTAAAATGCAGATTCTGATTTCAGTTGCTCTGAAGTGGAGCCAGAGATTGTACATTTCTAAAAAGCACTTAGGTGATATTCATGATGTTAATCCTTGGACCACACATTGAGTAATACAATGAAATTTTCAACAAGTTAGTCTCTTAATGTACATAAACAAAATATTATACCATGTTGTTATGTGTTGGTTTATACTCAAAGTACTGTTCTAAGATTCTATCCAATATTTTTAAAAAGTGAAGGATTTAACATCCTCTTACACATTTTTATGTTGTTTTGTCACTGCTGTGAATTATAAAAAGTTTTAAAAGATACTGTCACTGCTGTCAAGAAATTTCTATTTAACTCCCTTCAAGATGGCTAACTAGACACAGACAGGAAGAGTTTCTCCCACTGAGAGGCCGGACCATCAAAAAGATGCACAATCCAAGCAGATCTTCTGAAGGAAGTAATAGAGAATGGAAGGAGGAAGGACTCAGATCCTGGGTTGAAGGGGGAGGGAGCAGAGAACCCTGCATGTGGTTATTTAGTAGCAAGACCCATTCTTGGTCCTGTGTGCTTCCTGGAGAAGGGGTGAGTTAAATAGGCATGGTTTGTGGCCCACATTTGCCACAGACCTCCAGAATCCTAGCAGCAGGAGACCCCATGACCCCTGTGGACATTTAGGCTGGGAGAGATTGCTGCTTGGAGAGTTTGCAGGGTCACGACTCAGTATTATGAAGCCCAGAGAGTTTGGTGTGGGAACTGCTACAGTGGAGTATTGCCAGTTACACTCACGCCTCAAGACTCGCCAAATTCCTCTGGGTGGCTTTGGTCTTTGTTGACTGTTGGTTCTGTTCAGAACAGGGCTATCTTGCCCATGGGATTGGGCCAATCTAATCTGAATACCCCCTTGTCTGCCAGCCTCTCTCAGTGTCCCTGTCTGGCCACACCCTCTTGCAGCACAGCCTCAGATGTTCATATGGGGCACATCTTAAAAGCCACTACCATAGCTTTTTTACTGACAGACCTTGGCTAACCATCAGAGATATTTTGCAGATGGGCCCCAGCCAGTGTGTAACCACATGCAGCCTCCCCCACACCACTTTGCCAGCATGCGTTCATCTGCAGCATCGCCCACCAGTTTGCCAGCATTTGCAGACCCTGCTGCTGTACCCCCACTGGAGCATGTGTATGTGTGGACCCTGCTGCTATGCCAGCGCTGGTGCACATACATGTACATGGACTCAACTGCCACCACTCTGACAAAGCACTGTTGCTGCCCACCCCCCATACCCCCCATTGGAGTGTTGTTGCCAGCAGACTGGGGACACATTGGCCCCTCCAGTGATAGCAGGTCAGAGAACAAAGCCATGGGTCTAGTCCCAGCACCTAGGGTTAGAGCATGCAGACCAAGAGTGCTAAACTGAGCCTTGGCCCCCTGAAATCATTGAGAAATGAAGCCAGTTGATGGAACCCAACTTATACCATAGTCAAAGGGTCAAAATAATCAAAAAATATAAAAGCAAAAAGCTTCATCCAAAGGACAGCAACATCAAAGATTAAAGGAACATCAGCCTAACAGATGGAAAAGAACTAGCACAGGAATCCTGGCAACTCTAAAAGCCAGTGTCCTCTTCCTCCAAACAACCCACTAGCTCCCCAGCAATGGTTCATAATCAGACTGAAATGGCTGAAATGACAGATATAGAATTCAGAATCTGGATGGCAATGAAGATCATTGAAATTCAGGAGAAAGTTGAAACCCAATCCCAGGAATCTACTGAAATGATTTAAATGCTGAGAGATGAAATAGCCATTTTAAGAAAGAACCAAACTGATCTAATAGAGGTGAAAAACTCACTACAAGAAATTCATTCTATATTCGAAGTATTCACAGCAGAGCAGAGGTAAGGTGAGGTAAAAATCTCAGAGCTTGAAGATTAATTCTGTGAATCAACTCAGTCAGACAAAAATAAAGAAAAAAGAATTTTAAAAAAGGAAGAAAACTTCCAGAAAATATGGGATTATGTAAAGAGACAAAACCTATGACTCATTGGCATCCCTTAAGGAGAGGGAGAGAGAGAAAGCAATGTGAAAAACATTTGAGGTTATTATCCACAAAATTTTCACAACTTAACTAGAGAGGTCAACATTCAAATTCAGTAAATTCAGAGAATCCTTGCAAAATCGTATACAAGATGACCATCCCCAAAACACATCATCGTCGTATTCTTCAAGGACAATACATGCAAAAGAAAAGATATTTAAGACACTAGAAAGAAGGGGCAAATCACTTACAAAGTGAACCCAATCAGGCTAAGAGAGGACCTTTCAGCAGAAATTCTATAAGCCAGAAGAGATTGGGAGCCTATATTCAGCATCGCTAAAGAAAAAAAATTCCAACCAAGAATTTCATATCCAGCCAAACTAAGCTTCCTAAACGAAGGAAAAATATAATCCTTTTCAGACAACCAAATGCTAAGAGAATTCATTACCACTAGACCTGCCTTTGAAGAGGTCCTTAAAGGAGTGCTAGACATGAAATCAAAAGACATTACTGGCCACCAAAAAAAAAAAGAAGAAAGAAAGAAAAAAGTAAAACCACTCATTTAATTACATGGGTTATTGATACTATAAAGCAACTACACAGTCAAGTCTAAACAACCAGCTAACATGATGACAGGATCAAATACACATATATCAATATTAACCTTGAATGTACATGGGCTGAACACCCCATTTAAAAGGCACAGAGTGGCAAGTTGGATAATGAAGTAAGACCCAAATGTATGCTGTCCTCAAGAGAACCATCTCCCATGCAGTGACACCCATAGGCTCAAAGTAAAGGGATAGAGAAAAATCCATCAAGAAAACAGAAAACATGAGGAAAGGTAGCTGTTCTAATTTCAGACAAAACAGATTTCAAACCAACCACCATCAAGAAGCACAAAGAGGGTTATTACATAATGATAAAGGGTTCAATTCAAAAAGAAGACTTACCTATCCTAAATATATGTACACCCAACACTGGAGCACCCAGATCATAAAACAAGTAATTAGAGACCAATTAAGAGACTTCTATAACCACACAATAATAGTATGAAACTGTAACACCCCACTGACAGTATTAGACAGAATATCAAGGCAGAAAACCAGCAAAGATATTTGGGACCTAAACTTGACACTTGACCAAATGTGCCTAACATCCACAGAACATTCCATCCAACAAAAAGAGAATATATATTCTTCTCATATGCACATGGCACATACACTAAGATCAACCACACACTCAACCATAAAGCAATTCTCAACAAATTATAAAAACCAAAATTATACCAGCCATACTCTTGGACCACAGTGCAACAAAATTATAACTCAATTACAAGAAGATCTCTGAAAAAACTTACAATTACATGGAAATTAAACAACCTGTTCCTGAAGGACTTTTGGCCAAACATGACATTAAGGCATAAATCAATAAATTCTTTGAAACTAATGCAAACAGGGATACAATACACCAGAATCTCTGTGACACAGCTAACACAGTGTTAAGAGGAAAGGTGATAGCACTAAGTGCACATTAAAAAGTTAGAAAGAGCTTAAGTTAACAGCTAAGAGCTAACATCACACCTAAAGGAATTAAAGAAACAAGAGCAAACAAAGCCCAAAGCTGGCAGAAGAAAATAAATAACCAAACTTAGAGCTGAACAGAGTGAAATGGAGTATTGAAAAGTATTATAAAAAATCAACAAAACCAAAAGTGATGATTTGAAGAATATATAAGATTGATAGACCACTAGGTAGACAAATAAAATGAGATGGTTCAAATAAACACAATCAGAAATGACAGGGGACATTACCACCAACCCACAGAAACACACACAAAAAAATAGAGAGTATTATGAACAACTCTAAGCACACATAGTAGAAAACCTAGGAAAAAATGGATAAATTCCTGGAAACATGCAACCTCCCAAGATAGAACTAGAAAGAAATTAAAACCCGAAAAGACCAATAATGAATTCCAAAATTGAATCAGTAACAAAACACCTACCAACAACAAAAAGCCCTGATCCAGACAAATTCACAGCCAAATTCTATTAGATGTATAAATAAGAGCTATTACCAATCCTTCTGAAACTATTCCATTGACTTGAGAAAGCAGGACCCTTCCTAACTCATGCTCTGAAGCCAGTATCACTATGATAGCAAAACCTTGCAGAAACCAAACAAAAAAAGAAAATTTCAGGCCAGTATCTCTGATGGGCCTAGATGCAGAAGTGCTCAACAAATACAAGCTAACCAAATCCAGCAGCACACCAAAAAGCTAATCTACCATGATCAGGTAGGTTTTATTTGTGAGATGCATGGTTAGTTGAACATATGCAAATCAATAAATGTGATTCATCACATAAACGGAACTAAAAACAAACACCACGTGGTCATCCCAATAGATGCTGAAAAGTCTTTCAATAAAATTCAACATTCCTTCATGTTAAAAACCCTCAGCAAACTAGTCATCAATGGTACATACCTCAAAATAATAAGAGTCACCTATTACAAACCAACAGCCAACATCATACTGAATGGGCAAAACCTGGAAGCATTCCTTTGAGAACTGGAACAAGGCGAAGATGACTGCTCTGACCACTCCTATTCAACATAGTAATGGAAGTCCTAGCCAGAGCAATCAAGCAAAAGAAAGAAATAAAAGGCATCCAAATAGGAAGATAGGAAATCAAACTATCTCTATTATGTGATTTTGTACTTAGAAAATGCCATGGTCTCTGCCCAAAGGCTCCTAGATCTGATAAACAACTTCAGCAAAGTCTCAGGATACAAAAGCAATGTATATAAATCAGTGTTTCTATACACAAATAACATTCAAGCTGAGAGCTAAATCAAGAAGACAATCCCATTCACAATAGCCACAAAAAGAAGAAGATGCCTGAGAATACAGCTAACCAAGGAGGTGAAAGATTTCTAAACAAGAATTACAAAACACTGTCCAAAGAAATCAGAAATGACACAAATAAATGGAAAAACATCCCATGCTCATGAATAGGAAGAATCAATGGCCGTACTCCACACAGCAATTTAAAGTTTCAATGCTCTTTGTACCAACTACCCATGACATTTTTCAAAGAAACAGAAAAAAATATTTTAAAATTCATGTGGATCCAAAGAAGAGCCTGAGTAATCAAAGCAATCATAAGCAAACAGAACAAAGCCAGAGGCATAACACTGCCAGGAGTCAAACTACAAATGCTGCCGTAAGCAAAACAGCGTGGTACTGATACAAAAATAGACACATAGACCACTGGGACAGGTTAAATAACCCACAAATAAAGCTGCACACCTACAAGCATCAGATCTTATACAAAGCCAACAAAAACAAGCACAAGGGAGAGGACTGCTTATTCTATACATAATACTGGGTAGCTGGTTAGCCATTTGCTGATGACTGGAAATGTACTCCTTCCTTTCACCATTGTTTTAGTCCATTCTCATGCTACTGTGACTTAGACTAGGTAATTTATAAAGAAAAGAGGTTTAATTGATTCACAGTTCCACATGGCTAGGGAGACCTCAGGAAACTTACAATCATGGTGGAAGGCACCTCTTCACAGGGCAGCATGAGAGAGAATGAGTGCCAGCTGGGGAAATTCCAGATGCTTATAATCCATCCAATCTCATAAGAACTCATTTGCTATCATGAGAACACCATGGGGGAACTGCCCCCACAAACTAATCACTTCCCACAAGATTCCTCGTGTGACACAGGAGGATTATGGGAACTGTAATTCAAGATGAGATTTGGGTGGGGGCACAGCCAAACCATATCATTTTGCTCCTGGCCCCTCACAAATCTCATGTCCTCACGTTTCAAAACACCCAAGTCATGCCTTCCCAAAAGTCCCCCAAAAAGTCTTAACTCATTCTAGCATTAACTCAAAAGTCCAACTTCAAAGTCTCGTCTGAGACAAGGCAAGTCCCTTCTACCTATGAGCCTGTAAAATCAAAAGCAAGTTTGTTACATCCTAGATACAATGAGGGTACAGGCATTGGGTAAATGCACCCATTCCAAATTAGAGAAATTGGCAAAAACAAAGGGGCTACTGGACCCATGCAAGTCTGAAATCCAACAGGCCAGTTATTAAACCTTAGAGTTCTAAAATGATTTCCTTTAACTCCATGTCTCACTATTGCAAGAGGTGGGCTCCCATGGTCTTGGAGACCTCCACCTTTGTGGCTTTGCAGGGTACAGCCCCCCTCCTGGCTGCTTTCACAGGCTGGCATTGAGTGTCCCTGGCTTTCACAGGCACATGGTGTAAGCTGTTGGTGGATCTACCATTCTGGAGTTTGGAGGACAATGGCCCTCTTCTCACAGCTCCACCAGGCAATGCCCTAGTGGAGACTCTGTCTGGGGGCTCCAACCCCACATTTCCCTTCTACACTTGCCCCAGCAGAGATTCTCCATGAGGGCTCTGCCCGTGCAGCAAGCTTCTGCCTGGATATCCAGGCATTTCCATACATCCTCTGAAATCTAAGTGGAGGTTCCCCAACCACAGTTCTTGACTTCTTTGTACCCTCAGACCCAACACCACGTGGAGGCTGCCAAGGCTTGAGGCTTGCACACTCTGAAACAATGGCCCCAGCTGTACCTTGGTCCCTTTTAGCTGGAGCAGCTGGAGCTAAAGCAGCTGGGATGCAGGGCACCATGTCCTGAGGCTGCAAAGAGCAGAGGGGCCCTTGACCTAGCCCATGAAATCCTTTTCCTTCCCAGGCCTCCAGGCCTGCAATGGGAGGGTTGCGATTAAGTCTCTGACATGCCCTGGAGATGTTTTCCCCATTGTCTTGGTGATTAATATTTGGTGCCTTGTTACTTATGCAAATTTCTGCAGCCAGTTTTAATTTCTACCCAGAAAATGGGGTTTTCTTTTTTATCGCATCATCAGGCGGAAAATTTTCCAAACTGCTATGCTCTGCTTCCTCTTGAATGCTTTGCAGTTAGAAATTTCTTCCAGCAGATACCCTAAATCATCTCTTTCAAGTTTAAAGTTCCACATATCCCTAAAGCACTGCACAATGCCACCAGTCTCTTTGCTAAAGCATAGCGAGAGTCACCTTTGCTCCATTTCCCAAGAAGTTTCTCATCTCCATCTGAGAACACCTCAACTTCTACCTCATTGTCCATATCACTATCAGCATTTTGGTCAAAGCCATTCAAAAAGTGTCTAGGAAGTTCCAACTGTCCCACATTTTTCTGTCTTCTTCTGAGCCCTCTAAACTGTTCCAATGCCTGCTTGTTACCCAGTTCTAAAGTCACTTCCACATTTTCAGGTATCTTTACAGCAGCACCCACTCCTGGTACCAATTTACTGTATTAGTCCATTTTCATGCTGCTATGAAGAAATACCCAAAAGTGGGTAATTTATAAAGAAAAGAGGTTTAATTGACTCACAGTTTCACATGGCTAGGGAGACCTCAGTAAACTTACAATCATGGTGGAAGGCACCTCTTCACAGGACAGCAGGAGAGAGAATGAGTGCCAGGCCAGATGGGGAAATGCTAGACACTCATAACCATCAGATCTTGTGAGAACTCACTCACTATCATGAGAACAGCATGGGGGAATCTCCTTGACAATCTAATTACCTCCCATGAGGTCCCTCCAATGACATGTGGGGATTATGAGAACTACAATTCAAGATGAGATTTGGGTTGGGGCAAAGCCAGACCATATCAACCATATATAAAAATTAACTCAAGAGGGATTAAAGATGTAAATGAAAGACCTAAAGCTTTAAAAATCCTAGAAAAAATTCCAGGAAATACTATTCTGAACATCAGCCCCAGCAAAAATTTCATGACAAAGACTCCCAGAGCAATTACAACAAAACCAAAAATTGACAAGTGGGACCTAATTAAACTAAAGAGCTTTTGCACTGCAAAAGAAACTATCAACAGAGCAAACAGACATCCTACAGAACGGGAGAAAATAATTTGCAAACCATACATCTGACAAAGGTCAAATATCTATAATATATAAGGAACTGATATGGTTTGGCTCTGTACTCAAATCTCATGTTGAATTGTAATTCCCACTGTTAGAGGAGGAACCTGGTAGGAGGTGATTGGATCATGGCGGTGGATTTCCCCCTTGTTTTTCTCATGATAGTGAGTTTTTCTCATGAGATCTGATGGTTTAAAAGTGTGTGGCACTTCCCCCTTCACTTTCTGTCTCTCCTGCTGTCATATAAAGATATGCTGGCTTCCCCTTCACCTTTTGCCATGACTAAAAGTTTCCTGAGGCCTCTCAGCCATGCCTCCCATACAGCCTGTGGAACTGTGAGTGAATTAAACTTATTTTCTTTATAAATTACCCAGTATCAGGTATATCTTCACAGCAGTGTGAGAATGGACTAATACAGGAACTTAAACAAATTAACAAGCTAAAAAAAACCTCATAAAAAATGGGCAAAGGACATGAACAGACACTTCACAAAAGAAGACATACACAGGGTCAACAAACATATGAAAAAAAATGTTCAGCGTCACTGATCATTAGGGAAATGCAAATCAAAACCGCATTGAATTTTGCTCTGACATGAGTCAGAATGCCTATTATTAAAAAGCCAAAAATTAAGGGATGCTGGTGAGATTGTGGAGAAAGGGGAAGACTTACACAGTGCTGGAGGGAATGTAAATTAGTTCAGTCACTGTGGAAAGAATTTTAAAGATTCTTGAAAGATCTTAGAACTATGATTCAACCCATCAATCCCATTACTGGGTATATACCCAAAGGAATAGAAATCATTCTACTGTAAAGATACATGCCCCTGAATGTTCATCTCTGCACTAGTCACCACAGCAAAGACATAGACTCAACCTTGGTGCCCATTAACGGTGGATTGAATAAAGAAAATGTGGTATATATACTCCACGGAATACTACACAGCCATAAAAATGAATGAAATCATGTCCTTGACAGCAGCATGGATGCAGCTGGCGGCCATTATCTTAAGTGAATTAATGCAGGAACAGAAAATCAAATACCACATATTCTCACTTATAAATACAAGCTAAACATTTAGGACATATTGACACAGAGAAGGGAAAAATTGACAACCTGAGCCTACTTGAAGGTGGAAGGAAGGATGGTAAGGATTGAAAAACTGCCTGTTGTGTACTATGGTCTCTACCTGGTGATGGAGTAATTTTACACCAAACCCCAATGTCACACAATTCACCCATGTAACAAATCTGCATATGTATAAAATTTGGAAGAAACAAAAGAAAAAATAATTTTCCACTTAAAAGGGGAGAGAAGACACATAATTGGGGATATAAGGCTATCCATATTGTATGTAGACAGTGTCTGGAGTGAACAGATAAAGTAATATAACAGGGCTGATGATTTTGTCCATCATTTTCAAATAACATCATTATTAGTAGTAGTATTTTATTTTATTTTATTATTATTTTTTGAGACGAAGTCTCGCTCTTGTCCCTCAGGCTGGAGTGCAGTGGCACGATCTCAGCTCAGTGCAACCTGAGCTTCCAGGGTTCAAGTGATTCTACTGCCTCAGCCTCCCAAGTAGCTGAGATTACAGGTGCCCGGGATTACAGCTAATTTTTTTGTATTTTTAGTAGAGGTTGGGTTTCCCCATGTTGGCCAGGCTGGTCTCGAACTCCTGACCTCAGGTGATCTGCCGCCTTGGCCTCCCGAAGTGCTGGGATCACAGGCGTGAGCCACCGTGCCTGGCCAATTAGTGGTATTATTAATCAAGGAAAGGATAGTCCCTAAAATGTCTGAAGTATAGAGATCATATTACGTATTAATTAGGCATGCGACTATGCTAGGTGTGTTATATTAGATCTAGAATTCCAGCTTGGATTTTGTTTAGTGGCAATGGACCCCACCACTTTAAAGCCTTTTGAGATAGTAGAGGAGAGTGGGAAGGTACTGCTAGAGAGAGGATGATCAACCGACACATTAGGAAAATGGGTCTTGATAGGGGTATGGTATAGGTAATACTGGTGAGAGTCTGAAGATAGTTGGGTTTTTGAGGAGACTGCTGTAAACATCCAGCCATGAGATAAGGACCAGGAAGAATGCAAAGCCGTGGGAATTGAAAGACACTGATACAAGACTGATTTATGAAGGTTCTACTTTTTAAAATTAGTTTCTTTATAGTGGTTTGAAGTGCTTGGACGAAGAGGATACTGCCGGCAGTTGTTTTTTTTTTCCATTTGTTTGCATATTTTATATTCATGCTATGCAGGTGTGGAAGTTCGAGTGTATGGTTAGTGTTCAGGTTGCTGCCAGTCTCAGATATTCTAGAGTTTAGCAGCTGCATGGTGATTGGAATCCTGCTGCTTTTTCCTCACTCCGAACTTGAGATCCCCTGTCAAACTAGTCTCTTCATTGCCCCAGGCTTTCTCAAATCTTCCCACTGCCTCTCCAGTAGGTTTTTAACAGTTTGCAAGCACTGGTGTGGTGGTGGGATGGAGGGGTCTGGGGTAGGGAAGGCTGGGGTAGCGTACTTTCTAATCCTGATGGAAGTGAAAGGTAATGAAAGAGAAAAAGCTACTTGATCTCCCGAGAAGTTCTTATTTTCCTGTTTTCTTCAATATGAAAATTTGACAGGCTTTTAAAAAAATCTCTTTTTGAGGAAATCTCACTCCATATTCCCTGCTCTTAAGTGATGTTTACATTTATTTATTTTATTATTTTCTTTAGACCAGTTGAATATTAACATACTGAAGTAAAATTTTTTAAATGTCCTACTAACAATCTTTTGTTGCAATATATAAAGTTAATAAAATATAGCTTTTAAAAACATTTAACTAAAACATCATGGAGATATTAAGCAGTGGATTTAACATAACTCCAGAAAGCAAGAAAAACAGCTTTGTTTGCATTTTCTTTTATATCTTGAGATGAGAAAACCAACCATAATCCTCTAGAAACCTCTTTGAACAAGGACCCTACTTTTGAGAGAATGAGGTTAACAGACGCGTAATTCCTTTGTAGTAACTGTTCGGTTTCTGTGCCCACTGTCTGGTAATCTGATGTGGATCTTGCTACTGAAGAGAATCAAAGTAGGTTGTAGAGGTACGTCTTTAGGTTCTTTTGTTTTTTAACAGACAAATTGCTCCTTACTCAACTATTTTGTTTTTCTCTTTAAAGAGAGAATGTGATTTCACATTCTTATTTGTAAAAAATAAATCTTATTTTCTACAAAAAAGTTAATCTTATTTTTTACAAAAAAAGTCCTATTTTTTACAAATAAGATTTTAAATCTTATTGTTTAAATCTTCTTTCACTATCTTAGTGAAATATAGTAAGTCTTTATTTGTCAAATAAATTGCAGTGCCTCTTGCCCAGATACACACCTCCTGATGTTATAACAAGTATCCAGAAATATAATTGTTTAAATTACAATCACCCCTGCATCTCCAGCTATTTAACGCACTTCATGAATAACTTTGAAATGGTCCTAGTAACTAAGACAATAAATACTTTTTTAGTTCTCTGCTTCTGTCTCTACCTATGCTTTGCCAATACTGCTGTGGCTTTTATGCTTCTACATATTTTCTCATTACAAAGAATTTTGTCATGGTTATATTAGGTCAAACACATTTCTAGGACTTTTGCTATTTATCAAATGGTTTTATATATCTTAACCATAGGTCAGCCTTGTCGATGTATTGTGGCTTTATCCTAATTCATCACTGCTATGGTTTAGATATGGTTTGTTTGTCCGCACCAAATCTTACGTTGAAATTTGATCCCTAGTGTGGTGATGTTTGGAGATGTTGCCTGGTGGGAGGTTGTTTGGGTGATGGGGGCAGACCCCTCATGAATGGCTCAGTGCCCTTCTAGGTCAGTGAGTTCTCACCCTTATTACTGGCTCAGTTCTCGAGTGCATGGATTCATTTCCTTGAGAGGGGGTTGCTATAAAGCCAGGATGCCCTCAGGCTTGATCCCTCTGTGCATGTGTGCCCGCTTCCCCTCGGACCATCTCTGCCGTGTTTTGATGCCGCCCAAAGACCCTCACCAGAAACCAAGCAGATGCTGACACCATGTTTCTTGTACAGCCTGCAGAACCATGGGCTAAATTAAACCCTTTATTAACTACCCAGTCTCAGGTATTTCTTTATAGCAACACAAAACAGACTAAAACAATTGTGTAGAAAAAAATTTTTTTTTCTAAAATGCATTGTATTCTCACTTAAATAACTAATTTTACACATGCTTGTTTGAAGAATAATTGCTTGCATGATTACCATCAATATGGTAATATTATTAGACCTTAATATAAATTTTAAAACAACTAATTTTCCATTCTCTTTCTTTTCCATACTCTTCTCATGTATTCTTTATCTCTGTGAATGGCAACATCAGGTACTCCATCACCCAGCCCAGAAACCTGGGCAATTATCTTTTGCTTCCCGATACTCATACAGTCCCCCAACACCCCACCACCACCACCAATTATTTATGTGGTTGATCTTATATCCTTAATATCACTTGGTCCCATCACTAACTTCCTGTGTCACCACTTGGTCCCCTCTTCCTTAGTTCAAGTCTGTATCCCTTCTCCCTTAGATCACTGCATTTCCCACCTAATTAGTCTGCTATGTTTAGTCTCTCTGGTTTTTAAGCAGGCTTACCCCTCAAAATAACAACCTCGTTTATCTTTCCCTGGTAGAATGTCTCTTAGTTTTTACAACTACAATTTCATAGGTGCTTCACTTGATGTTTGTATCAGAAAATTTTATAAATTTCTTATTCAGTGTAGCTGCATCAGTTTGAGCAACGACTAAAGGTTTTTGCATCTCTCATGTCACTAACGCTATGAGAGGCCCTTTTACTTTTCACAAAACTATGTGGTTTAGCAATCATATTGTTTGATCAGTAAATTAGAGCTTGTAGATATTTTAGATAAGCTTTAGGAAAATGTTAGGGATTTGCATTGATTTATTTTGCATTATAATTATTTACACTTAAAATAATGGGAGATAAGCCCCAATTAGCTTTGTACTGAGGAATATTAGAACATCTTACTTTCATGAGTTATTGACATTTAGAGTGAGACTCATATACTTTCTCTACAATGTTGCCTGTGAGATCTTGCTAAAATATAAATTCAACCCTCCTATTTCTCAGGTTAAATTTTTTTCTCTGGGCCAGGTGCAGTGGCTCACGCCGGTAGTCCCAGCACTTTGGGAGGGTAAAGTGGGTGCATCACTCGAGGTCAGGAGTTAGAGACCAGCCTGGACAACATGGTGAAACCCTGTCTCTACTAAAAATACAAAAAAAATTAGCAGGGTGTGGTGGCTGGTGCCTGTAGTCCAGCTACTCGGGAGGCTGAGGCAGGAGAATTGCTGGAACCTGGGGGGCAGAGGTTGTAGTGAGCTGAGATCGTGCCACTGCACTCCAACCTGGGCAACAAAGCAAGACTTCATCTCAAAATATATATATATATATATATATATATATATATATATATATTTTTTTTTTTTTTTTTTCCTCTGGCTCCTCCACATCCTTTTGATTAAAGTTTAAACTCTCTGTTGCTTGAAGAAAGCTTTCTATACCTCTCCTTGACTTTTCACACTGCCCCTTCAAAGCAGTCTTTCTCCGTTCAGGACCATGTGTATCTGAATCACCTGAGATGCATATTAAAAATGTGAGTTCCCAGACAATTTCCCAGACATTCAGAATCAGAGGTTCTGGGAGTCTAGCCTAGGAATCTTCACCCACTGCATAAGTTATTGGTCAGGACACTCACCTAAGCAATAACTTATGAAGTGTGTATGTAATTCCTCTAAGAAATCTATTGCCTCTTCTCCTGTCCCCTACTCAGTCTGTCGAGATGCTTCAAATCTGGGCTCATGCTTGTCCTTGTGCATGTCTTGATCTAACCCCTTCCACACCATAGTATTTTCAGTTATTTACGTGTTTTTTTCTTCTCAACTCTTTGGTATATTCTTAAGAGAAGGAGCCATGTTTTATTCAGTGTTGTGTCCTCCGTAATTGGTGTAGCAAATGTCCAAGTACATTTGCCTGACCAATAAATGGGTGAAAGACATCTGCCAAGATGGTAAAAATTGGAGATGGGACCTCTGTTTATTTGATGTTATATTACCAATATTTATGTAGCATCTTCTCTCATATTTTTTATCATATACTTAAGATGATGGGTTTGGTCACCAGAATCTTGTCCTGATTCACAATCCCAATATGCATATATCAGCATTATTTACAAAGTCTTAGCTAATGGGCCATGGTTAATATTGCACTAAGAAACATTTGCTTGTGCCTACACTTTTTATTTTACTGCCCTTACTACCACCACTAGTAACATGCCCCAAATAGTAATAATACCTAACCAGCATATTGGAGAGTTTTTGGATTACTATTATTTTCATTTATAATGGAATTCCTGTTTTCACTGAATCAATACAGCCTGATCTTTTCTTCATATCCTACCAAATATGAGGAGAGAATAAATAGAAAATAAAAAAGAATTGTTTTTCTTGTCAGTTTCCATGGCAATGGAGCTTTCTATTTGTTTAACCAGTAAAGAATGTTCACACAACCTGTTTTTCTTTTTTTTCCCCCGTCTCACACTCTCTCACACACACATACATATATACAAACATCATAAAAGTTTATTCTGTCAAATCTAGCCAAAACTATAATATGTTTTAATGCTTTTTCTACTTTAGTTAATTTGTCTTACCCAGTGCTATTTTACTTATAATAAAAAGATAAACACTATGTAAATTCGCATGTGTGATAAATATTTAGAAAATGTGAGAGGAGCAAATATGTGATATTTTCAAAATATACTACAGCTCTCAGGGTTATGAAGACTTTCACTTTGCTAATTGGGGTTTCAATAAAATTAAAAAGGAGATAGTCATCATTTCTATTGTTTACGCATTGTCTTGCCAATATATGTAATTATGTGCCATCTATTGGAAAGATCCATACGTAGTCAGATCCATGGAGTACAGGACTAATTAACTGAAATCATTATTCTTTATTTGTATGAATGAATTAGGTCATTTGCTGGGAAGGTAGATTAAATTTCTTCTGTGTTCTGAAAGGCCGACATTGCTTTTTGAAATACCCTCCAGGGAGGGCTGGATGAATTCGACAATTTGATTTACAGTATTAATGTAGAAAATAATTTAATTCTATACCCAGGGGATTAATGAATATCTATTTCCACCTATACTAGCTTGTTATTCTCAGTAATTAGGGTTTACCATGGCAATTATTGAACTTTAATTTTCATGTGTTTGTGAGTCACACTATTCTGTAGCATAGTTACGTTGTTAGCATATATTAGCATTAACTACATGATGTTAGTAAGTAGTCATGACTAAGTATTGTACTAAGAAACTCCTTTGGTTTCTATACATAACATTACATTTGGATTGCTGCTGTTAATACCACCACTAATAATGTGCCTAAAATAGTGAATAGTAAATAGTAAATTATATATATGGTTGCATTTGATCTTAGCAAAGTTAAAAGTATCTAGATAAGTCTTTGAGAGTAGTACCAATTCTATTTATTCTGTCAATGACATCTTGCCTTCTTTTTGTGACCCTGTTTGATCAACTGTAACTTATAATTTATTTTTAAAAATACATTTTTGACCAGGGAGTGAAATGATAAACTTAATAAATGACAATATCATCAGATCATTTAATGATTTTACATTTAACAGTTGCTAATTTATTCAGATACCTTCCATGAAATCACATTATTTAAATGTTGCCTTGCTAACTTGCCTGTTATTTTGGAATATATTTAAAAATTAATGGTATATGTACCTTACAGTGAATGTAAGGTAAATATAAAATAGTTATTTCTCATCTTGCTTTTGTGTGTTCAGTTTTCTAAAAGGGGTCCATGAAACTTCCAGTAAAATGTGAAATTTAATTCACCTAAAATTCGGAGTATAAAAATATGCCCTATATTTGTTATATCTGGGGAAGGGGTAAAGTTAAATAATGATGGACTCATAAACTTGAGATAGACTGAGAACCATAAACAATGACTAGAATGTCCTTGGATATTCCTAGAGAAGACCTCTCAAAATTATTGAAACATTTCATAATAACTTCTAGAATGTTCCAGGTCAGAGTGATTTTCACTCTTAGATAATGAAACCTTCAATTCTTTCTTTAGAAGTGGGAAAAATCTATACAGATGAGTGTATAGTCCTTGAGTTTTGTTTCTTAGGTTTTGTTTTCCCTACAGGAAGGAAAAAAAAGAGGTTATAGTTGCTTACAGATGTTAGGAAACCCAGTTATAGGGAATCTAGTCAATGGTAAGGGATTTTTGAGAATACATTTCTTCTCCAGAAATTACATAAGGAAGAAGGGACCATAACCTAGAGTTTGATTCTGATCATGCTATACTTTTACTTTTTCAGAGGTCAGTTTCCCAGCTTGCCTCACAGTTAGTATTGGGAAGATAAATATAAAGCAAGAATAATAATACATGACAATATAATGGGAAAGAAATTTCATAAATGTTTGAAGGGTGAGTTTCATCAGCTATTTAAAACTAATGTGTTTAAAGTACAGAGGAAAAGAGCCCAACCAAGGTTCGGTGAGAGCTAATCATTGGGCCTAAATGTCTTCAGATTTACAGTTTTTCAGTAAAATGTGCGTAAGAAGTAAATAAAGAATACTGAAGTCTAAAACCATCATCACAGGGTTTTAAAGACAGTTCTGAGTACAGTGCTGAAGAAATTAACACCCAGGGCTTACATGTAACACCCTCCACCCTTTTCTGTTTTTTTTGGTCTCATGTATTAATAAAGTGTACAGAGAGGAAAAATGAGTAAGACGGTTTAGCCTCAGATAGGAGGAAATGCTTGTTCTCTAAATACACAGCATTATAGCACATATTATTTAAACATAACACAGTAAGACCATTCCCCGCCCCCCCAATAGCTCTTCAAAGGGAAATACAAGCTTTTTGGCATGAACTACTTATCACATTTTCCTAATACTAGGTATTGGTAGCAACTCTTAAAGTTTTTAAACAGTTTATTCCACTTAAAATATGCAATCAATGTAGACACTTCTTCTGGGTAGTACTTATATCTCCTATTTAATAATCAGATGTTGTCCTCATCCTTCCCTATGATTGATGGTCAAAAAAAAAAAAAAAAAGCCTGTCTTGCTTTTTTAAGGGCTTTCTCCTTGCCTGTTTTGTAATTGTGTAACCCCCACCCCCAGGGAGAATCTAAATTCTTTCCACATTAGAAATAAAATATCAAGTTCTTTTCTCTAGCTTTTCCATTATTGATATAATCTAATTTAAATGAGTTTGATAAGATTTAAAAATGACAGTTGTTCATCCAAATCTTTTAAATATAGAAGCCCATTGCAGCAGTCTGTATTTTACTGAGCCTTTACTTGATTAATGTAAGGAAAGTGCCTTTCCTGCTTCGAATTTTCGAGCAATTAGTTTGGGAAGTGTTTATTTGTAGGAAAAAAGAATGTGCAGACTCTGACCCTGACTTTCTGCAGTGTGCTGCTCTTTCATGGTGACATCTAATCTGTTTTAACCCCTATTAAGGACAATACAAGATAGTCATTCAAATTATGTTTTACAAAATGTACTTTTGCTGATTTCATATTGACAATATGGAGAGTTAATTTTCTTCTGCGTGCTTAGAGAAGTGGTCAGAGATTAGAAATTATTGGTAAACATGAATAGCATGAAAAAAAATTGGACAAAACATTGAAGCAGCGTTCATAAATGATCTACAATTTGAGATAGACTAATTCAGACTGCTCCCTAATGTCACTTTGTAAACTACAGTGTATAAACTTATGTTGGTAATAGGACAATTCTAAAGGTATTTTATATTATTGAGTTATTCTAAAGGTATTTTATATTATAAGTTATCTGAGTTTTAATGTTGCACAGGATCAAAAGTGACAGTGGCTGGGCTGGAATTGAGTTCAGTTTTATTAGTCTATTTTTATTGATTCAGCAAATGTTTGATGAGTGATTGATTTATGGCATAAGGCAGGTTATATAGTGGAAAATAGAAAGTTCTTCCCTTGAGAAGTATTTTCATATAACACATTTTTCTCCACTATGTAAAACTTATTTTCAGTGTTGTATTAGGGTCCTTTATGGATTAGTGTTATGAACATCTCTCAGGCTGGTCAGCCCCTTAATTTGGCTTTGTATGAGAGAGAGTGGTGAAAGGATCCTAATTTGGATTTGGTATAGGGATCAGTGAAATTTTCTCTAAGGAATTAACCTTTAGGTTGAGACCTGGTGAAATTAGCCATATGAAAAATCCAGCAAAGAGTGTTCTGTGCAAAAGAAGCAACATGCAAAAGGTACAGTGCTGGGAACCAGCTAAGAAAGAAGGCCTGTGTAGTCAGAGAAGGAAGTAAGGAACTCAGACAAGCTGGAGGGCCAACAGGAGGAGCCAGATCAGGTGGGGTTCTGGCTCACAAAATAGATGTGCCCTATAACAAAAGAAGCCACGGAATCAAAGAGAAACAGTGATATTGTCTTAGTCTGCTTGGGCTGCTCTAACAAACTACCATAAACTAGGTGGCTTCTAAACAACCAAAATTTATTTCTCACTGTTCTGGAGGCTGAGAAGTCCCAGATCAAGGCACCAGTAGATTTGGTGTCTGTTGAAGGCCTGGTTTTTGAGTCATAGACAGCTGTCTTTGGGCTGTGTCCTCCCATAGCAGAAGGGCCAGGGAACTCCCTGGGATGTCTTGATAAATGTACTAACTCCATTCATGAGGGTTCTGCCTTCATGACCTAATCTCCTCTCAAAGGCCCCATGCATGTCCAAATATGATCACATTGTGCATTTGAATTCAGCATATGGAATTGAGGTGGGACACAAACCTGCAGTCTATAGCAGATATCATCTGGTTTGTGCGTAATTCGTTTTGACCACCATTGAGAATGGATTGAAAGGCCAAGAATGAAACAAGAAGAGGCCAGTTTTATTAACATGGATAGCCCCTTGCAGGCATTTAGGTAAGAGATTCTGGTGACTCTAAGGACCAGTACAATGAAGATGAAAAGTGAAGTGATGTGAAGGAAATTTCATAGGAACTTGTTGCCTCACAAGACCATGTTACCAAGGAGAGTTACTTGTTTGTATATATTTTTTCTGATATTTCTGATCTCTGCAGCCCACCCTTTCTTTCCTTGAAATTTCTGCATGACCATGGATTCCTTAGCAGTTTCTTATAGCATTCATAGATTGAAATGACTATTTATCTGTAGTATCTCCTCTTAATTACCAATCCAACATTTTGAAAATCATCACATTTTATTTGGAAAAGTAATAAAATGGGACTAATGAAGTGATTAAAATGTAAACTGCCTTCACCATAATTAAATACTATAGTAAAGGAAGATAATAATTTTCAAAATAAATTGACTGCTTGTTGAAAACACTGGTAAGCAGGATTTCCTTCAATAGAATTCATTGTTTCACATCAGCAAAAAATATTATTATGGACTCTCAGGTGGGATCTATAAATAGCAGTGATTTATTTTACCAGTATTGATGTAAATATATTTTGCCTTGTAATTCTGAACCTAATTTGCATTCTTATAAGAAAATCATGCTTACTTACTTCTCTGAAAATGGGATCTTACTGCCCTTAAAATTGTATGTAATTGTTTTTGGCATTTTATATTACATTGTGTTTTAAAAAGTAAGTTGTTTTAAAACAAATTATCATAAAAATTTGCCTTCCTTCTGCAAGCTTGGCATATTAATCTATTTAAATTTGAATTAAACAATAACATGTAATTAAGTAAAATTCTTGTAACATTTTATTCTGTTACCACATTTTTAAAAATACTGACAAGTTTACTTTTCTGTAATTTGAGATAAAAATATTATTTTTCCCAACGGCCATGTGTGTGTGTGCATTCACACATAAGTACATAGGTAAATCTAATTTAAAATAGTGGGGAGTGGGATGCCTAGTGCTGTCTTTTCCTGTGTTTACAGCCATCATCACTAGGGTGTCGCAACCTCACGTGACTTGCCCTTGCAGCCTCTAGGAACACTGACTAAATTTGTGCCCCAAAGGCACTGTAGTAGCAAATGCAGCCTTTCTGGTTCTCTAACACTATGGTACTTCCTGAGACACAGGGAAGGAGTTTCATGCTGGCATTAAGAAGCTCTGCCATGGCACTGAACTCAGCAAATTGTATAATGTGAGTCTAATAAATCTACAGCATATAAAGGATTTACTCTTTCATTTGATATCTAGAAATGCCCAAACCCTGAACAACTTTGTAAAAGGAGAATATAGCTAGGAGGAAGAATAGCCACAAGTCTGGGGTAGTAGAGCACCTCAACCTCTGTGAACATTTATGTCACCTGTAAAAGAAATATGATAATAGGCTTACCATGAGGATTAAACAAGGCATGCACAATATCAGATGCATAATTGTTTTTTACATCTTAATATATATTTTTTAATTTTATTCTTATTATACTTTAAGTTCTAGGGTACATGTGCACAACATGCAGGTTTGTTACATATGTATACATGTGCCATGTTGGTGTGCTGCACCCATTAACTCATCATTTACATTAGGTATATCTCCTAATGTTTTCCCTCCCCCCTCCCCCAACCCCACGACAGTCCCTGGTGTGTGATGTTCCCCTTCCTGTGTCCAAGTGTTCTCATTGTTCAATTCCCACCTATGAGTGAGAACATGCGGTGTTGCGTTTTTTGTTCTTGCGATAGTTTGCTGAGAATGATGGTTTCCAGCTTCATCCATGTCCCTACAAAGGACATGAACTCATCCATTTTTATGGCTGCATAGTATTCCATGGTGTATATGTGCCACATTTTCTTAATCCAGTCTATCATTGATGGACATTTGGGTTGGTTCCAAGTCTTTGCTATTGTGAATAGTGCTGCAATAAACATATGTGTGCATGTGCTTTTATAGCAACATGATTTAGAATCCTTTGGGTATATACCCAGTAATGGGATGGCTGGGTCAAATGGTATTTCTAGTTCTAGATCCTTGAGGAATCACCACACTGTCTTCCACAATGGTTGAACTAGTTTAATGGCCATACTGCCCAAGGTAATTTGTAGATTCAATGCCATCCCCATCAAGCTACCAATGACTTTCTTCACAGAATTGGAAAAAACTACTTTAAAGTTCATATGGAACCAAAAAAGAGCCCTCATTGCCAAGACAATCCTAAGCCAAAAGAACAAAGCTGGAGGCATCACACTACCTGACTTCAAACTATACTATGAGGCTACAGTAACCACATGGTACTGGTACCAAAACAGAGATATAGACCAATGGAACAGAACAGAGCCCTCAGAAAAATACCACACATCTACAACCATCTGATCTTTAACAAACCTGACAAAAACAAGAAATGGGGAAAGGATTCCCTATTTAATAAATGGTGCTTGGAAAACTGGCTAGCCATATATAGAAAGCTGAAACTGGATCCCTTCCTTACACCTTACACAGAAGCATACTTTTTAATAATTATGAACTATTATTACAATTACTATTTTGGCTAAGCATCCAACATGTCACCTGGTACATAATAGCTGCTTAATTAAATTAGCTGTAGTGAAAATGACAACTTATTATCTCACATAACTGAAAAGTATAGGGGTGGTCCTAGTCCTGGGCTCATCTGGAGAGGGTGCTGGAAAAAATCTCTGTCTCTGTCTCTCTCTTTCTTTATTTCTGTCATTCTCTCTCTTATTACTTTTTGTATTGTCTATTTTTATCTCACTGTTTCCATATCATTTCTCTATCTTTTTTCTTTTGTCCCTTTCTAAAGCTCTCTTATTATGTTTTATCTCATTATCATTCTCTTGCTGCCTCTGTCTCTCTTCCTCTTTTCTCTCTGCCTCTTTGTCTCTCCCCCACATCTGCTTCTCCTACTGATTCCTCACCACCTCATATCTCTCTCTTCTTTTTCCCTCCTCCTCTCTGTCTGTCCTTCTATCTTTGCTTCTTTATCTATTCTGTCTTCTTCCCTCCTTCTTTCCTGTGTGTTGGATATGATTCTTGATAGACTGTCATCAGTGCCGGTGGCCCCACAGAAAAGAAATTACTACTTCTCTCTTACCCCCAGCCAAAAGCCAGTTGCCCCAATCGTCACAGAAGTGAGTAAAGTGCTATTTGCCGAGGTCTGGAGCCAGAAGCTTTGTTCTACCCAAGTCTCTTGGACTCAAAGGGAATTGTGTGTGAAAACAATAACTACTGTAGCTTATTAGATTAATTATTATTTAGCAGGTCTCATGCTACACATTTTAATAATCTTATTTCATCCTCATAACATTTTTAAGTGTTAAGAACTATGCTATCCTCATTCAACAAATCAGGAAATTGAGGTTTAGAAAATTAAGGGTCTTTCACAAGGTTGTATATCAACTAAGCAACTAAGCTGGCATTATTAATAGAATATAGACTGTCTGCCCCAAGCCCTGTACTGTTAATGCCACACACACACCACTGCCTCACAAGGAAATTAAATTTACTGGGTCTCCATGTGTTCATGAGGTGTTTGATTTATATATTTATGCTGTTTAGACCTTATAATATTAATTTTGTAATTAACATGCAATATATTATACACACATTTGAGCACCTTCTGCTCCTTCCCAAAAGTTCTCAGCTAGCCCTCTTTTTTTTAAAATAAAACTTTGTGAGGTTTTCATTTAACATATTGTTTTATATCTACCAGAACTTCAGTAACATAATCTCTTGGTAACATAGCCATTAGAGAGAAAATCAGCATTGGTTGCCCACTGTGGGCACAGAGACAGAATTGATTCTCCTACCAACCCCCATCCCCACTCCATCTTTCCGCTAGAAATGGAGGGGTTGAAGTCCAAAGACTTCTTATATTCAACAACATGTCAAATTGTATCTCTTTTGTATAGCCAAAAATGTAAGAAGTAGTGGATTATACCTTTTTCTTTGAATATTATAAATGAAAGTTACTACAGACACAAATATTTGCATCTGTCCTATACTTAAATTTTTTTCCTAAATTAGTTTTCTGATTTTTAATTTTTTATTATTTTCTTATTTCTTTTCAAGAGATCCTCCACTTTATCCTCTAGGTTGATGGTATGCTGTTTTTTATTATTTTGTCTATATTTAACCACAATTTGAATTATCTCACCTAAAATATCTTTGTCATCTCAATGTTTTGTTCTAATGAACTGAAAAAGAAAGTTTTAAGTGTCATAGTTTTCTGGTTATATGATGTTTTGCCAGTTTTGCACAGATTTAGAGTTTTAATGACTTTTAAAATTGCTTCCAGTAATGGAGGCAGCATTTTACATTTCCTTTATCCTATGTCAGAGATGATACACAAAATCCTGAATTTAAAAAACTGTATATGCTAAAAAAATTGTTTATCAGGAAGTCAAGTAAACTTACTTTTATTGTTAAAACTGTATTTTGAGGTTAATTTTCCAAAAGGAGCATGTGCCACAACTCTGATATAATACTGGTGCTTAGAACATTATTCAAAAATAGGGAAATTTTAATGTTATTCTTTAGTCATTATTATTTTGGTTTCTGAAAATAACTTGTTAATTCAATAGAGGTTTTTAAATACTGTTTTTGAAAAGTTGATATGTAAATAGTAATTTAATGTGTTTAATTCCAATATCCATTTTTGGAATACTAGTAAAACTATTATCTGAGACCTAATCCCACAGAGCCTTCCAGGTGGACTCTACTAAGTCAGGACAGTTTTAAGAGCTTTGGGGGCTTTAGTGTTATTCCCCGGAGCTAGGTTCTTAGAGTGTTTATGAACCTAGTCCCTTGATCTGAACTTTCCATTGAAGATTTGAGGATGGTCTAAAGAATGGTAATTAAGGCTTGTTATAATACATTTTGTTGTAAGAATAATGAATGAAAGTTTTTGCCTCATTGTATGTCCCTACAAATCAGGGATAGTTTTTACTTTTTTTAATTTTAATAGCTAGAGTATAGTGGGCTTATCCTAGAAGAATTAAACCTATTACTTATGGAGTATAAGAAGCAGATGGTGTCATATAAAGAAGACCAAATGAGATTGGCTCATTCCGAGTGGTATGAAAAATAAATAAATAAGTAAATAAATAAAACAAAATGGAATTTCTAAGATAAACAGTTAAAAAAAGATGAAGACTGGGATTCTGCTTCTCTGGATGTGTATCCTGATGAGCCATTAATTTCTCTATATTTTTGCTAACACATGAGAGGGCTGAAGATCTGTCCAAGGAGTTATATTATTAGACTCTAATTGTCTTTATTCATCCAAGATATACTTATTTATTTGCTGTTATCTCATACTTTAATGGATTTTATGCATATATGAATTATCTAACTTTGAAATAGTGTGATATACAACATTATTATCTCACTGTGTGCACAAAATATTTACTAGAACATCCCCCAGATTAACTTTCTACTGTTAAAGAATTGGGAAATTTCCAAGATGGGTGGGTATTTGTTTACCTTGTTTACAGTATTCCATGTGGCAACATTGCTTTGGCTAGTACACCAATAAAACTGTCATTGGTAATCAAGATCCCAGTGAATTATACAAGTTTTGAATTGGTTGATATGTGCAGGGGATATATATCTTGCATAAACTGTGAATACAATGTACATTGTTCCATGTAATATTTGTAAGCCATGCAAGGTTTGAATAAAGTTGTTCATTCAACATTGTAACTGTGTTGTTTAAGATGCAAAGGCACAAAATTGAATCTAATGGACATAGTATCTTCCCTCAGAAATTATGCAAGATAGTGTTACAAATTGACATTTGGGTAAATATGTAAAAATCTATTTTCAGTTTTAAAAATAAATAATTTCTGTTGAAATTAACTTGTTCTAGCAGAAATATGCCCAAGCCAAACATTTTGATATTTCACAGAGGCAGGCTAGAAACTCAGGAGAAGAAATTATCTTCAACTTAGATGTAACTTGATAAATATGCAATTTGATAAATCAGAGAATGTAGGCATTCGATGATGAATTCAGTAAATCAAAGTAAAATCACAACTTGTATTTCATTTATGGTTCCTCCCTATTCCTCTATTGCTTATTGTCAGTAAATACCAACTACATAAATGCATATGTATGGGTTTGGAATGTATCTGTTGCATGTCTATATAATATGTTCTATTTCCTGTAGTTATGTTCTGTTATGGCAGCCTTTATGTTTGCAAATCATTTCCCGTCACATATTATAGATGTGAGATATCCTTGAACAATAAGGGAATATTTCCCTCATAAATTAGTTGTTTGGAAGATAGTGTTCATAGCACTTAGATTATATGTATTATCATTTCTACTAATGTAAAAATATTTTGTTAGATTGTGCCTGTTTGGATAATAAGGTGTTTAAATGGAAGCTTTGGCAGAGACACATTATAAAGGTAGATTTTGCCTAGGCTTTCCTCAGAAGAATCCCACTGTGACTCAATACCACCCATTTCCAAAATGAAAATGGTGCATGTTGCTATCACCTATCCTAAGCCTAGTGAGAGAGTCTTCAAGGAGATTTATTGGAGAGAACTCTGCTATGCCTCCCCCATCTCACCTTCCCAGGAGTTCTACCCGCCTCACTTCAGGTTAAGAGAGAGGAGATTTCAGTAGACCACTCTGAGGGCATAAAATGAGTACCCAGGTTAGACATACGCCTGGGAAATCAAAGCTGAATACGAATGAGAGAGAGGTGTATGCTTTGGGATAAACCTACACTCCTGAAGTTTGTTGGAGTTTCCCAAGATGAATCTCAGAAGATTCATGTGAGATTTAACACCATTAACACCTGTGAAAGGAGAAGGGTGAGGAAGCCCAATTAGTTGGGCCAGGGAAGCCATTAGACAGCCACGTAGACCAGACAGTGTCTCTGCCAGCCCAGCCAGAATGCACATTAGACAAGTCCCATGTTGTGGGGAAGTGGCCAGTCCGTCATACCAGTCTTGCTCAATCCTGGGCTGTGGGCCACTCTGAGAAGACTGTGCCTTTGGCTTAAAAGCTGAAGCAGACCCAGATGAAGCCGACAGCTGGAGGCTGCCAACTAACCCACACTCCTCACAGATGGACATTGAATGCTTTCTTGAAGGAGAATCTGGTCAGGATATCTCCATTTGTAAAAGTCCTCTAGCAACTCTGTTGATACTCCTATAATCAAAGTATTTTGTGTACTTTTAGTCATCAATCTTAAGTAAACTTTTTAATTAGTTACAGTCTAGTGTAATCATCATTTGGATTTTCTTCAATTATTTTATCCCTTCAACCCCGGCATATATACAACTATTCTCTTTCCTCCATTTGTTCTTTAACTCCTCTTTCCCTCACTTGCCAGAGGTAGCTTCTAACTCTTCCAGTTTAGACCCAAAGAAGAGAGGCATTAGTGAAAGAAGAGATACTGTTGGGGTCCCCTGATCCATAGATGTGCAATTACTGATTCTCATGAAACTGTCTTGTGATAAATGAATATCATTGAATTATAAAAATATTGGATGATATTGATGTGTTTTATTAATAACAGTAACTCCCACTGATTTGGAAGACACTCCCAGGAACTGTATTTACAAACTCTATGTATTTTTAACCATTACACCAATTTTTATGTACAAGAAACAAACCCCACTGATAAATGGAGATGCTGGAGTCTGGATAGCTGAAGATCCCAGAGTTTTTGTGCCTAGGCTGCCCAAACATGGGGTAGACTTTTTAAATGATTTCCACATTATGTACTTTATATTTGCTTTAAAAAAAACTTTTGGCTTAATAAAATTTTTGAGTTTGATTATATTTACCAATTACTGGTCTTTCTATTAGTACAAATCAAGAGAGTAAATAAAAGTAACTATCTCAGAACAAATTAAAGAAATCCAATTTGCAATTCTCTGGATGTTTGGAAGGTAGTTTTAAATTGGAAAATCTATTTTTGTTTTAGGGATTTATATTTTAAAATGCAAGTTGCAAAAGAGTGAATTTTGTAGGAAAGGGAGGATCTGCGAATAACATCTTCTTAAACTAAATCTTGCTTTTAACTATTGCTTAAGTTTTTTACACAATAACGTTCCCCAGATGTTTGTTTGCAAGTTGTTTTGGTGTTTATCATATGAAATAGGACAAATATTAATTGTGTCTCTTTCTAATTTTTCTTATGTAAGAATAATACAGCAGTTAAGTTTTTCTTTTTCAAATAACATACTTGAAATGGAAGCAAATTTCACTTCATTTTACAATTAATATTCTAATAGGCTTTTAGCTATTAATCTTGGATGATTCTCCTATGAAAGACTCTATCATTATAAACTTCCTAAGTTATTCAGAATTCATCTTTTCCATATTTATGAGAGGTACAACTTCACATTTTTAAAAAGAATGGTTCATTTCCTCAAATAGAAATCTTAGCGCTGCCAATTTTAGCAACATTTTATTATGAGCAGTTGTCACCATTCTCATCGTTGACATTTAATTGGTTTCCTTTCAAAACCAGGAAAAGATCCATTCAACAGATATTTATGGTACAGGCCCAGCTCTAAGGGCTGTAGATAAAATGGTGAACAAAACAGTCAAAATCCTTCACTTCATAGAAGTTAGACTCTAAAGAGGTGAGATAAACAATTAAAAGTAAGCAATCAAAAAAAATTTAACATACCTCATGGTGATATGTGCTCTGTTGAAAAAATAAAGCAGGATGTCAAGACAGGGAGCACTGATGTGATGGGAGAAGACAGTGTTTTGCAATTTTAAATCAGGAAGTTGTCACTGAGAAAATGACACTTGAATAAAAACCCAGTGGAGGTCAGAAAATGAGGCAGAAAAATATCTAGGGGATGAACATCCCAGGCAGGCAGAATAGCAAGTGCAAAGGTTTTGAGGCAGGAGCTTGCTTGAAATATTAAAGAAGGAACAGGGAGATCAATATGGCTAGTACAGAGTGGACAGAGAAGGGAACAGAGAAGAAGATAAGGATAGAGAACTAACAGGGGAAACAGCAAGTAAGTTCTTTTAAGTGATTTGAGGAACTAGGATGTCTGTGCTGGTGAGATGGGAATGCATAGAAGTATTTTGATCAGATGAGTCACAATGGTCTGACTTCCATTTCAACATACATTAGGAATATACTAAAACAAGGCAAGGGAAGAAGCAGAAAGATGAGGTAGGAGGTTGTTGTTATAATACAAATGAGAGATGGTGGTAACTTGGGCCAGGATAATTACAGGAGAGGTGGGAGAAGGGGCAGTTTTGTGGGTATATTTTTAATTTAGAACCCATGGGATTTCCTGATGGATTAGCAGTAGAAATGCAAAAAAAGAGAGGAATCCAGCCTGCCTTCAAGATTTCTGGTATAAACAGCCAAAAACATGGAGTTGCCACAAAATATGAGTATCTGCAGTCCAAACAAAATCACATATGCATTTGGTATTTATTTGTCAGTAATACAAGGTATTGCAGAGAAAAACAAACTAAATTGGCTACAGTTAAAGTAAAGCAACATGAAGCCTATAAATGCCCCCAGGCTGTACATAGCACTGATAGAGTAAGTAGAAATGAGTGATATGACACACATGCCTCAAGATACGGGAAGCAGAAATGAGCCAACCTCTGTTAGCAGTAGGTAAAAATTACCATGTGAAGGGTGTAATCATTTCTGTTCATGAGAAATCTGATATATCAGATCTTCAGTCACTTTGAAAATGAAAGCTTCTAAGCTAATTTCTTTCCTTTTTCAAATTCAAATGACAAGATCAGTGCAGGTAAGTCCTATGACAATGAAATTTAGAATAAGATATGCAGTTGATCAGGATACTGGCATTCCCAGGGTAATTCTAGGGCACATTCCCAAGTCTGGTCATTCATTTGGTTGTTTTTTTTTTTTTTTTTTTTTTTTTTAGTGTTGCTTTAGAAAGTAGTTCATGAGCATCAATGTGTGAGGTATGATCATCAAACTCCTGTATTAAAAAGATGTACATTCTAAAAATGTGGCAAGGCCCTTTGTTCAATCCTGGGCAACTAAGAGAAGAGCTTTGGTTCCGGATGCACTGACTGTCTCAAAAAAATATGGGAAGATAGATTTAGCATCTCAGTGTTGCTGAGCACTCTAGTGTAACATGACAGTAATTCTTGATCATTTTCTTACACTGTCTTTCCTGGACATGATAAAGAATTAGTTAAGTAATGCCCATTCTTGAGGGAATATATTGAACAAAAAGGGTAGCAAAAGCTCTTGCATATACTTTATTGTGTCTTCTGTATCTTCTCACTTTGTTTGACAAGATTATGATTTGCATGCATTCTTAAATTACTTATATATTTTCCTAGTATATCTCTTCCATAACTGTGCTAGCATATCGTAGCTAATCTAGAGCACCAAATTTAAGTATCTAAAATGCACAAAGATTGCTTTTGAAATGTGTACTAATTTCAATGACATTGGGCTTGGATGCTGTAAATGCTCTCCCTTTTAAACATAAAATGGATTTGTTCATTGCTTAAATATCATGTCCCCTGTTAAACTGCAAAGGTTGCTGGAAAAGTGGAAAAACAATAGAAGCAGGCTATTGAGAAAAGACCTCAGACCTTGGAGCCCTACAGATCTGGGCTCCAATCCTAGTCCTGCCAGGCTCCAGCTGTGAGTCCTTCCTTCGGCTCCCTAAGCCTCAGTTTCTTCATGTGTGGAAAGGTTTTTGTTTTAACATGGATTAGTAAACAAATAACTGAGTAAATGTGGTTTTACTTTGTCCCCATTTTGAAACCAGCTCTGTGTGTGTGGCTGTGGGTGGGTGTTTGTGTTATGTGTATTGAGGATCCTAAATGTTAAAGATAGAAGAATAACTCCACAACTCCTTGTCAGTGAAACTGGTAAAGAGCCATAGTCCAAACCACAGATGATAAATTCCATGCTAAGTAGACTGAAATCTGGATCAGCTTGAGGAAAGATACTAAAAGAAGAAACAGATCTCCTAACTCATGTGGCATGTAGATCCTCCAAGAACATATGGTATCCTGAATGGCCCAAAGATGCTTATTGGAAGTAGGATGTATAGGGATGGTAGCTGTCATAAAAGAACGAAACATGCATAGCAAGAGAGACTTCCTTTTACTCAGTGGGATAGCAAGGAGGCAAATTGAAAGAGGCACCTTTGAGACAGGCCATACTTAATTTCTGGAACCCACCTCTTGACCTAGAAAAAATTAGCCCAGAAATTAGACAGAAGGAGCATGGTGAGTTTCACCACCAATGCAGCTGAGGCCCTTGATGGGCAAGTGATACATCTTAGAAAGCAGGATGAGGGACACCCTTCCCACCCTCAGCCCCCTCTTGCCAAGGAAGGTACAGGAAGACAAATCATGATGTGCCCACAGGGCAGAGGCTGTTAGAGTTGGCGAAATAAAAAGAAAATGAGCAGTTGGAAAAATTATTTATAAAACATAAACCAGCAAAATTCTCCATTTCTTATAAGTATTTTAAAAAGCTTTTAAATCAGTAAGAAAAATGAGTGGGGAACCAAGGTAGTTTGAACATACTATGGCCTGACTGTTCCACTTCTATGATATATATTATATAAATAAAGTCTTAATCATGCCTACTTGTCAGGAATGAGATGGAGAGGTGACTTTTCCTTTTACCCCATAATTTACTATGTTTTTAGAATTTTTAAAATTAACAATGTAATTTATTTTCTTTTATTATTTAATTTTTTAAAATGAAAGGAAAGGGCAATATTCCTCAAAGTGCCTAGTACAGGGCAGCAGCTAATATCCTAGAGCTCAACCACTTGTGTAGTTAGGTTGTTCAAATTCTGCTTTCACTTAAAAGCAGCCATTTGATCACATATAGAGACAAGAATGCAGATTTTTTTGAAGTCTAAAAATCATTAGTACTGGTAATGAGATATTTATTTTTAGAATCACTTATCCTCTTGACCCTTAATTTGTGGTGCTGTTTGACCATTAAAAAATTGTGTGAGAGGATGGTAAGTGAGATAAATATTATTAACCTGAACTTGATCTTTCATTAGCCCCTGTGGTATGCAGTGCTACTGAAGTCAAAAGATACCTGTATTAGCAGGTTAATTTCTGCCACAGAGGGAGTTGCTGAAATTTACATTTGCTTTGTATTTAACTGACTGTAGGGAGTGACTTTAAATACCTCTGGCTAGGAAAAGGGCAGAATATTAATATTGGGTAATTATCCTTTCCTTTATGTTCCCAGAACTTTTGTTCCTGAAAAAGATTGAGGGACAGTGAAAAAGGTACCTCTTTATGTTTCTCTATTTGAAAAGTTATAAGGCAGCATTGCTCTATTACATTCTAGGAATAACACAACTAATTCTTATTAAGCTCGAAAATAGACTTCTTAAAGTACAGAATGACCGTGTTATTTATTGTTGGTTGTAGTTATGACTTTTTAAATAGAGGCTTGATAAACTTTCTCTTACATGTGATCCATGTGATCATCAGTTTGTATTTAACCAAAAAGAGCAGGTAATGTAGAGATTTTGCATGTGTAGATTCCTACCCTGCACACAAGGATTGGGAAGAAAGGAAGCACATTCAAGCCTTAAAGATGCTATGAGGTAGGAAATTCTTTTGAAGGGAATTTCCACTTTCCTCTCCATAGTGTATTGTTTGTCTATTTCAGTCTTTTATTACTTTGCCAAATAATTAGTTTTCTCTGCTTTACATGTGCAACAGAAGACAATTAACTTCCTCCATGCTGGGTAGGGAATGGTTTATCTGCACTGCACTACAAAATATGTGTATTTTTATTGTTATTAAGGGTGAGTGCCTGGTTTATAACAGAATTATAAATAAAGCCATCAGGAAGGAAGAATCCATCATAATTACTAGATTATCTTTACTGGCCAATCTTTTAACCTCTTCCACATATTATATTTACATTTCCTTGCAATTATTAGAAGAAAAGAAACAGAAGCACCACTGAAAGAAATGCTGAAATTCATACGAATATTTCTATATCGTAACAGTTCCTCAAAAATTATTAGAGAAGAAAGAAAATAAAAAATTAATAGATTAGGGTTATAATATTTTCAAGACATTTTTCTTATTTTACTTTACCTCCAATTAAAGCTTCACACAGAACAGGGAGTTCATTGTGTGGCAGATTCCCTTTGTAGGACTTTAGAGTCATTTAGAGTATCTACTAGAGATTCCAGGAACAGGATAATTTGGATTAAAAATAGATGACATCCCAGAGCTTTGGGAGACCAAGGCACGAGGATTGCTTGAATCCAGGATTTTAAGACCAGCCTGGACAAAATAGGGAGAACCTGTCTCTACAAAAAATAAGAATAAAAATGTAACCAGGCATGATGGTGAGTGCCTGTAGTCCTAGCGACTTGGGTGGCTGAGGTGGGATGATCTCTTGAGCCAGGAGTCCAAGGTTACAGTGAACTATGATCATGCCACTGCACTCTAGCCTGGGTGACAGAGCAATAGCAAGACCCTGTATCTAAAAACAAAAACAAAACAACAAAACCAAGATGATAGATTAATGTGGAATTTTCCCAGTTTGTATAAACTTTTGTTGTTGTTTTGAGACAGGGAGTGCAGTGGCACAATAACGGCTCAGATTCTCCTCAGGTAGCTGGCACTACATGCCAGGCTAATTTTTTGTAGAGACTGGGTTTCACTATATTGTTGAGGCTGGTCTCAAACTCCTAGGCTCAAGTGATCCATGTGCCTCAGCCTCCCAAGGTGGTAAGATTACAAGTGTGAGCCACTGCATCCCACCAACATTTTTTCCCCTAAATAGCAGTTGTGGCAAATGGCTTTTCCCTGTGAAAACTTCCCCCTAAATAGCAGTTGTGGCAAAGGGCTTTTCCCTGTGAAAACTTTTCTGATCCTCTTATTTCTTTATAGTATTTGATTTTCCAGGGTTTCCTTTCAAGAGATTCTGGACGTGTGTCTAAGTTGCTTAAATTTTGACACTGACATTGTCGCTTTAGGGAGGTAAAGTAAAAAACTAAGGTAAAATTAATTTATTCCATGGGGAACGTGAAGGGTGTGACTGTAAACATTTTGAACTTTCGTCTAGGGTTTGTCTCCATCGACCACAGTATTACTATTGCTAAGCATCCAGGTACTTGGGTGCCCATGTGCAAGAGCTCTAGTGAGGTCTTTGAGTGTCTCTCCATTAAATCTGAAATAAAACTGATTTCAAAATAAATTCCATTTTCAGCCACTAATCAGTGACCATTTTCCTGGAAACACAAAGTAACTATCTTGTATTTAGAGTACACCACGTGAAGACAAATCACAGGGAATGCTGTCTTTGTCCAGCCGTGAGCTTCCAGAGTACCAATTTCATCAGGCTTGCAGAATACCAGTTTCAATTCTGAGTGACAAGGTGTCCATTCTAAAGTTTGCTCCCCGAAATTGTTCATACATGTAATAATATGTATTTGAGACAGTAAAAATGGTTAAACTGTCAAAACTGTCTTTCTTTGTCCATATTTAATTTTGAGGAGATGGCAAAGGCTCAGCACAGCCAAGAATTTACTCACTTAATGGCCTATGATAAATCCTTTCTGGCTTTAATGCTTTCAATATTATGTCATGTACAGCTGTAAATAATAACTTGCAACTATAGTCGTGGAAATCAGAAAGGTAAACAATTTGAAACTTCATGGGCACTCAAAATGAGCAAATTGTTAGGTTTCAGAGAAACTGATTCTTATGTCAAACACCTAAATGAACAGTTTGCAGCCTATCTATATTGACAGCATTTCTTGAGGAAAAAGGAAAAGCTGTTTTTTCAAGGCTCTTCCTAAACTCTTTCAGTGTCTATTCTATACTGATCCCTTTGTGAGGCCCCTATATGGTTCAATACAAAAAGTGGTCTACTTAATTTTCAGAAGAGAAAATACTGTTTAGTAAGCTCAAGCAGCAAAATTGCTTGGCTGTTTATTTAACAGAGGCAAATTAGTATTGATGAACAGATTTGATGAATAACAAGGATCCTACTTGTCCCAGCTGTTGGAGTGCAGCTCAGATCTGCACTTGTGCTGTCGATGCCCTTTAGCAAGCTGCTCTAAGTGTTGGCTGCTAACAGCTTGGAGCTCTTTCTCTGGAATATTGCCCTTGGTCCAACAGGAATTGTCTTACCCCCCAAAAAAGTTACATGCCCCTTACCCACCCAATGACTGACTGATAATGGGATGTGGAAGATGGTCTCTTTGTCCCAAAGTGGAATAAACTCTGCTGTGCAATTGGCATCCATTTCTCCCCAAGCAATCAGGCTGAAGCTAGACACCAGCTGAGACCACATTCTCCTGCAATGGTTTCCTGACACTCTGTTCCAAGAGAGTGCTAACTCAGTAAGACATGTGCACCTGAAGCTGCCTCTAGGCACTCCAGCCCAAAACAAATGTGAATGCTGCATTTCTACAATACTATTTTTACCCTATTACATTAGTAATATCAAATGTAAGAGGCATCAAGACACCAAAAGTGACCAGGAAGCCACACGTTACTTAGGTTACTTAGCACTAGTCAACATATAAACTGAGAAAACGATAAAAGCAATGGTTGTTTTCTCTAAAAGGGTATCCCAATTGTGTAAAGATAATATTTAGTGAAAGAGAAAGAGAGAAATAAGCAAAGAGAGAGAGTGACTATAAAATACTATAAAATGTTCAGGTCATTAAATTTTCCTTTTTTGATCATTTAAAAATATTGCTTAATTTTGAAACTTATGAGGCTACATTTTAACAGATATAAACAATGTAATAATGAGGATTAAATGCATAGTGATCACATTTGAAATGTTTAAAAATGTGAAAGTTTCTCTTAATACATATTTTAGTGATGTCTATGTCTTTATAAATTAGGAAACAGAGAGAAAGGGTAACAATGGTTGAAGTAATAAAAGCTTTCTACATAATTTTAAGGAAGTTTGGAATTTAAAAATCAGCCTGGTACAGTGGCTCACACCTGTAATCCCAGCATTTTGGGGGAGGTAGGAGGATCACTTGAGTGCAGGGGTTCAAGACCAGCCTGGGCAACATATTAAGACCTCATCTCTACAAAATCTGAAGAAAATTAGCTGGACATGGTGGCACATGCCTGTAGTCCCAGCTACTTGGGAGGCTGAGTTGGGAGGATCCCTTTAGCCCAGGAGTTCAAGGCTGCAGTGAGCTAAGATTATGCCACGGTACTCCAGCCTTGGGGGCAGAGTGAGACCCTGTCTCCAAATTTTTTTTTAAATCTCCTCTGTTACAGGATATCATTGCTACCTTCTAGCTTTTAATTTGCATATAAATTTATTATAGCATAGCAGCTCACTAATATGCATTTTCCCCCAAACAGTAATTATTCAGGCAAATCTTTAATTAGATCAAGGCAAAATAAATATTCATACATTCTAATTTTGAATTGTTGGAACCTTCTATTATAATTTTAAAATGATAAGTTCCCATTACAATATCAATTCCTTTGTCTATTGGTTTTAAAAAGACAAGCACATCATTTTATTTGATAGCAACCTGCACATATGAAACTATTTCAGTATTTGTTTTTTGTTAAAGTATAGAGCATTTATATTCTCAGTTTGTTAAAGGTACTCTATAAGATTTTTTTATTTTTTAACCATGGTGCATTAGAGATAAAATCAATTACTTTCTTAACATGTATAGAAATACATAACAATTACAGTTAGCAGGACAGTTATTACCTACCAAAGTGGTACATTATTCTTTTTAGTTTCTCACTCTTCATATAGGAAATAAACATTAATTCAGTGTTTTGTTTCCAACAGTACCCTAGAGCAGTTTCTGCTTGTTATCCTGGTACGTATTACCTAACCCTCATTAGTATAAACACAAAGATGTATTTGCAAAAGTAGTTTTATTTTCGAGTTCTTCAGTAGGGTCATGATAATAACTCACAGAATTCTACCACAAGAACTGGGATAGCAAAGTTGGGTCATAGGCAGTTAAGTAATTGGCCTCAGATAGTTATCCTAAAGCTGGAAATTTTTGCAAAGTTATTGTTGGTCCAAAGAAAAAGCTGAAACATTATCCTTAATTGTGATATAAATGTTAAACTCCATGTTAACAAGGAGCCCTTTGCCTTAAGACTGCCTCTACAAACTAGGTCAGAACACAAAAATCCCCCAAGTTAGAGATTACTTTTGTTGTTTTGTTGTTTGTTTGTTTTTTTTACTGTGCTAAATTGAAATTTATTGTCAAATACATAATTTTTAATAGATATTTTATCTTTTCATTTAAAATTAATAAATAGATATTTAATAAATATATATTGTTAAAGAGAAGTCACTTATTTGTCTAGACTATAATTTATAATATCAGGGGGATGATTCATCAGATATTTCCCTGAGAATAGATTTCAATTAAGGAATTAGAGATTGAGAAGGAGAGATTTGCATGAATTTGGATGTCTGGAGAGGGGAGAACTTAGAAAGTGGAGGTTACTTCAGATATTTGCCCTGTTTCACAGTCTTGTCCACGTGGGTCTGTTTGCATTCTGTTTTGGTGGACAGGAATAATGCAGCAGCATCTCTAAGCAGAGTGTTAGAACATTAGCCGTCCACAATCCTAAATGTAGGACATTGACGATACAATTATCCTTTGCAGTACTGTTGCCTTCTAGTATGGAACTAAGTCACATATAATGCTGGTTAGTCATTTATTATATTTGATGTCATGTAGCAGAATTAGTTTAAGAAATCATTGGAAAAACACCTGACGTGTGCATATGTTTTATAGTGTTTAAGGTTGTTCTAAAGATAATAGACAAAGACCAGTCTTTAACTTCATTGGAGAAAAAGGTTGACTTTTGGATTTAATTACAATTTAGTTCTAGATTCCAGATCAGATTTTTTTTATGTTGAAAAACACCATTTCACCATGCAAGGCCTCTATTGTCAGCTTTGTACTTCCATAGATTTGGCCATGCTGAGGTTAAAATGCATGTTAGACATCAATATGGAGATATCAGGCACACAGCCGAATGGAGTCTGAAGCTCAGAGAGAGATCAGAGTTGGAAATACATATGCTGAAATATGTAAATCTTCAGCAAATATAAAAGGCATTTAAAGGCCCAGGGTGAGATAAGTTTACTTGAAGAAGAAGGAATCTACTGAAAAATTTGAACAATTCAAGAATGATTATCTAGGAACTTCATTATTTGGAGGTCAAGTAGAGGAGAAAGAAGGAGTCACTAAGAAAGTAATATAAAAACCACTGGAGCATATTATCATGGAGACCAAGAGAGCGGAGTGTTTCAAGAAGGGGAGAGGAGGTCAGCTGCATCATCTGTGGCTAAAATATGATGGTAGAAGCATCATCATTGATTTTGATAACATGGGGTTTTGTAGGTGAATTTGGTGAGACTTTTCAGAAGTGTGGCAGATACACATCAGATTGGTGAGTACTGAAGCATGAGTGGTAGGAGAAACAGAGGAAAGCAGATGAAGTCAGTTTGGCTTTGAAACAGAAGAAAATAGTTGCTGGAGAGAATATGAAGTCAAAGAAATAAGTGACTCTAAAAGGGATGGTGGTGGGTAGCAGAAAAGTGGATTGGTCAGTGAAAGTCATTATGAAGTAGTAGAATTTTTAAATGTATTTGAGTCAATGAAAAGGATAGAGGAATATAGTCAGAGTGAGATATGTATTATAAAGAAGATGAAGGAGGCGGGATATTTTTCTAAGTGAATGTTAGGACTAGGGTATCATTATGGGAGTGGGAAGCTGTCAAGTAACGTAAGAAAAGCTTACTGGAGGCGACAAAGTCAAGGAATCAGATGTCGGCATATTGGGTGGGTCATTCCCCGGATGCTGATGTAACACAGAAGGATGACAGAGAAGATACTTCAATAGATCTTCAAGGATCTTCAATGAATGACCCAAGTTTTATAAATGACACTAGAGGAAAAAATGGCGGCTAGCATACTTGGATGGCATAAGTAGTTTTTTGTTTTTGTTTTGTTTTGTTTTGCTTTGAGACAGGGTCTCACTCTGTTGCCCATGCTGGAGTGCAGTGGCACGAACATGGCTTAAGTAGCAGCCTGGCCTCCTGTGCTCAAGAAATCCTCCCACCTCAGCCTCCCAAGTAGCTGAGAGTACAGACACACACCACCATGCCTGTCAGTTTGGGTTTTTAATAGAACTAAATGAATTACAAATGGGAAAAGTAGAGTGAAAACACTCATCTTCACCTCCTGGACCTGAGGTACACAGAGTGTAAAAGAAAATTTAAAAAGCACTCACTAGGGAGAGCTAGTAAAACAATGATGTGCTCAGGGTACATTCACACTTGAGTTATGGCAAGGGGAAGGACATATTTTTAAAAGACATTGAGGGTAGAGGAACATTTAGTGATCATAGACATGGGCTTCTGGCAGTAACAAAGTGTTTAGAATGGAGTGGAGATGTGAATGAGGGGATGCACACAGAACGCACAGGGGATGAAAGTCTGAGTCATAGTGAGTGTTATGATCCTGGAGGTCTGGTTGCTAGTGACACAAGGATGTGGGGCAAGATGAAACTAATCCCGAGAGCATCCTGAGCAGAAATAAGACTGATCAGTTCTGTCTGTGTGCCTGAAAAGTTATCTGATGTAGATTTGGTGCTCTCTATGGGAGTACGTGGGGATGCCATTGCCCTGGAACTACTGTTTCTGGTGAAGGATGCTGAAGCTTTGTGGATTCTTCTTCTAATTTGCCTCACTCTTGAGTCCTACCCAATCAGTACATTTTCGGAGATGGAAACTTTGTCAGTATTATATCAGCAAACATGAACACCTTGTGCTTGCTCAGAGTGGGTAAAAGCTCTCAACCTTGCCAAGATGTGCTTCAAACTTGATTGCTATGGTAATTTTCTTGTGCTTAATGACAGGGCAAGGAGTAAAGGGAAGAAATTTTCACTGAGTATCTAGATGTGCTGAACTCTGGAAACCCTTGCCTCATTTATTGTGGCTTCAATCTACTCTTCTGCTCATTTTGTAAGCAAGAGTCTCAACTCTAATGCTAGCAATACTTAACTGCAGGAAACGACTATTATAACTCATGTCATTATACCCACGTCTTGAAAACTACCATATTAAAGGGAAAAAGTACCGGCTCGGGGAGGCTACTTTATTAATATCACATTACATTTAAGTCAAAGTAATGCTGCTTTTGGAATTTAGATTTCTTGCATCCAAATCTTTTTGAAGGTTAGGAAGCCATGTAGCATACAAATGAAGGTGAACTACATTATCTATCGCCAAAGTTAGACTGATTTATAACCAAATACTATGTCTGTTATACTATTCTTTTAGTATACGTTAAAGTATAGAGTTAAAGCTTGAGGAGATGCTGAGAGGAATGTTATCATGAAAATAAAATCTGGCTAGTTATTAAGGTGCTTCAAAATTAAATTTTCACCATGGTTTGGGTTTGACCTTAAATTTGTAGGCTAATGGATTTCATCTTGTGATTATCTCAAATATCTGGTGAACAGCTACTTTGTGGGAAGCTGTACCTACAGAGACAGATTTATTGTTTAGTGGAGACAATATCAAATATCACATACTTGCTGACTTGAATGAGCTGACGATCTTGTAAAACATACAATCAATTGTCAATTAGAATGTGCTAATCATCGGCATTGGAACAACAGGGAAACTAAACGTGGGGGCAGGGTATAAGGGCTCTTAAATAAATGCATATCTAAGCACCAATAAATAATTTTTACAGATACCTTGCATAAAATCAGCATTTCAGTTTTTTTAAATTTACTATTAAAAATGCCTGTATAGAAAATCAGATTATTTTGTGATCTCTTAAATGGCAGCAAGTTAATTAAAAGTTCAGTGTATTCAATTGTCATCTTTTTGGAAGAGATTGGATTTTTAATTAATAAATTAACACATTAAATATAACTTTTCTTAATATAAATTGTTAAAATAAATTAAAATTTAAAATATGGTATTGTTTCTCCTATGCTGATGTAAATTTTCTTAATATAAATTGTTAAAATAAATTAATAAAAATTTAAAGTATGGTATTGTTTCTCCTATGCTGTTTCAGTGGGTACATTTATTTCCATGTCTTCTGTAAATATAAGAAAAATAAATAAAATTTAAAAGTATATTTGATAACTTGCAATATTTGATCCTGCAAAAGTCTTGGGAAAATAAAAATAAAAAGAGGAACTATTTTCTTCATATTCAATAATGTATTGAAATGACTTTAACTCAGCTCACCTTTTATCTGATATTGTTCCCTAAGATTTTAACTGCTTTTAGGAGTTGAAATGGCTCATTCATCCAACAAACCTTTCTTTTTCACCTACTGTATACAAAGTCCCACATGACCTCTCAATATGTTATCAAGATAAAGCAGACAGGGCACCCAGCCACAGAATCTTACAAATATACCTTACCAATTGCAAGTTAAATACTACATTGTAGGAAAGAATTGTCTTCTGAAATATTATAGGTTAGTAATTTATTGGCCATCCAGAAATGATCATGGTCCCTTATTTATCCAGAATTTTCCTGGACCAGATTTCTCCTCTATATAATAGGAAAAGTCTATTGGATGCAGTTCACTAGCTGAAGTGAATAAAGTTCAAATAATACATATTTCTTATATAATATGTTCTAAAATCCTCAATAACAACATACTGAACTCTTACTAATGCCAAAGCAAGAATAATATCTAATTCCATTTAAAGCATAGAAACCAGGAAATGGAGATCAATATATTTTAATCACTTTTTTCATTATGTAATCAAATCAAATACTATCATTGCATTATGTATATGCGAATATATGTTTTAACGAATTTTGTTAATTCAAATTTTAATATAACATTTCACCTTTTATAATTACTGAACAGAATTATTGTCAGGTTTTTGTTTGTGTTAACTTGTACATCTTAGGAGTATCAACCTTTTTTTTCCTTTTTTAAGTAAAAATAATGAATGGCTTTACCTATTTTGCACGCGTGGCTGTAAAAAAAGAAGTAAAGAAAAAGCAAGGAAAGAGGAAAAGTTTTAAAAAACGGGAAGGAAAAAGAGAAAATGAACAAATTAGTAGAACGAAGTACGGATTTAGTGTGTATATGTATGTGTATAGAGATGGGCTCTTCTGAGTTCTACTCTTCTGCCCAGTTGGATCTTAAGTCTAATCCTTATCATTATCATTAGTCCATGCAGGGTGGGCTTTTATGTGTTTAGTTTATTATTTTTACTATTGTGATAAGCATCCAAGAACCCTCCACATCCACAAAATAGTAGGACTTTTAAAATACATATATAAAATGAAATATATAGCTACTCCCTGAAATATATTCCTGCTCCTTGATGAGTTTTTCCAAATATTTTTAATTTCTTTTCCTTTTATTATTTTATAGTTTGAAACTATGATTTTCAGTGTATACCTTTGGAAAATATTCACTCTTTTTGTATAATTAATACAGCAGGTGCAGCTGTTTTCTTTTTCTGTCTCCTTAAATCTATGGAGTGCAGCTTGGAGTGGAGGAAGAATTTGATAGGGCAGAGCCCTGTCTCTGCAGATTTTTGAAGGTGCTCGTGTATTCAGTTAGGGAAGAAACAACTTCCAGATCTGTGCTAATTACTCTGCTCTCTCTCTCTCTGCCCCCTGCCTGCATCTTTCTCCACTTCTCTCTATATTTTTTCTTTTTCTTATTTATTCTTGTTATGTATCTTTTCTACAAGTTCTTCTCTTTCCCCAGTCATCTTCCAACTTGTGAGTGAGATGGGGAGGATAAATATTAAGAAAGCAGAGGGTAGAATGGTGATTACCAGAGGCTAGGGAGTTGAGTGGAATGGGGAGATGGTGGTCAAATAATACAAAATTTCAGTTAGACAGGAAGAATGAATTTTTTGTGATGCACAACATAGCGACTGTAGTTAATAGTGGTGTATTGTATATTTCAAAATTGCTAAGAGAGTAAATTTCAAATGTTGACACCACACACACAGACACACACGCACACACACACAGAATTCTGATGGTGAGTAAAACCTACTTTTCAATCCTCTTCTTCCCTTTCACAAAGTTGCAGCAAAAGGGATGGGATAGTGGTTACATAATTTACAACATTTATAATTTGGCTCTAAGTCATGAGTTATATTAATACATCTCTAAACTCTCACTTTAGAACTGATGTTGAATTTCTAAATAAAAGATAAAATATGACATTTATTTCATGAGAGTTGAGAATTTTGATTTTCATGATTGAAATTATCACACCAGGAAATTATCACACCAAGAAGATATTTTTAAAAATTCTTTCATTGACAAAAAGAAGAGCTTCTCTTTATGTCAGCTGGGAACATGCTTGCATAGTACAGGCTTCTCTTATGAAAGAAAATTTATTAAAGCTCTTTCCCCTTTTATTTTTCCCACAGATAGCTGGCACATGCCATAGAAAAGAACAAGAAGTCATTCTCAATGTTCTGTTACTTATTGCCCACCATATAAGCAGCTCCTCAAAATTAGGGACCCTAACTAGAATTTCAGGAAAAACCTTTAAATATCTTTTATTTGAAGCAGAGGCTGTCAACTACTCTAGTAACAAGATAAGCTCACTTAACTGGCAAAGTATGAAGATAAAATTATCCTACTAGGATGTGCTTTATAAATGTCATGATAAAATGCTCTTTGATGCACTAATTAATTGGTACATAATTGGGTAGTTTTGTTCCACAGTCAAGAATCAATTATAAAACGTTCCCTATATATCTCCCCATCTTTTTTTTTTTTTAATTTGAGATTGTCAATAACCACGCCTCTTCTTTAACAATTTAGGGACGGGAAGAAATGAGGCTCTTCTGCTTCATAAAGTTAGTACAATGGGAGAATAAGGGGATCACCATTTTGCTCTTTTCATGAGACAGCAAAATTTCTCTATGGTTTGTACTTCTTCGACTGCCTTGCCAAGCATTTTTAAAGTAGAATCTCATACCTTAAGACTGTTTTTTCAACACTTTAAAGACACCATGGAGAAACTTGTAGGTATGCCTGTAAGCTGTATCTCTTTAATATTTGAACACTAAGAATCAAAGTATTACTACTAAGCCACTTACTGTTGTAGGGCTTTGTTTACTACTCCACATAGGTGAATACACATCAAACTACAACAATGTATTTAAGTACTTTTCTTTTGACTAGTGCATTCTGTTCTGGTGTTATAAAAATCCTGGCAGTTGTATGTCAATTGTCTTCTATCTCACGTTAAAAGATTTTATGAGAATCACTCAAATTACCTTCCGTTCATTATCTTTACCTGTTCAAAAATAACTTAAATTTCATTTGTGGTATCTTTAAGCAATATGTTATTGATAAAGGGGTGCATTAGAAATGACATCATCTGGCAACTAGAACAAAGAGTGCTATGTCTACACAAAGAATACAAATTTATGGTTATGTCATGAAATCTGGTTTTGACCAGCTGCTCTTTTTAAATACCAAATTTTATAAAGAAATAATAATTTTGTCTAATATTGTACAACAATAGCTGGTTGTATATAGAATTTACTCTCTATGGAAGATTTAGTAAGCACTCATTTAGGAAGAAAACCTATGTTTTAAAACTTGAAACATGATATAATGAAAAGAACGTGGGCACTGCAATCACATAGAGTTGGGTTCAAGTTCTAGATAAGAACCTGTCTTAGCCATCAAGGAAATGAGAATTTTCACTAGGCCTATGTAAATGTACTCATCTTCAATATGGGTACTCATCTACGCATACATATGAGTCAGCTAGACTCAGCAAGGTTTGAGGAAAACCAGCCAGCAGAATTGTTACCACATTCAGCTACACATGAAACACGTTTATTTGTCTTTTTCACTATGGCATTGTTGCTATTAGCCATCAGTAAGTTAATGATTGTGTTAATTGTTATATACCCACCTTTGGGCTGTTAATGCAGCTATTACAAAAAATATGGTATATTTAAATGTACTATCATAAAAATATAAAATATATTCTTAAATGGAAAAAAGTTAAAAGCTATAAAGTATTATTTGATTTTTGTTAACAAAAGAAAAACATGTTTATAATTGCAAGTAAATCTTTAGTAAGACATAGGAACAATGTATACCAAACTCTTAACAATGGTCACCTCTGTGGAAGGGAGTGGATGGAGATGAGGATGTGGTGGAGGTGGGCGTGCATGGAGGGAAACGTCATATTATGTTGTGTGCAATTCTATATTGCTTGGATTTGTTTTTAGGGTAAAAATATATTCATTTGTTGCTTCTGTAAGTAAAATATAAAGAATATAATTGAAAATCACTATAGAACTTTTTTTTAAAGGAGCTAAAGTTCTTTAAAGACTGCCTATCTGTCTACCAGATCCACTAAATTTTGATTCTTTCTAGGCTCTTACTTTCTTAACCAAAGAAAAACATGTTTTTTAGACACAGTGGGCCTGCAGTGCTCACAATGTAATCAAGTTATTACACGCTAGGGAAGAAAACTCATACCACATGGTATATATGTAATAGAACCCCAAAGAATGACCTAGAAAATGATCATAGGATGTCATTAATACCTGGGGGATGGGACAGGGACATTTCCTGTGAGGAGGACAAGCTTCATTACTAGAGTGATAAGCCAGAATCAGACATTTGAGGAAAGGAAAAAAACTTATGGGAAAAAGATAGAGATAACATTTAAGGTGTATTCAGGGGACAGAGACCCGGGCAGATGAAATGCAAAACAAGTGAAACATTCTGGGAAAGATAAGGGGAGAAAAGCAAATTGTGGAAATTGTGAATGGACTTGTAAACCAGACGTTAGAATTTGAGTTGCCAGAGAAGGTGACAGGCATTTAAATTAGATGCAGTACATTGAGATGACAGAAAAATATTCAGTAGTAGAATTGGGAATGACAACTGTGTGCATTAAAATTCTTAAAAAAAAAAAAAAGAAACTCACCTCGAAAACAAAACTGGAATGTACTAAAATGATTAGGGTACAGCAAACCAAGAACTAAACTTTGCCCCTCTCTTGTTTCTCTGGGTGTATCTGCATCATTCTTTTCTTTCTCTCTGCAGATGAGCTTTCATGAACTCTCAGTCCACACTGCCATAGATGGTCATTCCCACAGCTCCTGCTCTGCATGGTGTAGCCCCATAGACAGAGGTACTGGACTCCCTGTCACCTAATCTCTCTCAGGGGGAGAGAGAAATCTAATTAGCCAATCTGGGCTCAAGAACCCATCCAATAATCTATAGTGAGGAGTAGTGAGCAGTTCATGGTGCAGTCATAACTCCTGGGAGTTCCCCCCACAGTGGGGGTGTGGTTCCCAGAGCAAGTGAGGGGAAGACTTGTGATCAGGTACCTTCTCTCTCTATTAACTATGTAACTATTAGCTACATAATTGCCATTGGGAAGATTTTACTTTTGGTATTATTATCCATAAAGATATTGATAAATATTTTGTGACAAAGCATTGGCCCCATGGCACTGCTCATGCCAGTTTACCATCAATAACAATTTTTTTTTATTTTGTGAACTTAAAATATTTATGAATGTCTTATTTTATGAACTGCTGTGAGAGAAAATAAGGGGGAATTTTATTCAAAGGGAAAACAGAGACATCTGTCTAATCAAGAAGTGCTGAAACCAAACTTGGGAAATATACTTTTTTTTCTATTCTGGTAAGGGAGCCTATGTCTTTTATCCAAGGCTTTTCACATCTTAATACCATTTAAATATTATAATCAGATAATATCCACAGGCGTTAATTTATCCTTTCTGCCTCTATTTTACAAATGAAAAGCTGAAGCATTTAAATTTTCTCAATGCTACATAAGACAGAAAAATGGACTCAGTAACTTTAAGTACTGGAATATGCTCCAGTACTAAAACAGGAATGCCCAGAAGAGACAGGAAGCTATAAACCATGTTAAGTAAACAATACAAAAACTTAATAATTATGAAATACAGCAAACAAGGAGTGAATTGGATAACAAGCCCATGATGAACTGTTGAGTCAGTTGTATAATTACAGATATTATAAGTTCAGAGGAAGGCAGTATCCTAAAGATTAGACATGGCTCAATAATTTATGTATTCCCAAATAGGAACACTTCTAAATTGAATAATTAAAGAAGAGTTTGTTTTAACAGGAGAAATAGCTGGTCTGTATAGAGTTAGTCTCCTGAAGGAGAAAAGAATCACATGATAGCTAAGTAAAACAAAAACTAGGATGTAATAGATTTTAAGTAACAAACAGAAAATATAGACAATGAGGGCAGAGTCAAAGTTAGGACCAAAATGAGTTTACTTTTAGTTAAAAGTAATAAGGAAGCAAGAACTATAATCAAGCAAAAGCTATATAGGGTGAAATGTAAGAATTAGTGAATTGGAGGTGGGAAGCCCAGGTAGGCAGATCTGTAGAAGGAATCTATAGAGTAGAAATGCATCCGTTAGTAATGATGGTCATTCCTCATGTTTCTGATTCTCAAATGCATACATACTCTCTCAGTTCCAGAACTATCCTTCAGTTCCTAATTGGGAGGCCAAGCTTATGATGTGTCTTGATTGCAGACTTGTATGTGATACCCTTATCTTTATTACGTCACATGTGTCTTACAGTGGCTCCAGTGCTGGCCTTAGTGAGTCTCTATTCTTTATAGCAGGGGAAGATAAAGTAGAACCATAGAACAAATATGGCCAGAAAAGGGAAGAGTTAAAGAAAGCATTGCATTAGGAGCCTGAGTGATTGGGAAAATATCAACATTAATGATAGAAATCATGAAAATAAAAGGGTATGTTTAGATGAGCTCACTTTTAGGTGTATTTTTCGTTATCTTAATTTTGAGGTGCTCAAAAATGAAATATAAATGCCTCATAAATCTGGAAAATTCATCATGAGATATCAAGATATGTTTATTTTACTCATTTTCCCAGCATTCATTAGAACTTCTAAATCCAAGAGCCTAAAACTTTCCTCAGTTTTAAGACATTTTGTTCCATGCTTGCTTTACATGTCCTTATGCTTTATTTTCTTATTCTTGGTTTCTGGAAAGCCTGTCGTCAAATATTGGAATCAGTCCTTCATATCCTTTGGCTTTACTTTCACGCTTTGTATCTCTTGGTATTTTTAATAGCTTCTGGGAGAATTCTGGCTCATTCTTCTAATTTGTTCTTTCGCTGTGCCCATTCTCTTATTCAGCTCATCTATTGAGATTTAAATGTCAGTGATCATTTTTGTCATTTTTCTGAAAATTAGTTGATTTTTATTATGGATATAGCCTCCTATTTCCCTGATGATATTAATCATACTTAATCTAAATTTTTGAGAAATTTCTTCTAACCTTGTTTTCAAATATATTAATATTTATTAGCTGCTTTTCATGGCATTGGCTTTCCTTAAATGTCTATATGCTCATCTTTAGAATCAGGATTCCTTGTTAGCTCAAGAAAAAGTCTAGTGAAGTAGTTAAGAAGATAAGGCCCAGAGCCCCATGGCCTCTGATGAAATTCCTGCACTACCATGTGCTGGCCCTGTGATATTAATATTCCCTAAGTTACCCTGTGACTAATGTGACTTCTCATTTCTGTGCCTCAGTTTCCTCACATATATAAACTCTTACTTCACAGGGTTTCATGGGAATTAAATTATTAACACATGCAGTGCTTTTGGAAGGAAACCTACCACTTAATGGATATTAGTTATTAATGTTATGAGAATAATGAAGTGTTTTAGTATTAATAAATACTAGCTTTTAATATTATATGACTACTGAAACATTTTATTGCATTCAGACTCCACTAGTTATGTGAGTGGTTAGGCTGTGTTGCTGAGCAGAGTTGGAGTGTACTAGTAGTTTGTCCTCTAGGTATGGAGGCTTTCTGATCCTACCTAATGTAGTCAGCCACCTGGGGAATTTACTACTCCAGCAGGGCTAGGTGGGGTCTGAGGATGGTGGTGGAAAATCATATCTCCTTCTCACTCCCTGGTCCAAGTGTATGTATGGAGGTGGAGGACTCCCTGGCTACTCCAATCTTGTATCACTACTCTTCACCCTGTGGGGAGTGTGTCTGGCTGTGGGTCTCTGTCTTCTGATACGTATAGGGATTTTTGATAGGAAAATGAAGTGCAGCATGTACTCTGATCCCCATCTTGAGGCAATTCTGAGTGTTTGTTTTGAATGTGACTTGCCTGATGTGATTCAACAAACAATTCTGTGTTTTTGACATGCCCTCCTTTCTGCCAATTATGTCTTAGAATTTGCCCCTTGTAAAAAAAAAAAAAAAAGTCGTTTTGAACTATGGATATGGAGGTCTACAAAAGTGTTATAAAGATAGCTTTTGTTTTTATTTCATAGTTTATGATACGTGGCTACAATAAGTAAATACATCCATTAATAACTAGTGTATAGATTTTTCCTGGTTTTCATTAATAAGTAGATTGTGAAACAAGAGTTGGAAACAAGTGGAAAATATTTTAAGTTCTTGGCTTTTTTGTACTGATGATATGTTAGAAGAGACATGGGAGTTTCTTCAGCTATTAGTTGAGCTGTCTTAATTAGTTTCATGGAATCAAATCATTTCATGATGGCTTTGAGGACATAAAATAAGATGACACATACACCCTAGTAGTATATATATGTCCTCTATACATCCCAAAGATTATTTTGAACAGGAGAACAACAGCAGCAGCAGCTGCTGCTGCTGCTGCTACCACTGCCACCGGAAGCACTGTGGTGGGAAGGGACTCAGTTTTCCAGGCGAAATGCCATTGAGTCCCGGACATTTTAACAAGATGATGTATTCAGTGTCTGAGCTCATGCAGGGCAGTGGCAGTGGCACCTTCATCCCTCTCCCTGCAGAATTGTCATTGTGGCTACTGGTCACCAATACCAAGGGACAACGTATGATAAAAAATGATGCTGGTAGAAAGATTTGGAGGGGGATAAGAATTGATGTTGATTCTCTTTCCCTTTTGATCACATAAGTATTAATGTTGCCTGAATCTGATGCATATTAAGATTCTCCTTTGTGGAAGAGGTAAATGCCTATAATGCTGTATCTAAGAATTGAAGCCAGTGTGACATGCCTTGAAAACCTCAAACTGTACTTTCTTTCCTATGTGCATCCTAACTTCTCCAGGTTGGATGCAGTTCATTGACCCAGAAGGTATCTGATGGCATGGAGTTGACATTTAAACAAACTTTCTGACTCAGGTGGTTCAAGAAAAAAGTTTTGGTTCATCAGAAAGAGAAGTTTGTTAAAAAAAAAAAAACTGGGCAGTTAATCTGACAGCTTCGTGTTCACTTTGATTTAAAATTTGCTTCTCTGTTGTTAAAATGTTAACATTCCATTTATTGTGGTTCCCATCTTTAGAATTTTTCTTTCTCTTTTGCTTAAAGAGCTTTGATAGAATTGCATTAGAATACTGTGGGCTGTTAAATATAGTCGTGATTTGTAAGAAAAGGAATTTCAAAATGAATCAAAGATGAATCTTCACTGATCTTAGAAAAGCAAAGGATACATGGAAGCTTGACTTTTCAGAATTGATCTTTTTGTTTTACAGCTTGTTTTCATTTCAATAAAAAAGACACTACTAAGTCTGCAAATACCTATCACAAAATCTTAAAGTAAATGTCATTTTTATTTATAGCATGCAGTGCACAGAGTAGTGTAGCTTAGTGATTTAGATCATGGATAAAATCCTGACTCAGTCCTTACTAGCTATGTGGTCTTGGGCAGGATTCTTAACTGTATTGGGACTCAATGTCCTCATATATAAAGTAGGAATAATAAGAGTATCTGTTTGATGGGGTTGTTAAGAGGACCATGTGAGTCAATACTCAGAAAGCACAAAGACTATATGCTACCTGGAAACAATATGTATATGTTTATTTTTAGCATTTCTTTCTTTTTTTTTTTTTTTTTTTTTTTTTGACAGAGTCTGGCTTTGTCACCCAGGCTGGAGTGCAGTGGCGTGATCTCGGCTCACTGCAAGCTCCTCCTCCCGGGTTCACGCCATTCTGCTGCCTCAGCCTCCTGAGTAGCTGGGACTACAGGCGCCCACCACCACTCCCAGCTAATTTTTTTGTATTTTTAGTAGAGAAGGGGTTTCACCATGTTAGCCAGGATGGTCTCGATCTCCTGACCTTGTGATCCACCCACCTCAGCCTCCCAAAGTGCTGGGATTACAGGCGTGAGCCACCGCACCCAGCCATATTTTTAGCATTTCTTTTTTTAAAAAACCACCTGAAATTATGGGGAAGCTTAAGTTATTGGACTATATAAAGTGAAATTGTTTCTGAAGCTGTTTGTAAACATATTTTGTGATTCTGACATCATGTGTAGTAAATTACTAAGAAAAAACTTCCCTAGTTATAATTAAGAACAATAATCATTCTCACTCTTATCACTGTTTTCTGAAACTAAAATATATTTCTTTCCTTTGTATAGCTCAGTATAAAAACTACAGAAAACTTAATGTGATGCTTTTAGAAGGAAAATCTTATCAATGATCCCATAATACTAATATTTGTCATTAATAACCTAGCACAGTTTATCTTACTGTTTGTAGCATTTTTATTCATTTTCAGAGCTGGTAGCAAAAATCACATTAAATTATATTGTTGGATGACAGTGCCTATTAATGTAAGTATAAAAGGACTAATGATGGACTCATCTATAATTTTTGGCTTGCTTTCTCCATACCTTCTCCAGTAGTAACTCTGTTGATGAAAACATTCGTACCAAGATGTTTACCCAATTTGTGAAATTCAATATGTGCCAAACTTAATTTTTCATCATTCATGCTCAGTTCTCAGACCTTTATCTGTTTCTCCCACCTCCTTTCAACCTTTCCCTTATACTGCCTATGTCAACACATACATGCACACAGAGAGAGAGAGAGAGAGAGAGAGACAGAGAGATACAGAGCACCTCTGTTCAACTTTCTTCTCAGATGTATCTTTGTTTCCTATTTCCCCAATCTCAAATATTTAGTTATATTTGAGTCATCATTTCTCTTTTTTTAAAAATTCAGAACACAGTGAAATTGTAATGAATCTTCCTTTAAAATCACTCTTCTTTCCTACCACTGCTGTCATGACTCTAGAGATAGCCTTCAGTGTCTGATTTTCTTCTTTCTGTATTGTCACTATACTTAACAACAATCTGTATTTGTTGGTCATATTGATTTTTATTATCAAATCTAGGTGCAAGGTACTCGTTGCTTTTGAAATGCTTCATTGACAAATTATCCTTTAAGTATGGGTAGGTGAAAAATGGACAAGGAAAGATGATATCATACAATATCATAAAATAATATAATAGAGAATAAATGGCCAGGCGTGGTGGCTCACACCTGTAATCCCAGCACTTTGGGAGGCTGAGGCAGGTGGATCACCTGAGGTCAGGGGTTCGAGACCAGCCTGGCTAACATGGTAAAACCCCATCTCTACTAAAAATACAGAATTAGTTGGGTGTGGTGGCATGTGCCTGTAATCCCAGCTACTTGGGGGGCTGAAGCAGGGGAATCACTTGAACCCTGAGGTGGAAGTTGCAGTGTGCCAAGATTGCACCATTGTACTCCAGCCTGGACTAAAAGAGTGAAACTTCGTCTCAAAAAGAAAAAAGAGGAAATATTTAGATTGATTGGTTAAAAGTATAAGGAACATATTAATTTTCTATTTTCAGCTATCAGTTTTCTGTGGCTGTCATATTACCACAAACTGGGTGCCTTAAAACAGCAGAAATATGTTCTCTTATTCTTCTGGAGGCCAGACGTCTGAAAGCAAGGTGTCAGCAGGGCTGTACTACCTCTGTGGCTCCAGGGGAGAATTCATTCTTTGCGTTTTCATCATTCTGGCTGTTGCCAGATTCCTTGACTTGTGTCCACCTCCCTTTGCTTTATCTTCAAGTGGCCTTCTTCTCTGTGTGTTTTTTATGAGACACTTGTCTTTGAATTTAGGGACTATGAAGGTTGATTTTTTGTATGGGTCAACTTGTCTATGGTGTTCAGTTGTTGGGTCAGACACTTGTCTAGATGTGTTTTGTGAAGGTACCTTAAAGATGTGATTAATATTTATGAGAAAGCAGATTATCTTCTGTAAAATGTGGATGGGCCTCATGCAATCAGCTGAGGCCTAAAGAGCAACAGCTGAGGTTTCTTGGAGAAAAAAGAATTTTGTCTCAAGACTGTAACATAAAAATCCTGTCTGAGTTTTCAGTCTGCTACCCTGACCTATAAATGTCAGACTTAGGACTGCAACATCAACTTTTACCTGAATTTCAAGCCTGCCAGCCTGCCGTGTGGATTTCAGACCAGCACTTAGAGTTGTGGGAACTAATTCCTTAAAACCAGTCTTTCTCTGTTCTCTCTCTACCTCTCTCTCTCTCTCTCTCGCTCTTCCTCTCTCTCTTTCTTCCCCCTCTCCTTCCCCCTCCCCCTCTCCCAATCTACCTCCTTATTTCCATCTTTTCCATTGTTCTATTTCACTAGAGAACCCTGACTAAAACAGGATCCAACTTGCATACTCTGGGATGATCTTAACTCAAAATTCTTAACTTGGTTACATCTGCAAAAACTCTTTATCTATCTGAAAAACCCTTTATCCATAAAATAAGAGTCCCAAGTTCCAGGGATTTGATATGAATAAATATCTTTGGGGTGGGTGGACATGTTTTAACCGACTACAACTACCCTATAATTAGGAATTCCTTATTCTGTCTCACTTGTACCACAGTACATTACCAAGTTTCAAAAGGTATCATATACTTTTCAAAAGAGTTATCAACATAAAATTAATTTTATTCACATCAGAAAATGAACATATATGCCAGATGAACTTTATGAGAGAAGACTATCTTAAGGTATAATAAAAATAGTATAGTTAATTATAACTTTAAATCCCATGCATAAAGCTATATTTATTAATAACATCTAGAATCTGAGCCACACTTTTAAAAAATGAAGTGAAGATGTACAAAAAAAAAACTGGTACCGGTCTTACTGAAACTATTCCAAAAAGTCAAGGAGGAGGAATTCCTCCCTAACTCCTTCTGGAAAACCTGTATTACTCTGCTACCAAAATCGGGCAAGAACACAACAAAAAGAGAAAACTACAAGGCAACATCCCTGATAACACAGATGCAAATCCTTAAGAAAATACTACCAAACTGAATCCAAAAGCACATCAAAAAGATAATGTACCACAATCAAGTGGGTTTTATTCTAGGATGCAAGGATGGTTCAACATCCACAAATCAATAAATGTGATTCATTGCATAAACAGCCGTACAAACAAAAACCATATGATCATTCCAATAGATGCAGAAAAGGCATTCGATAAAGTCCAACATTTCTTCATGATAAAAACCCTCAACAAACTATGCATAGACAGAGCATACCCCTAGATAACAAAGGCCACATACAACAAACCCACAGTTATCATACTGCATGGGGAAAAGTCGAAAGCCTTTTTTTCCAAGAACTGGAACGAGACAAGGATAGCTACTCTTAGCTCTTTCATTCAACATAGGACTGGAAGTCCTAGCCAGAGCAGTCAGGCAAGAGAAGGAAATAAAAGGCCTCCAAATTGAAAGAGAATAAGTGAAAGTATCTGTTTGCTTGTGACATGATTATACACCTAGAGAAGCTAAAGACTCCTCCAAAAGACTCCTAGACTTCATAAACACATTCAGTAAAGTTTCAGGATACAAAAATCAGTGTGCAGAAATCAGTAGCATTTCCATATACTGATAACATTCAAGTTGAGAGCAAAATCAAGAACTCAATCCCATTTACAATAGACACACACACACACAAATAAACACCTAGGAATACATTTAACCAAGGAGGTGACAGATCTCTAAAAGGAGAACAACAAACACTGATGAAAGAAATCATAGATAACACAAACAAAAAGAAAGACATCCCATGCTCAAGGATTAGATGAATCAATATCGTCAAAATGACCGTACTGCCTAAAGCAATCTATAGACTCAGTGAAATCCCTCTAAAATTTCAATATCATTTTTCATAGAAGTATAAAAAACTCCTAAAGTTCATATGGAACCAGAAAAGACCCTGAATAGCCAAAGCAATCCTAAGCAAAAAGAACAAACCTGGAGATCCCACACTGCCTGACTTCAAATTATACTACAAGGCCATAGCAACTAAAATAGCATGATACTGGTACAAAAATAGATACTTTGATCAATGGATCAGAATGGAGAACCCAGATACAAAGCCACATATTTACAACCAATTGACCTTTGACAAAGTTGACAAAAATAAACAGTGGGGAAAGGACACCTTATTCAATAAATGGTGCTAGAAAAATAGGCCAGCAATATGCAGAGGAATCTCTTTTATCTCTTCGCATATACAAAAATTAACTCAATATGAATTAGAGACTTAAACATAAGACCTGAAACTATAAAAGTCACAGAAGAAAATCTGGAAAAAATTCTTTTCGACATTGGCCTAGGCAAAGAATTTATGATGAAGACCCTAAAAGCAAATACAGCAAAAACAAAAGTAGACAAATGGGGCTTAATTAAACTAAAAGCTTCTGCACAGCAAAAGAAATAATCAACAGAATAAACAGAAAACCTGTAGAATAGGAGAAAATATTTGCAAGTTATACCTGTGACAAAAGACAAATGTCCAGAATTTATAAGGAACTCAGACAATGCAACAGGAAAAAGACAACCCCACTGAAAGCTGGGCAAAGGACATGAAGAGTCATTCCTCCAAAGAAGAAGTACAAGTAGACAAAAAACACATGAGACAATGTTCAACATTGCTGATCATCAGAGAAATGCAAACTAAAACCGCAATGAAATAGCATCTTACATGAGTCAAAATGGCTATTATTAAAAAGTCAAAAAAAAAACAGATATTGGCATGGATGCAGAGAAAAGAGAACACTTAGACATTGTTGGTAAGAATGTAAATTAGTTCAGCCTCTATGGAAAACAATATGAAGATTTATCAAAGAACTAAAAATAGCACAACCCAGCAACCGCCACTACTGGGTATCTACCCTAAGGAAAAGAAATCATTCTATCAAAAAGACCACTGTACTCATGTTCATTGCTGTCCTATTCACAATAGCAAAGTGATAGAACCAACCTAAGTGTCCATCAACAGTTGATTGGATAACGAAAATGTGGTATATATACACCATGGAATATTACATGGCCATTTTAATAAAGAGTGAAATAATTCCCTTTGCAGCAACATGTATGGAGTTGGAGGCCATTATCCTCAATGAACTAACCCAGAAACAGAAAACCAAATACAAAATATTTTCACTTATACATGGGAGCTAAACAGTGGGCACACATGGACATAAAGATGGAAATAATGGATACTGGGGACTCCAAAAGTGGAGAGGCTGAGAGGGTGGTGAGGGCTGAAAAATTGCCTGTCAGATAAAATGTTCACTATTTGGGTAATGGGTACTCTAGAAGCCTAATCTCTATCAGTACGCAATATACGCATGTAACAAGCAAGCACATGTACCCCCTGAATATAAAATATGATAATTTTTTTTGACTGAACTTGTTTTCGTACTTTAAGTTCTAAGGTACATGTGCATACCTATGTAATAATTTTTTTAAATGCAGTGAAATTAAAGTAATTTCAGAGGAAATTCATGTTTCTATAAACAAGAGACCTAATTTTTCAACATTAGGTCCAGAGGCTAATACAAACTATATTTGTTCTATTAATTTGCATATTTGCCAGAGTTTATGAAGTTTTTTTTTAGTAAATAACTTATTCAAGCTATTTATATATCAGACTGAAATAAATATCGAGCATATTTTAAGTTATATATTAACTCACAATTTTTTAAAGCATGTTCAAAAAAATATAGATTTTTTTTACACATGGGATTCAGTGCCCAAATGAAAAACAGACTTCCATTTAAAAGGAAATTTGCATTTGGTGGATAATAAATAGCTCCTGGATTTTGTTGAGTGTGGCTTCTTTTAGCATTCTTTTCTTTCTTGCATTTTAATATCTGTTAAGATTCAGCAGTAGAATTTGGTCTTCTATATTAAATGGCTATGTCTATTTTTTGATTTTTAAATTTATTTTCTTACCATTTTAAAACTGAAGATAAACTTTACAGTTTTTTATTGTATGCATGTAATCTAAGCAATAATTTTGTGAATATATGTCTACTCGCCTGAATCTCAATCAGGTATTTGATTTTGGGGGTGGGGAGAGTAGCTGAAAATGAAGAAAAAAATAAAGGACTCTCAGCATAAACAAATAAGCCTTTTGTCTTCAACTTTTGGAGCCCAACTTTCATTTATAGTTCTACACTGATTGTCATAAAGGTTCACAAAATTGGATGCATTTCAGTAGTGAAACTGTCACTGTACTAGAATGTTCTTCATCTGATTTTTCGTTGTTGTGACATCTCAGATATATATTTGTGTCATAGTTTTATATCTCTCTTCTTGCTTTTTCCCTAAATTTCCATCTTCATTCCTCTTGAGAACCTTTCTTCGTTATTGTTGTCATTAAATAATTGAAGAGAATGTACTCTCTTTTTATAAATTTAGTATTTTCATCTCCCAGGAGTTCTGTTACGTCTTAGTGCATTTGTGCTACCACAACCGAATACCACAGACTGGATAATTTATAAACAATAGAAATTTATTTCTCACAGTTCTGGAGGTTGATAAGTCGAAGATCCAGGTGCCAGTATTTGGTGTCTGGTGAGGGCCTTCTTGCAGCATCCTCACCTGGCAGAAGATGGAAGGGCAAGAAAGCAAGCTAGCCCAATGCTGTGTGGAGCCTCTTTTATCTGGGTCTTAATCTCATTCACATGGAGAGAAGCCCTCATGGCCTAATCACCCCTAGAAGGCCCCATTTCTTAATACTATCACATTGGCAACATCTGGATTTTGGAAGGAACACATTCAAACCATAGCATGATAATTAGTGAAGATTATACTGATGAGGGTGATTTTTAATGGTAATTTTTTTGAAGATGATTTAGGAGGAATTACTCATATGGACTAAGTTTGCCTTCCTATTCAGACTCTAATAAAAAAAGTAGTCACAGGAGGCTTTGCAGATATACTAAGGAAGACTCAGGGACAACTGACTTGCTATTTGGGCTGGAGACAATCTTATGTTTTAAAATGTTTTCATCAGTAGCCCATAAGATGATAGACATTCCCAACTAATATATTATTAGTGATTATTTTAGGTACATACTCTATATCCAAAATGCACCAGATGTTTTGCACATATTCTCTCCTGTCCCCACAGGAGTCCTGTCATGTAGATATAAGGTCCATTTTACACGGAAAAATTGAAGCTGACAGAAGTTAAGGAGTTTTTACACAATTATACAGTGGCTAAGGAAGGACTAGAGATAGTTCTATGTATTGCTTTAATTCTTCACTGCCCATCCTTTTTGTGTTCGGTTAAGGAAGGTGGTTTTGAAATGACTTTTACTTGCTCTAGGCAAGTTTCAGAAACAAACCTACTTCTATGGCGCATGTTAAGAATTTCAAAAACAGTTCAAATAATTTTGCTCAATTTGGGAAACAGTTGAAAGTCTTGTCTGCTGTTCATTGACTTCACATTTTACATAATGAGTATACCATGTTTAAATCTGCATATGCCTGACTCTTTATCTGGAGCCAAATCTCAGAGAATTCTCAAGAGCAAGGGCTGCTCCCAGAATTCTTCCAAGTGATTTGCAGGGTCTAGAAAGTTAAGTCCAAACAAAGTCATTCACCATGAGAAAAGAGAAAGTCTGGATAGGTTACCAAATAATCGTGCTGCGCATGAAATATGATTTGCTTTTCCTTTTTCTAGAGCTGCCTTTGTATTAGATTTAAGGACATGCCTCTCTGAGGAGCTGCCTAGGGGGAATACTTTTATTGTGAACAGTCAGGAACCCATGTATAGTTTCTACTTTGCACACATCAGTTTGCAAAAGTAGTTTCTTTCTCTTCTTTTTCATTACCCTGTGTCATTGATTTCCTGCATAGGCTGTGAATAGAACTTGGTTTCTGTAACTCATTCATCTGGAAGAAGTCCTTTATTTTGCTACTACGGAGCCAACAGATGCCAAAGCCTCAGAACAGTTAAATTTATTTTAAAGTGTTTTTTTATGGTGGTTGTTTCAATTTTGCCTGTAAAATATGAACTTAGTGTTCATTATTTTGAAAGAATAAATCCACTTTAAAATAAGAAGAACACCTTTGCTAGGTAATAGCAACTTTGACATTTAGAACCAGCTTGAAAAATTCTCTCTTAACAATGTCTGAATATTTATTGAAGATTTAGTGGTAGCCCTTGGCCTCTGTTTAGTACAAATTAAAAACAAAACAAAACAAAAAACGACTCATGTAGGCCATTGGCCCTTCGTCTGCTCCTTTCCTTAGAATTTCTGATTATGGGGATTTTAGGATACTTCATAGAAAATGAGGTTGCTTCTCGGAATTGTATGGAGTACACTAGGGCCCATCCTCTATGTGACCCTTTCTATTCTCTGGGGTAGCTTCTTGTTCTTGGGTGAATCTGAGAAACTGGTGAAGATCACAGACTACCAAAGACTGTCCCTGAGAACCTTAGTGATCAACTTTACAGCTCAAGAAAAGCTGGTTAAGTGTAAAATATCTAAGATAGCACTACTGTGTCACCAGTTTAAAAGGTTCAGACAAAGTTGTATTTCTAGTCTGACAATGATCCAATTTGTGAATATGCTCCTAAATTTATTGTCTGACATCATTGTTTAATCACAGCCATTCATCGACTTTTCCAGTTTGGTGAGACTCCAGTTTACTAAACTGAAATGTCTGGTTCACACAGTCTCCTCCCCTGTCGTATTGGTTCAGGGCCTACAAGTTTTTAAATTCTGAACAATGTCCTTGTTCATACTGCTTTATATTACATTAAGATCTCCCCAGCCTGCTTTCAGGTCATTAACTCTTTATTCCCAAACACATTTTGGCTTCTACCATGGAAAATAATCCAAAACTTGGAACACACCTTCTTCTGAGACTACATCAACACAAAAAGCCATGAATCTTTGCCCTCATTTCTCCATGCTTCTTCAAACCAGCATTTTCTACTGTTTGTGACAGAGGTTTCTGCTACTCATTACTTCCTTTTCAATACTCCTGTTCATGTATCTCTTTCATTTGTCATATTCTAGAGGATTATTGAATTCCTGACCAAAATCATCTATTATTATTGATTTTGCACACAACTATGCTGGGTATTATTTCAGAACACTCTGGGGATAATATTTTGCTGCCCTCAAAATAATACCGCATGATGAATCCAGAGAGGCCACTGAGAAAACCTCCCTCCTTTTGAATACTATGAGAACTAAGGAGCATAAAAGTTAAGTGACTCTTCCGGAGGCTCACGATTAATTAGTAGCAGGATGGAATTTGAACTTAGGGCCTCTAGCTGTAAGTCCAATTATATTTATATTGTTCCATTCTCCAAACAAAATGAAACTGGGGTGTATAGTGTAGTAGGACTTGAATACTCCAAGAGGATTTGAGAAAAAATTAAGCATAGCATCCTTAAGCAATCTCAAGAATTCCACCCAGTCCTTAGGTTAGTAAAGCTTTACTTGGTCCTATCTCTATTGTTATTACTTATTCATAACTTGCATAGCACTTTGACATTAGGTGACTTCATTATGTAATGTAACTTTTCCATGGAGAAAATAAGGAGTCATCTACTCTGAGTATTTAGGCCAGGAAAAGGCGTAAGCTGCAGGACCAGCCAGGGAACACAAAAGCAAGCCTCACTGTCGGATGCTTCTCAACACTCTTCAGGATCCGGGGTCTGTCATAGGCTTATGGTGGCTATTTCAGCAAGAGTGCTGTTTTATCTCATGCCTGGGCTACTGCCAGCAAGGCCAGGATGCTAGATTCCTTTTCAGTGATCTGCTAATGTAAGAAATGTGTTTCATAATAGTGCTTTAGAATTTTGTGAACTAGCACCTCAGTTTCTTCTCCTGTCTGCATTTCATTTTTATTTTCTTCAAGTATATTTATATAACACAGTTTTACTAAAAAATCTGTGGTGACTTTGGGTGGGAAATAATCCTTACTAAAGTTTTCACATCTTAGTTTGCTGAAACTCACAATTAGGACTTTCCAATAACAGTGAAATAGCTCTCTTCCTGAAGCCCTCTCTAATTCCACTGACCAAATAGTTCTCTTCCTTGTATGTACTACAATCATTTTATATCCTGTGTGTTTCTCTATGGATTTGTCAGCATTTTATATTTTCATTAGATGTGTCACCATAGTTCTGTTATGTAACATGGTTTGAAATATTTGAAAATTGTCATATCCTTTACAAACTTAGTTGAAGAGTTTGTACACCATGTGTGCACTCAAATATTTTCTAATTGAATGCCTCTTTGAAGTAATGAAATTTTGTTTACTCTCCCAACTTCTCAAACAGCTGTGTAATGAAAGCATGATTCTAGAGTATTTATATAAAACAGACTTTTTAGTGGTAGGAATGTTTGTTTAGCAGAGTTAAAGCAGTAAAGGTACCTGTGCCACCTCTGTACTCTATGGTATTGGACTTTTATAAGAGAAAACAGCCACTCCTAGAGAAGGTCCAGGGAAAGCAGTACACTCAGAATAAAGAGGTTAGAGCAGTAAGATGAGAATAGGTTAGAACAAGAAGGTGAAAGGAATGTTTAGGGTAGAGTTTGAGAATATGAGTGATTATGTATGTTTGTATATCTGCTTTTGTGTTTACATGATTGTGATATCAAAGACATCAACTATATATTTTATTCGTCTCTGGGTTCCACACATCTATCACAATAAAGCATTGTTGAATGATTTAATGTTACATAGGTTCCCCAAAATAAATGTAGAACTTTTTACAAAAATAAATCCAAGCCATAGTTTAGGTCTATGAAAGTTTAATGTTTGTTGGTCTATAAATAACTTTCCCAGTGAATAAATGGGTACTGGACTCATAAATGTCCAGGCAGCTGTAAATATGTATTACATGTAACTATCTAATGTTTAAGTTGCCATCACCTCTTCTCACCCCTTCTTCAATGTGGCCTGTTTCAATATTGAATTTAATTTCATTTGTAATTCTTTATTGGTTTTCCAGCCAACAACTAAGTGTCATTATCATACACAGAGCACCACCAATTTCTGTTAATTAGCTCTATAATTGCAAGTGAAAGAGCTGAATACACTTGAGTTTCCCATGAAAATTAAAAAATAAGATGGAATATCCACTAATTGCCCATTTCAGTTTCAGAGGATTTCATAATTACCAAAGCATCCCTCTGCTGCATTGAATTGATGCCTCTGACTGTACATGATGGTCCACGTGCTCACAGGGTGGGCTGTCTTCAGTTGTGCTGATTTCCTGTTTGTCAGTAGTCACCAAGAAAACACTGTAAGAAAAATACTACTCCTCTAAGAACAACAACAACAACAAAAACTATACAACAAAATGTCTACTCCCTTTCCTAGTACAGAAACCTTTGTGGGGAATTCACTTAACATCCTGAGTGTGTATTGGGAGGGTTGCCACAGAGCAAATGCATGCCCAAGCACAAAAGTGTGGTAGAAAATATGAAGCAAGTTCATAGGAATAAGTACCGTATAGCAATTCCTTATGAAAAACACCATTTTAAATGGTATGAGTCTGTAAAGACATTTTCTAAAAGCTTTCATCAATCATGCTGGTACATGATGCCTGCAGTCAACTTATTTACAGCCTGCCACTGTCAGGTTCTGGCTCGAAGAGCTGATCTTTCACTTTCACACATTTATATAGGTAGTTCAATAACCACTAGAAAGCAAATTTGTCAAGGAAAGGGATTTGGTTTTGCTCCTTCTGGCATCTACAAAGTCTTGTAGCAGAGTCTATTGCCAGTCTAGAACTCAAAAATTGTTTTGTGCATGAATGAATAAATGGGTGGAGTACTCAAAATATATATGTATTTCATTGTGTTTGTAAACATCTTGTCATAGAAAATCCATATTTTCTAATAGGTTACCCAGGGTTCAATTACCTGTAAATCCCATTAGCTGAGGTTGAAAACATAAGCACTACTTAACTCCTTGGATGGAGAATGTTACTGAAGAGGCAAAACAGTGCAAGTTCAGGCCTGTCATCATAGCCTCTGTGGTCATCATACTTAGCCTGTGGTCGGTCATCTTCTTGGACATGGGATGTAAATGCATTTGAAGCTATAAGACTATGTAAACAGAAAATTACTGTGAATATTGATCTATGACCAATAAAATGAGCAGAAATGAAACATACATTCCAATCTTATGAACTTAAATAAACCAAGATAGAAGAAGAGTATATGGCCAGGCATGGTGATTCATGCCTGTAATCCCAACATTTTGGGAGGATGAGGTGGAGGATCACTTGAGCCCACGAGTTCAAGACCAGCCTGAGCAATATAGTGAGACCCCATCTCTGTTTTAAAATATATATATTTTTAAAATAAATAAAAATAACTTACATGGAACAATTTTCTCACATAATTATTTTTTTGACATGCCATGGCCTATTTGGTAAATGTATACATACAAATCTTTGCTGTCTTAGCTACTTAACATTTGCATAATCTTATGGCTTTATTTACATATTATATCATATATGATTTGAATCTTCACTATCGCTATTTTTATTGGATTGAACTTCTAGGAAACATAGCATATTCCAGACTGTGCTCTAGATTCATCTAATAGGTAGAAATCTCTGATAACATGGAAAACAAAAGATATTTCTCTTACCTTTATGTTTCTCCTTCTTCTTACCAATTCTTTCTCTTCTAAATTAAGATTTTAGAGAATTCCTCTGTCATAAATTAAATGATTAAGTACATTTGATAATTTTCATATCTCACTAGGAGGTACTTTATTACCATTTCTACTGTAGCATTTGCATTTAATATTGACATTTATCTTAAATAACATTTTTAACGAAACTTATAAGATATAGGCATATATTTCTATTTCTTTGATGATTATAGAATTAGAAACACAGAAAAGATCACATATCTAAGAAAAACATACCAACAATAGACATAATGAAAAATCAGATCTTATAGCTGTTTTACAAACACAGTCCATTCTTTAGAACTTCAGAAACATATTTACCCTTACTATTAACTGATAGGAGTACTACCTATGAAAATACTTCTCTTCATGAAAATTCTAAATAAGTTTGTATTATTTCATTTGGATTACTGTTATGTATTCATTGTCATAAAATGTTAAAAGAAATGATAGACATTATACTGAATCAAGCAATTTGAGTTTTTCCCAGAATTGATTATATTTGATTGCTAGTGAATGCTGGGATATCTGGTTTTCAGACCAAAACAAGCTAAGATTAGGACACAGTGATTGAAAGGCAAAGAGCTTGGATAAATGAATCCACCACGTCCAGCTTTCCCTGGTACATCACAGTAAGTTTTATGTGGATTTTGGTGTCAGAAAATCATGAAATGAAATATCTTCTTAAGTACAAATGTTCAATTAACTATAGAAATCATAATGCAGTATTGAAATATTGAAATGGTTAAATGCGATTGGTTTTATCGGATGTTGAAACTGGAAATAATTTTAAGGTTAATACTCAATTATTTGGCTAAAGGCCCTATTCCTCATTTATTTATTACAGTCATATAAAAATAAATTCAACTTTTACTACTTTGATAAAATATACAGATATTCAGTACTGTTGAAGTGTTAATAAAAGTAAGATGAATCTTAATAATGTTAAAGCTGTTTTCAGCAGCCAAAATAAAACTCACTAGGAATAAACACAGTAAGAACAGTGATATTTTGACTGCTTTAAGACTCAGATTTGTTTTATTGATGCTTCAGAAAGATTGGAAGTCATTTTTATGTTCCTTTTTATTTGTAGAGAGAAGGGTTTGTAGCTTTCATAGATAAAACTATATAGGTTCCTGTGTTCATTTATCTATATAAGTCTATGCCATTTAGATAGATTAGATAGATAGACAGAGAGACGGATAGTAATAGATAGAGATGTTTTTTCGAGATTATATCAGTTTAGCAGTGTGGTATCCAATCTAGTGCCCAACACTGGCAATAAAGGAACCCAACACTCTCTCTATAATAAGGCTGCTGAGCTACAGAGAGCTTCATAAGCACATTTATTGTTTTGTAGCTAACTTTGAAATTAGTAAATGCACAGTTTTATAACCATGTATAAGAGAGAACATTTGTCACCTAAAATATTAATTAGTTCTTGGTTGCCTGGACTTTTACGTTTATATGTTTGCATGAAAATGAAGGTTTCACATGCAAAATAAATTTTCAAACCTGACATTTGTATTCTGTCAAAAGAAGAGTTGGGTCCATCCTCTGAACAGTTTGGACAGTTTAAATAAATGAGTGAAAAGACTCATATCTGTGGGAGAAAACAAAACAGTTTATTTTGCCTCATAAAACTGCGCAAAATATAGCTGAGTAAAAAGATGACATTATAGTAGTTCATTGTGTGTGTGTGTGTGTGTGTGTGTGTGTGTGTGTGTTTGTATACACATATCACATTCTCTTTATCTATTTACCCCTTGATGGACAGTTAGATTTCTTACATATATTGGCTATTGTGAATAATGCTGAAATGAACATGGAAGTTCAGATAGCTCTCTGACATAAAAATTTCAATTATTTTGGATATATACTCAGAAGTGGGACTGCTAATTCATATAATAATTATGTTTTTAGATTTTGAGGACCCTTTGTATTATTTTTCAAAGTGACTGTACTAATTTACAATCCCAGGTTCCCTTTTCTCCACATTCTTACTAACATTGGTTACCTTTCTCTTTTTGATAGTAGCCATTCTAGTAGGTGTGAGAGGATATCTCATTGTGGTTTTCATTTACATTTCCTTGATAATTAGAAATGTTGAGCATTGTTTCATGTATCTGTTAGCCATTCATGTCTCTTTTTTTGAGAAATGTCTGTTTAGATCCTTTGCCCATTTTTAATTAAGGTTATTTGTTTTCATAGTATTGAGTTTTTTTGAGTTCCTTATGTATTTTTTATATTAACCCCTTATCAGACATATGGTTTGCAAATATTTTCTCCCAATCCATGGTTGTCTCATCACATTGTTGTTTTCTTTGCTATGCAGAAGCTTTTTAGTTTCATGCAATCTACCCAAGAAATCATTGCCAAGAGCAATGTTTTGGAGATTTTCCCCTGTGCTTTCTCCTTATAGCTTTACAGTTTCAGGTCTTACATTTAAATCTTTAATTCATTTTGAGTTGATTTTTGTGTGATGTGAGAAAATATTTTACTTTTATTCTAATGTCATTCTTCGGCATGTGGATATCCAGTTTTCCCAGCATCATTTATTGAGGAGACTGTCCTTTCCCCATGTGTGTTCTTGGCATCCTTCTTGAAAATCTATTGATAGTAAATACTTGGGTTTGTTTCTGGGCTTTCTATCCTCTTCCGTTGGTCAGTGTGTCTGTTTTTATGCCAGTACCATGCTGTTTTGATTACAATAGTTTATAATATATTTAAGTCAGGAAGTATGGTATGATGCCTCCAGCTTTGTTATTTTTGCTCAAGATTGCTTTGGCTATTTGGGGTCATTTGTGGTTCCATGCAAACTTTAGGATTTTTTCCTATTTATATGAAAAAATGGCACTGGAATTTTGATAAGAATGCATTGAAATTGTAGCTTGCTTTGGGTGGTGTGGACATAGTAACAATAATAATTCTTCCAATCTGTAAACATTGAATACTGCACAGCCTTTAAAAAGAAGGAAATTCTGCCATTCATGACAACATGAGTTGAACTGGTGGACATTATGCTAAGTGAAATAAGTCAGGCACAGAAAGACAAACACTTCATGATCTCACTTATATATGGAATCTGAAAATGTCAGTCTCCCAGAAACAGTGTAAGTAGAAAGGTGGCTACCAGAGGCTGGGAGAAGAGCAGGATAGGAAAAGGGAAGATGTTGATCAAAGGGAACAATTCAGTTCAGTTAGACTAGAGGAATAACTTTTAGTGATCTATTGCACTTCCATGTGACCACTGTTGTTAGTAGTGTGTTGTACATTCAGAATTGCTAAAAGAGTAGATTTTAATGTACTCATGCAAAAAAAATAAGTTGATTGGATGATGTATATGTTAATTAGCTTGATTCAGTCTTTTTACAATGTATACATAGATCAAAATGTCATATTATACCCCATAAATATACACATTTTTGTTCAATTAAAAATAAACTTTTTTTTTTTTTAAGACAGAGTTTCACTCTGTCACTCAGGCTGGAGTGCAATGGCATGATCTTAGCTCACTGCAACCTCTGCCTCCCGGGTTCAAGCGATTCTCCTGCCTCAGTCTCCTGAGTGGCTGGGATTACAGGCATATGCTACCACGCCTGACTAGTTTTGGTATTTTTAGTAGAGATGGGGTTTCACCATGTTGGCCAGGCTGGTCTTGAACACCCGCCCCAGCTGGATCAAAAAGAGAAAGATAACAAATGTTAGTGAGGATGTGGAGAAAAGGGAACCATTGTATACTGCTGGTGGGATTGTAAATTAGTATGGTCACTTTGAAAAATAATACATAGGGTCCTCAAAGTGCTGGGATTACAGGCATGAGCCCCTGCACCTAGCCAAAAATAAATTTTCAAAAATAAAAATGTCATCATTGGCTAAACTTTATTGAAATCAACTGAATCTTACATTGTCGTATTAATCTATTGTATATAGTTTGCAGTGCATACTTATGTTTATTTCTTATCTGATTTTCATAACAGACTTTAGTGACAGGCATGGTAGAAACATCATCCTGTGTCACAGACTTGAGAGGTGAGATACAGAGTTTGAAGTGACAACCACAAGTTCATAGAACTAGTATGTAAAGAGCGATATTCTTCCAAGTGGGCATCAGACTATCTTTGTTTACCTGACTTTTTCTTTTCTTTTCTGTGTCCTAGTGAAATCATATCACGTTGGAAGATTTAACAATTATCTTTCAGCTAGAATACAAGTTATTTTTTTGTTTTTTGTTTTTTTTTGAGACAGAGTCTCGCTCTGTCACCCAGGCTGGAGTGCAGTAGCACGAACTCAGCTCACTACAACCTCCTCCTTCCAGGTTCAAGTGATTCCTGTGCCTCAGGCTCTTGAGTAGCTGGGACTACAGTTGCACGCCATGACGCCTAGCTAATTTTTGTATTTTTAGTACAGATGGAGTTTCACCACGTTGGCCAGGCTGGTCTCAATCTCCCAGCCTCAAGTGATCCACCCGCCTCAGCCTCCCAATGTGCTGGGATTACAGGCATGAGCCACAGTGCCTGGCCATACAACTTTTTTTAATAGTGTACCACACTAGAAGATATGGCACACATTCCTAAAAGATAAGGTAACAGAGTAGAATAAAACCGTTAAAACATAGGAAATGAGAGGATGAATTTGATATAACCAAATGTGCTCTCTTAATATTTAGGAACTGCTGAAATTAAAATACTGATACAATGTGGAATTTCTACATGACTTCCACAATGTCTACTTATGAAAGATCCAACTATTTAACATGGGAAATATTTGGAATACTTTTATTCATTGGTTCTGAAAATAGGGGACAGTTTTCTACACAAAATGCTCTTGAGAGAAGAAATAATTTATTAAAGATTATAAGACTGTTCATTCCTTCAGTTTTTACATTGACATAATGTTCAATACTGACAGAAAAAATTACATATTTAGGATTCAATACTTGTTGAATGCAATTGGAAACCTTGCTTTTATACTCAATAAAGAGGAAAGTTGATTTTTGAGAGTAAACAGTTGGAGTTATATAAACAAATACATTAATGATAGTAATAATTAAGCTTTTAACTTAATTGCCACATGACTTCAGACAAGTTACCCCTTGTTCCTGAGCTGTATTTAGTTCTGTCATCTGTAGATGAAATAAAAATTCCTCTCTTACTGGAATGCTGTCAGGATTAAGTGGAATAGAGGGCTTTCAGACTCTAGAGTCACACCCATTTACGGAGCTATTTCTGTTTGTTTTTTAAAACCACTATTACTTTTTTTCCAAGAACAGAGAAGGGCCATTGCGGTCCACCTACCTTAAATGCGCTTAAAATGTTTCAGGCTTAGAGAGGGGTACATCCAACTCATTATTCTCCTTGCTTTATAGGAAAAAGTCAAACACCTTTTTATAATCTTGGGCTTAAAATTTAAGAAAAAGAATCCTTTTTAGAATGTTCTAGTGCTCAGAATATTTTTAAATGAACTGAGATATAGTGATAATACAATAAAGCAATATAAAATTCAAAGAGATGGGTCTCTAGTCATATATTATATACTTTAATTACTACAGCTTATGCAGTTGTATTCATTCTACTAAAAATATTCCTGTTTGAAAGTACCCAATGCCTTTCTGTTCATTTTTATTTAGGTTTTATGGGATAACTTTTTTCCTTTCCCATTCATTCAAACTCTTATTTTTCAAGTGGCTGTTACACACATAAGACATTATGTAGGCACTATGAAAATATAAAGACAAAATATTTGTAAATCTTGACCTCGGATTGCTTAGCATCTAGTTAGATAAAGGTAAATCAATTTCATATGTATAATAAAATGCAAAAAGCAAAGAAGCTCTGAGTGCCTTAGGGAAATGAAGTAATAGTGCTTGCTGTGCCATCTCCATGGAAGAAAGGGCTGTGTCAATGGTGTGAGATCAAGTAAGGCTAGTGCCACCTGAGTTTCATATAGGCCAATGTAATTCATTCATATTTCTGGTGATAATTTCTGTTGCTATCCCAGTACCTCAAATTCAATGATGTACCAGAATTTATCATGTTTTCAAAAAGTACTGTTTCCTCTTGACCTAATTTTCCTTTTTAAGGGAATTACCAACTTCTTAGCTATCAAGGCTTAAAATCTCGGTTATCTTTGACCCTTCCCTCATTCTGCATACTCAAATCCATAGGAATAGGGATCCATGTCTTCTTTGAAACTATACTTATCTATTGCCTTTCTGGTCCAAGCCTTGCCTTAACCTGACTACTCTCCACTGTGTCAATTTACCCTGTGCCATTGTACTTCTATGCGCTTGCATATATATTTTCCTCTACCTGGAATGCCCTTCCTCAATTATTTTTTGAGAGCTATAAGCATCTAACTAAGATGCAGCCTTGTCCATGAACTTTGTCTGTCCTCTTTCTTATTGCATACCTTCACTTCAGGACACCCTGTCCTCCCAGCTAAAACTGAATCTTTTTTCTTTCTTTTTTTTTTTTTTCTCCAAAATCCACAGCCCTCAGTTTCTACCACTTTTGCGGTCTTATCACATTCTATGCCACATTATAATTATCTGAGAATATACTTTTTTTTGTAATTAGTTTATAAGGCCATAAAGAAAAGAAACCTTTTTTTTTCCCATTTTGGTATCCTGCGTCTTATACAGTAAAATAGTAGTAAATGTTTGTGTATCAATGACCTAACAGATAATTTCAGGCAAATAATTTAACAGCATTTCCTTGAGATTAATATTTTTTTAAATATTCCTACATGCACACTTCATATGTTCTCTAAAGAAAAAAAATATGTTAAGATACATACACATAGGGTTTTACTTTTCTTGAAATTTTCTCTTATTATTAAAAAAGGACATCATTTTAATAATGCTACATTACTCCTAAAATTTAAATGTAAACTTTTGGGAGTAAGGGGTAGTCAAAGGTCTTTCATTGGAGTTAAAAGACTTTAAACTTTCCAATGTTTAAAATCTTTAATCATCATTCTCAGTAAACTATCGCAAGAACAAAAAACCAAACACCGCATATTCTCACTCATAGGTGGGAATTGAACAATGAGAACACATGGACACAGGAAGGGGAACTTCACACTCTGGGGACTGTTGTGGGATGCGGGGAGGGGGGAGGGATAGCATTAGGAGATATACCTAATGCTAAATGACGAGTTAATGGGTGCAGCACACCAGCATGGCACATGTATACATATGTAACTAACCTGCACATTGTGCACATGTACCCTAAAACTTAAAGTATAATAATAATAAAATAAAATTTAAGAAAAAAAATTTAAAAAAAAAAAGATTGTAAACTACGAAAGAGAGTGACAAGTATAGTTGGAAGAGGCATAAATGGTGCCCACATGTGGCCAGAAGAAGTATGAGGCCTGCTTCACAATATCTTTAAAGTTCTACCCACTCCCCACACCCTCAGTGATTCTGGAATTTGTTTTAATTTTAACCATGTTTACGGTAGTAATGTATATAGACAGTCCCTTCTCCTTTTAATTTGAAGTACCTGGATACCATAACATGACTAGAGTGTGGCAGAAGCCCAAACAGGAATTTATTTTTCAATTGCCTGGTCTCTGTGAACCTAAGGATGGGCATTTTAAAGGAGGCTGATAGAATAAATATAGGACCTTTTCCTTATGGAGACGTTGGACCGCTAATATCCATATATGTTTTATGCAGAATTAATATTCTCCACTATTCAGGGCAGTACATTTATTTCAGCAAGCTAACGAGGAAGAAGAGTTTGAAAGTTATTTCTCAATGCATATAATATGTTGTATACAAGCAGGTGTTCTATACTAGTAAATGGAAATTTGAACTTATCAGAGAAGTCTGAATATCAAAAGCGGATAATTCACAATTACTGACTAGCGATCCTGTATCTCTTTAAATTACTGTGTCTAACTTTTTAATAAACCTACTTGTAGTTCTGACATATATATGTGTGTATATATATATACACACATATATATACACACATACATTTATATATATTCTTTTTTGTGAGAATACATATTGAAAAAAAGTTTTATTTTATATAACAAATAGAAATCTCCTAGGAAAACTATTTCTAAAGAAACCTAAATGTGAATATGTAGCCATAATAACTAACACCTATTGAGCACTTAATACTTGCCAGTCACTGTGCTAAGCAATGCATTTTCTCTGTTGAACTGTATTACAATACTTTGAAGTATTATTTCCATTTTATGGATAAGAAAACTGAGATTTGGAGAGTTAAAATAACTCATGCAAGGTGAAATATCTTATAAGTGTTGGTGATAGGATTTTGAATCAGATTGTCTGATCCCAGGTTCCAAATACACCATGTTGGGGGGCCATCCGTACAACTTTACCTGGCAGTATCTGTGTTTCCTGAATCACAAATGCCTCTCCGCCAGCCTACCCACTTGGGCTTCAGAAACACCAAATATAATTTTCATAAATTTTATGTGATCATGATGCTGAGATGCTTTTATTCCATGGGTGTGTGTATTGTTTCATGAAGAAAACAGTGAGTACTTGCCTATAGAACTGCCACATAAAGAGATACATATCCCGGTCCCTGCAAAGCAGCTGCCCCATCTTGCTAATATGATCACTCTAGGATTAAAAGGTAATTCATTTTTGGAATCATTTTTAAAATATTTTAAAGACTTACACGTCAGTTTTGTCATTGATGGGAGTTGACTATTGGATTTTTTTATTAGATATTCAAAACCCTCAGCTATTATTTGTATTTATTGCTCTAACCAATTGTTGCTAAGCTAGAATGCTCTCCTAGTCACTATTATGTTTTAAAGACCATTTGGACATAGGATGCATAGCTGGTCCTTAAAAACACAAAATACAAAGTGCCAAAATAAATTCCTATTGACTTCATCAAAGCAGACCTTATTCTTTTGCTCAGTGCTTGAACCTTCAGTGATGCTCAGCTGGGCTCCGAAGGAGAGGGAAGAAGACAGGCAGCTGTTGAGAAACAGCTGTGCCTATTGGAGAGGCTGTGAACAGCAGTGGAGAATAAGGCCGGATCCATTGCTACATGTCTATTATACTCAGTCTCTCTTTAATCACCCATCCCTCTGAGCTCACTTGCTCAATATGCTATAGTCGTCAAAGCAAGACATTAAGTATATACTGAGATTTCTTCTCCTCCAAAGGTTATTATGAGGATTGATGAGATTATATTTGTGAAAGATTCCAGCAAATATCAAATGAAAGGCACTGCCTGCATATCAAGAGCTCCTGTATTTGAAGGAAAACATCGTTCTTCTCTGCTTTTTTCTCTTGTATGCCTCAGAGACCTATGACAACCTCCATTCTTCCATTTTTCCAGCCTGGATATAGGCTGTAAAAAGGACAAAGCTCAAAGCTGAGGTCAGAGCTTCTTTCCTTAGAAATTTAGACCTGACTTGTATTGCTTTTACCTCTTCTACGTAGAACATTTCCTTTCAAATATATTTTATACACTTACAGATGTATTTAAATAAATGGAAGTTTCTTTTATTAAAGACTTGAAGCCAAATCTTATAAGGAAAGCTTTTTCTGGCTATTTTTCAATTTTTAACATTGGGATAAACTTCAGGATTTTTGTGGAAAATAGAATCTTGTTAGGTTTAAAAGCAAATATTTTTGCCTCTTTCCTTTATGATTTCAGTGAATGCTGTCGTATGTAGAGTGGATATCTTTTCTAATATCTAAAGAAAATAGTTTCCGGGACAAGAAGAATAGAATCACAGTTAAGAACACAGAGAGGGGTCTTACAGACTGGGTTCAGGTACTGGATCTGACACTAGCTGCCTGGCTTAAGGCAAATAGTTAAAACTTCCCAAGTCTTGTTCTTTTATCTGCAACAGTAGCATAATAAACTTACTTACTTCATAGAGATGAAGAAACCAGATACTTGTAAGAAGTATTTGGCACAAGTTTTATATGTGCAGCAATTACTGATTATTTTAATGTACTTTTTCAATCCATATCAGAAACAAGGAAGTTTGTGAATACTACATTAGCACGAGAATTTATCAATAAAAGGCTAACATTTCTCTCTCTGGCTACCTTCTAATGATCCAAGGGTCCTAAAGAAGTCATTACATTGTTTTTTTGTTTGTTTGTTTTCTGCAAAGCTCATAGCTATCCTTGCTTAGGAAAATGTTTTCAGCCCTTCAGAAATACACCTGAACATACACACACACACACACACACACACACACACACAGAAAAACACACATACATACATACACATACACACATACACTTAAATATATACATAAAATGTATATCTATCATGCTACTGTTTCTGCAAGCTACAGGTAATTCAATCAATCTATACTATACTATATAATATAAACTACTTCAAGGAAGTAGGTCAGACCTCCAATACACACTTTCATTATACCATGTACCCATCTCTCTGTGTGACCATGGCTTCTCCATGGGTCTGTGGCTCCTGTAATTATTCTGCCCGTCACTGATACCTAGCACAGTAGGTATTCTATCTGCATTGATTGTAGCATTGGTTTATAGCTGAGAACTGATTGCTGTAAGCTGTCATATGAAGCCCACTAGGATGTTTTTTCTCACAGTGTATTTCTGCAAGCAAGGTATTTTGTGATAAGTTTATTACTTTGTTCATAATTTGTTGGCTCCATTCTTAGGATATTAGGTAAAACCTGGGAATGTAAACAAAATTTTAGTAATTGTTTAATGTAACTCTTGGAAAATAATCAAGATCAGAACTCAGGGTGGGCTCAGCTGAACAGAATGACCTCTCTTTTAAAAAGACTATCTTCATTGCTTCATTACTTAAATACCTAAAAATCATGGACAGCACAGAGAAAAAGCCTGAGTGGATTTGAGGTAATAAATATGCTTCACTTACTGTGTGATCATAGTCAATCTTTTAGACTCTCTAAGTCCCTGTTTCTGAATTGAAGATTATACCTGTAGGGGCCAAGAGAAAACTTCCCTTTCACCCTCAAAAGGTTCACAGAAAAAGAAACTCAAAAAAGACACATTAATAGGAGAAAAGGCATGCAAATTTATTAGCATGCACAGGGAGAAAATTATAGAGTGATTACTCCGCCACACAATGGGGTACAGTTTTTCTACACCATCTTCTTAGAGACACTGGAGATGGGAAAATGTGGATGATTTTAGGGAGGTCGTAATTTTTTTAGGGGAATTCAATGGGCTTGAAGAACATACAATGGCTGGGAACAAAGTCTGTTGGGCCTGCAGAGCAGGCAATGGTTTGTGACAAAAATCTATTCAGATGTGTTGACAGATTTCGGTCTTTCTTCCTGTGATATGAGTTCAGTTAATGAAAACTCAGGGAGGATTCCAGAGGTCACTGTTTTCTTCCTTGTTGGATCTGGACTTCAGTCAGATAAAGGGGCTTCAAGAGAACAGCTTCATTCTGTGCTTTGGGTGGGACAGAGGATTGTCAGACAGGATAGACAGGTGTGTGTGTTGGTGGGGTGGGTGGGGGTGCTGCAGGACTTGGGGGAGGGGAGGTCAGAAAGACCTTGAGGCTTCTTCTTCAGGTCAGCATGTGAAAGTGCCATATTTGGGAGTATTGGTTTCTGAACCCCAACATACCCCATGAACATAGTGTGATGATTAAATTAGATAGGTTGTGTAATATCTCAAACCAGTACCTGGCTCCCTGATATCGTTTGACTGTGTCCCCACCCAAATCCACTCCTGAATTGTGGCTCCCATAATACCCACATGTTGTGGGAGGGACCTGGTGAGAGGTAATTGAATCATGGGGGCAGGTTTTCCTGTGCTGTTCTCATGATAATAAGTCTCATGAGATCTGATGGTTTTATAAAAGGCAGTTCCCCTGCACAAGCGCTCTTGCCTTCTACCATGTGAGATGTGCCTTTGCTCCTCCTTCACCTTCTGTGTGATTGGGAGGCCTCCCCAAGCATGTGGAACTGTGAGTTCATCAAGCCTCTTTTTCTTTATAAATTACCCACTCTCGGATGTTTCTTCATAGCAGTAAGAAAATGGACTAATACATTCCCAATCTATATATTTTTTCCTTTCTTTTTAAATATCTGTCTCAAAGATTTAACAGAGGAATTAAGGAATGTTATTTTGAATTATTGCTTGAACTAGAAATTTTCCTTACTTATAGCTCTATAATTAAAAGTAAATCCTAAAGACATTATGCGTTGAACATAATCTCTCTCCTGGAAATATCCACAGACTGGTGTGCACATTATGGGAGTACAATGAAAAAATTACGTTTCCCATCTGAATCCAGGTTAACCAGAACCCAAATGTTAGCATTTGTCTCCAAACCCCATCTCCAGTGGGGTTTCATGGAATTATGATTATTATGGTCACAATCTTAAAAGGCCAGCAGAAATGACATTTAAAGTGGACTGCTGAATTTTTACTTATATAAAACAAGCTTTGATTTATAAAGTAATAAGTGATTGATAAATTCAGTATGATTAATAACTTTTAAAACATGAATTCTTCATAGAAAAATTAATACAAGGGATTCTGAAATAACAAATTTGAGAAGCAGCTACTAATATGTTTTGTTCAGAGATAAGAAATCCAAATCACAGTGTAGTTTGTTTCAAATCATGTGTTTGATCCAATAAAACATTTTCTTTTAATGATTTCTCTTAACGATGTAAGCACGGAATTAATTTTCCTCTTATATTATTGCAAGAGTTTATCTGAATAAATATCATTAATGCTAATCTCTGGATTAATCTGGCCAAATTCCTTATATAGTGATTTTCCTTAATGAATATTTTCCTATTGGCCATACTGTGTTTTATTCCCAAAGGTTATGTATGGTTAAGTCGGCATGGAGCAGGGATAGGAAGGCATGTTGGCATGTGTTTGTGCTTTTGAAAAAAGCCTTCAACAAACACATGAGAAACACTATTTTCACAGTGACAGAAATGGAGTGTATCTAATTACTTGTACACGCTTAAGTGACAGTAGTCCTCCTGAAATGTTGGAGCACTATATATATGTGTGTATATACATATATATGTATATACACACACACACATATATATATTTAAAGGAATTGTGATGGGTTGATAGCTGCAGCCAACAATCATGGCACACATTTACCTATATAAAAAATCTCACATCCTGCACATGTATCCCAGAACTGAAAATATAAAATAAATAAAATAAAATAAAATAAGGAATTGTATTAGTAACAGGAACAGAGGTAACAGAAATGAGGCGCTTCAATCATTTCCAATGTTGTAATTTCCCATTGAATGCAGAGAAGAAACATACTTTTCCAAGACCTGAACTTTTTTTCTTTCCTTCTTAATGTAACAAATGACTGCTGTGATTCAAAAGCACTATTTGGTCTCCTATCAATTATTTTATTTTACATTTGGGGTTTGTACATTTGATCAGCAGTAAAGCTAATTCATTTCTCAATTCATCTTCCTACGTAGGTATATATGTGAGAACAAAGCAAGTACTGAGCTGGCAAAGCATCTTTTTTCACTGGATCCTCTTCTGTTACTTTTAAAATGTGTCTCTCTGTGTTAGCATTTTATGGAAATGTATGCATAGGAAAATACACCCTACTTTTCTCCTTTCTCAAGACTCATTTCCACTACCATAAGGCTAATGATTCCATTTTATAAGCAGGCTTCATTACCTAGCCATAAATATGACAAGAAAAATATTAAAATCAATTTGAGTCATCACAGGTGGTAACATCCAATTTATCTGACATTATTAAAGAATTAGATGAGAAATAGAAATGAATGTTTGAGATAATAAGGGGTTTAGTTCCTTATGTGCTTTTTCATTTTAGCAAGCTTTCTCCAATGCGTCTTTCTAAAGTACATTATACTTCAGTGAATTCTTGACATACAGTGTTCTGGATACCAGAAAACATTTTCATGGTAATTCAGGGTCATTATCATAAACAAATGCTGGTTTTTGTTTTTTTTCTGTATGGAAATACCTCAGAAGCCTTTGAGAAGTATACATTTTTTTTTTGGACTTTTAATAAACAGATGTACGCTGGTCTTTCTGTTTTCTTTTTTTCCTCTTCTTCTTTAAATGGGAGATTGTATTTCAGTTTTTTCCTTCCTCCAAATAAGAAATATGCATTTTTTTCAAACAGTTTACTACCCACCTTTTATATTTACATCCCTTCCTTTTAATCAGATAACTAATCGTGTTAAACCATTTAATGTAATTTAGCCACAACTAAAGTTTTCTGTCGTCTGAGGGATATTTCATTGTCTCCTTAGGTAATTCATATTAGTTCTATGATATCCTTCAAGAGGCACTTTTCCACTTGCTATTGGGTTTATCATTATATTTCAAATATCTGAAATTGCTAAAAATCTGCTGTCTTCAACAAGTGGGAATTTCTAATATTGAACTTTTAAACGGTGACTATAGCTACTAATAATGCATATTTCAAAATAACTAAAACAGAAGATTTTAAATTTTCTCACCACAAAGAAATCATAAATATTTAAGGTGAAAGAAATGCAATTAGCTTGATTTGATCATTCCACAATGTAGACATGTGTGTGTTGACAAAGATTCAAACTCTGTAAAATATTTGAAAAAATTTATTCAGAGCAAAATATGTGTGACCAATGACCTGTGACACAGCCCCAGAAGACCCTGAGAACATGCGCCCAAGATGTCAGGCTACAGCTTGGTTTTATACATTTTAGGGAGACATAAGACATCAAGAGAGTAATTGATCTTTTAATTAATTAATTAATTTATTTATTTAATAAGACATCAAAAGAATAATTAATCTTTTGCAGCATTTTGTTTCCAGTTGTGCTGTTCTGATCCTAAATGTAAACACAATCTATTAATGTCTTATGTCTCTCTAAAATATATAAAACCAAGCTGTAGCCCAAGTGAGGTTGGGAAGGTACTTTCAGGTAATTGAATTCAAAGATTTTCTGATTGGCAATTGGTTGAGAGACTTTATCTAAAGACCTGGAATCAATAGAAGGGAGTGTCTGGGTTAAGATAAGAAATTGTAGAGACTAAGGTTTTTATTATGCAGATGAAACCTCCAGGTAGCAGGCTTCAGAGAGAATAGATTGTAAATGTTTCTTATCACACTTACAGAGTCTGTTCTATCAATTGTAGGATTTATGTTTTCATGTTAACGCTGGTCAGCTATACCTGAATTCCAAAGAGAAGAAAGTATAATGAGGCATATCCTACCTCCACTTCTCATCATGGCCTGAACTAACTTTTCAGGTTAATATTGGAATGCCCCTGGCCAAGGGGGATGGTTCATCAGTAGTTTAGAGGATTAGGGTTTTATTTTTGGTCTACATGTTGAAACACTGCATTGTACCCCATAAATATATACAATTATTATTTGTCAATAAAAACTAAAATTTGTAAAACTTTTTAATTGGAAAATGTAATACACATATTTGATCAAATAATGATATGAATATGAGATTTCAAAAGCAGCCTTGAAAATATTACAAATAGGTAAAGATGATTAGACTCAGTGTCAGAAAAAATAGTCTATAATTATGATGATTTTTGAACCAGAGCATCTTCTATCTTGGTTGATATGAACTTATTTTAAAGCACAGAAACTTCCCCTTTATCATTTTTTATTGTGTCTATTTGATTCTTCTCTCTTTTCTTCTTTATTAGTCTTGCTAGCTGTCTGTCAATTTTGTTGATCCTTTCAAAAAACCAGCTCCTGGATTCATTAATTTTTTGAAGGGTTTTTTATGTCTCTATTTCCTTCAGTTCTGCTCTGATTTTAGTTATTTCTTGCCTTCTGCTAGCTTTTGAATGTGTTTGCTCTTGCTTTTCTAGTGCTTTTAATTGTGATGTTAGGGTGTCAATTTTGGATCTTTGCTGCTTTCTCTTGTGGGCATTTAGTGCTATAAATTTCCCTCTACACACTGCTTTGAATGTGTCCCAGAGATTCTAGTATGTTGTGTCTTTGTTCTCACTGGTTTCAAAGATCATCTTTATTTCTGCCTTCATTTCGTTATGTACTGAGTAGTCATTCAGGAGCAGGTTGTTCAGTTTCCATGTAGTTGAGCGGTTTTGGGTGAGTTTCTTAATCCTGAGTTCTAGTTTGATTGAACTGTGGTCTGAGAGACAGTTTGTTATAATTTCCGTTCTTTTACATTTGCTGAGGAGTGCTTTACTTCCAACTATGTGGTCAATTTTGGAATAGGTGTGGTGTGGTGCTGAAAAAAATGTATATTCTGTTGATTTGGGGTGGAGAGTTCTGTAGATGTCTATTAGGTCCGCTTGGTGCAGAGCTGAGTTCAATTCCTGAGTATCCTTGTTAACTTTCTGTCTCGTTGATCTGTCTAATGTTGACAGTGGGGTGTTAAATTCTCCCATTATTATTGTGTGGGAGTCTAAGTCTCTTTGTAGGTCACTCAGGACTTGCTTTATGAATCTGGGTGCTCCTGTATTGGGTGCATATATATTTAGGATAGTTAGCTCTTCTTGTTGAATTGATCCCTTTACCATTATATAATGGCTTTCTTTGTCTCTTTTGATCTTTGTTGGTTTAAAGTCTGTTTTATCAGAGACTAGGATTGCAACCCCTGCCTTTTTTTGTTTTCCATTTGCTTGGTAGATCTTCCTCCATCGTTTTATTTTGAGCCTATGTGTGTCTCTGCACGTGAGATGGGTTTCTGAATACAGCACACCACCAATCCCACAGAAATACAAACTACCATCAGAGAATACTACAAACACCTCTACGCAAATAAACTAGAAAATCTAGAAGAAATGGATAAATTCCTCGACACATACACCCTCCCAAGACTCAACCAGGAAGAAGTTGAATCTCTGAATAGACCAATAACAAGCTCTGAAATTGTGGCAATAATCAATAGCTTACCAACCAAAAAGAGTCCAGGACCACATGGATTCACAGCCGAATTCTACCAGAGGTACAAGGAGGAACTGGTACCATTCCTTCTGAAACTATTCCAATCAATAGAAAAAGAGGGAATCCTCCCTAACTCATTTTATGAGGCCAGCATCATCCTGATACCAAAGCCTGGCAGAGACACAACAAAAAAAGAGAATTTTAGACCAATATCCTTGATGAACAGTGATGCAAAAATCCTCAATAAAATACTGGCAAACCGAATCCAGCAGCACATCAAAAAGCTTATCCACCATGATCAAGTGGGCTTCATCCCTGGGATGCAAGGCTGTTTCAATATATGCAAATCAATAAATGTAATCCAGCATATAAACAGAACCAAAGACAAAAACCACATGATTATCTCAATAGATGCAGAAAAAGCCTTTGACAAAATTCAACAACCCTTCATGCTAAAAACTCTCAATAAATTAGGTATTGATGGGATGTATCTCAAAATAATAAGAGCTATCTGTGACAAACCCACAGCCAATATCATACTGAATGGGCAAAAACTGCAAGCATTCCCTTTGAAAACTGACACAAGACAGGGATGCCCTCTCTCACCACTCCTATTCAACATACTGTTGGAAGTTCTGGCCAGGGCAATTAGGCAGGAGAAGGAAATAAAGGTATTCAATTAGGAAAAGAGGAAGTCAAATTGTCCCTGTTTGCAGATGACATGATTGTATATCTAGAAAACCCCATTGTCTCAGCCCCAAATCTCCTTAAGCTGATAAGCAACTTCAGCAAAATCTCAGGATACAAAATCAATGTACAAAAATCACAAGCATTCTTATACACCAATAACAGACAAACAGAGAGCCAAATCATGAGTGAACTCCCATTCACAATTGCTTCAAAGAGAATAAAATACCTAGGAATCCAACTTACATGGGACGTGAAGGACCTCTTCAAGGAGAACTACAAACCACTGCTCAAGGAAATAAAAGAGGATACAAACAAATGGAAGAACATTCCATGCTCATGGGTAGGAAAAATCAATATCATGAAAATGGCCATACCGCCCAAGGTAATTTATAGATTCAATGCCATCCCCATCAAGCTACCAATGACTTTCTTCACAGAATTGGAAAAAACTACTTTAAAGTTCATATGGAACCAAAAAAGAGCCCACATCGCCAAGTCAATCCTAAGCCAAAAGAACAAAGCTGGAGGCATCACACTACCTGACTTCAAACTATACTACAAGGCTATGGTAACCAAAACAACATGGTAGTGGTACCAAAACAGAGATATAGATCAATGGAATAGAACAGAGCTCTCAGAAATAATGCCGCATATATACAACTATCTGATCTTTGACAAACCTGAGAAAAACAAGCAATGGGGAAAGGATTCCCTATTTAATAAATGGTGCTGGGAAAACTGGCTAGCCATATGTAGAAAGCTGAAACTGGATCCCTTCCTTACACCTTGTACAAAAATTAATTCAAGATGGATTATAGACTTAAACGTTAGACCTAAAACCATAAAAACCCTGGAAGAAAACCTAGGCATTACCATTCAGGACATAGGCATGGGCAAGGACTTCATGTCTAAAACACCAAAAGCAATGGCAACAAAAGCCAAAATTGACAAATTAAACTAAAGATCTAATTAAACTAAAGAGCTTCTGCACAGCAAAAGAAATTACCATCAGAGTGAACAGGCAGCTTACAAAATGGGAGAAAATTTTTGCAACCTACTCATCTGACAAAGGGCTAATATCCAGAATCTACAATGAACTCCAACAGATTTACAAGAAAAAAACAACCCCATCGAAAAGTGGGCGAAGGACATGAACAGACACTTCTCAAAAGAAGACATTTATGCAGCCAAAAAACACATGAAAAAATGCTCACCATCACTGGCCATCAAAGAAATGCAAATCAAAACCACAATGAGATACCATCTCACACCAGTTAGAATGGCAATCATTAAAAAGTCAGGAAACAACAGGTGCTGGAGAGGATGTGGAGAAATAGGAACACTTTTACATTGTTGGTGGGACTGTAAACTAGTTCAACCATTATGGAAGTCAGTGTGGCGATTCCTCAGGGATCTAGAACTAGAAATACCATTTGACCCAGCCATCCCATTACTGGGTATATACCCAAATGACTATAAATCATGCTGCTATAAAGACACACGCACACGTATGTTTATTGCGGCACTATTCACAATAGCAAAGACTTGGAACCAAGCCAAATGTCCAACAATGATAGACTGGATTAAGAAAATGTGGCACATATACACCATGGAATACTATGTAGCCATAAAAAATGATGAGCTCATGTCCTTTGTAGGGACATGGAAGAAATTGGAAATCATCATTCTCAGTAAACTATTGCAAGGACAAAAAACCAAACACTGCATGTTCTCACTCATAGGTGGGAATTGAAGAGTGAGAACACATGGACACAGGAAGGGGAACATCACACTCTGGGGACTGTTGTGGGGTGGGGGGTGGGGGGAGGGATAGCATTAGGAGATATACCTAATGCTAAATGACGAGTTAATGGGTGCAGCACACCAGCATGGCACATGTATACATATGTAACTAACCTGCACATTGTGCACATGTACCCTGAAACTTAAAGTATAATAATAATAAAATAAAAATTAAAAATAAAAAAATTTAAAAAGTAAAGTACAGAAACTTCATTTTAATAGATTAATTAAGCATCAAGTAACCAAAGAATTTGCTGCTTTCAAGTGAGTAGTAAAATTTTGCTCATCAATAGTTTCAATTGGCAAATGGTACAAAATGTGTTCATTGACTTAAATTTTCAGCATCAGATCTATTTGTGACAGGAGAAACACAAGTGTTGGTTGAAAAATATTTGTTAAATTGCTGTTAGAGGACTAGGCATTGCCTGAGAAACATGATACATGAAACATGATCACTGCTTGATCATGCCTGTTTGATTTCTTCTCATATGTTTAGAAAACTGGATTTCTCTTATTTTGTTGTATGTGTATAATAATACACATTTCTCTCTGGATAGACATTTGTAGGAAGATAGGTAAAGGAATTGCAGAGCTCTGTAAATTGGCATCCCTGAAGTCCTGATGACAAGGGAAATGGAAGCTTATTACTGTCAGCATGTGTCCAGATAACAACTGGGGACCAACAAAGGTTGTTCATCCAATATTTACACTTCAGTGTGAAAACGTAGTTGTAACTGATTGATTGAACCAGCTAAACACAGTAGAGGGAACGCATCTTTATTCTTTCACATTTCCTTCTTTCCTTCATGCTCCTAGCTTCAGCCTTTATCCCTTATAGTTCCCGCGGCTTGCCTTCACTCCAGGTACTAATACCAAAACTTCAGCCTCTTAAAAAATTCAAAGTTTCTGTCTTCCCCTGCTCAGGCCTGCTTTAGCTTCTTCACTATTTGCCTTCCTCTTCCACTCACTAGGCTACCTCTCCATTGGAGAGTTACAAGAGAGAGAAGAGGTAATGGGGCAGAAAAGGCTTAGGATGGTGTTAGTGCCTTCTGAAAGAGCTAGATATCTAATTGCAGATTATTTCCTTGTGAGGTATGGAGAGCCCTTTACTGGAGTCTTCCAATTCCCTAGCATGCTGAAGACCCCTCTAGTGGGCTCCCTACAACTTAAGTCTCCCACAGTACCTGGCTACCAGTGCTTCCACACTAGTCACTTCTCCAGTCCACATGGTCCACACAGGTGAGGTCACATTCAGGAAAACAAGGCTGGTGCCCTTTTTCAAGGATATGCGTCTGGTGTTTCACCTCTCACCACTGTTGCTTGCTTCTTTCTCTGCACACTCCAGGTGGGCTCCTGATAATTTAAACATTTTTACCTGTGAGCACACACCAATCCCTGCATTCTCCAAATTCTGGAGAACATGTATCACGTTGTTGCATTACTCACTCATTTTTCTCCTCATTGGTTAATGCACATATTTTATTTACTCAGGATACACACAGATAACATGAGTTTGTTTCCCGTTAAGACTGTCTTGCCCATTCAGTGTGATATCATCAGAAGGACAGAAGGAAGCAATTACATAATGTGAAGTGCCTCCTCTTCTCAGATTAATACTTCCCAACACAGAAACATTGTAAATCTTTTTTGAGAAGAAAGGGGGAACTTTGCCTTTGCCTATGAAATAAGTGAAAGAATATGCTATTTAAAGCATGTTGTTAGTTTAGCTGGCTAGAAGCTATCTGTCTGACAAAAATGTTTTCTTTCCTTTCAAATCTGTGTTTTTTTATATTTGGGATGTTCTGTTTATGAATTATTTATATCTCTTATTTACCAGAAATGACTTTGGACCATTGCCAAAGCACCAGGTCTGCTGTTTCTGAACTTAAACGCAACACACACACACACACACACACACGCACACGCGCGCACACACACACACACACTACTTTTGTTCTGTTTAATTATGGAGGCTTCTGCTTTCCTCTTATCAGGGCCATGATTCAGTCCTTTTAGTATGTAATTATCCCAAGTGTCCTCGATTTAAAAAAGTGAGACTCTGTATTTTTGTCAGAATGCAGTGTTATTCAGCGATGGAAATCTTTTGTGGCGTTTTGTTTCCAGTTGTACCATTGTGATTCTAAATGTAAACACAAGAATTTGAATTTCTACTTGGTAAAGAGAATTCATCTTGACATAAACTAACCAACAAAAAAGTGAAGGAAAATTCTAAGTACTCATTGCCTTATCTGCAAAACAGCTATGGATAGCTTAAATGTTGGATGGCAGGACTATGCCTAATGATCTTTTCAAGATCCCTCTAGGTCAAAGTACCATAATGTAGAACAAGAACATGAATGGCTGAAAAAAATCACTTTTCAAATTTCTAGGTTCCTCATCTGTAGGATTAAGATAATTACACTTCATAAAGTTAATAGGACCATCATGTGATATAACAGTACCTGAAACAGCAGGCATGACATAAATGCCTGTTCACTCTAGCAATGCGTTATATTTAGATAGGGGGAAATGGCATTTTAAAAAACTGCACTCAAAAAGCACTTCAGGAAAATTTCCAAAAATCTCAATTTTAATGACCTCTTTGCAGAGTTAATTGTTATTTCTTGGTACCGCAGGCTTCATAAGGTTAACTAGCCTAGAGTTCAAAATGAGATTCCATTAATGGTGAAGATCCCTGTTTTGCTAACTCCTGCCCAAGTGAGATCACCTACAGTGGTACTGGGGAGTCCACAGAGAGAGACAATCCCTCTCACTTGTTCTCAGTCAGAGAGCATTTGGGGGGTCTGTCAGTTTCTTCCTCTCTGTCCCTGCCATTTTGAGTGAGGTCAGTTGCTGAGCCCTCTGAAGGCCCACAGTGTTTACTCATCCTCCCTCTTGCCCTCTGTTGCTGGACCCCACTATGCACTGCAGCAGACAGCTCCAGGAGGCAGATGGGCCTATGCTCTGAAATCCTAAAAACACTGGGTCTGCTCTAAATTCCTCATGTGTGACATGGGAGAATAATTTTCTCTCTACCCTGCTACAATTTATCACACTGTGGAAAAGGGTTTAGTTTTGGGGACAAATCTTGAGTTACAGATGCCATACACAGAAAGCATTGGCAGGCCTACACTACTAATAAGCTAGACCTGCATAAGTGGGCCGAAACCCACTGTGAATTCATCATAGTCTTGAGTTGGAATGATTATGTTTAGGTTCACACCTCTTTATAAAATACTTAGAGCTTTGTTTACTGTATAGACTCAAAAGAACTACATATTCCACTAACCCTAAAATTAAGTATTCTGATTCCTCAAAGTACCAAAATATGGACAATTTTAATGTACCCAAGAAGTTTCCTGTCCATCTTTCACTTTAAATATTGGCCTTTGCTATAATCTGAACATAATCTGAATCTAATTTTTTAACCAAGATACCAGGGGTTTGGTATAGGTCCTGCTGCTTGCATTACAGAAAACCAATTACTGACACAAGTATTGCCAGGAAAGAAGGCTTTAATCAGGTGCTGTGGCAGAGGAGATGGGAGATCAGTCTCATATCCATCTCCCTGACCAACTAAAATTCAGGGTTTATATACCAGGGAAGAAATGGAACCATGTGTAGGAAAACAGGAATTAGGGAGTGGTAAGAAAGAGGAGTTGATCAACAGGAGGCAGGTAGTCAGTTAGGCAATCATAACAGCCAAGGTGTCTGGCATCTCATTGTTCAAATCCAATGATCTGGTGAGTATCAGCTCCTAGCTACCATCTGGGAGGCCTCATGGTTGGTTTCCTTAGAAAGGAACTCAGATAAAACAAATGTAACTTTCTCAAGTTTTAAGACTGGGAGAATCAATTTATGGGTTTATTCAAAAAATTATAAATACCATCTCTATGGGACAATTGGGTTAGTTTCAATCTAAACAATTCCATTGAATTTAGAGAGTTTTCTTATGACTACTTTTGGAAATTCCTAGAAATACAAAGATGAAAAAGGTATGAGTCACTCTTCCAGGACCTCCACAGACTATAAGAGAATTAAACACAGATAAAAATTTAGATAGATCATGTCTTGTTGTTTTTGAATATACAATAATGCATATTATCTTGCTTTTGAAGCACAAGTACTGTTTAGTTTATTTGAATGATATAACCACATTGAAGTTTTTTGGAATTGTGGTTATTTTAAGAAACTATATATGTTTGGTTGTAAATATTAAATGCTGCTACTCTTATATAACCAGATTTCCCTATCACATAAGAAAATACACACAAATACTACTAATAATGATAATAGCTTTTATTGCTGTTGCATACTTATTTATACTAGATGCTTCATATGCTTGAATTTGCTTACTTATTACAACAACCTTGAAAGTTATGTATGATATGGTTTATTTTGCATTGAAAGAAACTGATGAATGATGTAGTCGGTTGCACAGAATCACACACAACTTGCCAGGGCAACTGTAAAGTCAATACTTTAGGCTTTACCTTCTCTGCTTGATTATATCTCAAGAACACAGCATCTTCTTAAGAATGGGCTCATTTTCATCCTTTAATTTTTTTAGCCACTTATGGTAACCACCAGGAAGCTTGCTTTGAGAAACTGCTATTTCAGCATAGAAAAAGTCCATATAATGGTGATCAGAACAGATTTTAATTTTTTTCTGCTGCATAAAAAGTACCACATCTCTTCTATTTCCTTCTCTTAACATTCTGGTGATCACTTGTCTTCCATCCCACTTCACCATTATCTACTATTATGAACAATAATAACAAAATATCATAATGCATACAAAAATGCACAAGCACTTTCTGCATGAGCCATTTGTTGTCAGCACACTCAGTAAAGGGGCTCGGTAGGGATAGACAGTGGCAGCCCTTCTAGTAATCTTTGACAAGTACTGGATACTTCTCCAAGAAAGCACCACCTTCTTCTATTAGGTGGAGGAGGGAGAGAGAAGGCTGGTATTTTCATTCCTTTTCAGTGAATAGATGGTGCTGAACTATAAACTTCTTAAGAAACTCTAAATGTAAGCATTCAAAGAAAGAAAAATTACCCCCTAAAAAAATCTACGGTGTAATTTTATATATATTTAGGCCTAAATAGTTTTAAAGACCAAATCTGAATACTAACGTATTATAAAACAAATGGCAGTTTGTAGCTTTAACCTGTTGGACTTTTTCTGTGTACTGACCTTCAGATGCATTTTTACTATAGCATAGTTAAAATGCGCTATTTAATTCTAATTAATTCCAAACCATATACAGGATATTGAAGTAAAAGCTTGTTTTTGTCTGGTGTCAGGAGTGAAGAGTTTCTTATACAGGGGTAGCACAGAGAAATTTTGGGGGTGACAAAACTGTTCTGAGTGGAAGTGTGGAGGTGGATACATAGCTCCAGGCATTTATCAAAATCCATAAAACTGTACAACAAAAAAGTGAATGTTTTTCTTCAATTTAAAAAGTCCATTAGGAAGTGGCAGGGGGGTAGAACACAGACAGTAACAAATGAATCTTAACTATATTACACAGTGAACCACATAACCACATTGGGGGATGGTAGGAAGAAAGGAGCTGACCTTCCATCATTTGGAAAATGATGTTTAGACTGGATACTATAAAATAAAGATAAAAGGAACTGTATATATGCATATTAGTGAGGAATTTTGAAAGTAATATGTTTGTATACTAGGATTGAACAAATAGCTATTATATCATAGATAATGGGAGCTAGGAGTCCCACTGTTAAGAGTAAGAAGTTACAAAAGAAAGGGGAATGCTAGAATGAGCCCTGTGGTCCTGAATGAGAGGTGGAGGTATTAATGTGGATATACTAAAAAATTGTATATACTATAATTATATATACATACATAATATGTATACATATACACACATAGAGGAATAGAAATAGACACAGAAATATAGATGCTTACATATGCATGAGTTAATATACATACCTATATTTCCTAGTTCTCTTCATTGAGGAGACTAGAAGCAGTAATTTCCCCAATAGCAATGAGCATGTTCAGTGCTTATAGCTTAGTAGTTTCTAAATACAGTTCTGCAGTAAAAAATACTCGGGGTCCTTGGAGAACTGTTTGATTCCAGGGCTGGGGCAGGGAAAATACAAGTTGCATCTAGAGCATCTTGCTATACTGGAAAGTGCCAGGTGCTAAACATAAGGGAACCGGGGACGAAACCTAGTGAAAGGAGCACAGAGCCAACCTGAAAGAGCTTGAGCAATAAAAAGATTATAATAGTGGATTATACTCCAAAGAATGGAATAAATATCCATGGCCCCATGCCAATATAAAAAATTGAATCAATGAATAAGGTGGTTAAACAACAGTGCTTTGCAGAAGAATTCCAATTTTAAGTGTAGAAGAAGGGACTATATTAAAATACAAAATTATAAATAGAAAATCACTATTAGAATATCACAGTAACAATTGCTGCAAGGCAAGATCCACCAATGGAGGCTAAAATTAATGGGCAAAAGTATAAGCAAAAACAGGATATTTGCATAGTCTCAAAGTATCTCTTTCAAACTATTTAATAATTACAAATGAAAAAAGTAGTAACTTGACAGTGGACAACCTTGGCAGACATTATCCTAGCCGAGGTTAACATAACCACCAATACGTATAGTCATAATGAACCCCCGATATGACGCACTGCGGAGACTACATCACCTGCGTGGTATCGTTCCAGATAATGCATGGTCTCAATACAATTATGAGAAAACATCAGACCAAATGAAATTCAGGAACAATCTACCAAATAACTGACAAGAAGTATTCAAAGTTCTCAAGGTCATGAATGATAAGGAAGATTGAGAAACTGTTACGGACTCAGGGTGACTAAGGGCATAACAACTAAATGCAATATGGGATCTTGAATTGGATCCTGGAACAAAAAAACTGCATAACTAGAAAAACTGGAGAAATATATATATATATATGTATTTTCAGATGGAGTCTTGCTCTGTCGCCCAGGCTGGAGTGCAATGGCGCAGCCTCAGCTCACTGCAACCTCCTTCTCCCGGGTTCAAGCAGTTTTCTGCCTCAGTCTTCCGAGTAGCTGAGACTACAGGCGCATGCTACCATACCCAGCTAATTTTTTGCATTTTTAGTAGAGACAGGGTTTCACCCTGTCAACCAGTATGGACTCAATCTCCTGACCTCATAATCCGCCTGCCTCAGCCTCCCAAAGTGTGAGAAATATTTTAAAAGTTCTATCGTGCACTTTGGTTAGTAGTATTGTATCAAAGTGCTTAGTTTTGATAAATCTTCCATGGTTATGTAACATGTTAACAGAGGGGAAGCTGTGAAGGATGTATGGGAATTTTCTGTACTATTTCTGCAACTCTTCTGTAAGTCTAAAGTTATCTCAAAATAAAGTTTTTTTTTAATTTGCTTTGATTTTTTTCACTACCATTGGTTCTTTTCTAAGTATGACGTAAGGTGTTGCCAACCATTTTTTTTAGTATTTTTTTAAATGAGCAACCACCACCTGCAGTTGAAAGCAGTTGTACCAATTTTTATTTGCAGCCAAATTCAGCCTCTTTATCCCAGTACAGAGCTGGTTACTTCCAAATGGTCTTAAGGAGGAGGAGAATCTGGAAGGAGTAGGAGCCCGAATTGTCCAGAAATTATTATTTTTATTCTCTTATCCTTATAGTATTAACATTTTATTGCTCTGACTCTTTCTCCTCCTATATTCGTTTTGTGATCTATAATACTTTGATATTTAAATATGATATTTTAGTATTTGGTGTGCTGCTTCCAAGTGTCTAATTTGTTTTTTGCTCCCCTTGTGGGTACACACATACAAAGTAGAGCAATTCTCTTAGATAATTCTATGACAGCTATAATTTTGCTAGGAGATTAATAATTTTTGATTATCCAGACTGTTAGATAGTATGTAAATTATAGTACAGTAAGCACTCACTTCTGCTTACAGAATCGCCCCTCCAGGGCCCCTAGGTAACCCACTGTGTTTGTCATTTTCTAAGTGATTCTTCCTATTTCCGAAACCAGGCATTAGATACACCAATACTATTAGGCTGACCAGAGCAGCCAGTCAGCCAGTGTGGACAGACAAAACTTGAAGAAAGACTTCTACCCTGTTTTTCGCCTCCCTCTGTGAGCAGCCTCAGGGAAGAGCAGTTCAAACACTGGCTGCCATGGCTTGTATTTCTACTCTTAGCATGTCACAGATGAACCTCCAGGAGAGGCTGGGACTCTCCTGCTACCTGTGAGAATGACTTAATTGACAAAGTGCTACTGCAGGATTCCACTACCTACTCCTGCCTATCTTTTGAGCTTCCCTCTTGTGTTTGGATTTTTGAAACACTGGTCTGACTTTTTAGTTCTTTGGTTTTCCTTTCAAACTAATTAAGTGTAACTACGTGTTAAGATGTCTACACTGTTTTTAAGTAAATGTTTTTATTTTGAGATAATTGTAGATTCACATGCCATTGTAAGAAATAATAGAGGAGGCAGGACGCGGTGGCTCACGCCTGTAATCCCAGCACTTTGGGAGGCCGAGGCGGGCGGATCACAAGGTCAGGAAATGGTAGCCATCCTGGCTAACACGGTGAAACCCCGTCTCTACTAAAAATACAAAAAGAAATTAGCCGGGCATGGTGGTGGGCGCCTGTAGTCCCAGCTACTCGGGAGACTGAGGCAGGAGACTGGTGAACCCGGGAGGCAGAGCTTGCAGTGAGCCGAGATCGCGCCCCTGCACTCCAGCCTGGGCGACAGAGCCAGACTCCATCTCAAAAAAAGAAAGAAAAAAGAAAGAAGTAATACAGGGAAGATGCCGTGTATCCATTACTCAGTTTTTTTCCAATGGAAAAAAAAGCCTACAAAACTATAATGCAATGTCACAATCAAGGTATTGATATTGGCACAGTCAGGATACAAAACATTTTCATCCCTTGAAGTATCCCTCATGAGAACCCTTTATAGCCTTACCCTCTTCCCTCCTGCCTTACCCCCTCCTTAATCTCTGCCAACCTTCAATCTGTTCTCTGCATCTATATGCAGTACTTTAAAAAATCATGATTTGTCTGCTTATCAGAGAGGAACAGTCTTTCTCCTATAACTTGGAAGGTATACACACCCACGTTTATTGATATCTGCCAAACCTTAATCTGTCTAGTTGGGTGTTTGTGGGAGCTGGTGCACTTGGTTTGGCTTCAGTGCCTGTGAATTTACTACCAAATCACCAAGGATTAAATTCTCACTCTCTCTGCCCCATGCTGGCTGTGTGACCTTGCACAAATAAGACTTCTCTGAAACAAAGTTTTCTTACCAAGGGGAGAAAAAAAATGGATAATAATAACGTTTACCTTAAAGTGTTTGGGATGAACTACATGAGATGATTTAAGCAAATTACTCACTACTACCTGATGGAGTAGGTTCTAGAAGAATTTAGAATATGAGGAAAAGGCAAGTGATATCTATAGACCCAGTTTCCTAATTCCACTTTCTCAGGCTCAGGAGAAAACTAAAAGCAATAAAATTCATAGAAGGTTCTTGACCAAAGGGAATCATTAAGAATCATTAAGATATTCAGAAATTATGAAAAATGAATTAATATTAGAAAGTATCCATGATTAATATTTCAACTTTGAATAATAGTTAATGACAGTTGCCTTTAATTATTAGTGTTTTCTAATTTTTTTAACTGTGTTAGAATTTTTCCCTAAAAAATGCCTTTACATTAATGTGTGGGTTTGACTTGCAGCACAACCCTAAATATGCACCTGGACAGATTTAAATTCATTCTCCACTAAGCATGCAGATCCCAAAAGCAGTTGGGCAGAGCAATGTCTGTAATTGATATAACATATTGGTAAATCAACACATTTATTTCTCCCCCAGTGACTCATGCAGCTGTATACATCTAAAATAAACTGTAATTCTACCTCCCACAAACCAATTTGAAGACTCTCTGCTAATGTTTATTTGGTGGTTGATAAAAATGGAATAATTACGTGGAAGTTGTTTTTCTTTCTGGCATTTCCAGTGCTCCTTTCCAAACAGATCTTTCTTTGAGAGAATATTTGGAAGGCAATGCTTTCCATTCTCCAAACCTCCTTTGATATGCTGGTAGCAATATAGAGAGGCAAGTAGATGTGTTCGTTGTTAGTAGTGTGTCCTTTTACTAGAGCTGGATAACATTTTAGTACAGATGCCAAGGATGTAGTGACTATGGAAAGTCTTATATAATTCTCAAAAATTAGTCAAACAATGACAATGAGATGGGAATATCCCCCGTCTTTATAAGTGAATTAATACGTATGTCTGTACGCGAATGTGTGAGAATGATTCTATTTTGAATGGAATTTATTCCTTTTACATAAGAGTCATTACCCATAAAAATGATATTCAGAATTTCATCTTTTCATTTATTTTGCACTGGTGTGAGGAGCTATCTACTCTTATAATTGCATTTGTGAATACTCTTATAAGTGCATTTGTATAATTGGGGCAGAGCCAAATAGTGAAACATTTTCATGGGGTCTACTTTGCACAGATTCTCAGGCTAAAATCATGAAGTAAGCTATGGCACATAATATGTCAGTCCCTTAAAGCCAACCTCTACCGAGCTTTCAGAGCTGACTGTTCAATGTAGCAGAATCTCTGGTGCAGTTGTTTCTAAATGAGGCTCATAGACTGAGCAGAGCCTAATGTAATGAATGTGTCTCACCTCTGAGTCCCTGGGTATCTTGTCTCCACTTTATTTTAATTGTAGTGACTACAAAAAAAAAATAGAGGAAGTTTTGCAGAGAGAAATTTAGAAAATAGATACTGTATTTTGGAAAGCATCAATGCTTTCCAAAAGCATTAATTAATGAGGGAATATTTTTATGAGCACAGAGATAAGGTATGGGAATATTCATAGAAGGGCAGACATAAAAAGGAAGCTTTCAATGTACTCTATTTGAGGAGTTAGATTTCTTTTTTTTGAGACGAGTCTCGCTCTGTCGCCCAGGCTGGAGTGCAGTCGCGCGATCTCCGCTCACTGCAAGCTCTGCTGCCTCCCGGGTTCATGCCATTCTCCTGACTCAGCCTCTCAAGTAGCTGGGGCTACAGGTGCCCACCACCATGCTTGGCTATTTTTTTTTTTTTTTTTTGTATTTTTAGTAGAGACGGGCTTTCACCGTGTTAGCCAGGATGGTCTCGATCTCCTGACCTTGTGATCCGCCCGCCTCGGCCTCCCAAAGTTGAGGAGTTAGATTTCTAATGCATCTATATCCTTGATGCTCATACACACCTATTTATCAAAGTATCCGATTGTCAGCAGATTATTGATTTTTCCCTAGATTCCACCTAAAGTTGAAATGACAAAGTCAAATTTAGGTCCCTTAGTGACAAAAGTTAAATAATGTAGCTATCATTAACTGAGTAATTATTATGTTCCAATTAATAGGGTAAGAGCTTTACGTGAATTCTATCATTTAATCCTTAAACTAACTTTATGAAGTTCATTTATCTTTGTAAATGTTACCAGTCAAAGGAAAATGAGGCTTAAAGAAGGTACGTAACTTACACAAGTTGTTAGTATTCAGGAAATGTATACCTGTAAATTTGTAATTGCCATTTCAACCCTCTTAAGTCTTAGAAAAGGCACAATTTGTTGACTTTTTGATCTAATCAAACATAAACTGTGCAAGAAATGAAAAAGCTCACCTCAACTTTGCCTTGAAATATAAATGTTTCACTGATCAAGTATAATAAGTTTCTCCAGTTGGGTCGCCCCAGAGGTATAAATTCTCTCTTTGCATCTAAATGTATTAAACAGTCCCGCAAGTACTTTTTAATTGAAAGTGAAAACTGCTAGCAATTGTCTAACAGCTGGAGTATCCGTGAAGAGCTGGCATTCAGTGGACTATTTCTTCATACTCTTATTTTCTCGTGCATGATCACACTGCTACAAAATCTTGATAAACCATCCGAGTATTTTTTGTTTTTGTTTTTGTTGTTTTTGTATTAATTTAACATTGTCAAAGAGCAATCACGATCAGTTTAATGATCAAATAAATGCTGTCTTTTACTGTATCATTTCCTTCATAGAATAGCATAACGCAAATTTCTCAAAATCACCATTGATTCAGCAGTTATTACAAGCTTCTCAGAAACATCACAAAGCACAAGTTTTTTCTAAAAAATTACCAAAAAGATATGATTATGTCAGTTAAGACTATAAGATATTTTTCAACGTATCCTGTTTTTAAATGACAAAAATTATATATATTTATAGTGTATAACATAATATTTTGATATATGTAGACATTGTGGAACGGCTAAGTCAATCTCGTTATCATACCCATTACCTCACATACATTTTTGAGGTGAGAACACTTAACATTTATTTACTGTCTTAGCAATTTTCAGGTATACAATATATTGTTATTAACTATAGTCACCATGTTATACAATAGATCCCTTGAAATTATTCCTCTTGTCTAACTTATATTTCGAAATTTACATTTAGGTAGATATGTATGTCATGATATCATAAAAGGGACACTGGGAAATCATTTGATTCCAAAAAATTTCTTTCAATACTTCGATTCATAAAGTATTTGAAATCTACCATTGGTTAAAAATTACACCACAATTTTGTATCATTCTTCAGTTTTAATCAGTCTTGTCAAGCTTCACTTGCTCCTTTTGTATTACATTTAAAGGAGTAGATTATTTCCAAGCATTGTTGTACTTTTGTATTTTGTTGCTTGTAATGGATGTTGATGCAAAAACTGTATCATGAAAAACAACATTGTTTTGTGGTGTTGTTACATTGGAGTGCTTCCTTTTGGAAGATGTCAGTTGTATTTCTTCCACCAATTATTGGGCTTGATATCTTTCACAAGTTTAAATCCGAATATATTATCCTTGTATATTAACATTGTTAACACATTGACTTTAAAATATTTCAGTGGTATATTAAAGAACAAAACATCAAGATTCTGGCAGTAAGACAGTGCTATAGCTACTAAGTTCCAATAATAACAGCCAGGTAGCAACAAGACAAATAATCACCTCTACTATTAACTAATTTTGAAAGAGGATATCTTCAGGGTAGAGATGATTTGCTGCATTAATTATGTGTCTTTTTTGTCATTAGTCTTGAATACTATTTTAATTAAACAAAATTAAAATTCATACTGTTTAATAAATCAATGTAATTTGAAAACCTTACTGGTAGTTAACTGTTGAGAAAGATCTTGTTTTTTAACTACTCTCCTTCTACAAAAAAAAAAAATGACTAGTGAGCAATAATATTTCTGGTCGTTTTTAGCAGTAACCACATTTGCCTTACGGTGTAGAGCAGCACAATGATTTCACTTTCAGATGGGGCTAGTCACATTACCTCTATGTAAACACACACATAATATTCCATCTGCTAGGTATAAGAGCATGATTAATTGGATGAGAAAATGTTGATAACCATAAATAATCCTTGAACCTAAAGCCAAATTATGAATATGGCTTAATTGAAATTTAAATTCCTACATATTGGCCTGGTTGTCGAGAAGAATAAGGGAATGGGGTACCAGGAATCTTCTGGTCCATGTTATTTCAAAACTGTTTTCTGCTACTTTATTTATACACCTTCTCTCCTACACATTTTTTCTAACAGCTTGTTCTCTAAGGAAAGACCATATAATTACTCTAGTACAGTGTTTCACTTGAGAATGAAAGTTGTTTATCAAGTAACTCAAGGAAGAAAATATGGGTTATTTATTTGCCTAACAACAAAATAAAATGAATCACATGCCCAGCTAAAAAGAAAAAAAAATAGGACTACTTAGTCTCCTTGTGCCTAGAGGCTTGGTGCTTCCTGGGATGCAAATATGGATTCAGCCAGATGAACATATGGCAGAGACTAGTTACAAGACTCCTACTGGGAACAAGCCACTTTCAGAACCATTTCTAGAATGTTGAAAATTTCTAGCAACAGCATACTTTGTGGTCTTGTTTAGCCTTGTGGCCAAATTTGCAAGTTCTATGACAAACCTATTAATGCAGGAGACGGGTCATACACAATCCAGAAGTAAAGGGATCTGTGGAATTCTAGAATTAATATATTATGAAGTTATATTAGAATTTCTATAATTGAGTTATTTACTTCTGTGGCATTGTACCACATTGAGAGCAGAAAGTAATATAAATGTATGACTGTTAAATGTGACTTATAAAGTTGGCCTAAATGTTCTCTTTATGTGCTGCAGTTTTATTATTGTTATAATTATCTTCTTTTTATGTTTTGTTCCATTCAAGTTTCATCTTTTTGCTGAGCATATGCCAGACCTAGGGTAGCATTGTGTTATCCAGTATTTTAAGAGAGGAATATCTCACTGTTGGCAGAAAAATATAGAGAGAGATATATGTATGTGTATACATGTATGAATTATCTGTTAACTGACAATGAAATGTTTTTCTGTATTTAAAAAGCACATAAACGTTTTACTACTGCATATAGCCAACTCTTAATGTTATATATAAGTTTACCTGAGAGCCTTGACTCCTTGTTTATAGCCAGGCCTTGTATTACCTATCAGCATTTCACTCTGAATAAAATATTACCCTAGTTCTGGCTATCCTTTGCTTTACACATGCCTTGATACACATTTCTTGAACTAGTGACCATACATTGTTTACTCTGGGATAATTAATTCTCCTAGTATCTTATATCTTAAAAGTGTCTTATATCTCAAAAACAGTCCCTTGTTCTAGCCAGAGACTATGTATTGATGGACTTTAAGCATTCATTTTTTACAAGTAGCTAAATGGATCTGCTAGTTTGGTTGTTAGCCCAACCCATTTTTATGTTACCTTTAGTTTAGTTTTTTGGCATGTTTATAAGGTTGATTCTTGCTTTGGTAGGCTTACCTTTTAGTGTTTGTATCACCAGCCCGTAAAACTCAGCAGAAGCACAGAGTTATAACAAAACAAAAAAAATTGATTATTCACAATAAAAAAGAATGCATCTATGAAAATTTCTCAGAGGATTAAAATTAAAGCTGTTGATTAAACACACATTTTAGCACATCTCAGCCGTGATGTTTTCTCATGGGAATCCTTTCTCACCGAAGAGTTACTTTACACGTGGTTTCAGGAATGAATTAACACCCTTGATCAAATTAACTAAATGTGTTTTCAGATACCTCCTTCCATCACGGTAATGTGCTTTTGTTGATGAAACAAAATATGACTTAAAAAGAATAAAACTGGAAGGTTCAGAGTTGGGGGGAAGAGATTACCTATTTTTAGGAGGGACTTCACACCAAAAGCCAAAGGTTCAGGGCTTTTGGTCTCATAACGTATTAGGTAAACAGAGAGAAGAAGGAAGGACTGGAAGAGCAATGCCATAAGCAAAGCCATGAGGATATTTCTTTAAAGGTGCTATTACTGGCACTAATGTGAGACAAGTAGCGTAAGGCCTGTCATACTTGTTAATGTTTCGACTTGTTAATGTTTTTTGTTAATGAATATGAATTAACAAAAAAGTATAAGTGCATGACTGTAATAGATCCACTTAAGTCACTACAGAGCTAAGCATTGTCTTCTTATGCTAATGAAATAAAAATATCATGCAGTTTATATGACTAATTAAATGTATCATTTAATTAGTGGTACAGTAAAATTATGTAATTGGCAACTGCTTTCTGAAAGGAGCCTGAGACTCTTATTCTCATATCCAAATCCACTTGACCTTATATGCTTGGAGACAGTTAGGGTTTGGGTTAGACTGATAGACAGTCAGGGTTTAGCTTAGACTTATAAAGTCAAGGAAACCATTATTGGTGTTTGAGCCAAGGGGCCCCAAGTAGTTTTTAGGGATGAGTAATGTGATAACAATATGGTGATTAATTGGAGGTGGAAAGTATGAATATGAGATGAAGGCAGTGTCACCTTTCAGCAATACAGCCCTGTGCACATCCTTTCTCCCTTTCTTTTTTCTTGCTCCCTTTCTCTCTTCCCCTGAAAATAATTTGGACACAAGAATTTAAGAACTTCAAAGTATTGTTTGATTTTCAATATCTAATGTTTAAACATATAATTTAGTCTCACTACCAGAGTGTTTCCCTGAGATAGAAGTGGCTCCTAGGTAAGTAAAGATCGCTATTCATTTAATGCTTCACACTGACATTTTCACTGTGGCATAGTTTATAATTCTCTGAGTCAATCCAGATCCAACTATATAAAAAGATGACAGAGAGACTTATTAGTCACTTCAAGAAAGGCCTACATGAAGTAGTAACATTCTCAGAACAAAGTGGCATGGAATTTAGCATAACTTCATCATAGGCCCTGTTTCATTCTGGAAATAGTTTGGAGTTATGCTGTCATATTATGCACATTCCTATGCAGTGGCTACTAACTAGATATTGTAAAATTACATTTACATTTATAGCAACTTGACTTGGGTTGTAATTTTGTCAGAGTTCACTGAAGTAGCCCATCCTCAATCATTACTTTTCAGATGTATTAGTGCCATTGTCATGAGTATTGAATTATCTCCAGGTTATTTTATAAGAAGATCCTATGTAAAGCAAGATTTTAAAAATATATATGGACATAAAATTATTCTTGAAAAAGTGATAGGCAGCAATTCAGATACTCTGTTCTCAAAGTTCCAATAATTGATCAATATGGATAGTTATAATTGAGTCAAAACTATTTTTCTCCAGTATTCCCCCAGAGAACTAGGTTGCTGTTCTTTTTTTAAAAAAATTCTGATAAACAGGGTTTTGGTTTTTGTTTCAGATATTTTTCACTGTGAATATGTGAAAATATTTTACTCTAATATCTTACTTAACCTCCCCAAGCACACAAGTTCAAGTGGATTTGGATATGAGAATAAGAGTCTCAGACTTCTTTCAGAAAATCATTGCCAATTATGTTATTTTACTGTACCACGTGATACATTTGTAATATAAATTCTGTGATAATTTTATTTCATTAGCATGAACAGGCAATGCTTAGCTCTGCAGTGAGGTAAGTGGACGTATGACAGTCATGCGCTTACACTTTTTTGTTAATTCATATAATTTTGCTGCTTTTGGATGGTGTAAAAGACCAATCTTGTCACTAAATCCATTAATTTGTGTTATGGGCATATCACTCCCAGCAGTACAGGAGAAGAAAACACACTCATGGGCAAACCAGTTATGTAAAACACCTACTTTTGTGTGCTAGGCATTGGGGATACAGCAGAGAATAAAATAGATCAAGTCTTTGCCTTTTAAACCAGCTTTTATTCTACTGTAGGGATACAGACAATAAACCCATAAAGAAATAAATATGTTTCAGGTGGTGACAAAGTTCTATGAAAGAAAATAAAGTGAAGTAGGAATGAGAAAGTACTGTTGGTGGGAAGGCATTGAACACAGTTTAACCTGCCCTTGAGATGACTTAGCATCATCTATTATAAATATTCATATTTGCATGACTCATTGTTATGTTGTCTGTCTCTAAACTTAAATTTATAATCTCAGCTGTCACTGTTCTAGAAGTCATTATACCTACCTCTAACTGCACCACTTATTGTATTTATTACTTGCATATGCAAGGAAACATGGAAATTAGGCCAGTTAGAAAAATTATGTTAAGAAACAATCCAGGAATGCTAAGGAAGGTTCATAATTTTAGCTTAAGCAGTTTTTATGTGACATGTGCTGCACAGTCTCAGTTACCTTTTTGACAATTTGTTATGCTTTGAAGAGTTGAGAATGAATGACATTTAATTAACAATTCTCATTTTGTCACTGTAAGTCTCTATTTCTGGATTTACTCTCAATTTATTGAGAATCTTAGTTTGTTTACTAAAATATGGGTAACTAAGTTTATTAATATGATTATTTAACATAACATTGATAATAATTGCTTCAGTTAATGTGCTTTTCAAAGCAAAATGATTCTTGCTTGTATAATTTTGTATTATTTGATCAGAGCCTTCATTCTTTACTCTTCACCTATAAAAACAGAAATAAAACTGATCTAATTTGCAGTTTTGCCATCCAAGCATTATGTAAAGGGTAAATTCTCCTGACCTTCTTCACAATGTTACTATAGCTAACGTTAACAATAGTAATGTGGAGTTCCACATTACTCAGCAAAAGAGTAGTATATATTTAACAACGAAGGTGACTTGCTCTGAGTCTCTTTTACTGAATAATTAAGTATTCCTTACGGGGCTAGTGTGTGTGTGTGTGTGTTCGTCTATATATATACTTTTTCAAATTTATTTTAATATATATAGAGGAAATGGTACTTATATTAAAATAAATTTGAAAATGAGTTGTTTTCCTTCTGCTTTATACATACATATACCACTTTTGCAAATGTGCTGTTAGCTTAGACAGCCCTAACTTCACTCTTTGTAGTATTACATGTTTATTGTCAAAATCTGTTCTGCCAACTTATTGACAGGCCCTGGCAGGCAGGCCTTTGACTACACAGAATAGATACAAAGTAAAACTTAGTGGTATTTGATCAATCAAGTCAGTTCAGTTTAATAATTAGGTCTAATTATTGGTATCATGCCTGCAAAGCAAGCTCTATCCTCTCCACCCTGCCCCACAATCACTCAAATCAGTTGGCTGCTTAATTCTTCTCTCTTCTAGCTTATTACCTCTTTTCAGAGCAGAATAGCTAAGGGGTTATATTTGCTTCAGTGTCTAACACTCTTTTTCATATGGCTGATAGAATCCTTCAGTATGTTACAACGAAAAACATTTTTATTATCAAAATAATTTATCAACCAACTGTAAGCATAACACATCTGACAATTTTATAATTGCTTATAATTTACAAAGCACTTTCATATATATTTTTAATTGTGGTGCTACCAATGGTCTTGTAAGGTAGGTGGGGCAGGAATTAATATTCTTGCCTAACTCTATAATTTATACACTCTAGTTGATGGCAATTTAATCAGTTTATGATGCAAAACTTTTTACATCATGAAAATACACATATATAAATACTTAAATGTTAGTGTTATGTTTGAAGTTATCTAAACATCAAGCTCATATTGGCATTTCCATGCATAATTCCAGAGAGCCCTTTCAAAAAATTATCCTCCTGCGTTAGTGTTTTATATTTTTATATTATTGTATATATCACATATTATAAATTGTATAGGGCCATCCAGAGTCTGTGCAAAGTACTTAATACAAATAAATAACTTCTCCTTTGGCTAACTTAAGTGGCAATTTGCCATTTACCTAAGATTGAGGTTTTATTCTTTCAGAAATAATTGTAATCAAGATTTCATGAAATGGTAGAAAAATGCAAAACTGACAATCATTTGGATTGTAATGCTTTGTCAAAAAGTTATATTATCATAAAAGCACAATCCCATATATGCGGTTATGATTAGTTATTGGAAGGTTTTATCAAAGATGAGGTTGAATTTATTGGTTTTGATTTTAAAATGTGATAAAGTTTTTACAGCATTTAAAAAAATGACTGCATTCACACTTAGGCTTTTCATTAGAACATTCACATGCTATATTATCAACTTCAAAGCAGATGCACAAATGGAAACAATAGTTAAGCATTTTATCCACAAGTATTTTATAGGTTTATTAATTGAATAACATGTCAAGCACCCAGAATAGTCCTTTTGTATTGCATCTATTAAATATAAGGCAAATACTAATATTTTATATTTTGTATAACATTTCTTCTGAAAATGGACCAAAATAGTCTAAAGCATGGGTATTATCCATTTGACTATGAAGACATATGAAGCCCTCAAGTTTCTTAAACAGAAAGAAGATTGCAAATTACTTCAGTCATGTTCTATAGTTTACATTTACAGGCACATCAGTGTCTAAAAATAAGGAAATGAAATAAAAGTTCTAATGGAAAGAGACAATAATTTGTGAATTAGGATAAAGGTCCAAGAAACTTTAAAACCGTTAATATATTCTTATGCAAATAGGGACTCATTGTAACTTAGAAATCTTTGTTGCTTACAAAATTGCCTCTTTAGATTTTGCTTGATAGTATTAATATCATTTTAAGAGACATAGATTTCCTTTAAATTTTCACTAGAGAAGCACAAAAATGCCATACTTTCTACTTCATTTCCACTAGGGGGTGATCTCCTATTGAAAGTAGCAGAGGAGGATTGAAAACACTGTGACCCTACCAAGGCAAAATGGATACCTTGGTAGGTTAGAAAGTTCTCAACTAAAATGTTGTAAGTAAGAGAAAAAAAATTAATACATTAGAAGCTAATTTCAGCAAGGAGAACTTCTAAAATCTTTACACATCTACAAAACACACAATTGTTAGGCTTAAATTTTTTCTCAATTTTAAAATTTCAGGAGTTCTAGTATTTTTCTCATCAATATAGAATATAAGGAGCATTTCATGAGAGAGAGCTGCACCTTTGCTTCTTCCTTAAAGAACACACTTTCCTATTCTGAGGAGAGTAATTTTTTTTTTAAGTGCATATTTACTACTTTGAAGATGAATATCGGGAAATATTAGGTGGGGATTTGACATGGGGTTGGAATCTGACAATTATCAAGGACTTGCCCAGAGCTGGAT